>NC_000005.10:63234807-63859807 GCF_000001405.40 Homo sapiens | reverse complement strand
TCCTCCTCAAATCCATCCCAAATTTATCCCCCAGCTTGTCAAACTAAATGGCTGTCAAGTAGTTTGGAAGTCAGACACTTCACTCAGGCATCTGTCCCCAGCCTCGAACCAGGTCTTACTTATAATGGTGGCTCAGAGCATACATTGTCTAGTGATATTAAGGATATTGCATATATTTAGTTTCTGATTAAAATTATATGTCCTTGTCCTTTCACTTCTCAAAAACCTTAGTGTAGGCAGGGACTAGCAATAGTTTTTCCATCTTCCCTTGGGCAAAGGCAGGGAGCACTGACTTCATGCAGTCAGCTTGGTCCTTGCCCCTCATCTCACTTAGAACTCCTGTCTCCAGTTAGCCTGTTGTCGTGTAGCAGTGAACTCTTGTCCAACACTTGCTGCTTCCATTTTCCAACTCTCACAGACCTGTGGCTTTGTCCCTTCAACTTTGTGTTTGTTTCTGCTCCATAAAGATGTTTATTTTGCTTCAGAGCTGGACTATGTTCAGATTGCTCTTGAGATATTTTGTCTATCATTGTCAAAGATTTGCAGCTAAGGTATTAATCGAAGACAAAACTTATAACCAACATTGTTATCAGAGACTCCCTCCCCCATTTAGCTCTCTTAATTGGTGTATTTTTAGAAGCCATTTTCAGGAGTTGTGTTGTATCGGCTTTGCCCACAAAAGATACTAGAATCTTGACTTTAATATAATTGTTTATTTATTAATATATGAGAAAATTTTTTTGGTTTGCAACTTTATATAGATAATAAAAATATTAAATAAAAATGGCTAAACAAACAGTAGAGAATTAGTGTTGTGTAATAGTTTAACTAAGTGACATATTTATAGACATCATGAAATGTCATAATATATAATATGATTCTCATGTTAAATTTCCAAACATTTCCATCAAAGAACCGGTGAAATTCTTAGCCAGGAGTGCTTCATGAACTAGTTTCTCCTATTATGTTCAGAAACTTTTCTTCTATCACACTTTGGCTCTGACACACACTGAGTTTCTTTTCTAATCTATTCTTCCCTGGATACAAATGATCATTTCTTTGTTTCAAAGTCACAATCTTATGACTTTGCTTGTGTACTCTGACATACTGCCATACCTCCTAGGGATACAAGTGCCCCAATCTGAGAAATAGTGATCTTAAGAAAAGATTTGAGGGGAAAAGCCCTGGTCATTAATAACTCTTTAATATTTTAATAAACTTTAATATATAATTGGTTTAATGACTATGAGTCAGTATGAAGCCAGATAAACATTATAATAATAATAATTTACTATTTTTATTGTTATCTCAGTACTGCTTTCTTAATCTTTAAATCCATTATGCAGAACTGTTCATCCCAGCTGCTAAATGAAATCTTGGGCAGAACAGCAAAAGAAACTGTCATCAGAGTGAACAGGCAACCTACAGGATTGGAGGAATTTTTTGCAATCTACTCATCTGAAAAAGGTCTAATACCCAGAATATATAAGGAACTTAAACATATTTACAAGAAAAAAACAAACAACCCCATCAAAAAGTAGGCAAATGATATGAAAAGACATTCTCAAAAGAAGACATTTATGCAGCCATAAATATCTGAAGAAAAGCTCAATATCACTGATCATCAGAGAAATGCAAATCATAACCACAATGAGATACCATCTCATACCAGTCAGAATGGTGATTATTAAAAAGTCAGGAAACAATAGATGCTGGCGAGGCTGTGGAGAAATAGAAACACTTTTATGCTGTTGGTGGGAATGTAAATTAGTTCAACCATTGTGGAAAACAGTATGGCAATTCCTCAAGGATATAGAACCAAAAATGCCATTTGACCCAGCAATCCCATTACTGGGTATATACCCAAAGGAATATAAATCATTCTACTATAGAGACACATGCACACATATGTTTACTGCAGCACTATTTACAATAACAAAGACATGGAACCAACCCAAATGCCCATCAGTGATACACTGGATGAAGAAAATGTAGTACATATACACATATATGCAGCCATGAAAAGGAATGAGATCATATCTTTTGCAAGGACATGGATGAAGCTGGAAGCCATCATCCTCATCAAACTAACACAGGAACAGGAAACCAAACACCACATGTTCTCATAAGTGGGAGTTGAACACTGAGAACACATGGACACAGAGAGGGCAACAGCACATACTAGGGCCTGTTGCAGGGGTTGAGGGGAGGGAACTTAGAGGATGGGTCAATAGGTGTAGCAAGCCACCATGGCTCACGATACCTATGTAACAAATCTGCACATTCTGCTTATGTATCCTGTTTTTTTTTTTTTCTTAGAAGAAATAAAGAAAAAAAATCTTGGGCAGAGACAATGGATTTTCTAGTCATTTTCAGGTATTAAAAAGTCCAGACAATTTTATTACCAAAACTTCAATAATTTTGAATTAAAACATTCTTTAGTTTTGCTTTGACTCAGGCTTTAAAACTTGTATGAAAAGTGTGGAGGGTAGATCTTTTTTCTTGCTTTATCTCCTGTTCTCCTTCTAGATGCTGGTTCTAGTCTCATCCACGGATAGGCCTAGGGGTGAAGTTTAGAGATAAGAATCAGTGTTTTTGCTCCCTGTATATAGCAGATTTCCAAATGCAGGTTTCTTTCCTGTGGGACACTCCTGTCATTTCTTCTGAGGTTTTTCCCTATTCCCATTGCTAGTGGCTCTTCCTCTTGTAGTCTGCTGACAGACAACATCTTCTCCAGCTAGCAGCTGCCTATGATTCTCCCCTTAGTCCTCCAGCTGCACCCCACACCACTGCAGAATCGATGCTCTTATCTGAGACACTTTTCTGTGACTCAGACTTGGCTATTTTTCACAGTCCTCTTTTGCTGATGGAACACAAACTTCTTGGCTTTCCAAATTGTGGAAGCAAAGTCTGTTCCCAGTATACTTACCACACGTTACCCTAGCTGTCTTCTTACCTTTTATCTTTTTCTGGTATGGGTCAGAAACTGTCCTCAAACTCCAGGGAACATATGGCAAGCTTTCTGAATGGTTCTTTTAAATCTCCAGTCACTTAGGAAGGAAAGACCTCCTTGGTCTTCTCACCTCTTTCTATCTGCTACACTTGGGGCAAGTGATGTGCTAAGAATTTCAAAGCCACTTTCAAATAATCAATATAATTTTTCAAAATATCACTTTAATGTAAAAAACATGCTATTTTTAGTTTTTAGAAGGCATTTCTTTGGAAATAACTTTTTAATAAAAAATGTTTTGTCGGTTTTCCAATACAATAAAACAAATTTTGGAATCAATCAATAACTATCTCAAAAATTCTTTGATTTCAATTATTTCAATAACTGTTTTACATGATTTCTCTATTTAAAGAACATGGTCAGCTGTAAAACTCCATTTGACCAATAATTCATTGGACGATTTTTTTAAAACTTTTTTTTCTGATTTGAATTATCAACTAAAAATATACAAGCCAATTTGATTCAGACGTAAATAGTGCATTGTTCATCTTACCCGCTTGTGATTTTTGTGATGTTTATATTTCTTCCAGATTTGGGTTGCCTTGTCTAGGCACATCCCAATATCCTTCTCCAGATGGCTTTCGTCACTGTGTACCCCTCCTGTTGTTTTATTGTTTTTGAGACAGAGTCTCACTCTATCACCTGGGTTTGAGTGCAGTGGTACAATTTCAGCTCACTGTAGCCTCGATCTCCCAGGCTCAGGTCATCCTCTCACCTCAGTCTCCCAAGTAGCTGGAACTACAGACACGTGCCACTACACCGAGCTAATTTTTGTATGTTTTGTAGAGCTGGGGTTTTGCCATGTTGCCCAGGGTGGTCTCGACCTCCTGGGTTCGAACAATCCACCCCCCTTGGCCTCCCAAAGTGTTGGGATTATACGTGTGAGCTGCCATGCCCGGCCTGCTCTGTTGTTTTAACTGTAGAATGCATATGTTGTCCCAGACACTGTGATGGTTATAACCTGTCTGTTCTCTCTAAGACTATTCATAATATATGTGTTTGCATGCCTCACCTGTACACATTGCCATTTTAAAATTTTAAAAATCCTTTTATCATTTCTGCTTTCTCACACATTTTATCTTGTATATATTTAATAGAAATATTCCAGAGAATACTTCAGAGCTATAATTAAATCTGAATATTTGAAATTCTTCTACTAATTGGCAGTCTTGAGAGATGCAACTTAAAACCTCCCAAACTATGTGATTTATATAAATGACAGAATTGGGGTTATTTTATGTTTTTAATTCCATAGATGATTTTTTATTCTAAAAGGATCTCTTTAAGTAGTAGGAAATCTTCCTGAGGTATTGCAAACATAATATAATTTATACATTTTTAAAGTTACTCGGCTTTAAAAAATCCTCCACATCTGTTGCATACAAGTAAGGTACATTCGTAATTACCAAGAAGAATTATACAAATAAATGATGTTAAGAAATTAAAAGATGACTTTGGCCAAGTGAAAAACTGCCTAGTAGGTTAAGTTCTGATGCTCTTCTATTGCATTAAATGATTATTTCATCTTTTGTAACAAGAGTAGGCCATTTCTATTTCAAAGAAAAAGATTTAGTTTTAGATAAAATACTGAATTTCTGGGTCTAGACTCATATTGTCATATTTTGTTGCTATTGAGTCAATTTTAAATACTAATTAGCTAAAGGGGTTATTCCCTTTTCTTTGTGCTACTTGCTATGAATGTTGCATTTTTTGTACTTTGAAGAGTTTTTTTTTTTTGGTTATTTTGTTTCTAAAAATACCTCTACAAAGCAGGTTAATCCGCTTTTACTTCTAGTACATGTAACACTGGCAAGAAAATTATTAATTTGTAGGGAAGTAAATGTTCATTTCCTTTTCTCTACCTTTTTCTTTCTTAATAGTGTAGTAAATCCAGACACATATCTGTAGAGATATCTTAGTTGTATAATTATTCTGTTTCTTGGATATTTTTTAACTTTCAAGCTCAGCTGTCATAGGTTTAGTACAGTCTGTGTACTGATTATTTCATATATTCCACCCTGAAGCTACTCAAAATATAGTAACCATGGAAATACACACACTCTGCACATCTCTCTTCCTTTTTGTGGTTTTTTTTTTTTTTTTTTTTTTTGCTAAATGCAGTTAAACAAATGCTTTCATTTGAATTTGGCTGCTGGGAGTGCCAGAAACTCTTATATTATTATATATTTCAATTTGTCTTCTGGAATGTTAAGATAGTTACTTTCCTTTCTCTTTTTTTTTTTAAATCATGGATGGTACAGGGTCAACACACTGATGGAGGTTCAACTGAATTTAATTTATTTGTCTGGCAAAATATGCTGGTGTCCTTTCTGAGGGCAAGGGTTTATATTTCAGAATGGAAGGAAGCAGGGCTAAGGCATATTTGAAAAACACAAGAGAGAAGCTGGAAAAAAGAGTGGGTATTTCTGGAGTCAGGTTACAAGAGAGAGCCTCTTATTGTGGTCAGCAGCTCACCAGCCTTGTCTACTTCAAATGGCAGCACTGGCTCACAGCCTCATCCTGAAATCAACCGTATCACGCCATTATGAGACAGGAGGTTGCTCTGCAGGTATCTCCAGATTTTGTCATCTGGAAGATTTGCCTTGACTTGCTCTATAATGATACTGTCCATAAAAATAATTCATTTCTGCTACACCTTGTAGACACATTCTGGAAATTTGAAGGCAATAAGGACCTTATAAGATAATCTGGATTTTTCTTTAAAAAACTAGCGCTTATATTGAACTACATTGATTTAAAAAATCTTTCTTAAGCTTAGTCTGTTCGTATGGTAGCAGCAATAGTTAACAATCATTTAAAGTATTTACTTCATGCCTGGAACTCTGCTAGGTGCTTATCTCACTAAAGGCTCACGGGATCTATTGCATAAATATTATCAACATTACATTAGATGAAGAAATTTAAGTTTCAAAAGGAGTAGTAACTTTCTCAGGGTCACATGGCTAGGAAGTAAAGGTGCAGGGATTGGAATGGAGAACTTTCTGTCTTCTGAGCCCATTTTCTTTTCATTGCTTCATAGTGCCCTACACAGTTTTATCCTCAGTAGCCATGGTCCAGAGGAAAAGGAGAATATGACTTTTTTCTTTACAGAGTGTATGATATGGTTGTGGAAGAAAAACATATTTTTCTGTAAAACAACTAGAGGTGAATTTAGTATGTTAACTATAAAATGAACTTGTACCACATAACCCCATGTGTTTTTGCTTCGAGGTACGATCTTGGTTCTAGAGATTCTGCAATTAAAGTGACAAAAGAATTTCTGAAGAGAGGGATACAACTTGTATTTTAATTCCTCTATGGAATATTTTTTCTCAAACTTCCATTAAATATTCTAAATCACATTTATGCTATTCTGGCCTAATTCCAAACTCTACCCTTTTTTCTTTTTCTAACCCAAGGGTGATTGATGGATTTTGGCCACATACTGGTTGTTATCAGGTTAAGTACAACAATTGAATAGTAGGTCCACTGTGTGCACCTCAGCCCTCCTCCCCACCCGCCCACTTGCTGAAGCAATGGAATCATAAGATGAGTGCATCGTGGTCCTTGTCATGACTCAGCACTGCTTGATTTCTAAGACATTTAACTCTTAAGATCTCTCCCTTGTCTACCACTTCCATAACCCCATATATTTCTTACTTATATAAACTTACTCTTTTCTTTTATTCTTCCATCAGTCCTCTCTGGACATCATCTCTGTCTCTCCCCAGCAAGGATCTTATCTTTGTTTCTAATTTTCATGGTGCTCTTATTTGTGTTATAGAATCTTTGAACTTCTGCAACTCCTGCCTTGCCCTCCTCAATCCTAGATGAGTCTAGTAGATTATTTTTTCTGCTTTCTTTCATGATGATTGAATCTGTTAAAAATTCTGGGTAAAGAAAATCACAACTGGTTGCCAATTTATCTGTTAGTTTCTGTATTAGTCCATTTTCACACTGCTGTAAACACATACCTGAGACTGGGTAATTTATAAAGAAAGGAGGTTTAATTGACTCACAGTTCCACAGGGCTGGGGAGGCCTCAGGAAACTTACAATCATGGTGGAAGGGGAAGTAGCACATCTTACATGGGGGCAGGTGAGAGAGAGTGGTGAGTGAAGGGGGAAGAGCTTCTCATAAAACCATCAGATATTGTGAGAACTCACTCAATATCATGACAACAGCATGGGGGAAAGAGCCCCCATGACCCAGTCACATCCCATCAGGTCTCTCCCTTGACATGTGGGGATTTTGATTTGAGATTTGGGTGGGGACACAAAGCCAAGCCATATCAGTCCCTCCCCATCACATTTCTCATTATTTCCCTAAAGGCCTTTCATAGTCCTCATCCACAAGCCTTCAAGACTGAGCTCAAATGACATGAAGACTTCTCATTATCTTGTCTCCTTGAGGGAAGGATTACTGTTTATTTTATCTTCCTTGAAGCTGGTATCACTTGCTAAAGGAATTAACAAAAATATGAAGATGTTACGGGAACATACGCTAAGCTGCATGGCTTTCTGCTATAACATTATTAGTAGTTACTGCATTTAGACTGACATCAGAGAAAATGTGGTGGAAACCTTTAATATTAATGTAGCTTTCATCACAATAAAATAAACCATGCAAAAATTATTGCATGGCTTTGTTTACATGTAGAAATTTCAAGGTTACTACAAAGCATCCTTGTGGTTTTATCTGGTTTAGTGTAATTGATAGATCATTTTGGAGTTCTTCGATAATGAAGTGGTAGCCCTTTAAGTAGTATAGTGGTTGATTTTTGTGGTTGCATTATAATATGCCTATTAAACTAGATTTGTATTGAGTGTTTGCTATATTTAGGCAACATGTATGAAGGAAAATGTGCATGAAACATACATGATGCATAAAAATTGCATAATGTACAGTGCATTACATTCTAGGAGCTTCCTTACAGTTATTCCTGAGTTAAGAAAATGCTTTCATCTGAACATTCTTCTTTGTGGACCTACTGATATGACTGGTGGGAATAAATAACTGAATCCTTAAAAATAAATTTTATTACTTTTAATTTTTTAAATTTGTGGATAATTATAGCCATAATTATTTAATACAAAGAATGATTATGGCATACTTTCAATATTACTAATGTATTTCTGCTTCTAATGGAAGTATTTTGATTGGGTGGGTTTTTTTAATCCTTAGAAATAGGCTAACCTGTTTCTGCCACTAGTACCTGTAATACTGTATTAGTCAAGGGTCATATCAGGAGACAAAAACTAAACAATAATTTAAACAGGAAAGTTTAACGTGGATAATTATAAATATTTTCTTATCTATCTAATAATCAATTATTTATAACTAAGAGAGAATAAAAGAGGATTCTAATGACTACTCTGGGTCTGAAGGTGACTACCTAAAGAGGAAACTAACTTGGAAAGGGAAGGATGGGCTTTAAGGCTGGGATGCAGACTTTTTGTTGGAAATGTGTTTGTAGTCTACTGAATGGAGGAGAAATCCCCTGGCTTGCAGTGTTGACCAGAAGTGATTCAAAGTCAATGGGCCGTTTTGAAGGTGCTTCGAAATCTATTTTGAAGGTAATAATGCTTAGAGAATTTGGACTCCACTGAGTAGTTGAGGTAATGATAGGGGAGGATAGTATCACAGTCTTTATATCAGAAGTTGTTTATTTCCCTTTGTTTTCAGAGAAGTTCAAGTTAGTAAGGCAGAGTGTTTTGTTTTTCTTTCCTCGCTTTTACCATACCCCTGCTCCTCCTACTTCTTCTTCTGCTGAATTCTCTGCTCCACATGTTAAAAATAATCGAGTAGAGATATCTAAAAATATAAGAAGTACATTAAGTATCGATTCAAACACTAAAGTTTAATTTTGAATACAAAAGTGAAGAAAATAACCATTTAAAGCCACTCTATGCTTCTGTTAATTATTCCTCTTTGTTTTCCCCATTATACCTATTTCTGTCTCTCTTCATTGTATTCAGTAATGCTACCTCCTCCTTGTTTTGGTTTATTGAATATTTAAAAAGTTATTGCTGTTTAGTTTCACTGGTGTTCTCTTGCAGGCTTGGCCAATTATTTTTCATAATTATTTGATTTTCTCTTAATTCCATAAAATAGATACATGTGTGTTCATTATGTATGTATATTGCCATAAAAATTTTATTTTACTACATATACCTAGGATTCCATATTTATATCTATACATTTATATTTGTTTCTATTTTTCCATCTATTGATCTATTTATCTATATATGTCTCTATCTATTAATACAGATGTGCACACACATACATCCTCTGGAATACAATATTGATAAATTAGCAGTAAAATATAATCAGCTACATTTCCTTCTATTTCTTATCATAATAACCCAAATAATTTTATCTTAAATATTTTCAAGTATATTTAGTAATCTCTGGAAATGCAGAATCTATATGTTTTGACTTATAAAAAAGGCAGAAATAATTAGTTTTTATTTTTAAGCTGAATCTCACTTTGATAGTTTCTTTTTATAAATTATCAAACTATAATCCAGTCCACTATTCCCATTTTGTAGAAGGGGAAGTATGAAGTAGCTTACACAGCTCACACACATGATTACAATGATTTTTGACCATCTTCTGCATGAATTACCATGCTATTAATCCAACAGACCAATGGATGGAGCATTTCAAAATTAAATATTTGAGGTTACCTGATGAATATTTTAATAAATGTTCATATATTTCAGTCTATATGTTACTCATTTATCTTTTATTTAGTTATATGTTTTGGAGATAAAATAAAATCTGATTTTGAAAGTGGGGTGTAAAACTTGTGTGTGCATCTATGTTTTTGCATGTGTGCTGGGCATTTAATGAGACAGAATGCTATTCCCTTCTTTTCAGCTTTTTTAGCGAGGTCTGTCTTTCAGAAGTCCAGTCTAAAAAGACTGGGTCTGTTTCTGAATAACTACATTGCTATTTTCCCATACTTAAAGGCGCTGTCATAGGCATTCAGATGAATTATTGAGTGACAAACAATGACATCCATCAACCCCCAGCTCTGCCTCTTCCATTGGGTACAGTTCAATAGCTATTTATTAACTCTCATTGCTCATTTTAAAGGTGAGACTTCACACTAGCTCACAAAAGCCAAATAAATTTGATTTCAAAGATGCACAATAGTGTCTGGATGAATTACTTAGTGTTTACTGATGTGCCAAAAAGAGAAATAAAGAAAACATCAGCAAACACAGTCTGAGCTGCCTTGGTTGTAGGAATGGGGGAGTAATTCCATACTCTAAAAAATTTGCTTCATTGCTTTTATGTTCAAAGGTTTTATGTGATGTCTGCTTTTGTACTGGTTGCCAATGCAAGTTTATAATTTTACGTTAGATGCTTGAATTTTTCAATTAAAAAAATGTTAGCCTGAGCAAGCCAGCCAAGACTATAGAGAATAACAAGTCATGTAAAATAGATTGTATTTTTACTGGAACATGAACAAGAGTATAAATGTAATTCTAGAGGCAGCAGCCCAGGATGAGCCAAAGCTGGAGAGTTTCTGTTCAAACTCCCCATTTTCATTTTATACACCATGGCAAAAAGCATCAGCTTCTATCGTCAGTGCCTAGTTTTCAAGTTATAACAATTCTTTAGTGTCTATTTCTGTTCAGATGTAGATCTTACCTTAGTCAACGCTATCTCCTTTAGGCCTCCTTGTCAAATAATGCATCAATTTCCCTATTGAAACGACTTTTAAATGGGAAGTTATTTGTGAGCACAAATCACTTGGTAAGAATTTTTTTAATACATATTCATAATCTCCACCAAGTTGTTTTGCTTTAGGTGGTCTGTGGTGACTCCCAGGAACTTTTATTTTGAATGCAAAGTACCCCAGGTGATTCAAATGTAGGTTGTTTGAGAATCACTAAAATTATTATTTTTATTTTTATTATACTTTAAGTTCTAGGGTACATGTGCACAATGTGCAGGCTTGTTACATAGGTATACATGTACCATGTTGGTGTGCTGCACCCATTAACTTGTCATTTATATTAGGTATATCCCCTAATGCTACCCCTCCCCCATTCCCCAGCCCATGACAGGCCCCAGTGTGTGATGTTCCCCTTCCTGTGTCCAAGTGTTCTCATTGTTCAATTCCCACATATGAGTGAGACCATGTGGTTTTTGTTTTTTTGTCCTTGCAATAGTTTGCTGATAAATGATGGTTTCCAGCTTCATCCATGTCCCTACAAAAGACATGAACTCATCCTTTTTATGGCTGCATAGTATTCCATAGTGTATAAGTGCCACATTTTCTTAATTCAGTCTATCATTGTTGGACATTTGGATTGGTTCCAAGTCTTTGCTATTGTGAATAGTGCCACAATAAACATACGTGTGGATGTGTCTTTATAGCAGCATGATTTATAATCCTTTGGGTATATATACCCAGTACTGGGATGGCTGGGTCAAATGGTATTTCTAGTTCTAGATCCTTGAGGAATTGCCACGCTGTCTTCCACAATGGTTGGACTAGTTTACAGTCCCACCAACAGTGTAAAAGTGTTACTATTTCTCCACATCCTCTCCAGCACCTGTTGTTTCTTGACTTTTTAATGATTGCCATTCAAACTGGTGTGAGATGGTATCTCATTGTGGTTTTGATTTGCATTTCTCTGATGGCCAGTGATGATGAGCATTTTTTCATGTGTCTTTTGGCTGTATAAATGTCTTCTTTTGAGAAGTGTCTGTTCATATCCTTTGCCCACTTTTTGATGGGGTTGTTTGTCTTTTTCTTGTAAGTTTGAGTTCTTTGTAGATTCTGGATATTAGCCCTTTGTCAGATGAGTAGATTGCAAAAATTTTCTCCCATTCTGTAGGTGGCCTGTTCACTCCGATGGTGGCTTCTTTTGCTGTGCAGAAGCTCTTCAGTTTAATTAGATCCCATTTGTCAATTTTGGCTTTTGTTGCCATTGCTTTTGGTGTTTTAGACATGAAGTCCTTGCCCATGCCTATGTCCTGAATGGTATTGCCTAGGTTTTCTTCCAGGGTTTTTATGGTTTTAGGTCTAACATTTAAGTCTTTAATCCATCTTGAATCAATTTTTTATAAGGTGTAAGGATAAATTATAATTGTAAAAGTGAGTTGATGCCAAAGAGAGAATCCTTCCTCAGCAGGTACAGATTCAGATTGTCTTAACCCATGTACCTACTTTTTGGGTCTCTTTCCAAAAAAATTCAGACTGAAGTTGTCATTGGATATGACTGTTTGATCTGAGTAACTTTCCTAGAGCATGGTTTAGTGGCAAACTCTCTCATGAAAAATCAGTGAAATCCTGAAATGTAGGTGTTTTCATTGAAAAAGATGTTTCTGGAAAGCAGAATTAGGGGATCTTCTAACCATGGTCAGAGACCATGGAAGAAACGCAGAGCTGATCATCTTTGTGTTTAATGGTTACTTTTGCCTAAAGCAGACAAATAAGAAAAGGCAGAAAAAGATGAAAACATTAGCAATCAAACAATAGCTAAACATTACAAGTAGTAGGTTGTGCCAGTTATAGCAACAGTATTAAATAGCATTTAAAAGTTACTAAACACGGCCAGGCGCGGTGGCTCACGCCTGTAATCCCAGCACTTTGGGAGGCCGAGTCGGGTGGATCACGAGGTCCGGAGATCAAGACCACCCTGGCTAACACGGTGGAACCCCGTCTCTACTAAAAATACAAAAAATTAGCCCGACGTAGTGGCGGGTGCCTGTAGTCCCAGCTACTCCGGAGGCTGAGGCAGGAGGATGGCGTGAACCCGGGAGGCGGAGCTTGCAGTGAGCTGAGATTGCGCCACTGCACTCCAGCCTGGGCGACAGAGCCAGACTCCGTCTCAAAAAAAAAAAAAAAAAAAAAGAAAGAAAGTTACTAAACACTTTTTCTAATTTATCATTATTATTTTTTAAATTTGGCCTCTATCATTAATCTTCTGACTTAAATGCGCATAGTAAAATGCCCTTTTACTTTGATTCAGTTGAGCAACAATGGAATTAAGTCTGCTATTTGTGTTGGCATATTAAGCATATTAAAATGTAGCAGTTTATTTACAAAAAGATCATACAAAAGAGGAAGGGATGTATTGCCGCAGTAAACAGATAAATATGATGTATTTCTTCCTAATTTTTAATATTTCCTTATAATTTGGTGAATGTTAATATTAACTTTATCTGTCTGATGTATGTTAGATACCTGGTCTGAGCTTCCAAGAATATATGTAGACATTTGAGGTTTCTTTATCTGAGTAAGGACAGTTTAAGAAGTTGAAGGATAATTTTTTTTCAAATACAATTGAGAGTACATCTTATTTAAAAGTTCATCTAATTATTAATAAGTAAACTTAAAGTTTGATTTTAAAGAAAAGCCTTTTTATAGATCTCTGACAGTTTCTAAAAGTACAACTCAGACATCAACACGCTGTGTAAAAATGGCTTTGTTTTCAGTTTTGCGAAACACAAAACACTAATTAATATATGTAAAGAAACATGCACATATCCTTTGATGCTCATCTGATTAAGATGTTCCTTGATTGCTCCCTCTTAAATGATAGGAGTTGGGGAACAAAACCAGTTATCTGGCTTCTGTTATACCTATTGCTTAGGTTTGTGCTTGTTGTCAGAGCTGTTCAAAAATATGGGTGACATATGGATACAATATTAAAATAAATGCATCCTTAAATTTGTATTTTTGCTGTAAAGATTGCCATATGCTATGGGAAATTAAAGTAACACAAAATTAGAAAAAATAATTTAAAAGCAAAAACAACAAAAATTCTGGCTCGTATGCTTAGACAAGATTTTAGGAGGCTAAGGGAGAAGTTGGGAGACCTATTAGGAAGCTGTGTCAATCTACTATTTCTACAATAACAGTAAAAATCATAGAAATTCAGTAGCATACAGGGCATTTATATTTCATACATCTGTGGGTGGGCTAGGTGTCTCTGTGGATCTTGACTGTGCTCATGTTCTCATCACTCACCTGCAGTGTTTGGCTGGAGGATCTGTAAACTTAAGTTGAACTTGCCTGTGGTGGCTGAGCTCCACATTTTTCTCATACCCCTCTTGGGACCAGCAAACTAGGTATATTCTCTTGGCAATGTCAGAGGCACAAGCTCCTTCTTTTGTCACTTTTTCTAAAATTCCATTAGCTAAAGCAAGTCATATGGCCAACATCAAGGGGTAGGAAAATAAATTCTGTTTTTTTAAAAAGATCTGCAAAATTCCATGGCGATAGAAGGCATGGTTAAAGGAGAAAAAAAGTGAGACTAGTGATTCCATGTACCAGAAAGTCTCTTGCAGTAGTTTAGACAAGAGGTTTGGGTTCAGACCATGTATAGAACTATGGTAATGAGAAGAAGTAGTGGGATTCTGGATATATTTGGAAGGGACAGCCAGAGACATTTACTGAGTCATGGAGAGATGTTAAGGATGATTTCAAAGTTTCTAGTATGGGAACCTGGAAAGATAAGCTTGTCATGAACTGAGATATGAAATGTTATAGATGGATCATTTTTGGAAGAAAAAGAACAAATTCCATTTTGAACATGTTCAGTTTCAAGAGTCTGGATTTACAGGAGTACGATGTGTGCTACCAATATATATTTGGGAATTGTGTACTATTTAAAGCCATGAGTTTGGATGAAATCAATAACTGATAGTATGTAGAAAGAAGAGAGAGGAGGACTAAGGATATTTTTAACATTAAGAGGGTGACAGATATGAGAGATCAGCAAAAGGGACTGAGAAGTGATCTATAAGATAGAAAAAATCAAATGAGTGAGGTGTGCTATGTAAATAGAACGTACCAAGGAGAAAAGAGTGATCAACTGAAGTAAATATGGCTTATAAGTCAAGAATGATGCAAACTAAAACTTACTGTAAGATTTAACAACGTGGAGGTTACTGATGCCTTTACCAACAGCAGTTTCAAAGGATTGCACCACACTGAGAAGTCGTGTTTGGAATGTGCTGGGATCCCTAAATGTAAGGATTGAATTCTTTAACAAACTCTGAAGAATTCTAAAATTCTAATTCTGATTCTTTTAAATAAATGCTTCTCTCCTTCCCCTGCATTCTCTCTTTGTTTCTGGAAAGATTTTTGAGAAATATAATGGACCATGCCTCTATTTTCCATGTGTCTTTACTAACTAACTCTTTACCCTATGTTTTTTCCATTTTAGGTGGCTTATTTAGCTCTATCTTCTGGTGCTTATCTATCCAATTGTGTCTAATCTGCTGTCAACCAACCCACGAATTTTTTAAATTCAATGATCATTTCTCTTTATGTCTGCCTGATTTTGCTTTTTCATGTTTCTGATTCATTTTTTATATATTTAATTATTTTAAACACATAGAGTTCATAATCTCTGTTTTATAACTCTACCACTTGACATTCTTAGGAGTCAAATTCTGTTATTTATGTTTTATGTTGACTCAGCTCATAATGACTTGTTTTCTGTGCTTACTAATTTCAGATTGGGATGCCATGCTTGGTGTGGCCACCCTTGATAATTCTGTGCAGCCTAACTTGGAATGTGTTACTTTATCAAGGTTTATTTTGTGACTCTGCAAGTCCCTCAGAGATTATAGCAGATATAGTTGTAGCCCTACCAATACTCTTTTATGCCTTATTATTTCTATGCATATAGGACTAACTTTTATTTGCCAGCATACATGTCTCTTTGCCTGAAAGTTTTGTCTGGCCACCACTCTTACCAGGTACACAGAAGGCCAAAAGTGCAAGGTAATTAATGTTCCCTACCTCAACAAATGAAAGATCAGAGTTGGTGTGTAAATACCATAGCTCTCTTGCGTCTTGGATGGAATAGTTCTGAGGTTAGTGACTGGTATCATCTCCCAGTTTTCCCCCATGGGGATAAAATCTCCTTACCCTCAGGGGTAACACACTGGATAATGTACCCTTTATTGGCTGCCTTTACTCTCCTGACTCACATACTCCCCTACTCACTCAAATACTTACCAACTCAGAAACTATTTCAGGAGTACCCAAACTAAGACAGCCTTATTATGAGACCAGAACTACCGTTTTTTTCAAAATACTGGATTTTCAGAACTTCTTTGTAATACTAAGGATTATCTTTGCATTCTTGACACCTGAAGATGATGTGAAAATTGAATCCTGAACTCTTATAGAGTAATACTCTGGTTCAGAGTCTTCAGAGGAGACTTTTTCCCTTGCATAGTTACTGGACTAAGACAGAAAAACTATCCTGATATCATTTTTTGCCAGTGGGAAATTTTTTTTCCTAGTCTGTTTTGTAGCCCCAGTTGGAAGCAAGAATTTCACTCAGCATTTTATGTCTTACGCCAAGCCCAAACTGAGATTCCTGGGTTTATAACACATTCCCGGAAATGGAAGAATAGGCATACGTCAGAGATACTGTGGGTGGGATTCCAGACTACTGCAATAAAAGCAAATAGTGCAATAAAGAAAGTCACATAACTTTTTGTTTGTCCAGCGTATATAAAATGCATATTTACACTATAATATAGTCTAAGTGTGCAATAGCATTATACCTAAAACTGTACATATACTTTATTGCTAAAAAAATACTAACAATAACCTGAGCCTTCAGTGACTTGTAATATTTTTGCTGGTGGAAGGTTTTGCTTCAATGTTGATGGCTGCTGACTAATCAGACTGGTGGCTGCTGAAGGTTGAGGTGCCTCTGGAAATTTTCTAAAATAAGATAACAATACATTTTGACAGATTATTGAATCTTCTTTTCATGAAAAATATCTTTGTAGCATGTAACGGTTTAATAGCATTTACCTAATTAGAGCTACCTTCAGATTTGGAGTCAATCTTTCCCTAGAGCTGGTTTGCAACTAAGTTTACGGAATATTCTAAATTATTTGTTATTACTTCAACAATGTTCACAAAATCTTCATCAGAAGTAGATTTCATCTCAATAAATGCCTTTCTTTTCATATCTGTAAAAAAGAACATTTCATCTGTTAAACTTTTATCATGAGACCGTAGTAATTCAGCTGCATCATCGGGCTCAACTTCTAATTCTAGGTTTTTGCTATTCTCACCACATTTGCAGTTACTTCCTCCACTGAAGTCTTGATCCCTCCAAGTCAAATCATCCATGAAGGTTGGAATCACCTTCTTCCAAACTCCTGTTAATGTTGACATTTTGACCTCTATGAATCACGAATGTTATTGATGACATCTAAAACGTTGACTCCTTTTCCAAAGGTTTTCAACTTTATTTACCCAGCTCCATCAAAGGGCTCAATATCTATGAAAGCCATAGCCTTATAAAATGTATTTCTTACATAATAAGGCTTGAAAGTTAAAATTACTTTTTCATCTATAGGCTTCAGAATAGATGTTATCTTAGCAGAAATGAAAACAACATTAATTTCCTTTTACATCTCTATTAGAGCTCTTGGGTGCATTGTCAATGAACAGTCATGATTTGAAAGGAATCTTTTTTTCTGAGCAGTAGATCTCAACGGTGGGCTTAAATCATCAGTAAATGATGCTGTAAACAGATGTGCTGTCATTCAGGCTTTGTTACTCCATTTATAGAGCACAGGCAGAGTAGATTTCGTATAATTCTTAACATCTTTAGGATTTTTGGAATGGTAAATTAGCATTCACTTCAACTTAAGGTATCTAGCTACATTAGCTTCCAACAAAAGGGTCAACTTATCATTTGAAGTCAGGCATTGACTTCTCTTCCTAGATATGAAAGTGCTAGATAGCGTCTTCTTCCAGTAGAAGACAGTTCATCTACACTGAAAAATTTGTTGTTCAGTTTAGTCACCATTATCAATTATCTTATTCAGATCATTTGCTGCAGCTTCTCCATCAGCACTTGTTGCTTCACCTTACACTTTTATGTTATGGAGACAAATGGCTTCTTTCCTTAAACTTCATGAACCAACCTCTGCTACCTTCCAAGTTTTCTTCTGCAGCTTCCTCACCTCTCAGCCTTCACATAATTGAAGAGTTAGACCATTGCTCTGGATTAGGCTTCGGCTTAAAGAAATATTGTGGCTGGTTTGATCTTTTATCCAGACTACTCAGACTTTCTCTGTATCATCAATAAGGCTGTATGGCTTTATCATTCTTGTGTTCACTGGATTAGCACTTTAATTTTTTCAAGCACTTTTCCTCTGTATTCACAACTTAGCTAACTATTTGGTTCAAGAGGCCTAGCCTTCAGTCTGTCTTGGCTTTCAGCATGCCTTCTTCACTAAGCTTAATCATTTCTAGTTTTGGCTTTGAAGTGAGAGACACGTGATTCTTCTTTCACTTGAACACTTAGAGGTCATCATAGGGTTATTAATTGGTCTAATATTAATATTTTTGTGTCATAGGGAATAGGGAGGTAGAAGGAGAGAGATGGTGAAATGGTGGTCAGTGGAGCAGTCAGAACAGACACAACGTTTATCGATTAAATTTGTCATCTTATATGGCAATTACCATAGTAACATCAAAGACCACTGATCAAAGATCACCATAGCAGATATAATAGTAATGAAAATGTTTGAAGTACTGTGAGAATAACCAATATGTGACACAGAGACATGAAGCAAGTACATGTTGTTGGAAAAATGGCAGCAATAGACCTGCTTAATGCAGGATTCCATAAACCTTCCATTTGTTAAAAACATAGTATATTTGAAGCACAATAAAATGAAGTGCAATAAAACGTGGTATGCCTTTATCTTTTCCATTATTAGAGAGAGTTATTGTCAGGGCCATAATGAAAACATTTGCCTTCTTGAAGCAGGAAACTGGAAATTTTAATCTGAATGATATTAACATAATTGAGGCTTATCAATGCATCAAAATATGAAGGAGCTCTTCTGTTTGTTTCCTTTTGACTAATGTCTCTGATCCTGGAAATTTAAGATGAAGAATTTGCTTTCTCATTCCCCTCTCTTATAAATTTCTAGGATATCAAGAAAATATCCAAAGGTAATATTTTTGCCCAAGTTATTGACTTGTCCATTTGCTGCTGTTTGAGTTTATCAGGAGAAGATGAATACATGTCTATTAGATGTCTATATTTCTAATTTCATCATTTGGCTATGCATGGATATTTGTTCCCATGAACATTATTTTTGTATAGATCACCATCAGTCAAGTAGACCCTGCCAGCCTGGTAAGATGATAACTTTGAAGCTTTAGTCATACCTTGTCCTTTCACCTATGCCTGATGTTGTCATTTCACACTTTGACCATAGCTTGCCTGCAAGTGCAACATGTAATATCTCTGTTGTGTCTGATTGAGAAGTAACTTGAGTGAGTTGGTTTCTGTATCTTAAAAGAGTTTTTATTTCTGCACATTATTTCTGTAACAAGAACAAGGAAATATATTTTCAAAGGCCAGTAAATAACCTAGTGCGTAAGTGGTAGGTATGATGGGAAGCATTAAGCTCTCAATCTTAATGGGCCCTGGGATATATGTTAACAGCAGCTTGCAAGTGGGAAAAGAGTAGCCTTTGATCAGCTAAAAATATCTATAATAAAGCAATCCTCATAATTAAAGCCATCAATTTGGTTATCATTTCAGGAATTTTCTGCTCAACCTTTCAAAAATGCTAGGATGATACACGTGTTTTCGCTCAGCTTGAGCAGCTCCTCGGGTTGTTGGGTCCAACCCATTCCATTGTAGGATAACTGTAACTACTTAAAAATTCTTCCTTATATTGATTCAAAGTCTGACTTCTCCTAACTTCTTAGTCCTTACTGGTTCTAATTTTTCCCTTAAGAATACCACTGTCCACAGGGCTTTCTTCAGTAATGGAAATGTTCTAAATCTTGCATTATCTAATATGGTAGCCAGCAGCTATCATATTAGCTACCATATTAGATGAGGCTATTGAGCATTTGAAATGTGGCTAGTATGATAAGAAACTGAATTTTTAGTGTTACTCAAATTTAAATCTTTTTTCTTTATTTAAATTTTATTTAAACTTTCTTCTAGGAGACAACTGTTGAAGTATTTAGTGGCACTGCATTGTCTGAGTTTCAGTCTTCTGTTTCTGAAGGACAACTCGCTCTAGAGCCGTGTGGCTTACAGTATTCTCACCCTTCTCACTAACTTTCTCCAGATTATGTTGTGTATTAATTATCTGCTTAAAAACTTGTGCTCATATCTGGTCATAGTGGATCAAGATGGTCTGACTAATCCAGAATACATTGGACTTATCAACTTGGAGTGAGCATTGAAATTTAAGAAATTTTATATTGTGTTTATTTATTTATTTGAGACAGAGTTTTGCTCTTGTTGCCCAGATTGGACTGCAATGGTGCGATCTCGACTCACTGCAACCTCTGCCTCCCCAGGTTCAAGCGATTCTCCTGCCTCAGCCTCCTGAGTAGCTGGGATTACAGGTGCCTGCCACCATGTCTGGCTAATTTTTTGTGTTTTTAGTAGAGATGGGGTTTTACCATGTTGGCCAGGCTGATCTCAAGCTCCTGACCTCAGATGATCCACCTGCCTTGGCCTCCTAAAGTGCTGAGATTATAGGCGTAAGCCACCGCACCCGGTCTTGTGTTTATTTTTCAATGCCATAATGCACTTGATATTTTGTTAATGAGAAATTACCACTATTGATATAATTCGTATATTTGTCTCCTCCAAATGTCATGTTAAAATTTGATCCCCAGTGCTGAAGGTTGGGCCTGATCGGAGGTGTCTGGGCAATGAGGGCAGATCCCTCTTTGGCTTGGTGCTGTCCTTGCAGTAATGAGTGAGTTCTTGCTCTACTAATTCATGTAAGAGCTGGTTATTCAAAAGTGCGGCATCTCCTCCTTCCTTGCTGCATCTCTTGCTATGTGACACCCTGGATCCCCTTCCCCTCTGCTAGGAATAAAAACTTCTTGAGGCCTCAACAGAAGCTGAGCAGAGGCTGATACCATGCTTCTTACATAGACTGCAGACCGTGAGCCAAATATACTTCTTTTTTAAAATAAATTATCCCGTCTCAGATATTCTTTTATAGCAATTAAAATGGACTAACAAAATCACCTTCAGGCAAATGATTGGATTTTAGAATTAAAAACCATTTTGGGCAACTTCTAGTTCAGTGGTTTTCACAATTTATTTTAATCAATGGACTCATTATTAAATGAAACTTTCCCAGAAGAGTAAACAGCTAATTCTGGAGTGAGTTGGATTGGAGCAGGAGTGGGCTGTCCAGCCTGTAATTCCTACCTAAATAGTATAACCCTTCTTTATAGAGTGTTGATGTGAGTTCCAACCAATACAGACACAGAATCAAATCATATGAGTCAGTAATGAGACCTCCTAATTGTATTATTTAAGGAGCATTGAAGGCTACCTCACAAAAAGACAAGTTCAAGTAGGAAAATGGATGCTTAAGCAGTTATTCAGAGCATTTAGGGTCAGACACCCTATTAATGATTTGTACCCTGATTTTATTGAAAGTATAAGGTTATTCATAATTACTTTAAGATATTGAATATAGGTTATTTTTCAGCCTATGTGGTGACATTGGGAATTTTGGTGTCTACCTATTGGATACATTTAAAATCCTTTTTCTTTTGTCTTCCACTATATAGGTGAGGGCTTTGTGAGATTCCAGGTTTCCTTGTCATCTCTCACAGAATTTATCAAATTTTTGTTTGCACAGGTATCACCTGGAGATCTTGTGAATACATATGTTTCTGGTCCTCATCCCTAGAGACTCTGATCTGGTACAACTAGGACAGGTCTCAGGACTGTATTTTTATCAAGTCTCCCAAATAATTCTGATACCTTTAGTCCATATTCACACTTTGAGAAACACCAACCTATAGCGTGGTCATTAACAAAGAATGGGAAATTTATGGATTTAAAAGCTGTCTTGGGAGTTAAGTGTAACAGCTAACTGTTTTTTTTTTTTAATCTTGGAAGGTTTATTTTAGAAAGATTTTTGTCCCGAAATATTTTGAACCCATTTTTTAAAAATCCTTACACAATGTGTTTGTCATGTGGCTGACATTCCTAAGCTCTAAGGTGAGGAACATTTAGTGGGTATTCTAGTCCTATTGCCCTGCTTTTGGAAACACAATTTCTCACCACGCATCCTACCTTTTACGTATCATTATTCAGCCTTTCAACCTTACTTGATGTGTGATCTGTCATCAGCCTGCAAGAGGCTCTTGGCTCTGTTGTGATCCTGACACATGACTGCTGTGGCTGCCACATTTTTTTCCTCTTAGCTTTTGTTCTTCCTCACTTCTAGACGTGTCTACATATTTCATTGAAACATAACAGAGAAAAATTACTGTTGGAATAATGAGCCTGAAAATTAATAATCTTTTTTAACAAGCTTTTTTTCTTGTTGGTGCCCTTTAATGAATGTATCTAAGCTGCTGGAAGGGGAACCACTGTAAAGGCCATAAAGAGCTTTCTCATTATTCAAATGCTGGGTAGATAGGATGAGAATTTAATGTCATCTATAATAACTTCTGAAAGTGGCAGTTTAACCCATATCTTTTACCAGTAGAACATATTTAATAGATTTATAAAGCTTTTGTCTTTGTTCTACCTGCATAGAAGATAGATGAAACACCATAAACCAAATACATTGGTTTGTTGATTTTTACTATTTAGATGCTATCTGAAACAGAGGATAGCTACTGTAACATGATGGTGAAAAAGATAGATTGCATGGAGATAGCAAGAGGTAATGGTTTAATACTTGGGCTAGTTTGGCTAAGTTTCTACCCATTAGACCTGTGCTGACAGTATGGTAGCCACCAGCCATATGTGGCTACTTAAATTTAATGTATTTGTTAAATTAAGATTTAAAAGTTAGTCTCTCATTCACACTGACCACACTTCAAGAGCTCAGTAGCCACAAATGGCTGGTTGTTGCTATATTAGACCAAGCAAATACAGAATATTTCCGTCAGAAAAACTCTATTGGACAGTGCTACACAAGACTCTCTCAGCTTGTTGACCTTATCTGAGCAGGGCAAAACAGTAAGTACCTTCTGTGTAAAATGCTGATGTTTGCTTGGGTTAAGGTTAATTGCTACTTAGGACCGTGTGCTGTGTGACAATAGACCTGTGCTGATTGTGATGCATTTCTGAAGTGTGAATATAGTTTTTACTTCCAATTGAGCTGGCAATTTTTCTTCCCAGAAGAGCCTGTTGACTTAGAGGTAGTGGCTGAGTATTCAATGATTTAATCATGTACAAATTTGCCTTATTCTTTTTTTAATTAAAGCATAAAATAGTTATTTTAAACTATGTTTATAAATTACTGTATGGGTATTTCCTGCTTAAGAAAATCTGCAAAACAAACACATATGGAAATGATTTTCTGGTTGAAAAATAATTGTTTGCTTTATATTAAACAAATACATTTATTTTATTTGTATTAAAAAAGAAATTCCTGCAATGGCAAGATTCTTTAGTGCAACTAAAATCAAATCAGATGAATTTTTGTTTTGGCGTATACAGTTATATCCAAGAACATCAATTCTATTACTATATTATTGTCAAATATTATAGATTTACCTTCAACTCAAAGTAACTGCTTTCCAGGTTGTCAACAGATGTTTCAGCCTTCAATTTTCTATAATTCCAACTTTTATAAAGATGTATGGTTGTGAAAAGATAATTTTTAGAGACCTGTGCTCACATGTCTCCTACCTGGGAAGGAGGACAGTGCAGGCAGTGGCTCAAGTAGTATGGGCAGTAGAATTCCACGTGGCCAGCGCTGGTATGGTCATAGTCTTGATTCTTAGTAGAGCAATCTGGGAGTCAGAGAAGCAAACTGGTAAACCTAGAACCAATTAATCAATCAATTAGGTAGGAAAATGATGCTGAATTAATCATTGGCATAAAATTTTTAAGCATTGAGGGCTTCGAAAGCCAACAATTGGAGAGGCAGTTTGTTTGTAACACCAAGAATTCTACCCATTTCTCTGGCCTGACCAAGTTCTGGCAGAGGATTGGTTCTGATGAGAAGAAGGCTATAGATGCTTGGACTGTATTATTTTTCACCCACTGCAAGATTTATTTTATTGAGATGCATTTTTATATTGTCACATCTGGATTTTAACTGAGGGTAGTAAAAGAAAGAACTCCATGAAATGAACTACTATACTTGCTACAGAAATGTTATTGAGGACAATGTCTATATAGTATTATGCCCCATCTGAAGCATGCTGAGTGAGAAATTTCTTTTTAGAGTTAAGGGCTGGAAAGTTTTGCTGCTCCAGAAACATTGCAGTGTTTCATCCTTGTTGGAATAAAAACAATAACAATAACAAAAACTAGCTGGGGGACTGGCATGACTCCTTTTCACTTTGGCTCCTAGGAAATGTAGAATCAAAGTCTTGCCGTTAGTGGCTAGAAAGGTTGACATGATGATTAGTCCTTGGATTTGGGAATATATATATAAAACCCCCAAATCACTGAATACTCTCAGATCTACCAATTGCTGATATGCTCATGATCCACAAAGGACTGTTGCTCTATCACTGACTAGAAATAAGAAGCAAAACAGTAAATCATGGATTTCAGGACGATCATTTGTAAATCACTATTGGAATGATCATTAAGCATTCAACAAACATTTGTGGAGACTCTGTGCCATGTATCATTCTGGATGTTCTGTACATACATCAGGAACACAACAAAGATGCTGGCTTTAGTATGTACCTTTAGTATGTACCTTCTGGCTGGGTCTTTTGAGTCAGCCATGATTGTGCCACTGCACTCCAGCCTGAGTGACAGAGTGAGACCTTATCTCAAAATAAAAAAATTAAACTAACAGCCAACTACTAGAACTTTTACCTGAATGAAGCTTATTTAGAACACATATTTTCTTCATAAGGTACATATCTTAGACAATTTTGTTTTGCTATGAAAGAGTACCTGAGACTGAGTAATTTATAAAGAAAAGGGGTTTATTTAGCTCATGGTTCTGTAGGCTGAGAAGTTCAAGGGCATGGCCCTGGCTCCTGGCAAGGACTTTTGTGCTGCATCATACACAGTGTAGAAGGTCAAAGAGGAAGTGGACACATGTGAAGAGAAGCAAACTTAAGTAGCATCCTGGCTTTATAACAACCCACTGTCTCAGGAACTAATTTATTCCTTCAAGTGCTAATTGACTCATGTGAGGGTGAGAACTCACTACCACAAGAACAGCACCAAGCTGTTCCTGAGGGTTCTGCCTCCATAGCCAGAACATTTTCCAATAGGCCCCACATTCTAATACCACTACACTGGGGATCAAATTTCAAAATGAGCTTTGGGGGAGACAAGCTATATCCGAACCATAGCAGTATATCACATCCTTGTTGTGCTTGGGAACACTAAACAGTACTTTAGCACTATGTTTGGGGCCGTTAAACAGTGAAATCACCAATAAACAACAACAACAACAACAAAAACATAAAAATGTGAAGAATGTGTTATTAAATATACCATAAAAAGGACATTATTTTTTTCCAGTATGAGAGCTGAAACTAGAAGGCAAGCATCACTTTCCTCTACTTCACTGGGAATGTTTGCCCCAGGGAACTCAAATTTTTTACCATTCTGTGAATGCATATGTCTACAAATGACTGAAAGTGCCATAGATAATGATTTTGGATTTGCAAACAAATTTGAGCGAGTAGGTGAATTCCACAAATGTGGAATCAGCAAATAAAAAAGATGGACTCTATATGTATATGCACACTGTATATATATACCTGTATGTGGGTGTTTGTACAAGCTAATGGAAATTCCTGCAAATTGGCAAAGATCTCCTATGATTTTCTCAATAGCAGATGAGATAGCCAGCCTGTTATTAAATACAAAGAATGTATGAGGAAGTTAGAAGAAGACTGCCCTTTTTGTTTATCTGGGTGGAAAAAATGAACTCAAGGGAAGAGTATGTATATTGAGGACCATATCAACCTTGGGAGGCTAACATATAGTGGTCAGTGCAAGATTGCAACTTCTGCATGTTATTATAAATTAGGATGGTGTTTATGACATCTGAGTTTTCTAAAATAAGTCTATG
Organism: Homo sapiens; assembly: GCF_000001405.40. Lineage (NCBI taxonomy): Eukaryota > Metazoa > Chordata > Mammalia > Primates > Hominidae > Homo > Homo sapiens. The sequence goes on along the minus strand of NC_000005.10, from coordinate 63,833,760 downwards.
GAGAAATTAATATTGTAAGAGTTGTTATTTGATCACTCGATAATGGAGAAATTATCTTTACTACTGCATATAGACTTTGCTGAGTATTCATGGAAGGCTGGGGTCATAGAGAAAGTAGCAGGTAGACATTATAAATTAAACCCAGAAAAAGTTTTTTTTCCTCTCAATTCCTAACTTCAACTATGTCCCCCTGTGAATTCCCTTATCAATTCATAGTTCTCCTTATTTTAGATGTACGAGGAGGAAATTTGACATTTGCCTTCATCCTGTACCCTCATTCTCTTTTTCAATCTCCAATGACAATTTTCAGGTACTTAAAATACTCAAACTCCATCAAATTCATAGAGAAATTGACAGGTTGTGGTATATTTATTATAAAAAATGAGGACAAAGAAGAATAAAACCTTTTAATCATGTGTGTCAGCACAGTATCAATTACCCAGACCATATCTGAAGGCCTAATATATGCATGTGCTGGCATAGCTATTGGAGGTAGAAGAGAGTTCTAAGTGGCAGGAATCACAGCTTATCCATCTTTTTCTCTTCCTATAGTACATAAAAGTGCCTTAACCTACAAGACTTGATGATAATAGTGGAGGTAACTACCATCTATCTAACGCTTTTTATGGACCAGACATGATGATGACTTTCTTTCAAATGTTATCTTAGTTAATCCTCACAATGGGCCATTTATAAACAAGGAAATTGAAATCCAGAAAGGTTAAGTATCTTGGTTAAGGGTCAGATAGTTGGAAAATTATCTTTACGTGTTATAACTGAGTTTTCATCTGGGATACACAATTAATCTTTAGTTTCCTTTTAGGCAGCAAAGTGGAAAACAGGCAGGAGAAATTTCAAATACCAAGGAAAAGTGCCTGCTAAACAAACTTGTTTTTTAGATGTTTTAAGATCTGTTTCTAACTCATCAAAACAGTATAGATTCATGAATGTAGTATAGCACTCTATTACAATACACATGCTTGGTGATATTTTATTCTTGTCTTCTGAATTAACACCAATGTACAATAAAATTACTGTTCTGGAAAACATTATATATAATTTTTTCTTCCTCCTCAAAGCTAATTAGGTGGTGATAATAACAGTTCCTATTTACTGCAGTATGTTTCACACATTGTGTTAAGGGCTTTGAAAGCATATCTCTTTGATATTACAATAATCTTATGAAGACATTATTATCCTTATGCACATTTTCAGATTTAAAAATGAAGAATAGAGTGCTTGAATAACTTGCTTAATATAAGTCAGTTTGCATAAGTGATGAAACTGAAATTTGAACTTATATTTGTCTTTCTTAACCCTTTCTTTAAGGAATACACTATTAGTTATTCTGTCTCCACATTGGTAGTCAGCTAGTATTTATTCAACCCGCACCATGTTTCTGATCTAGTGTAGTAAAGTACCTGTAATCTACCCTCCAGAAACCTTTCATCAGACTGGGAATACAAAATGACTTGGAGGAAGAAATAGAAGAATAAAAAATTGTTGGGTTTTATGAATCTAAATACAATGAAAATTTAGGGAAATAAATGATTGGAATTGAAGACATTAGGAATGTTTCATGGAAGAAGTAGAGTTTACAGTATCTTTTAGACATTGGATGGGATAAAGACAGTGAAATGAGAGAAGGTTCTAGGCAGGCAGCACGCCATGAGCAAATGGTAAGGAATGAAAAGAAATTAAGTGATCCAACTGAAGGAGGGAAAACATTCACTTACATGCAACTCTACATTTATTTAACATAACTATGATGTGTTAAGTATTTCACTAGGTACCATGGAAATGGGTGCCCATTGTCATGTAAATAACTGTACTGTATGTTGAGGAGGTTTCTCTGTATATAGTAGTTTCCCCTTATCCATGGCTTTTTTCCACAGTTTCGGTTACTGACATTATTTGGGTTACTGTCAATTATGGTAGCTGTCTGCCTTTTCTTCTTTGGTCCTTGCTGCTCCTAAGGAAAGTCAAGCACACCCACAGGAGTTAGGTGGGTACAGGGGAGTCTACAATAGATCTATACTATTTCCTTTGAAGGATGGTCCAAATGTATTAACAGTTTCAGAAATAAACAATTTGTAAGTTTTAAACTGTGTGACATCTAAGCAGCATGATGAAATCTTGCACCACCCTGCTGTGTCCTATCTTGTCTTGCCCAGGTGAGTCATCCCTTTGTCCAGTGTATCCAAGTTGTCTATGTTCCCTGCCCATTAATCACTTAGCAGCCATCTTGGTTATCAGATTGAGAAAACATAGTCTATATATATTCAGTTTGGTACTCTCCTTGGTTTTAGGCATCCACAGATCTTGGTTTCAGACATTCCAGGTCTTGGAATGTACCTCTCATGGGTAAGGGAAGACTAAGGTACCTCAGTATGTAAGGTATCTGGTAGCATGATAAAGGCTTGGTATTGTATACAATAGACAGCTAGGAGCTTTTCTTGATTTTTGAAAGGAGAAGTAATGTATTAATAGTAGCAGCAAAAAGAAATTTTAGGAGTCAGAATATTTGGGTTTTAGTCTCAGACTGGTTATTATTTAATTAACTGTGTAACTTTGGTTAACTCCATTAGTTCATTTAATATGGGGAGAATGGCATCTTCCTACCTGGTTCATGGAGTTGTGCAAAGACAAAGTAAAAATGAAAGACTTTTGAAAATTGCAAAGTACTTAATTTATAGATATTAATTAACAGTATTTATTATGGGAGGCATGTGTGGGAGGTTAGTTTTTGGAGAGACTGTGTCTCAGCAAGCCAATGAACAGGCTTATAATAATCCAGGTTAGAATGGTGTGATAGCTTCAGGAATGGAAAGGACAAAGAGAATCTGGGAGTTATTCCAAAGAAAGAATCATGAAACACAGAGGTTAATGACAGGTTTGATAATGAGTGATTTAGTCATCTACTCTTTATTGAACACTTATTATTAAATACCTACTCTATGTCAGACACTGAGGATTCCCAGCTGAATAAGTCATACATGCCCTGTGCCCTCACATGAAATAGTGGAGGCATTTAACAAATCACTCAACCTTTGGAGAACAGTGAAATGGAGCAGAGTCTTATGAGATCATAAAACAAGAAAGACTGAGGGCTTAAAGAAGGTTTCTCTGAGGAAACAATGTGTAGGTTGAGATGTAAAGCAGGAGTGGAACTTAGATGAAAGGGATCAGATCATTCCAGGAAAAAGATAGCATGAAATAATTCCCCAAGGCAGAAGAGAACATGACACATTCTATAAAATAAGACAAGTCTAGTATAGACTCCCCTGTACCCACCTAACTCCTGTGGATGTGCTTGACTTTCCTTATTAGCAGCAATGACCAAAGAAGAAAAGGCAGACAGCTACCATAATTGACAGTAATGCAAATAATTCACAGAAGTCACCATATTAGAAAATATTCTCAATTTTTGTCCAGTGTTGGAGTTCCATCCCTTGCGGCAATGACAACCAGAAAGAACAGGTGAAATAGTACAGATTTTTAAAAAATTAATTGCATTTATACCAAATTATGGAATCAGTGGTAGACATAGCTCTGCAGTATTTAGAACTTACTTTCTTGTGCCCACAGCTTCTGTACAATCCTTTTTACTTACAATTCTACTTGCCATACTTTCTCTATTATGCAAACTAATTGCAAAGTCCTTCCCTAGTCTTCCTCCTAGATAAAGTTAGATAGGCAATATGTTGCTTTGCCTCTGTTTAATATTTTATTTATTCTTTCATTCATATTATTTTTATTATGATTATGAGCTCTGTAACCATGGAGAGCATGAAGTAGTGCCTTTTCAGTTTAAATCATTTTTAAATTGTTTAATCTTTCCTCATACATACTGTACTTGACTAAATTCAAAATCTGCCCTTGGCTTCTGGATGCTTCTAGTCACCAGACCGTAAGTGCAATTAGATCTTTCTGCTTTTTCTCTCAGGTTTGTCAACCAGCTTTATATTATCTCCTTATCTTGCTGACTGGGACAACACATCTTTCAAGTACTTTGTATATCCAATCATATCCTTCATTTTTAAGGCTTGATAGTAGATGTATTTTTAACTGACAATACTATATGTACATGAATTTTCACTTTTTAATCCTTTTCTTTTACTTCTAAAGAATATGTTTTCTTCTTCAAACAGCCAGTAGTTAAAGCCGAGAGAGAAAGGATGGCATAGATAAGGCCAGAGAGGTAAAGGAGACCACATCATGGTGAGCCTTAAGGATTATATTAAGGATGCTGGACTTTTGCCAAATGGCCTTTGGTACTATAATACATTTGGAAGCAAATATAATTATTCTCATTTTAAAATATTTTTATTTTAGTTTTTATAACTAGACTTTTTTTAAGAATAATTTAGAAAATTTGGGAAGACAATACAAAGTTTCCATTGATTCTACACCTAATTTTCCTTGTTATTGACAGAAAGGAAAAACAGATTGAAAATATAGTTCATGGAATTTAAGTTGAGAGGGAAGAGAGGTATAAATGCTAGAAAGAGGAGAATGATTAGGAAGAATGTTAAAGAGTTGATGGGTGGGAGGTTCACATGATGTAAAAAAAAAAAAAAAAGTAATCAAACAAGCTACAAGACTAGAACATTCCTTCCCAGATCCCTTTGCTTGTCCCATCATCCTACCCTTTAAATGTTGTTCACCGGGTGTATTAGTCCATTCTCACACTGCTAATAAAGACATATCCAAGACTGAGTAATTTATAAAGGAAAGAGGTTTAATTGACTCACAGTTCCACAGGGCTGGGAGGCCTTAGGAAACTTATAGTAATGGTAGAAGGGGAAGCAAACATGTTTACATGGTGGCAGCAAGGAGAAGTGCAGAGTGAAGGAGGGGAAAAGGCCCTTATAAAACCATCAGATCTTGTGAGAATGCAATCACTATCAGGAGAACAGCATGGAGGTAAATGCCCCTGTGATTCAGTTACCTCCCACTGGGTTCCTCCCATGACATGTAGGGATTATAGAAGCTACAATTCAAGATGAGATTTAGATGAGGACACAACCAAACCATATCACCAGGATTCAATTTTATCTTCTTATCATTTTAGAGGTGTCACCTTGAACAATCTCATCAATGTTCTCTGTTGCCACAACTCCCAAATCTGTATCATCATTCGTGGTCTCTCAACTCATGTATTTAACGGGTTTTTTTTTTTTGGAGTCTCTTGGAAACCTTTCTACATATCTTATTCTTGTTAGAGCAACACTATCTGTTCAAATCAGAAACCTAGAAATCACCTTAGATTCTTCAATGTGCTTTAACTTCCTTTGTATGCAGTCACCCATGTCATTTTCATTCTTTTGCTTAATGTCTCTTTATTCTCCCTCTGTCTTCTCCCTTTTCACAGCTATTCAAATGAATAGCAAGTTCTCATCTTCTTTATTCTGGATTATTACATTCTCTTGTGTTCTGCTTGCCTCTAGTCTTACCCTCCTCCAAGTATGTTTAACATTTTCTATATTAAAATATAACCTCCATAGTATATCACACAACAGCCCGCTCTCTAGCCTGAACCACGACCACTCAAATTGCACTCTGTTTCTTTGCTTCTCAGATGTTCCTTCAGCCTAGAGTATCTTTCCATCCCTTGTAGTCTGATAACTTCCACCCATACATCAAAGCTCACCTCAAAGATTTTCTTTTCTTTGAAATATTTCTTGATTATTTAAAGTAGCATTAGTCATTCTACTTTGTCAAAAATTTAACACATATTTTAGTATTGCACTTTTCACATCATGTTGTTTCATGTCATTCCTTTTTATATCACCTACTAGAATAACCTACCTTAAAAGCTGGACTGAATTCTTTGGGGGAAAGGAATATGTTTATTTATATTTGTATTTGCAGCAGATGAGACAAAGTACACACAGCAACTATTTGTTGAATGAATGACAAGTTCAAATTTAGACATTTTGTAGTCAAGGCTTATATAAAACTGTAAATTAAGAAGACATTTCTCAAAAGAAGACATACAAATGGCCAAAAGTTATATGAAGAAATGCTCAACTTAATTAATCACCAGGAAAATAAAATTAAAACCACAATGATACATTGCCTCACACCTGTTGGGATGGCTATTATCAAAAAGACAAAAGATAAGTTTTGGCAAGGATATGGAGCAAAGGGAAACCTTGTATAGTGTTGGTGAGAATCTAAATTAGTACAGACATCATTGAAAACAGTATGGCGGTTCCTCGAAAAATAAAAAATTGTAGAGGAATAGTTTTTGATTTCCCCCAATATGTTGACTTATTTCAGGGGTCTGGCCTATCAGTTTTTGGTCAAAGACTGCCCCTCATGTTTGAATTAGTAGATGGTTCTATTTGTCTTACCTGGATTGTTATGGCTCCATCTGTACTTTCCTGGGATTTTTAGCCTTGATCCTTGATTTATTATTAAATCTGGCTTTCATACATCAGACTGGAAAACAAAGACCTCAACATTTTCTAATAATATTTTAATGGAAAAATAATATACATACTCATTTTGACCACTTAAATCACATAAAGTTACACAAAAAAACAGTATCACTCCCTCTTTTCTTCTTTCATACGACTTCCCTCCCTACACATAGTAAAGAATATAAAATAATGTGGAGTTTTTTCTTCCATATATTTTCCTAAGTTTAAATGCTTACTTGAATACAGAGAAATTTTAAAAATAAAAATGGGACTATTCTTTGAAAATTATTTTATAATATAGTATAAACATTTTTATAGGTGAATTCTGACAAATTAAACTGCCATCCCCTAGTGATTCAGAGTTCACCACAGCAGAAGACAGCATGGGACATTGTATTCTGGTTCTTAAATGCTTTTGTCTGTCATTTTGAACACATTTTATTGGCCACAGAAACTGACACGAGCATGACCAACATCAAGGGCCCAGAGATTTGTAAAAATCTTCCATATGTTCAGAAAGACCCAGAAATATTGGTATCACCTACCACAACAGTAAGTGACATTATGAGTGATCATAACAGGGAGACTGGAACCAGTAGGAGGCCAGGAAAGGCTTTCATGAGGATGAGAATGTCTCTGAATGGGAAATGAATAACATTCTTTGTAGTGGAAAAAATAGATGCACAAATGGATGCAAAGAAGCAGGAGTGCTCAAGTAATTGAAAACTACCATGTGGCAGGAGCAGAAAGCGGGACTAAGTGAGGGGAAGTGTGGCCTAAGATGAGATTTCAAAGGCAGGGCCCTTATCAAGAATTTTGATCTTTACCGATGGGAATCTTTTCGATCATGTGAAGTGGGAATATGACATGCTCAGTTAGTATTTAGACATGATCATGTTTGCTGTAGTATGGAAAATAGGTAGGTAAGGGTGATGGGGGTGTAAAGGGCGGGAGAGGGAGTACGGAGACACAATAGTAGTTCAAGAAGAGAGAACACAGAGGCTAACTGCAGTGGTTGTGGTGGAAATCAAAGTAGGACTTGGATTCAGGAGAAACTGATGGATATTTACAATGTTTTCAAATTTATGCTATTATAATACTACTCTAAAGTCTTATATATTCCTATTTATGATTAATTTTTTAGTGTGATGATGTCATAAAAATAACCATTTATTCAAAGAGTGTTCATAATTTAACTTTAATCAATATGGACACTTTTTGATTCCCCCAAATGATTTTAACAATAAAGACCTCACCAACAATGTGTAATATAGGGCTCTTTACAACACCTTCATAGAAACAAGACCCTATCATTTAAAGACACAAGCATCACTTTCTAACATTATCTCCCTGATAGAGTTTGGCTCTATGTCTCCACCCAAATCTCATGTTGGATTGTAATCCCCACATGTCAGGGGAGGAACCTGGTGGGAGGTGATTAGATCATGGGGGTGGATTTCCCCCATGCTGTTCTCATGATAGTGAGTGAGTTCTTATGAGATCTGATGGCTTAAAAGTGTGGCACTTCCCCTCTCCCTGCCACCATGTAAGACGTGTCTTGCTTCCCCTTCAACTTCCACCATGATTGTAACTTTCCTGAGGTCTCTTCAGCCATTTGGAACTGTGAGTCAATTAAATCTCTTTTCTTTATAAATTACTCAGTTTAAGGTAGTTCTTTATAGCAGTTCTTTATAGTTCTATATATTTAGAAAATGGACTAATACACTCCCCATAATGTATTTTAATTTTTTTTACCCCAAATTCAACTATCTGAATCAATTACTTGGTCTAAAGCAGGTCCCCATTCCCCAGGCCATAGAGCAACACCAGTCCTTGGCCTATTAGGAGCATAGGAATGGAACCTCACAACATGAGGTGAGTGGCAGGCCAGTGAGCAAAGCGAGACATCCTGCACATGCAAAGGATCTAGGTTGTGTTCTCCTTATGAAAATCTAACGTCTGATTATCTATCACTGTTTCCCATCACCCCCAGATGGGACCATCTTGTTGCAGGAAAACAAGCTCAGGGCTCCAACTGATTCCACATTATGATGAGTTGTGTAATCATTTCATTCTATATTACAATATAATAACAATGGAAATAAAGTGCACAATAAGTGTAATGCACTTGAATCTTCCCCAAACAATATCTCCCTGCTCCCTCCCATCTGTGGAAAAATTGTCTCCCAGGAAACCTGTCCCTGGTGCCAAAAAGGTTGGGAACTGCTGGTCTGAAGTGTAGGTGCTAGGCTTGTTTTAGCAAAATTCAGAGCAAGAGAACATAAAATGTGCTGTAGCTTTAACACAGTTATTTCTTCAAAAAACAATCTCTCTAACAGGTTAGTAACATTTTTTTACAAAGCCATTTAAAACTGCATTTTGCTAAGTACCATTTGCATTTCTTATGTATGTTTGGCATATTATTCATTATTTAATTATATCATTATTAAATTATATTATGGTACATATTTGTTGCAATGAGAAAGAAAGAGTACTTCATGCCCAGTATCTTTCAATACTGGATACAAACTTCCCTGCTAATGAGTTAAGTGACAGATAATTAAGTAATTGCAGGTAAATAATCAAACATTTTTATATTATGTACATTTTATATTATGTAGATATCTACATATCATACATTTTATATTATGTAGATATCTTGTGAAATTAATTTCACTATGTGAAATTAATTACATAGTGTTTAAGAGTGATTTAGTGATACTGGGAATGTTTATTGGAGTTTCCTGAGGACTCAGAATCCACTGTTATTTTTTCCTGTTTAGAATAATAAAATATGGCTCCTGCCTTCTGAATGTTTGTTATTCCCCACATTTTTCAAGAATGGACTCAGTTTAGATGAGGGCTACCTGGGTATATACAGATATAGATATAGATATAGATATATATCTAGATAGATAGTTCGATAGATAGATAGGTAGGGCCAATATAATGAGTGAAAAATGGCATCTGATTTAATATGCTTTTTTCCTTACTATATGTAAAATTAAAAGCTTTGTATATGTTGATTGCCATTTGCCTTTTTCTCTTATGTATGCTTATTATTTGCTTTCTCATTTTTGCATTAGGATAGGGTCTGAAAATTAGTCTGAGGTAGATAAATCAATTTTATTCTGAAATTTTTAAGGGGTCAACCTTTCTCTGCTGTGTTGGTAAGAAAATGTATAATTTTCCAGAGTTGAGTCTTTTCAGTTTTCAGCCATTGTAACAAATTTTATAGTTTCCTCCTTTGACATTTCCATAGAGCCTCTTTCAAGAAAGATCCAGATATTCCTTTTCATTCCAGGAAAGAAACAGAAGCTAGCCCTATCTATCTATCTATCTATCTATCTATCTATCTATCTATCTATCTATCTATCTATCTATCATCTTATATCTATCTCTAAATGTCAGAGCAGAATGGGAAACAACACACTATGGAGTGTATGATACATTCTAGTAAAAAGATCACCCAGAAAGTAAGAACCCCTCCTCCCACTCTTTCACTCTCTCCACCCCATCCACCAGTGTCCACTTTCATTTGCTTATCTTTGTAACGCCCTTTCTGCACAGTCTGCACACTCTTCCTTTGCATGGAATATGCATGCTTCCCTTATTCATCTTGTTGGTTCCAACTCAAACTTTATCGCCTAGCTCAAATGTTATTTCTTCAGAAAAGTTTTCTCAGATCTTTCCATTTAATTTTCTTAGTATCATTTAATTATCATTAACACATTTTATCACATTGTGAGTTTTTTTAAAAATTACAATTATTCGATTGATGTTTCTAACCTCCATTAGATGGTAAGTGTTCTAGAGTCAGAGACTGTGTGTGTGTGTGTGTGTGTGTTTTGTTTTGTTTGAGATGGGGTCTTGCTCTTTTGCTTAGGCTGGAGCGCAGTGGCATGATCATGGGTCACTGTAGCCTTGACCTCTTGGGCTTAAGTCATCCTCCCATCTCAGCCTCCGGAATAGCTGAGACCAAAGCTATGTGCCACCATATCCAGCTAACTTTTTTAAATTTTTTGTAGAGATGGGGTCTTACTATGTTTCCCAGGCTATTCTTGATCCTCCCACCTTGGCCATCCAAAGTGCTGGGATTACAGGCATAAGCCACAAAGTCTGGCCATTATGTTTGGTTTTGCACACTATTTTGTTCCTCCCATACAGTACAGTGTTCAGCGTGAAGTTGACACTTCAGTCTTAGAATTTTCTTTGTTTTACTTACAAATTGGGCTTGTTTCTATTGATTCTATCTGTACATGTTACTAAGCTTATTTATGAGCCATGCTAAAGCTTTGTCCATTTATTAGTCTCACTTGTCATTGGGGTTTGTTGTTTTTAGTGGGGTTATATTCATTTAGCCTCAGCTTTTAGTACTATAACATTTTTATACATGTCTAATGATTCATTTGTAGTGATTTATGGCAGATTTGCTGTAGATACCATCTAGAATCAGTGCAGTAAATTATTTATGGACCCCTTTGGAGCATTGGACAGAAAGTTTTGTCCATGACTCAGGACCTGTAATGATTTCTTGCTCTGGGTATCTCTAAGATCTATCACAAGTATCTCTAGATGGAGCTATTTAACCTTTTCTCTTATAAACTAAAGTCATAAGGAATGTAACCAAAGGAACATGCTCATGCTATTTGTTTCTAGGATTCCAGGCCTTAACGTTTGAAGATTGCTTAATGCTGGGGGTTCCTGATAATGTGCACTGACTTCTTTCCTCTTTTATTTTTTTCCTTATCAAAAAAGGCCAGTTATGCTAGTAAACACCATGTATGAGCAAAATTATTCTTTTTTTTGGTCTGAGTCAACTGAGACCATGAACAATAGCATTTTTATTTAAACCATTGTTTTTTTTCCTAAAAATCCAGAGTGTTCCTCTATCCAAAATAACATTGTTTTGTGAAATGGTAGCTTTAAAGAAATCTATACTATTATATTAGCAAAAACAGAAACAAAAAATATGCATAAGGCTGTTAAAAAATAAATTATGGTTTAATTTTAATTTTAACGATGAGCAAGTTGGGCTTCAGTCATAGACCAATATTTATTTTTAATAATAAGGATATCATCTGATATCTATCTATAGCTATTGGTCTATCAGTTTATGTATCTATCTACCTATTTATTATCTATTATTATATTCTAGCTGCTTTGTATATTGCCATTTAATCCTCAGAACAAGTCTGCTTTTTACATAATTACATATAAGTCAAATAGAAAGCACTGTCTTCAGCCCTTGGGCATGCTATTAAGTGTGTGTTTTAGATGACATACTGAACACTCACTGTAGGTTAAATTCTATATTTTATCCTGCATACCAGCTAAAATACTTCTTTTTGAATTGCGTGATTTTTCAGCTCATCTTTTGGATGGCGAGTTCCTTGAAGGCAAAAACTGTGTCCCAATAATAGTTATATCCCCAGTACTCAGAATTGTTTTATCCAATATTGTAGCATGTGGCTAATTAGATTTAAATTTAATTAATTGAAATTGGATAAAATTAAACATTCAGTTTCTCAATGACACTAAGCACATTTCAAGTGCTCAGTAGTTATCACTTATGGCTAGAAGTTACTCTATTGGACGAAGGCTGCATGAACATTTTCATTATTACAGAAAGTTCTATTGATAGCAATATTTAGTATAACAATTTGTCATGAAATAATTCATGACTTGATAAATATTTATCAAGTGGTTTATAAGATATAGACATTATCTATACATAAGAGATAGAATGAAAAAAAACACAATTTTTCTCCAGTGTTTTCCCTATCTTATCATTTTGTGAAGAAAATAGACATTAAGCAACTCAGTGCTAATGGGCATGTATTTAACAGTAGACTATTTCAGATTCATTGTAGAAAGGCCCGTTTTCAAATTATCTGGGTAGGGCTTTTTGTCAATCAGTAGCACATCCTATTGAAAATATTTAACCTTTCCTTGGTTCCTGTGACATAATTAGTATCAGAGGTAACAGAAATCTATTCCATTCTTTCTGGAACCATTAAAGGGATAAGAGCAGCAGATTTTATAACTTTTAAAAAATTTGTACAAATTTCTGTGTTAGATGTGTAGAGATTTAACCACACTTCAAGAAGTGGGAGGAGAGGTACAGCATTTAACACAGCAGGAGGACCTTTAGTGCCCTGCAATAGGACTGTACATAAGCAAAATTTTGTGCTGGCTTCCTGTGCTCATGATCTTGGGCGCTTTTTATTTCATTTGCTCCCATTATTTTCCTTTTGATTTTTTGGTGAACCAGTTTTACATGTGTTCTGACATCAAAGTTAAACAGGGAATAATAAAGAAGCCTCATGAAGACTTCTAGACCATTATGTGATGCTAACACACTATTTAGGAAGAAGCCACAGTCCTCTTGGTAAATACAGAGGACTCACTTCTGCTGTGAGGCTGCATAAATAGATAATGCAGCTGTAAATTTTCTGGTAATTGATGTGATCATTAGTTTAAGTCGTTCCAATTGGCTAGATTGTAGTCCTTGAGCAAGTGTGGACGGGTGTTTATGTGTGATTGCTGTCTCTGGGAAAACTGCACCTGGCATGGGTTTCCTCTACACCCTGAGGAGTGAGACTGCTGTAATTGCTGATGAAGGGAGTATGGAGATAAAACAGCAGCAGCTGTTTAAAGAGTGGGTAGATAGGCTACATGGAACTCTGTGCAGCTTGAGAAAAGAGAACGTTTTGCTTAAAACAAGTGAAGAATTTTATTTTAGGAATATCAGGATTCTAAGAAACAAGGAATAATTGTGTAATTGAAGATGAAGTGGTAGATGGTAGTTGTGCTTCCCAACATCTAGGGCAGGCCAGCATTTGACTTTTGGCTTTTCCACAACTGCCTGTAGAACTTACAGAAGGAAAATTACATAGAATTTGAAATGAGACTAGAATTCCTTCTCTGCTTCCATATAAGATTTTATTGATTCAAGAAGCTGAAAATGACATCTGCTTGCAAACAATTATTAAATGAAGTAATGGCTTCCACGTTTGGTGAAACTAAATGGGCTGGATTTTATCCTATGCCTAGCTTTCTATTATGGGAATGCTAAGTATGTGAGAGTTATTTATATCCTACTGCTCAAGGTCATCGCCAAGGTCTGATTGTAAAAATTCAAAAAATTGCAACTTCAGGCATAAATGGGTTAAAGTTCTTGTACTGCTTTAGTAATTTCTAATTTCTATCCATTTATTTTAAAATTTATATTCTTTATAAGACATTGAAAACAGCAACCAAAGAAACACTAACGACAAAAAGCATTTTAATAGAGAGCATAAAATAATAATTCATCAGATCCATAAATTACATCTATCTGATTTAAATTTTTTATGTACCACCTGAAGATATCTTTACTAGGACAATAACAAGAGTTAAAAAGAAAAATTATTTCCACTTCACTCTTTCATTTCCTGGGAAATAACACTTTTTATATCTTTAATGGGTTATATCATAAAAGGGCCTTATAAATAGTATCTGAAACATTTTTATGCCATATTTCAGTAAGCATGAAAATTATAAAAAGTGATACAGAAAACAAGAACTCAAAATATCATATAATAAAAAATATTTTGTCTTCATTTGATTCTAAAATTGTAGCTGGTTTTCAATCTACATTTTAATGTACATTTGTCCTATATATACAAATAAGAAAAAATATGACCTTTCAAGATTTACTTAAATCATAAATACTTCAAATAAATTATCTTTATGTTTCCTTTAAAGAGTAAAAGATTTAAAAATAAGTAACATATTATGAAGATTATTAAAATATATTAACTAAATGATGTCTTTAATGATTTAAGTTTTTAGGTCTTTATTACAGCACAAATTGATAAAATGATTTTTTTCCTTTCTTTGTTTTTTTTTTTTTTTCTTTTTTTTTTTGAGACAAGTTCTTGCTCTCTCACCCAGGCTGGAGTGAATGGAATGAAGTGGCCACGATCATGGCTTACTGTAGCCTCGACCTCCTGGGCTCCAGCGATTCTCCCACCTCAGATCCCAAGTAGCTGAGACTACTGGCACATGCCACCATGCCTGGCTAATTTTTGCATTTTTGTAGAGATGGGGTTTCACCATGTTGCCCAGGCTGGTCTCAAACTCCTGGGCTTAAGCAATCCTCCTGCCTCGCCTCCCCAAAGTGCTGGGATTACAGGCAGTAGCCACTGTGCCCACTGATATAATGATTTTAGAAATTCTTAACAGGGTGGGCTTTTTATATCATAATTACTTCGAAATGAATCTGTGAGTCAAACAAGGTTAAAATACAGTTTAACAAGTCTTAGATACTTTTCGTTTTTCATTGTTACATGTATTTGCTAACAGTGTTTTAGTTTTTTCTCTCTTTCTATCTCTGTCTCCCTTTCTCTTTTTTTGTGTGTGTGTGTGTGTGTTTTTTTGTTTGTTTGCTTTTTTTGAGATAGAGTCTTGCTTTGTCACCAGGCTGGAGTGCAGTGGTATGATCTCGGCTCACTGCAACCTCCGCCTCCCGGATTCAAGCTATTTCCCTGCCTCAGCATCCTGAGTAGCTGGGACTACAGGCGCACACCACCACACCTGGCTAATTTTTGTACTTTTGGTAGGGACGGGATTTTGCCATGTTGGCCAGGCTGGTCTTGAACTCCTGACTTCTGGTGATCCTCCCACCTCGGCCTCCCAAAGTGCTGGGATTACAGGCATGAGCCACTGCACCCAGCCTACATTTTGCTTTTTAAAAGACATTATTTAGTCTTTCACAAAAGTCCAAAGTCCCTGGAAGTTGGATTTGATGATCAACATATTTTGAGAACATTGAACTCAAACCCTAGAATTCAAAAGCCTTAACATTTCAGCTTCCCCATCTGCTGGACACTCCTAGCTCTTTGTGCGTCTATGTCTTGAAATACATCCCACTTCAAGAAAAAAGAGGCAATTTTAACTCTAACATTTCTTTTAAAATAGCCCAAACATGGTGAAATGGAAATCTAGAGCTCCCTGTGGACATTTGTTGTTGTTGCCTATTGCCTCCCAAGCATTCACACTCTTTCCTGTTTGAGGATATTCCCTAATTGTACGATGGTTGGCAGGGTCTCTTTGAGTGAAGACATAAGATCTATTCTTTATTGGTTGGATATTCCTGCTCAGGACTTATAAAGAATACAAAACTAAAGGAGTGATTTAGAGTTCACGGACAGTAGCATGCAGTGCAGTGCAATAATTCACTGGCATGTGTGCTACCCTGGTTAATATTCTCACCCAAGAGTTACTGTGTTATGATGTAGGCTACCTGATCCTTTGATTCCCATTGGATTTTTGAGCCTTGCTTTTGAAGTGTCCACATAGATTGTGCAAGCTAGTCCATAGTTCTCTAATAATTATCTTTTTTTCTGCTTAAGATAGCCAGAGTCAGTGTCAGTTGCTTACAGTAGGGAATCCTGCCTGGGGCAACTTTATTATCTAGAACTCAGGAGGTAATTTTACTTTGACTTTTTTTCTGGTAATGAAATGTGATGTTGAAATCTCATAAAGATTCCATTTTCCAGCAAACCTTCACTCTGATTAATACAACACTTTAAGTGATCATTGTGAGAATGGCTCTGAGAAGCCACTTTTTCTCAGTAGCTCTTGAAGGAAGGTTACATGATCACGAAGAGTCAGGTGAAGGAGAATGGCCTGCACACTTGACTCATGACTTCTTATCCTGTTCCTGCACATTATGGACATACACAATCGATGGCTTCCTTTATTCTTTTAGACTAAAGGTGTCTGATAGCAGATGAGGAAGAGCTGCTTCCCTTTCTTTCAAAGCCCTCTCTCTCAAGAGAGGAGATAAAAAGGGAGTTGGTGAGCAACTGTTCTCTGAACTCAAATTGTTAAGAACTGGAGGAAGAACATACTTCTAGTCATTTCAATTCCAGAATAAAATGACAATATCAATGTTTTAGTATTTATATAGTGTTAATATCAAAGTATAAATATAAACACTGACATTTTATTTTAATAGTATCCAGAATTAGTGTTTCAAAATATTAATGACATATTATTTGATATGGTCAAATGCAAGAAGGTGTAAATTAATTTTAAAAGTTAAGTAAAAATTATGAGAAATATAAAAGTCAGATGTTTATTAGAAGATGGGTTATAAACATTATTAGCAAATAAAATTAGATATCCCAAAAATGAAATATAATTTATCATAAAATTACAATATATTAATAAAATAATAATTGCATTATATTAAATATATTATTTGGACATACATGTGGAATATATTGTTTGATAACAGTATATATTACTTGAATTTTTTAAAAAATATGATCTTAACAAAGTGCACAAGCAGTAATATTATTTGTGAGTATATTTTCTTACAACTTTTCTAGCTGCTGAAGTAGCCCTTTCTAATTCTACACTAGTAGGGAAATGGTGAAGAGAATTACAAACTAGTGCCAGATATTTTCCTTTAGCATTTTTAACCTTTAAATAATCCCATCACTTGTTTGATGATTTTGAAATTTTTTTAAACAACTTTTTTTTCCCCAGAAACTGCAAACTTTTGTTGAAATCAGGTTGTAGTTTTATTTCAAAGTATTTCTGGTTTGTAATTCACTGTATTTCTCTTTTGTTATCATCATGTATAGATAATCTTATGCAGAGTTACTGTATTAGTTTGTTCTCACACTGCTATGAAAATATACCTGAGACTGCATAATTTATAAGAAAAGAGGTTAAATTGGCTCATGGTTCTGCAAGTTGTACAGGCTTCTGCTTCTGGGGAGGCCTCAGGAAACTTACAATCATGGTGGAAGGTGAAGGAGGAGCAGACACATCTTCACATGGAGGGAGAAGAAGGAAGAAAGAGAGAAAAAGGGGAGGTGCTACACACTTTCAAACAACCAGACCTCATGAGAACTCTATAACAAGAACCGCAAGTGAGAAGTCTGCCCTCATGATTCAGTCACCTCCCACCAGGCCCCTCCTTCAACACTGAAAATTACAGTTCAACATGAGATTTAGGTGGGGATGCAGAGCCAAACCATATTGTTCCACCCTTGACCCCTTCCAATTCTCATGTCCTTCTCACATTTCAAAACACAATCATGCCTTCTCAATGGCCCCCAAAATCAATTCATTCCAGCATTAACTCAAAAATCCAAGTCCAAAGTCTCATCTGAGACAAGGCAAGTCCCTTCTGCCTATGAGCAGCCTATAAAATAAAAACCAAGTTAGTTACTTTCAAAATAAAATGAAGGTACCTGCAATAGGTAAATGCTTCCATTCTAAAAGGGAGAAATTGGCCAGAACAGAGGTTACAGGCCCCATGCAAGTCCTAAACACAGCAGGGAAGTCATTAAATCTTAAAGCTCCAAAATAATCTTATTTGACTCTGTATCTCACATCCAGGCCACACTGATGCGAAGCTTCCCAAGGCCTTGGGAAGCTCTATCCCTGTGGCTCTGCAGTGTATAGCCCCCTCAGCTGCTTTCATGGACTGGTGTTGTGTGCCTGTGGCTTTTCCAGGTGCACAGTGAAAGCTGTTGGTGGAACTATTATTCTGGGGTCTGGAGGATGGTAGCCCTCTTCTCACAGCTCCACTAGGCAGTGTCCCACTGGGAACTCCATGTCAGGGCTCCAACCCCACATTTCCCCTCTGCAATGCCCTAGTAGAAGTTCTCCATGAGAGCTCTGACCCTGCAGCAGACTTCTGCCTGGCCATCCAGGCATTTCCATATATCCTCTGAAATCTAGGCAGAGGCTCCTAAGCTTCAACTCTTGCTCTCTGTGCACCCACAAGCTTAACACCATGTGAAAGCTGTCAAGACTTGGCACTTGCACCCTCTGAAACAATGGCTTAAGTTGTACCTTGGCCTCTTTTAACCATGGCTGGAGCTGAAGCAGCTGCCATGCAGGGCACCTTGTCCCAAGGATACACAGAGCAGCAGGGCCCTGGGCCTAGCTCACAAAACCATTTTTCCCTTCTAGATCTCCAGGCCTATGATGGGAAAACTGCTGTGAAGTTCTCTGAAATGCCCTGGAGGCATTTTCCCAATTGTCTTGGATATTAACATTCAGCTCCTCTTTACTTATGCAAACTTTGCAGGCTTGAATTCCTCCCCAGAAAGTGGGCTTTTCTTTTCTACCACATGGTCAGGCTGCAAATTTTCCAAACTTTCACTCTCCGCTTCCCTTTTAAATATAAGTTCCAATTTTCAACCATTTATTTGCAAACACATATGAGCATATGCTGTTAGAAGCAGCCAGGTCACTTCTTGAACACTTTGCTGTTTAGAAATTTCTTCCACCGGATACCCTAAATCATCTCTCTTAAGTTCAAAGATCCATAGACCTCTAGAGAAGAGACACAATGCCACCAGTCTCTTTGCTGAAGCACAGCAAGAATGATCTTTATTCTAGTTCCCAAGAAGTTCCTCAACTCCGTCTGAGTCAACCTCAGCCTGGACTTCATTGCCCATGTCACTATCAGCATTTTGGTCACAACAATTCAATAAGTCTCTAGGTAACTCCAAACTTTCCCACATCTTCCTATCTTCTTCTGAGCCCTCCAAACTGTTCCAACCTCTACCCATTACCCAGTTGCAAAGTCACTTTCACATTTTCAGGTATCATAGCATTGCCCCATGCCTGGAACAAATTTTCTGCATTAGTCCATTCTCACACTGCTATAAAGACATACCTGAGATTGGGTAATTCGTAAGGAAAGAGGTTTAATCAGCTCACAGTTCTGTGGACTATACAGGCTTCTGCTTCTGGGGAGGAAACTTACAATCATGCAGAAAGTGAAGGGGAAGCAGACACATCTTCACATGGAGGGAGCAGCAGGAAGACAGAGAGAGAGAAGGGGGAGGTGCTAAATACTTTCAGACAACCAGATCTCATGAGAACTCTATCACTAGAACAGCAAGTGGAAAGCCTACCCTCAGGATTCAATCACCTCCCACTAGACCCCTTCTTCAACAGTGGGAATTACAATTCAACATGAGATTTGGGTGGGGACACAGAGTCAAAGCATATGTTTTCTCATCAGTTTAATTTGTATATTCTACTTGTTCAGAAATCTTTGATATAGGGTAAGAATTATTTTTGCAGTAGAAGCTTTGCTCTGTTGATTGCTTTCAAATTTATGCTCTACCCCATTGAAGAATAAAGAAGTTACAGAAGAATACTTATAAGTGGTGAAACTTTGTTCAATTTGAATTTTAGTGGCTTCACTAAACTCATAACTCTGTGAGTATATCTCAGTATGTAAGTAATTTTTGTTTTAGATTTTTAAAAGGCTGAAAAAATGCATCATATCAAGTGAAGTATGATATTTCAGAAGATAAAAATAGAATGATATACTAGAATAACAAAAATTTATATTGCAGTCACTAAGCACCACTGACTGGGAATCTCATCAGACCATGAATAGAAGAGGTAACAGAGAGGGGTCATAGCATCATGTCTCTAGAAGAGACTTCAAAAGTCTACTCATATATTCCTAGGGCACTAGGACTAACCCACAGAAGGAATCAAATAAGCTGGATTGAAAGGCAATGGGGAGATGTTTGAAGGTAGAAAGCAAATGGCAAAAGTTTGCATTTCAAATTCACCAAAAGAAGCATCAGAAGAAACAATTACCATTCTACTCCATGGACTAGCATTTATGCCTCGAACATAACATGAATCCTAAGGATCAACCAGCATTTCCAGAAGCCCTTTTTGTCAGTCAAGTTTCACACAATTGTTTTAATATATGTATAACAATAGTTGGAAGGAATTTTTAAGTTAGTGAAGGATTATTGAGATGCCTTGACTCTTATACTATTCAATTAGAACTATACTCTTTCCACTGTGTGTGTATTGGGAGGGTGTATGAGATGCACCTTGTAAATTGAAGCACTAATTGAATTATTGCAATTCTAATGTTGATAAGTTCCCAGAATCATACCTCATGCTTTCATTCTCTTCAAATCTTTTAAAATATTGGTATGTATCTAGTTGCTATTTGTTCCAGTTTTTGTTCATATAATGATGTTTGTCAACTTCCAAGACAGCAATGATGTTTATGCTTCCCTTTATCATGTTAAATAACTATTTTCAGTCCACAATTGTTGCTGATTGTTACCTTTCTTTCTTTGACCATTGCTTAGAGGTGACTGGACCTGCTATTAAACTTGTATTTTAATATCCAGGGTGCTATTACACATTGGAATTTTGCAGTCTCTGCAGCATATTTACATTTTCTTGTCTTTGTCACCCATTTTGGATTAACACTTCATCAGAAAACAAAACAATAGCAGGGAAGTGAGGCTACTGTAGGGTAATCAAATGCATCAGTGAGCATCAGTTCAGCTGAGGAAAGCACAATGTGATGGCTCAGTGTTCAATGGCAGAGAGCATTTGCTAATATTTGCTCCGCTGTACTGCCTCACTGGCCATGAGAACAATATGCAGGAGCTGTACTGCTCAATCTTAAAATAGATTTGCATATTTAAATACAAAAGTATTTGAGACAAATCACATTGTAATAAATCAGCACTGCACAGTAAGGTGCTCCAAGAGAAACGTATGCATAGAAAAGACGTCAAACATGACTTATAAATGCCACCCAGTAGGCAGCTCAATGAATTTTTAATTCTTCTTCACAAGGACTCTTGCAAATCAAGATTCTGTAGCATAGGAGCATTATTTCTGTTCTGGTTCTAGTGGGGATATCCCTTTTTCTGCCCTGTCCAATGTCTAATGACATTTTTGGCCCAGGCTATTCAAGGTAGGAATGGACTCAGCAAATATTTTCTGATCACCTGTTATGTATAAGGCAGTATTCTAGGCTTTAAAAGCTCTTGTTTCTGAAAGAAGGAATGATTTCCAAGTTAGGTCCTCTTTGTGAACAGACTTCTCTGTTCAGTTGGGACCCAGGGGCCATTATGCTTCCTGGGCAGCATGTTCTCCCTGCCGAAGCTCAGGATTTGGCTGTTTAACTCCTGTTAACAGGTAATCCACCCTCCAATGAGGGATGACAACCTCATACTGCTTGTTAGTACATAGACGAAAGGGAGCAGATTTTTAAAAAGATGTTATATCCTCAATTTGGGATAGAGCAAGCTGAACCTACATAATTTTAAAATGTCCCCCAGAATGCCTAACATCTGACAAAAAAACAGAACACTTGTTCTTCCTTAGCAGTCTGTTAAGACATTAAAAAAGGCTTGCCAAGTGACAAGCAGCATATGCACACATGACATATTAAAATCATGAAAAACCCTTGGTTTGCTCAACAGGATGTGTTTCTAGCTCAGCCTTGATGTTTGTGTTGTTTTGTTCATGGTTTCCCTAAGTGCCATAGCAGACGAGAAAACTTCAAATGGCAAGACCTTGTTAAGAACATTATCAACATTTTCAGGTCATACTGTAACAAATGTTTGAAGTGATACCTTTCTTAAAAAGTATTGTCTACTTTAGGTCTTTATATTAATCTTTTGGATGTTTTTAAAGCCGGGGTGTCTAATCTTTTCACTTCCCTGGGCCACACTGGAAGGAGAATTGTCTTGGGCTACAGATAAAATACACTAATGATAGCTGATGAGCTAAAAAAAAAAAAAAATCACAAAAAAAACTCACTGTTTTAAGAAAGTTTACAAATTTGTGTTGGGCTGCATTCAAAGCCCAACACAAAGTCCTGGGCTGCATCTGGCCTGTGGGCGGTGGGTTGGACAAGATTGTTTTAAAGAAATGCGATGTTTGTAATATTAGTACAATATCAAACTGAACAAACTGAAACTCAGTTTCAGAGACATATTGTAAGATGCCATAAAACATTAACATTCCTTGCATGCCTTCCCCCATATGGCTCTTTTTAATGTATTCCATTTGAATTTGCCATATCTATGTCTAAATTGTGGAGAGGAGATGTCAAAGAGAAATGTGATTTAAAATTATCTGACCAAAACTGTGTGCTTAGTTTTGTCCAATTTTAGCATGCTACTCACTGTTAGATATCCAGTAATGAATATCATGAGATACTGATTGCTTCCTTTTCAAAATAATAATTGTAGATTAGAAATGCTATTTACTCAGTATCTCTTTCTCAACAGGTGAATTATCTACACATTGTATGCCTTTTGGTCATTTCACTGCTCATTAACACCTCTATCAATGGGGAGGTGGTAAAATGCAAGCTATGAGACAAAATTCTTGTTCTCCTTGTTAATAACATTGCAAGAGATTTAGAAAAGACTGTAATTAGCCTCTGACCACCATCTTGTCCACACAAATGGAAGTGAGAGCTTCTTTGAAAATGGGACCAACGAAGAAGGAAGAGCCCTGAGAAGGAAAGCAGGCAGGTAGTTTGTCATCAGCACCCAGTTTACTTGTTTGGTGCATACTTTGGTTGTTTATGCAGTGCAACTTTGGAGGCATTCCTCAACATCGATTTCTACACCACCAAGTCTGGTCTACTGACTGATGCTTGAAAAAAAATGTAAAGACTTTTATTTCATAACCAAAAATAAGGCTATAAGTCTTGGGAATAATGACAATGACATAAATACAGACTAAAGTGTAGATTGTAGTACCCCAGGATTCTTTCTAAGGATAGATATTGAAAAAGGAGTGTCTTTAGATTTAAGGAAGAAAAACAAAAGGACAAAAGGATGCATTTATATTAAGAAATGAGGAAGTAATACCATGCCTAATCTGGAAGGTGAAGGAACATGGAAAAGAGAAACTAGGCACAAATAATTATTTTCACGATCTGTTCAGGGACAGTCCCACCCATCATCTTAGGTAATCTAGAAACAAAAAGACTTTCCATAAAGTCCTGGTTGTCATAAAGGTTTGGAATGTATTTTCAACATAAATACCAAGCATATGTTTAATGTGTTGATTTTTCTTAAGTCTGTTCAATTACCTTCCTAGTTTGAAAGAAATAAACTCATTATAAAATCATACCTTTAAAAAGTCTTGCTAGCAAGCAGAAGTGCTTGTTTCCCTCATTATAGTTTCCTTAGAAGGTTGCTTGCATGTATCCTACTTAGTATTATAGAGATTGGAGGCAAAATTGCAACATGGGTAAGAACATGAACTTTAGAAACAGACTTAGTTTTGATTACTAACTTTGTCATCTATAAGTTGTATGACTTTGTACATGTTACTACTCTCTGCCTTACTTTTCTTCTCTATAAATTGGTGAAAACAATACTGTGTCATGAAATTAAGAGGATTAAATGAGACCGTATATGCAAAGTGCTTTGCACCAAGCCTGTCAGATTCTAAACACTCAGTAAATGAATGGTAGCCCTGTGGTTGATGGTGGTAATGGTGATTATGAGATTTAAACTTTTTAACTCAGTAAGTATAAGACCCTTAAGTTAAGGGACTATGACTTTTCTGTTTTTTTATGTGCTTGAAATATAGGATCAAATTGCACAGAGTAAAGTATACTTAATTAGTTAAGTAGAGAACTTTAGAGTTTTGAATTAATTGGAGATAGTTCTTTTAAGTTGGTAAAAAATAATTACAACCATGAAATATTAAAAAAAAAGATGTAATTGGATTATTTAAAAATATGTGATAACTTGAGTTGCTAATAAAGTATTACCCTCTATCCTTAGCAAACTAATGCAGGAATAGAAAACCAAATACCGCATGTTCTCAGTTATAAATGGGAGGTAAATGATGAGAACACAAGGACATAAAGAAGGAAACAATAGACACTGGGGCCTACTGGAGGCTGGAGGCTGGGAGGAGGGAGAGGATCAGAAAAAATATCTGTTGAGCACTAGGCTTAGTACCTAGTACCTAGGATGACAAAATAATGTGTACGACAAGCCCCTGTGACACAAGTTTACCCATATAACAAACCTACACCTGTGCCCTTGAACCTAAAAGTTAAAAAATAAAGAAAGAAATAAAGAAAGTATGACCACATAGAGGTCATTTGGAAACCTGATTTATTGATGAACTAACAAAGATTAAAGTTGCTATCTTAAATGACATGAAGCAGCATTTCTAAAGTGTTTAAAATTATTCTTATGAAATTGAATAAAAGTTTCTTTGTATATTTTATATGCTTTTTATGTCAACAATTTTTTTAAATTTTTATTTTTAATTTAGCAGACATTGAAGAACACAGAAACCAAATCTGAAAGAGATTTTGTAAACTTATTTAATATAAGCAGAAATGAAAAGAACTGAGAATGTTTGTCTAAAATAATATAAAATTCTGGAGAGGAAGTAGCATCCATCTTCAAATATATATAGAACGTTGATATGTGCTTTCAGTCGAGATTGTTTTGGCTGCAAGTGACAGTAAATGCAGCCCAAGCAAAATTAAGGTGGAAAATAAAAGAATGCATTACTTATACAACTGAAAAGTGCAGGAAGTAATCTGCTTTCATATTTGGCTGTATATTTCAGGACCCAGTCACTCTTTCTTTCTCTTCTTCCTTAGTGTATGTTGGCTCCATTTCCAGAGAGACTCTTGCTTCCCATGGGCAAGATGGTGGTCAGAGGATCTCTACCTCCAAGATCACTGAAACAATGAGTGTTTCTCTTGCTCAACAATTCAAAGTAAAATTGCTGGCCTGAATTAGGCTTTGTGCTCTTTCCTGAAATAATAACTACGGTCTTGGGAGTGCTATGTGTTCATGTTTGAATCATAGGCCCACCCCTGGAGATAGTAGCAATCAACAATACCAGACCCAAATGTACTACAATTTGATGAGGGGTAATATTCCAGAGAAAAACTTGGGTGCTGGGTTCTGAGGAAAAGAAAGAGAATGGATAGCTACTACAGCATAGAAGAGGGAGCCCCTGTATTCTGTTGCTCAATGGGAAGGATCTGGAATCTATTGGAAAAAAAAATAGTTGTAAGACAGATTTCAGTTCAACAAAAAGAAGAACGTAGTATTTAGAACTCATAAAGAACTGGCCCACCTGAAACGCTAGAGTAGCTTGCTTTGAATTTCTTTTGAAAAGAAAGTAGCTTGTTGTGAATTTCAACCTTGCTGAGAATTTGCTGCGTCAATTTGCAGCTAGAGATTTTATAACAACTCAAAAGGAAAGTCCATTGCTGGGAAGTATTTACTACTCAACATATTGAAGATTTAATTGTAATATAATTTCCTAGAAAGGTTAATTGGCTTTCTTTCCTACAAACAGCAATAAGCTTGTGAAGCTTGTCTTCAAGCTCGGGCTTGGTGGCAATCTGTGGGAGACTGGAGTAGATAGATGATCTTTAAGATCTTTTTTTTAGTCTGTAGGTGGTTACTAGATTTCTTCCGTTAAGTTTGGATGTGATAAAGAGATCATATGCTAAATCCTTTTAAGGGTATATATATAAAACAGTATTACCTAGGGACTTGCTTGTTGGAAACACAGAAGGTCCTAGAGGAAGAACCTTCCTCAGAAGGCAACATGCTTCACCATGAATTCACATATAAACAACCTTGATGTCCATATAATGTTTTTTTTTTTTGATATTTTGAGATTTAAACTTCAAAATGTTTCCTTTTATTTTTCTTTTTGCAATTCCCCCCACTAAAGAAGATAAAGCCTACATCTCTCTAGTATCATAACTTTTATATGAGACTACATGA
This sequence comes from Homo sapiens, assembly GCF_000001405.40. Classification (NCBI taxonomy): domain Eukaryota; kingdom Metazoa; phylum Chordata; class Mammalia; order Primates; family Hominidae; genus Homo; species Homo sapiens. Next base: position 63,807,734 of record NC_000005.10, on the reverse strand, counting down.
TTAGAACTCACAATCTCTCTAGTCTTTTTGTGGTACGTTTATGCAAAATGCAATTTTTTTCCATAAAAGGGAGGAACTCACAAAGGTGATATATGGTGAAGAATCACTGATTTTGGTCTTTAAATAATTTTCTGTCCATAGGGATTTAAACAGAAATGAGGAAAAAGAAGCAATAATTACTGAACATCAATTGTGTACCAGGTGCTTTATACAATTGATCGACTGTAATCTCCACATTATCCATAGGTATAGCTATAATTAGCTCCATTAATACATGAAAAACTCAAAGTTTATAAAAGTTTGCATACCTTGCCTGAATTAAATCATTTAGCAAAATGTATGACCTTGTCCAAGGTCATACTCATCAGCTGGCAGAGCCTAGATTCAAATCTGAATCTATCCATTTCTAAACCCACTCTCTTTCCAGCACACTACATTGCCTGTCTAAAAAGGAAATGAAACAAAAAAGAGTCTGTTTTCTACTGATTCCAGAGAATACTGTGAAGTTGATTGTTTTCCAATTTACTTGATATTTCTGCTGATTTTCAAATTTACTTGCATATATGGGAAGTATGGTTCTATGGGGAAATTAATAACTTCAGACTATTAATGCAAAGATGGAAATCACTATGGAATCCATAATTTAGTAAAAAAAAATACAGAAAATATGGGTAATTCATTATATTCTTTTATATAATGGTAGTGACAATGGTTTATGTAATGACAATGGTTTCTGTAGGGTTCAGCATTCACCATTATTACTGTATATCACCTTCACTTTTTATTGCATTGGAATGGCCATATTTCCTTTTTTCCTTGTTCTTTTAAGAATGAGCTCATTTAAAATAAGTAAATGAGTTTAAAACTTTTTCTTTATTGAAATAAGGAAGAAAGTAGCTTGTTTTGAATTTCAACCTTGCTGAGAATTTGCTGCATCAATTTCTAGCTAAATATTTTATAACAACTCAAAAGGAAAGTCCATTGTTGGGAAGTATTTACAGTGCAGCATATTGAAGATTTAATTGTGATATTATTTCCTAGAAAGGTTAATTGGCTTTCTTTCCCACAAACAATAATTGCACTCAACTATGAGCTATATGGGCTTCAGCTTCTAAAATAAGAGCTGACACATGGAAAGTTATAATTTTCTGAAAGTAAATTATTTTCTCATGTATGAAAACTTTGATGTACAACTATGTTAAGGAAAGGCTTTTGAGAATTTTGAGGACATTAAACTAAAAAAAGGGAAACATCCTAGCACCAATGAAAGGCGACAGTTAGACAGGGATCTTGGAATGTCTCCCGCTTGTCAGATGTGTTCTTTGGAGAGTGTTAGAACAATATTAATTTCACATTATATCTCATACTCACTAAACAAATTGCTGCTGTATTATACATCTTATGGGATGTTTAAAAGAGTTTACATCTTGCTGTGAAAAGTTAAACATTTTCATGAAATCTTGATTGAACTTTTAGGAAAAACCCACACTTCTTACCTGCTGTTAGGTCTGACTGTGGGCAATAAAAGGAATATAGTGTTCCTTACTTTCTTAGTGGGGTCAACTGTTCAAAAACAGAAAGACACACATATCTTCCAAGAGCCCACGAGGATTATGGCTTGGGTAAGAATGTACCGCAGTACTGTATCTAGGTGATACAGCAGAGTATACTATCAACAGGACAGGATTTGCATGTATTTGTTCTGCTCTGCAACTTTTAGACTCTGTGACCATAGGCAACGTACTTCCTTATCTGTAAAATGGAAATAAAAGTAACTATATTGTGGGGTTGGTATGAGAGTCAAAAGACCTAATGTATATGGGTGCCCAGTAGATAGTAGGGACTCCATAATTTTTTACTGTAACTTGATTTAAGAGAATTAGAAAGACCCAGGGAATCTGTGGAGAGGACACTCAAAAGGAAAAATTTAATATTTATGATTGATCATTGTTTTGCTAATTAAGTGAATGTAACTATTATATACAAAATATCAGAAGCTTCAGAGGTGAAAGACCTGGGTTCCAGTAACAATAGCTACTACCTAGCTCTGTAAGTAAGTTGGTTTATCATTTCTATAAAAGGAGGGTGTTAGGCAAGATTAGGCTTTCTAGATCTTATTTTAATTTTTAATTTATTTTAAATGGCTCTTTAAAATATGAATTTTATTTTTTAAATCCACATATGTAATATGTTTATCCATTCATATTTAGTAAGAAACATTTGATGAGAAGCTAACACTGTACAAGGCACTGCCATAGCCATAGGGTATATGAAGACAGCAGTCCTTGTCCTAAAAAATCCTGCAGGGGAGATAGATAAATATAGGTACCCAAACAGTAAACAATGACCACATGAGACTTCAGAAAATAGTCAACTCATTCATATAAGAGGAAAAGAGAGTCATCTATGTGTTTACTCAGTTACTCATACAATTTTTTTGAATTTCTATTGAATGTTGGGTATTGTGATAACTGCTGTGATATTCATGGAATTTATAAGCAGAGTTTTTCAGAAGAAATTGGATGTACTTTCTGAAGAGAGAAATGTAGGCCGAAAACAAATGCTTTGGGATTTGAAGTCATGCAGACAGATGAGCTTCTGGGGAACTCCAACATTTAAGGAGCGGGCAGAAGAAATGTGCTCCCAAATAATTCTGAAAAAGAGATTTTAAGGAAGTGAGGGAAATATAGGAGTTATTTGGGTTGTGGAAGCCCTGATAGCAGAGGGTTTCTTAAAGGGAAAATGAGCAAATGGTTGTGGGAAATATTATAAGATGTGAATTTAACCACTGGAAGTATTTTGATATCCGTAAGAAGAGTCTTAGTGAACGGGTCAGGGTGGAAAAAATGTTAAAGTGTGTTGAAGAATAAACAGCACATATATAGAAATGTTTAGAAATCCAGCCAGAGTAAATTATTGCTTTAAAAATTTGATTGTGAAGGCAGGACAAGATTGTGTAATGTTCTGATGGAGAGCATTAGATAGAATGTTCAGAGGATCAAAGACACGGAGATTAGATTCCAGACTTTAGAGTGTTTGTCTAGCTGTCTCCTAATTCTTTACTATATCCCTTCAGGATAGAAATATCCAAACTTTTATTTTAATTTCTGTGGTTGGTGCTATTTAATCTACTCAACCAGTACTTAGGTAACATTTTAAGGGCTTTTGCTACTGCTCTGAAATGCTTTTGCATTTCACCAGGAGTTAGCAAGACTTACAGTCAAACGATGATGTATGTATTGAAATGTGTGCCTTGAATAAGGTCATGTGTCTTTGTAGAATCTACTCTAGGGATTTTTTTCTTCCTATGAAAGAGTAATGAAGCAGCTTCCTTTTGTGGAAATTTGGCAGAGCTCAGTTAAAGCTCTCATAGTAAAAACTATGATTCAAATATTTGTCCCCTCCAAAAGTCATGCTGAAACTTAAACCTCAATGTGGTAATATTGAGAGCCAGGGGTTTTAACAGGACTCTGCTCTCATGAATGCATTAATCATGAATAAATGGATTAATGGGTTATCATGGGAAGATAACTGGTGGTTTCATAAGAAAAAGAAGAGAGATCTGAGCTGGTATACTAGTATGCTCAGTCCCCTACCAAGCAATACCCTGTGCCACCTGGGACCCTCCAGAGAGTTCACACCAGGAAGAAGGCTCTTATCAGATTCAGTCCCCTGATTTTGGACTTCTCAGCCCCCATAACTGTAAGAAATAAATTCCTTTTCTTTTAAATTACCCAGTTTCAGGTTTTCTGTTATAAGCAACAGAAAATAGACTAAAACAGTAAGCCCAAGAATTTTGAAAAACTTCTATAGTGAATTCTGACCTAGTTAACATTTATTTAGTGATATATCTTCAGCTCTTTTTCTTCATCCTTCCCTAGGGAATGAATTGCAGAGGTATATGAGCTAAAATATTTCCCTGATTTCAGCTTTAACCTAATATACTGATCTCCAACTCAGAAGAACCTGTGGTTTGGATGCAATACAGTCTGTAGTTTTTGAAAACAAGATGATAACCACTGTGAGGGGAGCCTATAGCCTTCTGGTCTCTGGAGAGGTCAGATCAGCAGAAAGGCTGTTAGTACAAACACAGCTGAGCCTTCAGCTGGCTTGCCTTGCCAGGAGGCTTTTTTTTTTTTTTTTTTTTTTTTTTTGGTCTGTTCCTAGGGACAATACTGCTTCTGCTTCTGGATAGCGCTTTTTTTTTCTTTTTTCCCTGAACACATTCCACCCCTCCCCAACTTTAATAGTTTAACCAATCTCACATGGCAAAAGTATCACAGCTTTTGACTAGGCACAATTCCTGTTTCTCCACAGGAGACATTCTCATGGCAGCACTTGCCTCATTTCCATTTGTCTTCCTGGAATCTCACATCCTACATTTGTGCAAATCACTCAGATGTGTCTGCCAGTCTTCTTGCTAGGAAGCAGGTACTTTACTCTCCCAGTGTTGAGACATCTAAGAAAGCAGCTCTTGTTATTAGATACCTTTTTAAAGGGAGAAACTGTTCATTTTGGACTGCAATTCTTATCTCTTAAAAGGAAGAAACTGAAGTATAAAAGAACTGAGTTTTACATTTAGTTATTACATTATATTGAAGCTGATTCAAAAGGCACATGTTAAGGGATCTATGCGAAGACTATGAAAATAATAATGTGAATCTAGTTAAATGTTGTGTCATTTTGAAAAATATGAATTATAACTTAGTAAAGGCAGACTTGGTGAGACTTAGGGTATGGCAGCCAAATCCCATAAGGTTAGAAAAATTGATAGATTTGCTTTGCTCTTACCAATGGAATTTGGTCAGTGAATTTCTTATTTTAACTCGGGTAGTAAGAGTCAGCCTTTACTGAAACACTACAGAGTGCTACAAAATGATGAAACTATGAGTCTGTATTCTAAAGGAAAAATGACCTGTTTTTTTGGAGTCTCATGTGTCACTGAAGAAGGCTCCAAGAATATGCAGCAAAAAAATAATTGTGAGGGAGAAGATGTAATCGTGGTGTGTCGGGGTGGCAACATTTATCTTTTTAAGAGGTGGTAGACTTAGGTAGGGTTTAGCATGAACACAACTGGGATAAGTCCCCCGATAATCTCAGAAACCTTTAATTCATACATTTTGTGAGAATGTAACATGAGATGGAGATTGAGGTCTCTGAGGTGGGCAATGGGTACCATAGTGAGAGAAAATAATGGATGTCTTAGTCTTATTTGTAAACGTTGCTTGTCATTACACTTTTGGGGGTAGGTTGGAGGTAGCAGGATAGCCTGAAATATGGTATAGATGCAATGTGAGTTTATTATTTTATCATTATCTATTACTTTTTTATTACTTGTTCATGTTTAGTTAGAGTTAATAATGTTTACCTTGGGAGCTTGTTGCTGTTTGCTTTGGAAAATTAATTCTGTTTACAAATTGGGTTTGGCATGAAATGAATCTAGTTTTAGAATTAAGAATAATTTATTCCTGTCCCCAGTTTCATTGATGAAGAAATTGAAGTTCAAAGAGACTGAGTGACTGGTCCAGGGACATACAAAAATTTGTTGGCTAAGAAGGCAATAAATTGGTAATGTGATTCTCCATTCAGTACTTTTTCTACTGCTTCATATTTGCCATACACCCTAAATGATTTAGTCGTGTGTGTGTTTGTATGCATGTGTGTGCATTTGTGTGTGTGAGTCAGGTGTGTGCCATAAAGTTGATCATATTGCATGTGCCCCATGATACTTGTGTAGAAGGATTTCTAATACCAGAAGAGTATCTACTGCTAAAATTACTAAATTTCTAAGTAGTAAGGGGGGCTATTAAATAACACAAAACTGTACTTGAAAGTGAGATCACTTTTCTGCCTATAGATATTTCACTAAACTTTTATATACACAAATACAGATTTGCTTTAAGGAAAAAATAATTATGTATTTTAGACTTTATATCTATAGTTTTTCTTCCTTCCTTCCTTCCCTCCTTCTCTTTCTTTCTTTCTTTCTTTCTTTCTTTCTTTCTTTCTTTCTTTCTTTCTTTCTTTCTTCCTTTCTTTCTTTCTTTTTCTTTTTTCTTCTTTTTTCTTTCTCTTTCTTTCTTTCTTTTCCTTCCTTCTCTTCTCTTCTCTTCTCTCTCCCTCCCTTCCTTCCTTCCCTTCTTACTCTCTCCATGAAATGGTATCAAAATGGCAGAGTGACTGGCCTAAGTCTAGCCTGGTATTTAGTACAGAGCTGGTGGTCAGTAAATATTTGTTGCTTTTACTGATGCTCATATAGCTTCATGCCAAGTTTTGAGTTCAAAATATGAATTCAAATAGGGACCAGATGGTTGATGCTTAAATACTCTACTCATAGGGTAGAGATGTAAGGACCTGGGATGCAGACATTAAGGGAAGGTGAGGGGTGGAGCTGCATAGGGAAAATGTTGTTATATGATACAGATAAAGTTCCCTAGGGAATCTCTTGGAGCTTCCCTCAGAAGAATAGATGAAAAGTCTGTCTGAGCATGGCAACAACTCCCAGTTTCTCCTCTTCTCTGATGGTTTATCTTTCCTGGCTTTTTGATAAGATCCCCAGGAAGAGAGTGTAAGACAGTTGCATTTCTTTTGGAAGGAAGCTTTCTTGGTCAAATAAGGAAATTCCAGAGAGCATCCCTCCTTACATCTGGAGGGGGCTGGGAACAAGACAAGGTTACGGGGACCTTGGTTCTGAGACACCTTCAAAGGCCTCTACATGTTTAAAGAGCCAGCCTTTGGGGAATCACTTTCTAAGACCCAACAACAGAACCTCTGGCAACATAGTGAAGCACAAGGTTAGCATGACTGGCACGTTCCTCTTTGGCAACATACTGAATTCATGATGTGCATTTCTTGAAATCCCCTCCTTCCATTCTGTTTCTCAAATTTCTAAGTGACCTTCAGTAGATCTAAGGCACCCTGCACCTCCAGCTACTCCCTCTATAGTGCTTCTTTCTTTATAATGTTTCCAGATCATTTTCCATCCCCTCACCTTCTATTTTCATATTCGCTAATAGCAATTGAGTCAGAGTATAAATAACTGTTATAATCATTGCAAAACCATATTTATTTCTTAAAATATTCCTTTTCTTTAAGAATGAGGATTATGTTACCATGGGAATTTCCTGCATCAAATAACCGGGAGATATTTGGACTAAGCATCACTCAAGAATGGACAGCAGCCTGTTGTGTCCTTCATTACAGAGTTCCTTGACTTCCTACCTGAAGAGGCAAAAAAAGAAGTGCCATCATTGATTTTGGAAAGGGCTATGGGGATCATCTCTTCTTTTAATCTGAACATTCCTGGAAATGAGATTCTGAAATATAGCCACTGCCCTAATCTCCTAGAAGTAATAGTTTTGGCAAAAACTAAAAGTAAAGTCTCTATTTCCTTTACAAATAATGGGTTAAGATAAAGTACTTTATCCCTATTATAGCTAAAATGGTGGCATTATGAAATTGTTTTATTGAAATGAAAGAGAAAGGTGTGGTAAAATTATTACATACATAAAGTGTGGGTGTGTCTATATTTGTATGGAATGGGAAGAAGTGATAGGCAGAATAATAGCCCTCAAAGATGTCCATGCTCTTATCCTTAGAATATGTAAATATGTTACTTTACATGGCAAAAGGGACTTTGCAAGTGTGGTTAAGATTAAAGACATTGAGAGGAGGAGGTCATCCTGGGTTATTCTGATGGTCCTAATATAAGCACATAATTCCTTCAAAGCCGAGAACCTTCCTGGCTGTAGAAAACAAGGGAAATGATAGCATGAGAAGGACTCAACCTGCAGTTACTGGCTTTGAAGTTGCAAGAAGGGATCACAAGCCAAGGAATGTGGGCAGAAGCCAGAAAGCTGGAAAAGGGAAGGAAACAAATTCTACCCAAGAGCCTCTAGAAATTAATAAAGTCTAGCTGATAACTTGCTTTAAGCCCAGTGATACCCATGTTGAACTTCTGACCTGAAGAACTGTGAGAGAAGGATTTGTTGAGAAGGTTGCTGACATTTTAAGTGAATTATGATCAACTACTGATGAGGTTAGTAGCAATAGTTAACACTTTTATAATGCCTCATATACACTAGGCATTTTTATAAGCATATTGTATAGTCCATTCTCACACTGCTATAAAGATACTACCAGAGATTGGGTAATTAATAAAGAACAGAGGTTTACTTGACTCACAGTTCCACATGGCTGGGAGGCCTCAGGAAACCTAAAATCACGGTGGAAGGTGAATGGGAAGCAAGGCACGTCTTACACGGCAGCAGGAGAGAGAGAGAACATGAAGAGGGAACTGCCAAACACTTAAAACCATCAGCTCTCATGAGAACTCACTCACTATCATGAGAACAGCATGGAGAAAATCATTCTTGTGACCCAGTCACCTCTCAACAGCTCCCTTCCTTGACACCTGTGGTTTACAATTCCAAATGAGATTTGGGTCAGGACACAGAGCCAAACCATATCACATATTAAACCTCAAGAATCTAATGTCTTCTCATTCTTAACATAATTTTGCAGAAGATAAAACCAAGACAGAGAGATAAATTAACCTGCCCAAGATCATACAGTTGGGATATGGTGGAGCCAGAATTTGAACTCGGACCATATGGCTGCATTGTGTAGCTTTAGAATCAGGTTACAGTGTTGGTGGTCTTAGTCGCTACATCATAATTTATTATTACTCCCCTTTTACACATGGTGTATTAGTCTGCTCTCATGCTGCTAATAAAGACATATCTGAGACTGGGTAATTTATAAAGAAAAAGAGATTTAATGAACTCATAGGTCCACATGGCTGGGGAGGCCTTATAATCATGATGGGAAAGTGAAGGAGAAGCAAAGTCATATCTTACGTGGCAGCAGGCAAGAGAGCGTGTGCAGGGGAACTGCCCCTTATAAAACCATAAGATCTCGTGAGACTTATTCACTAATACGAGAACAGCATGGGATAAATCACCCCCCCGATTCAATTACTTCCCACCAGGACCCTCCCATGACATATGGGGAGGTACAGTTCAAGATGTGACTTATAGGAGGTACAGTTCAAGATGAGATTTGCGTGGGGACACAGCCAAACAATATCAGATGGCAAAACCAAAGTGACAAGAATCTGGTTTCTTGCCCAGATTCACACAGCCAGTGTAGAAACTATGACTGCTCATTTCATCACAAATGTCCTTTCTTCCTTCATTTCTTTCTTCCTTATCTCTTTCTTTTTAAGAAACAGGAAGCTTTGGAATAAGGAAAATGTGTTGTCTACTTATTTATCTAAATGTCAGAGAAAAGGAGACTTTCATGCTGAAACGATGTTCTTAGCTCATTAGAAAGTATGGCAAAATAGTCTGTGATCAAATAGGTGGAATTTTAGTCATGTTGCATTTTCTATCAACACATTTATTCCTCAAATATGAAATAAACAGTTTTAATGTATGCAAAGAATTTGTGCTTTCTATAAGCTATTTTTGAAATACAGAATGTAGAATGAAAACTATCATTCTACATTTATTCCCCAGAGAGAATCATTTTCTTTTTTCCTACTCCTCTCTTTGCTGCACATATATTTTATAGTTGAAATTTAACTATTTATACAATTTAGTACCCTGTTTTTCCATTTAGTAGGGCAACATAAACATACCCTCATATGAATGTGAACTCTCCATGAGTATTTCTTCCAATGGGTATATTGTATTGCATATTAAGTAGCATAACCACTTAACCATTCTTCTACTACTGGAATGTAAGAATATTGCTACAATCTCACCAGTATCTTAATTTTAAAAACTGCTATTCTACTGTGCAGAAAATATTTTATTAAAATAATTGCCTCTTTAGATTTTTCACACTCATCTTCTCAGTGTGAAACTAAACAAAACAAAATAATTATCACCCACTTATTTTGTAGAAAACAACAGCCCTCACTTAAGATGAAATCATAGAGTGGCTGCAGAAAAATGGGATTGCATGTTGACTCTAACTGAACCAGAAGCTAAGCCTACATATTTCATGAAGAAACTGAATGTGGGGGAAAATATGATGTAAACTTGGGAGCTACTAATGAGGACAAATTAAGAGAAAAGGTCAGTTTGCCAAGATCTTGGAATACCACAAATAGAGTGAGAATTAAATAATTCAAGTCTGGAGAGTTATTTTATTTTATGTGTAGTTAGTTACCTTTTCGTTTGCTTTAATTTGTTGCCTCTTAATTAGTATTCCTTATTGAATCAGAATCATAGGTTATCATTATAATAAGGAGGCTAGTTTGCTAACTCTATGAATGTGGTTTTATTTTTGGACTCCTGCTTTAGGCACTCCTTCAGTTTTGTTGTTTTATTTTTGCAGACCCAAGATAACAACGCTGTAGTTATCTTGAGATGTTAGATTAACTGTTAGAAATGCAGACTCTGAAGGCAGATACGAGTTAAAAATTTGCTCTTATGTTTACCAACTGTGCATCCTCGGACAAGTTATCTAACTCTTCAAAACCTCAGTTTCTTTATTTAGAAAACTGAGATAACAATAGGGCCTACATTGTATAATTGCAAGAGAATTAAACGAGGTATTGCAAACAATGACAGTGCCTAATAAAAGATCAGTAACTAATAGTTACTATCATCATCATCCTCATCACCACCATCCTCCTCCTCCTCCTCATTATCATCAATATAATTTCTTTATCTTTCTGATTCTTTTTGTGTATGATTTACTTCTGCCTCAACTATGAGGTTGAGAAACTCTAGCTCTCATTTCCTTATCTTTCTTCATTCATTCATTCATTCATTCATTCATTCATCAACAAACATTCATCTAGAACAAAATAGATAAAGTCTGGACACAAGAAGTTTATATGCTTATAAGAAATGATCAATAATGAACAAATAAGCAAATAAATATTTAGCATGTCAGGTGGTATTGTGAGGGGAAAAGTAGAACAAGGCAAGGGACACATGGAGGCATAAAAGTCAAAATGGGGTTACATGGGGGGAAGGTAGGTTATTATTCAAACAAAGTGGTAAAAATCTCTGACAAATGGCATTTGAGCTGTCTTAAACAGAATGAGAGAAGAAAGCAAAATTCCCAATAGAGAAACATGCCTAGTATGTTCAAAATCCAGCAAGAGGGACTGTATGGAAGGAATAGAGTCATCCTATGGAAGAGTAAAAAAAGATGAAGTCAGAATGTGGGGGCAAGACAGAACACATAGGGCTCTGTAGGCCACTGCAGGCCACTGTAGGGGCTTTGACTTTTACCCTGAGTGAGATGGGAAGCCACTGAATGAAAATGAGCAGAAGAATGACCAGTTAAAGACAGAAGTGGGGGATAATAGAGGAGACTATTTAAATAACTCAGGTGAGACAAAGTGGTAGCTTGGACCGGGTGGTAGCAGTGGTTGTAGTGACAGAGAATTGGTTGGATTCTTGATGTATCATACATACATATATATAGGACTACCATCTTCTTATTAATGCACAGACCTTATAAATAGGTATTAAACAAAATAGTGGTCCTTTTCTTTTTGTTTCCAGTACCTGCACTTATACTTTTGTTCTTTAGAATGCTCTATTTTTTGTTGTTAACAATTTTTTGTTATTAATTATTGATATGGTTTGGCTCCGTGTCCCCACCCAAATCTAATTGTGAATTGTAATTCCAACGTGTCAAGGGAGTGAGGTGATTGGATCATGGGGGCAGTTTCCCCCACACGGTTCTCATGACAGTGAGTGCATTCTCATGAGATCTGCTGGTTTTACAAGTGTTTGGAAGTTCCTCCTTCACTGTTCTCACTCCTGCCACCATGTAAGATGTGCCTACTTCCCCTTCCACCATGCTTGTAAGTTTCCTGAGGCCTCCCCAGACAGGTGGAATGTGAGTCAATTAAACTGCTTTGGTTTATAAATTACCCAGTCTTGGGTATTTCTTTATAGCAGTCTGAGAATGTACTCACTCATACAGTAAATTGGTACTGCAGAGAGTGGGGCACTGCTATAAAGATAACCTGAAGATGTGGAAGCAACTTTGGAACTGGGTAACAGGCAGAGGTTGGAACAGTTTGGAGGGCTCAGAAGAAGACAGGAAGATATGGGAAAGTTTGGAACTTCCCAGAGACTTGCTGAATGGCTTTGACCCAAATGCTAATAGGCGTCTTAACAATAAGGTCCAGGCTGAGGTGATCTCAGTTGAGGATAAGGAACTTGTTGGGAACTGGAGTAAAGGTTACTCTTGCTATGCAAAAAGACTGGCGGCATTTTGACCCTGCCCTAAAGATCTGTGGGACTTTGAACTTAAGAGAGATGATTTAGAGTATCTGATGGAAGAAATTTCTAAGCAGCAAAGCATTCAAGAGGAAGCAGAGCATAAAATTTGGAAAATTTGCAGCCTGATCATGAGCAAAGAAAAACCCAGTTTCTGGAGAGAAATTCAAGTCAGCTGCAGAAATTTGCATAAGTAACTAAGAGCCAAATATTATTCACCAAGACAATGGGGAAAAGGTCTCCAGAGCATGTCAGCGACCTTCACAGCCATTCCTCCCATCACAGGCCTGGAGGCCCAGGAGAAAAAAATGGTTTTGTGGGCCAGGCCCAGGGCTGTGCTGCTTTATGGAACCTCAGAACTTGGTGTAATGCATCCCAGCCACATCAACTCCAGCCTTGGCTAAAAGGGGCTAAGGCACAGCTCGGACCATTGCTTCAGAGGGTGCAAGACCCAAGCCTTGGTGGCTTCCATGTGATATTAGGCCTGCAGGTGCACAGAATTCAAGAATTGAGGTTTGGGAACCTCCGTCTAGATTTCAGAGGATGTATGGAAATACCTGGATGTCCAGGCAGCAGTTTGCTATGAAGGTGGAGCCCTCAGAGAAAACCTCTGTTAGGGCAGTGTGGAAGGGAAATGTGGGGCTTGACCCCCCACACAGAGTGCCCACTGGGGTACTGCCTAGTGGAGCTGTAAGAAGAGGGCCACTGTCCTCCAGACCCCAGGATAAGAGATACGCCAACAGCTTGCACCATGTGCCCGGAGAAGCTGCAGACACTCAATGCTAGACATGAAAGCAGCCAGGGATGGGCTGGGGGCACCAGCCCTGCAAAACCACAGGAGTGGAGCTGCCCAAGGCTGTGAGAGCCCACCTCTTGCATCAGAATGCCTTAGATATGAGACATGGAGTCAAAGGAGATCATTTTGAAGCTTTAAGATTTAATGAATACCTTGCCAGACTTCAGACTTGCATGGGCCTGTAGCCCCTTGCAAATTTGGCCAATTTCCCAGTTTGGAATGGGAGTCACCCAATGTCTCTATTTCCACTATAACTCAGAAATAACCAGTTTGCTTTTGATTTTACAGGTTCATAGGCAGAAGGGACTTGCCTTGTTTCAGATGAGACTTTCATTTGTGGACTTTTGAATTAATACTGAAATGAGTTAAGACTTGGGGGATTGTTGGGAAGGCATTATTGTTTTGAAATGTGAAAAGACATGAGATTTGGGAGAGGCCAGGGCAGAAATATACAGTTTGGCTCTGTGTCCCCATCCAAATCTCATCTTGAATTGTAATCCCCACAAGTTGAGGCAGGGAAGTGATTGGATCATGGGGGTGGTCCTCTCCCAACTCAGTATTTCTTGTGATAGTGAGTGACTTCTCATGAGATCTGATGGTTTTATAAGTGTTTGAAAGTTCCTCCTTCACTCTTCTCTCTCCTGCCATCCTGTAAGACATGTCTGCTTCCCCTTCCACCATGATTGTAAGTTTCCTGAGGCCTCCCCAGCCAAGCAGAACTGTGAGTCAATTAAACCTCTTTCCCTTATGAATTACCCAGTCTTGCATATTTCTTTATAGAAGTGTGAGAATGGACTAATACAATTATTGCTAACAATTTTAGTATGTTGTCACTGTCATTTATCTTCCCTCTTCATCATCCTCTAATCCCCTGGTTCCCAGTCTTTTAAGCCTCTGGATTCTCCTCCAAAACTGTTTTAGACTGGAGAACTGTTGAGCACCTGAAGGCCTTTCAAATGTTCTTGCCTTAGTTTAAACATGAGCAAGTCTCAGTGCTATATTTCCCTGATCTTTTCCAGTTGAAATGGAACTTGGCCTATCTTCTTTGTGATTGTTTTTGCTTCCATCATTATTTTGCTGAGGTAATTCACCACACTAAATAGAGAAGTGCTTTGCCTTACCCTCTTAATTTCCCTTTAAGGGGCTGGTGATAGTAAGGGCTGTGGAAATGATATTTTGAACTGTTCTTAGACTTTAAATATGTACAGTCGAGTGAATTTAAATATGCTTTGATATTTAAGGTGCACGGATTGTATTAGTGGTTTTATGGTGAGGCATTTATGTGGTGTAAAGAAGAGCCACACATATCTGAGAGATACTGTGTAGCAGGATTGGAGATGCTTCTGTGGGTAGGTAGTCAATTTCTTCTCCATTTTCCTATTGTTTTAGTCTTTGTATTTGTTTGATCTTCTGGTCTGCAGAATCTGTGTCTTCTCATCCCTCTCCTTTGTGTAAGGTACATATTAGGTAACAAGTAGTCATGTTATGTTTGTGGATACATGTGGAATCAGCCCCTTGCTCTTTCCTCTGCCTGAAAAGCTCTTCTTCCAGACACACATGTATGATGTACTTCCTCACTTTACTCAGGTTTCTATAGTCTCATCTGAAATACTTTCCTTGGCCATCCTCTCTAAAGCAGCATGTGCCTTCATCACCCCTTATTCCTATTTGTGTACTTCTATCTGGGTATTTACTCATTTATTTGTCTATTGCTAGAATGTTAGCTCTGGAGCACTTCACATGTTGTTTTGTTCCCTGTGGTATATCCAGAGCCTAGCATAGTGCCTGACTTAAATAGTGTTCATGAATAGTATTGAATGAACAACAGATAAAAAGAATGAGCCTCATTCCCTGCCTTCAAGATATGTAAAGAATGAGGAGTTTCACTCTGTCCCCCAGGCTGGAGTGCAGTGGCATGATCTCCACTCATTGAAGCTTCCGCCTCCCATGTTCAAGCAATTCTCATGCCTCAGCCCCCCAGGTAGCTAGAACTACAGGCGTGTGCCACCACACCCAGCTAATCTTTGCATTTTTGGTAGAGACAGAGTTTTTCCATGTTTCCCAGGCTGGTCTCAAACTCCTGGCCTCAAGTGATCTACCTGTCTTGGTCTCCCAAAGTGCTGGGATTACATATGTGAGCCATCACGCCAAGCCAATAGCTAGAAAATATTTTTAAAATATAGGGTGAGGCACATCTCACCAAATAGTGAGGAACCAGAAGAGGCAGAGGCTTGAGATATGAGCTGGGATGTCTGTCCTTATTCTTATTCAGATGATGTCTATTCTTATTTAGATGATGTCTATGTGGTCTGCTGAGGATCAAAAGCTTCAGCTGTCAGAGGCTGGGTGTACCATTCACTTACATTCTTTTAGCATTGTGCTGTGTACTATTTGGAGAGCATAAAATAAGTGTTTCTAGATATCATAATTTATTCCAGGCAGTATGAATAGTAGCTTCCTAATCCTACTAAAAAAACAGGGCAGAAAAGTAAAATATTTGAATCTTCATCCCTCAGAATCACCCTCAGAGTGCTGGTAACCTAGCAGTCTATGGCAGCTGGTACCCACTCACTTTGGGTTTATGATAGAAGCATGAGAATCTTGCTGGGGCTGATGCCTTCCTTTGAGCCTCCACAGTGCCACCTAAGAGACCAGGTGTGTTCTCTGCAGCTTTCATAGTCATTAGGGGTGCAGTGAGTGTGTCCGCAAGCAGTAAGAAAGTCAGTCTTTGAGTTCCCATGGTTGTCAATATTTCTTTTGAATCTGTTTGTCTAGCTACTTTTCAAGCCTTTGGGAAATGCTTGAAAAGTAGTGTTTCATGTCAGAGATCAACTTCTTAACTGTAGCTGAAATTGCCCCTGCCACTCTGTAGATATTGGCAGGAATTCAGACGACCATTGCTGAAAACGAACTGGTATCTTCTCTCTCACCATTTGTGTGGTACATGAGTTTAGTCCCCTTTCTATGACTGGCTAAATTAAAAACTTCAAGATTTTTTCTCTCAACATTCTATGCAACAAATCATTTGAAGACTAGGAGTCAGTGAACACTGGTTCTAATCCAGGCTCTGCTACTAATGGTCTTTATAGCCATGAAAGCTTTTCATTAAAACTTTTCGATTCTGCAATCTAACACAACAAACCACAGACTTTGGAATCAAAAAGCTTTTGACAAATTGAGGAAATGAACCAAAATAAACATAACATTTACAACTGTAAGTTGAAAGACAATAAGTAGTGATAGAGGAATAAACATGGAGTCAGGAAATTTGGTATCTAATTTTGAACTGGATACTAGCTGGCTGTGTGACCTTGATACACCATTTAACCTCCAGGGTCCTCACTTTACACATTAATAAAATTAGGGGTTTTGTCTAGGCCAATACTGTTCAATAGAATATTGTGTGATAATGAAAATGTTCTATATCAGCACTGTTCAATGTAGAAGCCAGTGGCCACCTCGGTCTTTTGAGCAATGGGGTTATTACAATTGAATAACTAAGTTTTAAACGTATCTAGTAGTTTTAGTGGATATTTGCATTATTTGAAACTTTTCTAATCGTCTACATTCATCTTATCGAGAGGCAGAATTCATCTCTCACTATAACTGTTAAAAACCCCAGAAACTTGCTTTTCTAGCTTTCCTTGCAGTGAGGGGTTGGGCACATGACCTAGGCTCAACCAATGAGATGCACCTACTCTGGTCTTTGAAATAGAAGCTAATTGAGCAAAGAAGCAGAAGCAGAGGAAAATATACACATATAAATACTATTCACGAACACTATTTTAAGCCAGGCACTGTGCTAGGCTCTGGGTATACCACAGGGAACAAAACAACATGTGAAGTCCTCCAGACCTAACCTTCTAGCAATAGACAAATACATGAGTAAATACACATTGGCATTGATAGCAGTAGTTCCAGTAGGGGAATCTATTATTCAGAACTGGCTGTAAACTATGGTGTCCTTTGTTCAATATGATGTCAGCAGAGTCCTTTCCTGATTGGTTCTGTTACATAATATTATCTGTGATCCTTACTGCTGTGCAGACCTACATACTCAAGACTGTTTGAAGCCTGGTTCTTTGACTTTCAGAGAATTCTAACAACTACCCAATATATTTTCCTTTTTGTTTCTTAAATCTGAAAGATTCCATTTTTGTGACTTGTGGCTGTGATCCTACAGATTATGGGCAAAAGGAGACAAACAATTAATAATTAAAATATAATGTGTACATGGAATCATGTACAATAGTGCTCAGTAAGCACAAAGAGGATGTGAGACCAGGTTTTACAACTGGTAATAGTCCCACTGGATCTTCAAAAGAAGCTGGGTTTTCCAAGTTGAAATGGGAGAAGTGCATAACAACAGAAGAAAGGGCATCCAGGGAACCTCGAAGTCAAGATAGGGTGAGCCATGCTTGACCAAAAGGAAGGAGTTCAGTGATTAAAGAAGGGATAAAAAGTGAAACTAAAGAGATAGGCTGGTGTTCTACTAAGGAGTTTTGGCTGTATTTTATAGAGTATTAAGCATCAGTTGAGAGCTTAATCAATCCTGCTTTCTGGAGGCACATTAGAGTGGGGAGAAGCTGATGACTAAGTTTGGTTAGGAGGTTATTGTAATTTTCCAGGCATAGAGAATGAGGAAACAAGGGGGGTGGTGGAGGCACTAGATTTGAGAGTTGGATTTCCCTTTGCTTTTACTTTCCTTTACACTTATTAGATATGGGAGTGAGTAGAAAGTAGGGATTGTGGATAGACTGAGATTTCCATTTTGGGACATCATGTAGATGATGATGTTGTAAACTGAAACTGAGACTACTAGAGGAACAGGCAGGTAAGACAAAATAATGAGTGTAGGTTTGTAATGCATCACATCCTAGAAATAGGAGCCAAGAAAGACATCATTAAGTTGATCTGGGCATGGAACCATCAAGGAATCACTGGAGAAGTCTCATAGATGAAGGAATTATGGGTACTAGTGAGGAGATGCTGCTACAGTAAGTTTGTTCTCAAGGGTGGTTTCAGTGCAGTAATTACTATGTTCAATTCAGTATATTCATCAATACACCTTCATCTCAGTCAAAGATTCACCTCTTTCTGATCCTTCTTGCTTTGGGCTCTGAATCCAGCACTGCAGAATAGAGTCAGCATCACATGCTCTTCCTTTACACACACTTTACCTCACCTCTCTGCTTTCTCATGTTCTCCCACTAAGGTATAGATAGACTAACAGAGCAACAACTTCCCCCAAAATTCCTTGCAATTTTCAAAAGCATCTTCAACTTCAGCTTCTTAATAACCTTGTGGTAGGTGAGTGCTAAGAATTTTAGGTCACCTTCCTTGCACCTCCTGCAAGGTGGCCAAGCACTTTAGAGTGAATGTGAGTGCAGGGGAAGAGAAGCCAGCACCATTGCTATGGAGCCTCAGACAGGACTGAGGCAGAATTCCAATGATACATACTGTTAGATGAGTTTCCCCAGTCTCAGCCGTCCTGGTCAGCCTCCTTAGTTCAAATACTTTGTGCTCTAAGATGTCTTTTAATTTATATAAGGCCTCAGTGAGACCATATATTTGTATGGTATTTTTTTTTTTAAAAAAAGGAGATGAGTAACTTGCCAGTTCAGAAACAGGGAATAGCAATGAAGTATTAAAGCAAGACCATGGCATGACATCCTGCAGGGGAAAGGGCTTTAGAAATGAATAGATGGAACTGTACTTGAATCATGGTTTCATCATTGCTTAACCATATCCTTAATTTCTCCAGTCCTCAAGGTCTTCATCTGTAAAAATTGGTTAACACGATACCTGCTCTCTGTATCAACACAAAAGTAAATAAATTTGGTAAAGGAAAAACTTTAGAGGAACATAAAATAATCTGTTCAATGTTTTATTTCCTTTTGTTTGTTTATTGCTGGGGTAGGGGCAACTCTCCCTTTGCAATAAGTGGTTATTGTTATCTCAATACAGTGCTTATGAATTTCCCTGGGACAAGGTTCTCTAAGGATCTATTAGGAAGGGATACTAGTTAACACTTAAAATGAGAGCTTTTCGTAAAGAAAGTATTGATGGCATAGTGTGATTTTTCTGTCCTCTCGCCCCCTCTTGTGTCTCTCTTTTCTTATTCAGTAACTCTACCCCCTTCCTCATTGCAGGACACCAACATAGCATGAGGAGCTTCCAGCCTTCCCTTTCTCTCTGCCCCACAGAACCTCTAGGTCCTGTTCTCTAGAAGGAAACTTATGTACTCATTCAAACCAAGGAATTAATGGCACACGTGAGCTTAATTAGCCACTCTTTCCACATAGAAGGCTCATTTGAGCTAAAGCGTCCTTATGGTTTAAAGACGATGATAACACACTAGACTAATTGAAAAATATGTGTAGGGGTCAGATAGAGACCAATACCACTTTATTGCAGCTAAAGCTGAACTGGAGGGTTTGGCCTGGATCTGGTAAAATGCTTCCTCCACCCGCATTCCTCACCACATTGCCAAGTTCACATCTTAAGACCCCAATGTGGGAGTGTCAGTTTGCAGAGAAGGCTCACTCAATCAGCTATATATCTCATGCCTACTAAGAGCTGGAATAGGGAGGAGAGGCCATACATACACAGAGATGTTTAGTACATAACCCCACCTGATAGAAAAATAGGAATTAACAGGAGTCATATTCATACTGTCTGATATTGTTTGGTTCGGTGTCCCCACCCAGATCTCATTTAGAATTGTAATCCTCATGTGTCAGGGGAGGAACTACGTGGGAGGTGATTGGATTCTGGGGGTGGTTTTCCCCATGCTGTTCTCATGATAGTAAGTGAGTTTTCATGAGATGTGATGATTTTATAAGGCAGTTTTCCCTGCTTTTGCTCACTTCTCTCCTGCCACCTTGTGAAGAAGGTGATTTGCCTTCTGCCACGATTGTAAGTTTCATGAGGCCTCCCCAGCCATGCATAACTGTGAGTCAATTAAACCTCTTTCCTTTATAAATGACCTAATCTTGGATATTTATTTCCTTTTCTTTTTTTCTTTTTTTTTGAGATGGAATCTCACTCTGTCAGGCTGTAGTGCAGTGGCACCATCTCGGCTCACTGCAACCTTGGCCTCCCAGGTTGAAGCAATTCTCCTGACTCAGCCTCCTGAGTAGGTGGGATTACAGTCACCCACCATGATGCCTGGCTAATTTTTGTATTTTTAGTAGAGAAGGGGTTTCACCATGTTGGCCAGGATGGTCTTGAACACCTGGCCTCAAGTGATCCACCCGCCTCAGCCTCCCAAAGTGCTGGGATTACAGGCATGAGTCACCATGCCCAGCTTCTGTTATTTCTTTATAGCAGTGTGAGAACAGACTGATACACAGTCTGCTCAGCGAGATCAATCACTTCTCACATAGGAAAAGCAAATGAGAAATGGAAGGAAGTTTGGATGCTTCAACCCATTACATACAAGAAGTTAGTGGTGCTTATTTTGTGGACAAATGGAAACCTGAGACGGGACAGGAAAAGGATGTTTCTTCCTACTTTTCTGGGCTATAAGAATGGATTGAAAACGTAGAAAAATTGAAGCACTTTCAAAGGGAAAATGTAGGGCAATAAAGGCTTTCCTGGTGCCATTTAATCATATTTTATATACAGAAACCTGCTATAATTTCGTGATTATTTGTTGTTTTAAGCAGCCTCTGTTGTCTTGCCTTTTAAAAAGTAGTCATTCATGGCTGGACACAGTGGCTCATGCCTGTAATCCTAGCACTTTGGGAAGCCAAGGTGGGTGGATCATTTGAGGTCAAGACTTCAAGACCAACTTGACTGACATGGTGAGACTCTGTCTTTACTAAAAATACAAAAAAAAAAAAAAAAATTAGCTGGGCATGGTGGCCTGCGCCTGTAATCCCAGCAACTCCAGAGGCTGAGGTAGGAGGATCGCTTGAACCCAGGATGCAGAGATTGCAGTGATCCGAGATTGTGCCACTGCACTTCAGTCTGGGAGACAGAGTGAGACTGTCTTAAAAAAAAGAAAGTCATTCACAATTTTTTTTTCTTCATGTAATGATAAGGGCCAGTGCAACAGCAGACAATACATCTAACTCTAATCAGAATATTTCAAGTTCATTCTTAGCTAGAACTAATATTTACAACATACTGTAAGTCTTTTGAAATCTGAAACAATATTTTACTTTACCTTATAGAAAAGATCTGTCATGGTGCTTAGCACACAGTACATCGAGGATTCTTAATAAATGAATGAATTATCCCATCATATTCCATTTCCTCTCTTCCTAAGGTCACCTTATGTATTAGTCCATTTTCACACTGCTGATAAAGTACATGCCCAAGACTGGGAAGACAAAGAGGTTTAATTGGACTTACAGTTCCACATGGCTGGGGAGGCCTCAGAATCAGGTAGGCAGTGAAACACACTTCTTACATGGCAGCATCAAGAGAAAAATTAGGAAGATGTAAAAGCAGAAACCCCTGATAAAACCATCAGATCTCATAAACTTACTTACTATCACGAGAACAGTAGGGGGAAACCACAGCCATGATACAAATGATCTCCCACAGGGTCCCTTCCACAACACGTAGGAATTATGGGAGTACAGTTCAAGATGAGATTTGAGTGGGGACACAGAGCCAAACCTTATCATTCTGCCCCTGGCCCCTCCCAAATCTCATGTCCTCACATTTCAAAACCAATCATGCCTTCCTACAGTCCCCCAAAGTCTTAAATCATTTCAGCATTAACCCGAAAGTCCACAGTCCAAAGTCTCATTGGAGACAAGGCAAGTCCCTTCTGCCTATGACCCTGTAAAATTAAAAGCAAGCTAGTTACTTTCTAGATACAATGGGGGTGCAGGTATTTGGTGAATACAGCCATTCCAAATAGGAGAAATTGGCCATAACAAAGGGGTTACAGTTCCCATGCCAGTATGAAATCCAGCGGTGCAGTCAGATTCTAAAGCTCCAAAATGATCTCCTTTGACTCCATGTCTCACATCCAAGTTATGCTGATCTAAGAGGTAGGTTCCCATAGTCTTGGGCAGCTCTGCCCCTATGGCTTTGCAGGGTGTAACCCCCTGCTTCTGGCTGCTTTCACAGGCTGGCATTGAGTGTCTAGCTTTTCCAGGTGCACAGTGCAAGCTGTCAGTAGATCTACCATTCTGGTGTCTGGAGGACAGTGGCCCTCTTCTCACAGCTCCACTAGGTGGTGCCCCAGTAGGGACTCTGTGTGGGGGCTCCAAGCCCACATTTCCCTTCTGCACTGCCCTAGCAGAGGGTCTCCATGATGGCCCTGTCCCTGCAGTAAATTTTGCCTGGGCATCCAGACATTTTGATACTTCTTCTGAAATCTAGGTGGAGGTTCCCAAACCTCAATTCTTGACTTCTGTGTACCTGCAGGCTCAACACCACATGGAAGCTGTCAAGGTTTGGGGCTTGCACCCTCTTAAACCATGGCTGAGCTTTACCCTGTCCCCTTTTAGCAACAGCTGGAGTGGCTGGGATGCAGGGCACCAAGTCGCTAGGCTGCACACAGCATGAGAACCCTGGGCCCAGCCCACGAAACCATTTTTTCCTTCTAGGCTTCTGGGTCTGTGATTGGAGGGGTTGCCATGAAGACCTATGACATGCCCTGGAGACATTTTCCCCATTGTCTTGGGGATTAACATTTGACTCCTTGTTACTTATGCAAATTTCTGCAGCCAGCTTGAATTTCTTCTCAAAAAAATGGGTTTTTCTTTTCCACTGCATCATCAGGCTGCAAATTTTCTGAACTTTTTTGCTCTATTTCCTTTTTAAAACAGAATGCTTTTTAATAGCATCCAAGTCACCTTGTAAATGTTTTGCTGCTTAGAAATTTCCAGATAACCTAAATGATCTCTCTCAAGTTCAAAGTTCCACAAATCTCTAGGGCAGGAGCAAAATGCTGCCAGTCTCGTTGCTAAAGAGTCACCTTTGCTCCAGTTCCCAACAAGTTCCTTATCTCTATCTGAGACCACCACAGTCTGGACCTTATTGTTCATATCACTATCAATGTTTTTGTCAAAGCCATTCAACAAGTCTCTAGAAGGTTCCAAACTTTCCCACATATTTCTGTCTTATTCTGAGCCCTCCAAACTGTTCCAGCCTCTACCTGATACCCAATTCCAAAGTCGCTTCCACATTTTTGGGTATGTTTTCATTAATGCCCCACTCTACTGGTACCAATTTACTGTATTAGTCCATTTTCATGCCCCTGATAAAGACATCCGAGACCGGAAAGAAAAAGAAGTTTAGTTGGACTTACAGTAAGTTCCACATGGATGGGGAGGCCTCAGAATCATGGTGGGAGGTGAAAGGCACTTCTTACATGTCGGTGGCAAGAGAAAAATGAGGAAGATGCAAAAGTGAAAACCCCTGATAAAACCATCAGATCTCATGAGATTTATTCACTACCATGAGAACAGTATTGGGGAAACCACCCCTATGATTCAAATTATCTCCTACTGGGTCCCTCCTGCAACACGTGGGAATTATGGGGGTACAATCAAGATGAGATTTGGGTGGGGACACAGAGCCAAACCATACCACCTTAATTCCTTGAACTTAGTTCGTTTCCATTTCTTGTGATCCCTAGAAGCATCTTTAATTTCTTTTCTCTCACTCATCTTTTTTTTTTCCTCATAGGCAACTCTTTGCTCTTGCAATGCTTTCATTTTTCTGTCTTTTTCCCCTTCTTATTTTCTGCTTTCATTCACTCTTCCTTTTCTTTCACCTGTGCTTCCATAATTATCTTTCTACCACCTTTCTGGGTGTGACTTGGATAACTGGAGTGGAACATCTTACATTATAAGATACTGAAGTTGATCAATTACTAATTGGTTATGAGGGGAAGAGCCAGAAATCTGTCTTGGGCTGACCTGAGACAAAGACATACCAATATCTATTTTGACATTACAAACATCTCCAAAGGACTGCTAGTCTTTCTTCACTGTGCTTTTACTTGAATCTAAAACCTACTTCTGAAAAGCTGATCAAAACTTTACTAGCATGCATACTTATAAAGTAATACACATGAAAATAATGGGTATTCATATCATTTCTCTGTTCATCTAAATATCTAACTTAAGAAAATATAGTGAAAGGGATAATACCTTTTATTCTTTAACTAGTGACAACAGAACCTATCACAGGTCCTTTTGAGATGCAATAAACATTGATTTAAAATAAGTTGTTCAAATTATTACTATGAAACTCTACCACAGTTGACAATATTTTAGATTTTTAATTAATCTGAAAATATATGTAATTCTTCTTGTCTTTCCTGGCAATTCTCCCAACCATAAAACGATTGAATTTGATTATAACCTAACCAAAGATAAGACATTATGGAACAAGCACAGCTACCTGAGGAGAGTTAACCTTCTCATGAGTATCAAGTGCTAGAAAATTGAAATTAATCTTTAATATTAAATTAAAAACAACAAACTAATAAACGTGTGCATATTCAATACGGGAAATTACTCAAGGGTACTGATTTTTAGAGATTTAGTCTTAAGGAAAATAAGGAGTCATATGGGAATGAGAAAAGTCTTAGGGATTAGATCAACCTCCTGGGGAAGGAAAAGTGATAGCTCCAAAAAATTGACAGCAGGCAGAAATTCAGGCAGGTCAGGAGTTAACATAAGAGAAGAACAACTGTAATTATTGGGGACAAGTTCCTGGAATTTAGGGCAGAACTGTGGCTATTTTTACCTCATAAAAACTGAGAAACCATCCAAGAAACCAAAGGAAAGACTTACACCATAAAAATAATCAGACAGCCAGAGTTTAGCCACTAGGAATAAGAAAAGAGCCTAATTCTTGGGGATCAGAACAACAGTCAGAGAAGGAGCAGATGCCAGGGTACCTGGGTTTTTAATTCTCTAAGCTATGCCTTAAAGTTCCTGAAAGTTCCTGTGACCAGCACAGAATCTGTCCCAGAGATAAGGATGAGCCAAATTTAAAAGAAGGAGTAAAGTGAGAACAGCTTTGAAATTTAGGGGAGAAATAAGACAAACCTCACTGTGTGAACAGTACCTAACAGAAAAAAATATATAATCTGATAGTCTTGTGCTGCAATAAAAGTCTAAAGTTAGTAACTAAAACTTTTATTGTAGGGTTGCTAGGATGACTGAGTAAATGTCTTAATA
Organism: Homo sapiens; assembly: GCF_000001405.40. Taxonomy (NCBI): domain Eukaryota; kingdom Metazoa; phylum Chordata; class Mammalia; order Primates; family Hominidae; genus Homo; species Homo sapiens. Next base: position 63,782,523 of record NC_000005.10, on the reverse strand, counting down.
TATAGAAAGTGCTAAGAAAAGTGCCCAATATGTTGTAGGTATTCAATAAATATTAGCTTATTACTGCTAGTATTATCAATGCTTTGACTGTTTTGAATTTCTTCATGGAAATACTGATTCTGCTTAAAGTTTCTGAAAGAAGCCACAAAGGGGATTAAGTGGCAGGAGGTTCTTTTTGAGTGACTTGAAAAGTTATACTGAATACCTTTTGGAAAGTAAGAGAGGCCTAGACAGCATGGATTGCAAAATATATTCTCAAAGTGCGTGAACGTTAAGTGGTCTGGAAGGCTCTGAAGACTGCTTCTGTTTTGTATCCCTAGAATCAATAACCCCAGATTTAATTTCCAAATGCCTTGTCACAGGTCAGATGAAGACACTTGGAATCAGATAAGTCTAGTTTACAGATCATAAGACTACCATCTTCGGTAAAGTAGATAGAGGCAAATTTTGTCCTTAGTGACTCTTCACAACACCTTATTCCAAAGAGGGCTCTGATAATTATAGTTTCCTCTGTCCACTCAAGACGGATCCCAGCCTTAGCTTCCAGCAACTCCATATTACCATTGTTGCTTTCATTCATTCACTGGTTAATTGACTGCTTCATTCATTCATTGATTCATGCTGATATGGTTTGACTCTGTGTCTGCACCCAAATCTTACCTTGAATTGTAACCCCCATAATTCCGATGTGCCAAGGGCAGGACCAGGTGGAGTTAACTGGATCATGGGGGAGGTTTCATGAGTTCTCATGACATCTGATGGTTTTATAAGCATCTGGTATTTCCCCTGCTTGCACTTATGCTGTCCTGCCACCCTGTGAAGACGGTGCCTGATTCTCCTTTGCCTTCCACCATGATTGTAAGTTTCCTGAAGCCTCCCCAGCAATGTAGACCTGTGAATCAATTAAACCTCTTCCTTTATAAATTACTCAGTCTTGGATAGTTCTTCATAGCCATGTGAGAACAAATGAATACACACTCATTCATAATTTTCAATACCAGCCAGTCATTTGCAGACTCATGGATTTGATGGATCATCTGTAAGATTTTATGAGGTAGTAGCACAAAAGGCTGTTATACTTTATTTTACACACTAAGAACACTTAAAAAACACACAAGTAAAATTATCACTTTATATACCAAAGGGTATTGTAACACTCTAACAAATAGAGGAGATTAATAAGTTATATTAAAAGACTGTTTTAAAACAATAGAATAGATTTTTCTACTTATAAAAACTGTCATCTACCTTATGCTTCTTACTTGACCCTGGTTCAGGGAATACTTGGTTGTAGATTGGCAGTGGCAGGATTTGGAACCACTGCCTTAAGCAACAATCTCCTTGCATTCTTTTTTTGCCACCTTCACAGTTTACCCACAATGCTCTTTGTTTCTGCTAGCTTACCTGCTGGAGAATGGCCTGATAAATGATCTGGCCTTTGGACATTAAACCTTAGACTTAGTCACATTTGAAAAAGATGCCTGGAAGGCTTCAGCAGCTCAAGTTAGCAGTTAATGGTCCTTAAAAGGCAAAAAAGAGCAATATATTCCTTTTGATATTTCTAAAAAAAAATCAGGTAATATAGTAAACTTCTTACTAGATTAGCCCTTAGAACAGAGCTTTTCTCATCTTTCTAACTGCTCAACAATTTCTATGTCCGGGGATTTTAACTCCTGAGACCAGCCAAACAGATCTAATGATGCCAGACCTTCTTTTTAAGCTTTTCTGAGGGAGTAGACAAATGATTATATTACAGGCCCCAAATTACTGAAGTATCCCAGGGATGATCTGTGGGTGGGGCAAGGATCTGCTTTGAATTTATTATTTTTCTCTATATTGTTTTACTAGAAAAAAATATTCTTGGCCTAACATATTTGGAACCTATCAGTCTATTTCAATCAGGGTTCATATGAAGCCAATTTGTAGTTATTCTTTTTATAATTCCAAATATTTCCTAATGTGTAGTTACTATAGCAATATAGTTATCCTTGACCTGAAGATCATATAAATTGGGTTGTTGAAAACTGAAGACAGGCTTGTTTTATAACTAATAAAAGAATTTGAACATGAGAAAATTACTTTTTCCTACTATTAATTTTAATTTGTTTACACTGTGACTTGATTCTCATTTACTGGGCCAAGGTTTCTGCTACAAAAATCAAAGGCAAAAGTTTCAAGGACTTATTAAATTTAGTCACCTTTTCATCCACTGATAGGCACCATTGACTGGGATGAAAGCAGAATGATTAAGTTAAATACATAAGTGGAGTTGATAATAGAAACACAAATGAAACCTGATCAATGCTTTGTTAGTCAATAAACAATTTCCCTTCTTTTAAATATTAGCTATTATATTAGTTATTAGATATTTTACATTACTAAATATATACTGTATATTAGTTATTAGATATATTAAATATTGTCATGAATTGAATGTTTGTGCCTCTCCAAAATTCGTATGTTGAATCCTAACTACCAATGTGATGGTATTAAGAGGTGAGACCTTGGGAAGTGCTTAGACTGTGAAAGTGGAGCCCTCATTAATGGCATTAGTGCCCCTACATAACATGCCTCAGAGAACTCTCTTCCCCCATTCCACCATGTGAAGATACAGCAAGGAGCTGCCATTCTGGGAACCAAGAAGCAGGCCCTTACCAGACACCCAATCTGCTGGTGCCTGAAACTTCCAGCCTCAAGAACTGTGAGAAACAAATTTCTGTTGTTTATAAGCTACCTAGTTTATTGTATTTTGTTACAGCAGCCTGAACAGACGCAGACATATGAGATATCATTAGTTATATATTACTGCAGCTTAAAATAACAAATATTTACTCTTTCATTTAGTAAATTTAGCAGTTTAAACTTAGAAGCTTAAAACAAACAATTATGGTCTCAGTTTCTGTAGGTGAAGCGTTCAGGAACACTTTAGTTGTGTGTTTTTTTCTAGGGTCTCTCATGAGGGCATAGTTGGGAAGATCCACTTCCAAGATGCCATACTCACAGGACTGTCAGCAGCAGGCTTCAGTTCCTTGCTGGCATTTGGCAGGAGGTCTCAGTTCCTCACTGCACTCTCCTTAGGGCTGTTGGTGTGTCCTATCAACATGACAGCTGGCTCCTCCCAGAGTGGACGATCTGAAGAGAGTGCAAGGGAGACACAATGCCTTGTATGATCTAGGCCTGGAAGCCACATACTGTCGCTTCCACCACTGTTTATTTATTAAAAGCAAATCACCAAGCACATTTTTCATTCAAGGGAAGAGAAATGAGACCTCACCTTTCAGAGAAGAAGCAAAGATTTTGTAGACATAGTTTTAAATTGCTGTAAGCATATTTGGCTTTCGGCCAGGATATATAGATCATTCTCATCATGATTTAATAATTGTCACTGCAGCGGTATTCTGGGCCTGCAAGGTCACATTTCCGCTAGTTAATAATCTTGAACCATTCTGTATCTTCCAGGAAATGACTTTGTTTAGTGCTAGGAGTAGAAATTGGCCAAGGAAGTTCTGCTTCTCTTTTTTTCCTTTCTTCCCCTCCCCTTTCTCCCATTCTCTTTTTCCGTTTTCTGAGTCCCCCTTGCCCCTGGGGCCCCTAGAACAAGTTGTAGATATGTGGGTTGAGGGAATGGATTATTTACGCAGCTCTAGGAAGATGTGTGTTTTCTGTAACAATAGCTGGCTTGTAGATAATGAGCTATAACCTTCAATACAACTATCTACAAACCTTGAGAGAAAATCTCTAGGCATTCAGACCTTTGACATACAGCACACTGCCCTTTGTAGTTTACACTCAGCCATGGAATGACATATGCTAAATACATGACTTTCTGTTTCATCTGGCCTGACAGTGACTGAGCCTGCACTGTTTTACTATTTTTTTATATGATGCACATTTTTTTTTTTTCATTTATGCCATTACTTTCTCATTTGTTTACTGTATTATAAAAAAAACTCAAATATTCCTTTAGGTATATACCCAGTAATTTAAATCATTCCATTATAAAGACACATGCATGCATATGTTCACTGCAGCACTACTCACAATAGCACGATGTGGAATCAACCTAAATGCCCATCAATAATAGACTGGATAAAGAAAATGTGGTACATATATGCCATGGAATACTATGCAGCCATAAAAATGAATGAGATCATGTCCCTTGCAGAGACATGGGTGGAGCTGGAGGCCATTAATTTTAGCAAACTAACAAAGGAACAAAAAACCAAATACCACACATTTCCATTTATAAGTGGGAGCTAAATGATGAGAATGCATGGACACGTAGTGGGGAACAACACATACTGGGGCCTTTTGGAGGCTGGAGGGTGGGAGGAAGGAGAGGATCAGAAGAATAACTAATGGATACTAGGCTTAATACCTGGGTGATTAAATAATCTGCACAACCAACTCCTATGACACTACCTATGTAACAAACCTGCATTTGTAACCATAAATTTAAAATAAAAGTCAAAAAACCCTCAAATATTACCTCTGATGATTTATTTTTTCTCAATCATCTCTCTTGTTTTATCAGGTGTTTCTATGGGGGGAATTGTGTGCCCCTCCTCCCTTATGTTCATATGTTGAAGCCCTAACCCTCCATGTCACTATATTTGGAGATAGAGTTTTTGAGAAGGTGATAAAGGTTAAATGAGGTCGTAAGGTTAGAGCTCTAATCTGATAGGGCTGGTGCTCTTGTAAGCAGAGGAAGAGCTCTCTCTGTTCCCTGTGAGGACACAGGGAGAAAGTGGCCATCTGCAACCCAAGAAATGAGCCTTTGCCAGGCACTGTCCCTGATGACTGCTTCATCCTGAACTTCCGGCTTTAGAACTGTGAGAAAATACATGACTGTTCTTTAAGTCACCCAGTCTGTGGTATTTTGTTAGGGCAACCTGAGCAGTCTAAGATGGGCTTATGCATCTTTGCTCCCTTTCTCCCTCACAAGTTTGCTCCTGGGTCTTGCCACTCTCTTCCCAGAGAATAGACAGAATATTGCAAACATATGGCAGGCCTCTCACTGAATAGCAATGAGGCTGGTGGCAGTGGTCACTAGCTGACGAGGCAGAATGTTTCAGATGTCAGCAAATAGGCGTTTTGCTTGGTAAGCAAGAAATTGAAAGGCAACATTTATAATAAGAAATTAAGGCCGGGCGCGGTGGCTCACGCCTGTAATCCCAGCACTTTGGGAGGCCGAGGCGGGTGGATCATGAGGTCAGGAGATCGAGACCATCCTGGCTAACAAGGTGAAACCCCGTCTCTACTAAAAATACAAAAAAAAATTAGCCGGGCGCGGTGGCGGGCGCCTGTAGTCCCAGCTACTCGGGAGGCTGAGGCAGGAGAATGGCGTGAACCCGGGAAGCGGAGCTTGCAGTGAGCCGAGATTGCGCCACTGCAGTCCGCAGTCCGGCCTGGGCGACAGAGCGAGACTCCGTCTCAAAAAAAAAAAAAAAGAAATTAAAGGGCTATCAAGGCGACAAGTCAGATCTATTATGTCATGGCAATTTGATGGGACTGTTCTAGGTGTGAATTACAGGCCATAGTTTTGCACTAGAAACTCCAGGACCAGCTTTGTCCTGCAATTCAGACCCTTTTGGATTTTAGAAAAGTAAGATCAATAGAGTAAGTATTTTGCAAGCTAAATCAATTCCATAAGGAAAAAAAACTGGCCTTTTAAATTTTATTGTTTTACTTTTTCAGGGGTTCTTTCATAATTATATGACAGTTACTCTAAATAGCTTTGTTACTCTAAGAAGTCCTTACTATGAGACAAAAAAGTTTTCAAACAGAGGCGTATGGATGAGATCAGGGTAGGAAATGGATAAGCTCCCTAAAACAGGGACTAGAACAGAAACCAATAAGAAACATTACAATGCAGAATCCATTGTATATAGCAAGTTAGAGAATGCATCTGAGCTGAGATGAGGGCCGAATGACCATCACTTAAAGTGTCAAGAATAATTCAATTAGATCCTGTAATACTGTTTCACACTTCAAGACTATAGAGGGTGTGTGTGTATATGTGTGTGTGTGTGTGTGTGTGTGTGTGTTGTGAGGGCAGAAGAGAAAGGGGGTAGCATTCTGAGGTTTCTTAAGTGCTCCTACCTTAGTAAATGTTGGCCTTGAAATAACAGTAGGGCTAACATTGCAGGCACAGATTTTAGAAGGCTTAAATATGTAATTCCAAAAGAATTCAACTTACTAATTTGGCAAGTTAAGGAGAAGAATTAAAGAGTTAAAGAGGACAACTGGTCTTATCTGAGATAGTTATGAACTAGTGAAATTTCCGTCATTATTAATGTGGGCCTAGAAGGACTTCTGAAGACAAATAACTGTTAGAAAGTTGTGTACGCTTATTCAGGGATTCCAGCCTATCTGTACACAAGTTTATAAGTGAGGAAGAATGTATGTACCACACATAAGTGAAAAATGGCTAGTTACTTTTAAACTAATAAAATATTATTCCTCAAAGTGCTGCTTTTCTCCAGGGCTTAAAAGTCTCTGTACAATTGGGAAAGTTTTCTTGCTGCTTATGCTGAGTTAGTTACGTTAAATGACAACACATCATAACAGCTATTAAGCTAAGACATGAATTTTGGAAGTCAGATTTTTTAAAATGAAATTGTTGAACTTCATCTTATTTGATACAATTTTAAGTGGCTTGAGAATCAGAATTGTCAAATTTACCTTAGTATCCTCTGTAGCATCTAGTGGCATACCCAGTACACAATGGAAATTGAATAGATACCATTGAATTGAAATGAACACTTCCCCCCAAAGTTTAACTTCCTAACTCCATTACTTTCTTCTCTAAGATCATTGTCTCTATTTTATGAACAGACAGTTTATAAAGTGACAAGTGCTAGATTATTATACTTGAAGTAGGTATCTCCTTTGATATACTAAGACTTCAAGGTGTTGTACGTCAAGATTTGGCTATAAATGACCTGGTTTGGGGTCAGAGCAAACTGTGAGGGGTGAACCAGCACCAAGAGTTGGTGTGAGTGGGAAAAGAACAGACTTAGCTACTTGGAAAGATTCACACTGGTCATAAACACTGCTTCCTAAGGTTCCCCTGCTAGATGTCATAATAAAAGCAAGATTTCTCATCATAGACTTTAGAGAGGGTAGCAGAGGCTTTGGAAGGTAGGATGTAACATGACATGTATCTGTAAGTAGCAGGTCCAAAGGCACAAGAAAGACAGGTAGAGGTCAGGGATAATCTTCCTTCCTTTTATTATCTCTCTAATGGAAGTCCCCTCTTATGGAATATGCTGACCCCCTGACAAGTACTACTTTTATTCCTTTTCCATATGTGTCTCTCCAATTAGCACAGTTACTACTAGCAGATTACTAATAGCACTTGCTACTACTATTACCACATCCTGTTAAATCATCACCTTTTCTGTGTTCAATTTTGCTTTCACTACCAGTTCCAATAACACTACCACACTGTTCATTTCAATTTGTTGAGCGCTTACTATATGGACCAAAATATGTGCTGGATGTTTCATGGCATTATCTTTAACCCTCCTAATAGCACTTTACAGGCTTGGTATTACTCTCCATATTTTCAAATGAAAATTCTGTTGCATTTATTATGTGTCTACTGTGTACTAGGCATGGTGATAGATGCTAGTGATACAAAGGTGAATATGTCCTCATGATCTTCACCTGAGGAAAGATCATTGTAGAACAACAACAAGTGGCATAGCTAAGGACTGAGCAGGCTAGTGTGGAAAGAGAGAGAGAGATCTAGTCCATTCTGAAGGGAATTGGAAAGGTGGTGGTGGTGGTGAGTGCAGGATGACTTCGGGACTTTGAATTGAGTATAGACAATGCATAAGATTTATGTGGGCAAAGCAGGGGAGAGGAAGAAAGAGGGAAGCAATCTAGATATATTTTGTCTCTTAATTGAAAAATCTTTGTTTTTGCTTTACTTTCTTGGGGATTTACTCAACTTTATCTTCTAATTATTTGACACGTTCAAATTTCAACTACTATATTTTAATAAATGTACTTCTTTGTCCCTAATTTTTGCTTTTAAGCATTCTATTCTTGCCTATCTTATTACATATGAGTAAATGAACTATCCATTGTATATTTTTGCTTAAATTAAACTGTTAAAATTTGTAGGCTAATAATTTTATTTCTCATGACAAGCTAGAAATATGTTTTATTGCTTAATTTTCAAACTTGCCATTCAAAAGCTACCTTTCATATTTTGGAAAATTGGGGGAAAACATTATATATAGGCTTCTTCAGAGAAACAGGATCACTAGGAGAAATAAGGAATTGGCTCACATGATTATTGAGGCTGGTAATTCCCAAGAACAGAGCTGATGTCTCCATTAGAATTTGAGGAAAAAGCTCGTGTCTCAGTTTGAAGGTTGCCAGGAAGGAAGAATTCTCTCTCTCGGAGGAAGGTTAACCTTTTAAATTCTATTGAGGCCTTCAAGTGATTGAATGAGGTCCACCACATTAGGAAGGATAATCTGCTTTACTTAGTCTACAAATTAAAATGTTTTTCTCATCCAAAAATACTTGAAATAACACTAACATCTGAAATAATGTTTGAGCAAATATCTGAGTACTCCATGGCCCAGTCAAGTTGATACATAAAATTATTATTCACAACCACTAGTTGAATATTAAAACTAAGTCAGAATTTTCTCTGAAATAATAAGGGGTTAGCTAGGTTATAGGGTTATCATGGCCAGTTGAATTGATTGAAGAAGGCAAAAGGAAAGGCCACTATATCACCAGGCATTGCTACCACATGTCTGGCCATAAGATATACATCAAGATCAATTCTGAGCTATCGTCACACACACACACACACACACACACACACACACACACACACACCGTCTCTCACAACAAATGTGCCCTAAATCTAAAAACAAGCAAGCATAATAATGCTGCTATTATGAAATTTTATCTGAATTCCAAGACTTGCTACAAATATTTCTCAAATAAGATATTTTTGTGAACTCTAAAAATCTCAATCCAAGTATAAAATTGCTATCTTTTCAAATGTATTTTCTAAATTCGGTAGACTACCATGAAAGCTTTGCTCAATTAATTTTGTAGCCAATATTAAAAATAACTTGTGCTAATTTAAAATTTGAAATCTGCAGAATAGCAGAAAAATGCATCTTTACTCCCATCACTCAGTGAGACTGCTATTAGTTGTACAGTATTAATCATCAGTACCCTGACTCAGCTGTCATTCCTTTGAATAAATACTTTCTCCTCACCCTGGTTAGTACACAGGGAGACAGAGCACTGGACTGGCAGTTGGAAGACCTGGACTTAACTCCATTGCTTTTCATGTTTATTTGCCTGGATTTAGGCCGGCCTTGGGATATCATTTGTCAAGAGAGAAAATTGGACTAGAGATGATTTTAATGACTTCTTTCAGGCCTAATGCTTCATGATGCTTTCATATCATGGGTAACTTCTGGTAGACTGATTAATGCCCACCAAGAGAAAATTAACTATCATTAGTTTAAAGGGGTAGCATTGAGTATAAAGCTAAATATTGAGGTTTTCTATCTTTGCATTTTTTTCTCCTCAATCCCAAGTGCATCATCTCTTCAGAATATTTCAGAAAAGGCATGCTTATGATTGTGTGTGTGTGTGTGTGTGTGTGTGTGTTTAAAGTAGGTTAAATATTACCCCAATTATGGCATCAAAGGACCAAGCTCATACTGCTAATCACCATGTTATTTTCCTAAAACAAACTATAGCTGAAATCATTACTAAGTCATATCTTATAACTATGTGTTGAGGTCATGCATTGTAATTTCTCTAAGTGGTTGCTCTTTGAATTGGTCAAGTTTGGGACTGATGCTGACCAGCTTGAGTCAAACTTCATCCAAATAAAATACTTGCTTCAGAAACCCAGCTTTATGATACTCTCAACTTAGGAATTTGATGAAAATCTCAAGTGTTGCACAACTATGGCCAGTGCTTCTCTAATTAGAACTTAGACCTTCATATTTTGACACTAAAATGTCAACAAATGCAATCAAAGAAATAACACATTAAAAAAACTCAGGAGTCCAACATGGCATTTTAAAACTCAGTGTGTAGATTTCCTAGAATTTAATAAGATGAGGTTGAGCAGATGGAGCATAGAAAGACAAGCTGTGTTCTAGTCTATTTTCAAAGTAGTATTATTTTCTTGAGAACCAATTATTCTATCGGACTTTAGAAAACACCCGTGAATCAGAATTGTAGAAGAAGGTGTCAGTAAATTAAGGCTTATTGCTAAACATTACAAGTAAAGTGACTCATTTAAAATCAGGAGACCTCTTTAGGAACTACTAATTTAGCTAATCAGGGTGATACGGCTTTAGAAAGTAAATTGTGCTTAAACGAGGTTCTGATGTGGCTCTAATCCTTTAAATGGCTCCCAGAGCATGTCTGCACTGATGACAGAACTACAATGGTCATTTATTTGGATGTTGTGTGATTCAAGAGTTTAATGTCAGAGAAGAAGAAACTAAAATTCCCAAGTTAAGTTATTATGCATTGGATGATATATAAAGGAAAGGCCGTCAAAGCCTCTCCATGCAATTCCAAAGTCAACTGTCAAACACACCTCATCTCCTCTCCTACCAACTGAAGTGAAAATAAGGATATATATACATATTTATATATATATTATATATATGTATAGATGTATATATACGTATGTATGTGTATATATATATACACATACATACGTATATATACATCTATACATATATGTATATATATGTATATACATCTATACATATATGTATATATGTATATACATATATACACACATATGTATATATGTATATACATACACATATGTATATATATGTGTATATATATGTATATGTATATATATTATATATGTGTATATATTATGTATATGTGTATATATATATATTTTTCTCTGTAGTTTCCATCACCAGGCATGGACAGTCTCATTCATCATATTTGTTAGATATGTAAGGCCTACATGCTAAAAGTTGGGGGTGGGTGAAATAAGAGGGTAGAGAGGTGAAATTAGAGTCTTGAGTGTGGTGGCATAGAAAGAGCTGTGAGGAGGACATAATGCTGCTGGGAGACATCCCTCCTTACTCCCCTTTTCTTCCTTCACCAGGATCTAAAGATGATACCAGAGATTTTTCTCTTTGTTGCTACAATTTTACCTTTGGTAACCATTTCTGCAAAATAGTTGGGTCCAAAGCAAGTCCTCTTTGAAACATTTTGATTAAATTGTATGGTGAGAAGACTTCTGCTTCCAGGCATGGTGAAGTGACAGGGACCTAATTTACCTTCTGCCTAAACAATGCATGAGAAAAAGAGAAAAGTAAGTGGGGATCGGGGGCTAGGAGGGGTAGTAGCACTGAGCAGATGTACAGGGGACTCCCCTTGAGTCAACAGCAAAGTACTGATAAATTCATGTGTTCAGGGTAAATAACCATTGCTGGGAGAAGAATCAACATAAAGCAACAGGTAGAACAATGTTTAAGGATCATACAGAACCAAGAATAGTTCACAAACAAAAATGGAAAGACCTCTTAACATACATGCCGTCAAAGTTCTTAGCAGAGTATTGCCTCAAGAGTGAAACCAGATTAGCCCTAAAATAAAGGGTGTTCTGTATCAGTCTGACAAAGCTTAAACACCAGTTCAAAAAGTTCAAATTGTTTTCAAGTAACTTATCTGTTTCCCAGAACAAATTCCTAAAAATATTTACAATATTTAAATGTGTAAACATCATAAGATGTCCAATCTCTGACATGTAATAAAAACTTATCTAGCAAGCAAAGAAGCAGCAAAATGTGATCCATAATGAGGCGAGTGGGGGGTGTCTGGGAGAATCAATCAACAGAAAGAGACCCTGAAAAGTAACAGCTGATAGAATTGGTACACAAGAATAATAAAACAGCTATTTAAATATACTATATACATTTAAGAAGGTAGTAGAAGACATGAGAATAATAAAGACATAGAAGGCATAAAAGAGATGCAAATCAAATTTCTAGAGATCAAAAATACAATGTCTGGTATGAAAAATACACTGGATGGGATTAACAGCAGATTAGCCACTGCAGGAAAAAAAAGAGCAATGAAAGTAAAGATATGTCAATATAAAATCTGCAAATAAAAGCACAGAAAGAACTTAAAGTAAAAATTAAAAAAAAATGGAAAGAAAAAGACTGAAAAAAATGAACAGAATATCATAACGTGGGGCAATTATCAAGTGGGCTAAAATATGTGTAATTGGAGTTACAGAAAGGGTATAGGGCTGAAAAATATATAAAGAAACAATTACTGGAAAAGTACAAATTGTAGTCTCTACTACATACACTGAATCAGAATTTATTGGGTAGGCCTGTGGCTCTGACAGAAAATGAACCACTAGGGATAGATTAGTGGGATGGGACATAAAAAGTGGAACTGAAATAAACCTATAGCTTTAAAGTATAATAGAAGAGTTACCGGTATCCTGAGGTAAGCAACTTAGAATAGGTTATCCTGCTTTGGTGCCCAATATATACACATAAGAACATAATGTTGTGGATTCTAATAACATTCAATACAATCTTTGATGAGAAAGTGAAGCTCCCTCTTCTCAAAATACCGTATAAATCCCTACATAAACTTTTCCGATTAGTCTCATGGCCTCAAGCTATAGTAATATGAATGAACTACATTAAAATGGATGAAACACTATTGTTAATCACGCAAATAATCACGCAAATTGTCTCAGAGGAAGATAAGCAGGTTTCAGATAAGGTGGGAATTGAATGAGGAAAAATTCATCATTCTTCTCATAGATCAGCTCACTTTAGCATGAGCAAACTGAAAAGATGCAGATGAGTGACTGGGTAAATACAACAGCCTTCTCCCCCAGTCCTAAAGAGAAAGAAATATAGAATGGAAAATACAGAGTATTCAGTTGAAGAGAAAACATAATTAAAACAAAAGAAAATTTCACATTATTATTTTACATTGTTGAAGTTAATAAAAGCACAAATTGAATAAATCAAGAGATTAAATCCAGGAAATGAACACCAAAATGAGATACAAAGACAATTTCTAGAGTTCAGGAAACAACCAGAGGTCCAAAATCTGCCTTTATGAAACTAAAAGATGAACTAGAAACAGTAAGTGACAAAATAAAATTAAATAAATTAATTTAATTAAATATGAATTACATAATTTCAAGGAAGAAAGACAATATAATCAGTGAACACATAAGACAAAGAGATCAAAGCAGTAGTAGACACAAAATATGTACAGCTAACATATATAAAATTTGTTGCTAAATTACAGGATAGAAGAACATAGTAATAATAAAAATAAAAAAATAGAAAAAAATCCTGAATTAATGGCATAAGTGAATCAGGAGATTGAAAAGCAAATCTAGGTCAAAAAATTATTACAGCATGATAAACAAGATATGCCTTAGTTGTATTATTAAGCTTTAAAAAATGCATCATTAGGTATCAGAGTAGAAAGTACAAGTCACCTTCTATAATGAAAAAAAAATCATAATAGTTTAACATTTTCCTCAGCAATAGGCAAATGTATTAACATTGTTCTGAGGAAAGACAGACCCAAACATATTTTAGCTAGCCAAGTTGTTTTTCATTTGTTAGGTAAAAGGCCTAAAATTCTCAAATAACAAGCAAGCAATAAAGTTTTAGAGGCCATCACTCCAGCACATTATAAAGGGGGCTTTAAACAGTTAATGGAAAATGCATATTATGAAAATACTATGTGTAGGTTTGAAAATTTTTTTGCAGCAAAATAAACTTGTACGAACTTGTCATAGCACGTCTGAACAGGATCTAGTTTGAGGCACTAAGAAGGATAAGATATCAGTTTGAAAAGAGCCTCTATCAGGAAAACTTGAATTCTGCTAAAATTGAAGCAAGAACAAACATCAAATTTGTGGTGAAATGTGGGTGGAAGACTGCTGAAATCATTGATGCTTTAAAAAATGTTTATGAGGACAATGCCCCAAATAAATCAGCAGTTTGAACACGAATAACTGTCAATAAAAGGAAACGAGATTATGTTGAAGAGGAAGCGTGCAGCAGCAGACCATCCACATAATTTGCAAGGCAAAATTTCATCTTGTTGGCACCCTAATTGAAGACGACTGATGATTAACAACAGCACAAACAATAACCAATACCATAGACATCTCAATTGGTTCAGCTTATATAATTCTGACTGAAAAATTAAAGTTGAGCAAACTTTTCACCCAATGGGTACTAAAACTTTTGTGCCCAGATTAGCTACAGACAAGTAAAGAGCTTTCAAGGGAAATTTTAAGCAAATGGGATGAAGATCCTGAAATATTTCTTCTAAGAATTGTATCAGGAAATGAAATGTGGCTTTACCTGTACAATCCTGAAGACAAAGCCCAATCCAAAGCTGAAAGTGGTCCCGTCAAAGCAAAAACAGTCAAAAGCAAACATCATGGCAATAGCTTTTGGGGGTACTCAAAATATTGCTTGTTGATTTTTTGGAGGTTCAAAGAATGACAACGTCTGCTTATTACGAAAGTGTTTTGAAAAAGTTAACCAAAGCTTTAGCAGAAAAATGCCTGAGAAAGCTTCACCAGCGATTCCTCTACTATCACAATGCTTCTGCTTATTTCTCTCATCAAACAAAGGACATTTTGTGAACAATTCTATGGGAAAGTAGTAGGCATCCACCTTGCAGTCCTGATTTGGCTCCTTCTGACTTATTTTTGTTTCCTTATCTTTTTTTTTTTAATTAAACTTTGTTACATAGGTATACATGTGCCATGGTGGTTTGCTGCACGCATCAACCTGTCACCTAGGTTTTAAGCCCCGTATGCATTAGGTATTTATCCTAATGCTCTCCCTCCCCTTGCCCCCCACCCCCTGACGGGCCCCAGTTGTGATGTTCCCCTCCCTGTGTCCATGTGTTCGCATTGTTCAACTCCCACTCATGAGTGAGAACATGCGGTGTTTGGTTTTCTGTTCCTGTGTTAGTTTGCTGAGAATGATGGTTTCCAGCTTCATCCATGTCCTTGCAAATGACATGAACTCATTCTTTTTCATGGCCACATAGTATTCCATGGTTTATATGTGCCACAGTTTCTTTATCCAGTCTATCATTGATGGGCATTTGGGTTGCTTCCAAGTCTTTGCTATTGTGAATAGTGCTGCATAAACATATGTATGCTTGTGTTTTTATAGTAGACTGATTTATAATCCTTTGGGTATATACCCAGTAATGGGATTGCTGGGTCAAATGGTATTTCTGGTTCTAGATCCTTGAGGAATCGCCACACTGTCTTCCACAGTGGTTGAGCTAATTTACACTCCCACCAACAGTGTAAAAGCATTCCTATTTCTCCACATCCTCTCCAGCATCTGTTTCCTGACTTTTTTAATGATCGCCATTCTAACTGGCGTGAGAGTACTCACTTTTCTTCAGTTAATAATGTAAAGAAGACTGCATTGGCATGGTTAAATTACCAAGATCCTCAGTTCTTTAGGGATGAACTAAATGATGGGTATTGTCACTTACAAAAGTGCCTTGACCTTGATGGAGCTTATGTTGAGAAACAAAGTTTATATTTTTAATTTTTACCTTTAAATTCTATTTTACCATAAACGTTATGAAGTCCCCTCATACCAGTGGGAACTAGTCAAGACTATAAATGGCGACTGATGTACCATATGTCAAAATGTAAAAGATGATATCTAAGATTTTGTATGCATATATGTGTGTGTGTGTGTGTGTATGTGTGTCTAACAACTATATAAAATAAAATATGTTCTCTCCTCCTACCTTGACAAATATAGTTTTTCAACAGTCTGGAATTCTGGGTTTAAATTTAGAATTTTTCAACGACTTGGAGTTCTAACTGAAAATATGATTGTGTGGCAAGAGCCAGCTTGACCCCAGGACACTTGTCAATGTTGGACGTCATCAGGGACATCATTTGCATATATCTGAATACCTTAGTTCACACATTCAAGTTGTATCCATACCTTCTCAAGCAGTAATCCCTGGGATATTCCTTGGGTCTAGGTGTGGTGGCTTGGTCCACTCTCAGGAGAACAGAGCTGGGGAAGGTGCATGTGTAGGCCCTGGAAACAGGCTTAAGGTTGTTTGGGCAGAGAATGTTGGGTATCCAGGTACCCAAAGCGTAGTTTAGAATAAGAGCACAAAGACAAAGACCCTTGAACCAGCAAACCCCTTATACCATGTCTGAGAAAGACATGAGCTGGGGTAAGCTAGTTCCAGGCCCTTTAAAATATAGGGATTGGGGTGAGAGTACTTCCTGCATAGTTCTAAGTGTGGTACTGGTGGGCATAGCACCCATGGACTTTTATTTATTTTTTAAGCAAATACTGAGGAAACTAAGAAATCCTGCTGCCAAGAGACAAATGCAAAAAAATACTAAAGTATTAAACCAATAGTCAATTTACGAAGATGGTGAAGGCATGCTTAGAAAATTTAGTAGTAAAAAAGATACTGATCCAATAATTTTATACTCTTTCATTTTTAATCTAATATAAAAGGCAACATATTGACATTTTCAGGTATATAGAAATGCATACAATACAGGAATGATGAGCCTTTCTTAAAAATGAATTAATGATTAAGTCTATTCAACCAAGATACGACTACAGAAAAGTGTGGTAACAGGGCTAGTGGTTATCATAGCATCTATTAATATACAGAACTTAGACTTAATAACTGAGGGGATTATGGTTGTAGAACAGAATATAAATGTTGTAAATCCTGTAATATCAGTGATTACATAACTAATATTAGGGAGTAGGAGTGAGACTAAAGGATATATAAGAGTGCTAATTTTCTCACAATTAAAAGCAGGGGAGTCAATTATTCTCCCTAAAGTTGAAACATGTTGTTTAAAAGAAATAATAACTCTAGACTTTTAGTACTGTTTCCTATGTTTTCATTCATAAAGGAGAAATGAAATTATATATTGAAATTTAAAAACATACACTTAAAGTCTAGCAATTCCTTTTTCTTCAGCTTCCCTTGGGTTTCTTCTTTTGTTGAAGGCAAAAATTAAATCTAATATTATCCTTTAAAAAATATCATGTATAGGATAATCATTTTTTAAAAATTACTTTTATCTTTTGATTAATTTTCCACCTATCAATCTATCGATCTATCTATATATCTATCATTTAGCTTCCTACCTCCCTAATAACCTAGTCACTTATCTGTATATCTATTCACCATTTTTTTAATTCATCTCCCTGTCCACCCTTTGATCTGTAAATCTTCATCAAGAGATGTCTGGAATGATAATCCCTTGACATAATTCTCTAGTGCTATTTGGAATGTTTTGGTTATTTTCTTTATACAAATGTCTACTTCTTGATTTCATTATAGTGAACATGCATGAATTTTACAAAACAGTAAAGTCATTATTGAGCAGAATACTTTGGGTGAACAAACTCCTGGTGGAGCTGTTGGCAGAGGTAGAGGAACAAGGAAAAAGAAAGAATAATAATGAGGGAAGCAGAATGGGATTATTCTCCTATAACATAATTGTCAAAAGCCGATATCAAACTGAAGGCTACACTTGGGCCCTATTGGTACCCACCCACTGATCAATCAAATCGCCCATCTTTGCTGAGAATTTCAAATGAGTTTCAAAGATCGAGGTCTAGGGGGAATATTACCTGTTGGTATTTATGATTAGGTAGCTGTCTTTCTTGGGAAGGAAAGTAGGCTTCAAATGCAACTTACAATGCACTCACATCTTTAATTCTCTTTATTTGAGTTTAGATGCTGAGGTCTGTGAAGGATACAGAGATGGGAGAAGCAGCAACACACGAGAGTTCTGGAGAATGGAATGGGGAGTGCATCACCCCATGGAATCTCTGTAAGGCCCTTCAGATTCCAGGGGAAAGTCTCCAAGATGTGCTCTGCAATCAGTTCTTTTTTACTCTATAAAAAACACACTGAGAATAGAGACATTGGGGAAAACGCAGAGGAGACAAAGGTCTTGGAACACACTGACAGAGTCAGCAGTCTCCTGGCTGACAGGGAATTGCAGAAAGCAAGAGACAAAAAAAGACTTGGAATGACAGAGGTGGAGAGAGATGAGAATTAAGCCAGAGACCTTTGGGTTTAAATCCACAAAGTCTGAGACTGCCAAAATGATTTGGACTGAGAATTTCAAATGACATCTCTGTTCTTTTGATATCTGCATTTGGCAGCTCAATTTTTGAAATTGAAAGTTAATTTCAGAAGGTGTGGGGATTTTTTAAGACAGATTAAATCATGTGAAATAGCTGTTTTCAGCAATGAAAATAATCAATATTAGCAAGACTCAACCTAATACTTATCCCACCACCCCCCTACTTTTTCTCAAATAGATTTGGGCTCAAGTTATGGCTCAGCCACATTCTAGCTGTGTGAATTCTGGGCAACCATCCTCTATAAAATTCACTTTTTTAAATTGGGAAAGTGAGAATAATACTATTACACTATTACCCAATTCCTAGGCTCATGGTAAAGATTAAAGGAGTTGATGTTTATTAAGTATTTAGTCCCAGAAAGCATTTAACGGCAGCTCTTATTTCATTTTTATTAAACAAATCTTTATGACATTCCCCTGCTTAAATCCCTTCTCTGACTTTCTGAACCTCTTAGAAAAACTCAAACTCCTAGACATGACTTACAAAGCCCTCATAAGTTCTGGCTTTTGCTTATTTTGACAGCCTCCTGTTTTGTCATTCCCATAAACACTATAAACACTTTTTAAACTTGTGTCAAAGTGAAGTCCTTCTATTCGTCAGCAAGTCACATTTCCTTTCACCTCCTTGGCCTGAACACCAGCCCCTTGTCTCATCTGCCTTCATCCTACTCATAGATACCATTTCCTCTGGAAATCTTTTCGGCAACTCCTACACTGGGTTAGATGCCTTGAGAACCTCCATAGTAGATTGTATTTTGCCCTGCAGTTTGCTCACCATCCTTCATTATGATTCTTTGTTGCAGTCTTTCTCTCCATCTGGGAGCAGCCTATCTTGCTTATTTTTCGTTGTCTCCCAAAACTAAGATAACACTGAACACATTTTAGGCCTTCAGTTATTCTCTGCTAATACTGCCATATCTTGGGAACATACATGTTATGGATCAAATGTTTGTCCTTTCCCAAAATTCATCTGTTGAAACCCTAATCCCTAATGTGATGATGTCAGGATGCAGGGCCTTTGAGAGGTAATTAGGTTATGAGGGTGGAGTCCTCGTGAGTGGGATTAGTGCCCTAACAAGAGAGGGGTGAGAGCTTGTTTTCTCTCTGCTCTCTGCTGTGTGAGGATCCAAGAAAAGATGGCTATCTGCAGACTAGAATGTGGGTCCTTATAAGATTGGTTCTATTAGTACCTTGATTTTGGACTTTCAGCCTCCAGAACTGTGAGAAAAAAATTTCTGTTGTTAAGCCACTCAGTTTAAAATAATTTGTTATAGCGGCCTCAAATGATTAAGACAGTACATTACTCATTTTTTTCTGTTCTCCCAGCTGCTACTGTTTTCTTTAGAAACAACTCACAGTTGTGTGGGCTGGCAGAGGAGGAGAAAACATTTCCTGCATCGCAACCAGGTATACAGAGAGACTTATTCCATATAAATAACGAATTGCTAAACACAATAGCCTTTAATTTATTCCAATATTAACTCTTTTCTTGATTAGGCTTATCTGAAGTTTAAATGGTCGATGACTATTTAAAGCAGTCATAAATCTAATGTTGTAAATGTGATTTTAAAATGTTATTTACCAGATATTTAGGGCAATCAAGGGAGAAAGAGAAACTCACTTCTTATGAAATAATGCTTTAACCTATCTCAGAAAATATTGTTAATTTTGCTTTCAAATTATGGCTTTTACACTGTTACTTGAGTTTTAAGTTTAAATTTATATATGAATAAGAGCTTAATATACTCCTATTCAGTAGAACTAAAAAGGGACATTTGGATAAAAAATCGAATACCTTGGCTCCATAATAGTCTGCATTGAGAAAGAAGCCAATTTAGAATGGTCTCTGCTTAAATGCTGGTTAATTTTATCATTTCGAGGAAACTTGTAGTCTGTTTCTAGAAGGGAGGATAAAAACGTAGGAGAAAAGGAGATCACTGTTTTAGCGAGTCTCATCATTTTACATTAAATGTTTTACATATATTTGACATAGCTTTAAAACATTATTAGATAGAATGCTTTACACGTAATAAGAATGTTCACATTTTTTCTTATTTGATTCTGATCAAAATTTTGTGATATGACTGCAGATGTAGAAACTGAGTCTGAAAGGGAGAAACTGATTGCTGCAGTCTATTTTACTAGAAGGAGAAAATTTAGCATTGCACCTGAGTCTTAATACATAATTACAAAATAATCCATAGCAAGAATGCTTCAAACAATTTTTGGCTTTTCTTGTATTATTCAACATAAGATCTATTCCATTGCTTTATTAAATTATTTCCCCATAAATTTCTTCCCAAAGCTTTATTTCATGTTTTCTTTCTTTTTTATTCTATTAATGATGGGATCCTCAATGTTTATAATTAGCCAGTTAGATGTATAAAAGGTACTTAAATGTTAGCCCCTAAAGATTATAGGGTATCATGGATCATTTATTGCCTTTTCCACTATGGATTACTTCAATATCTTCGGGCTTTTCTTTTGATTTACTGCAGAAATATTTCTTATAATCCCGTTTTAAAATATGCATTTGCTCCATTACCTCTCTATTATCACTATCACAAATGTTGTCCTTGGAAAATACACACAAAGCAAGTGCTTGTGTGAATGTGACTTAGAAAAGAATCGTATTTATTGCCTGTTTTTTAGTACTCTCATAGGACTTTCAGTAGCATAGACTACTATGAAAAGAGAAAATATCCTTCTATAGTTACTGTTCTTTCACAGTATAAGTGCTAACCCCTAAGAAAACTTTATTCATGATTATTCTTTTCTTCTAAGGAATCTAGGGCAGAATTAAAATGTTCAAGCTTAATGTGAAGGGAGGGTTTTTTTTTCCTATTCTATGGCTGATCTTTCTGACAATAAATAAAATAGACATTGTTGAATTTTTAACTTTGAAAAGTATAAAGAAGAAAATAAAAATTTCTGTAGTTTTACCAAGCAGAGATAATACTCTTAAATTTTCGTTTCCTTCTAAGCAACTCAGTGTGCGCAAGCATTCCCCACCTGTCTCCTGTAAAGCCATGATCCCTATAGAAACACCTGTGCCTAGGACTCTGCTGGCACCACCTGGCGTCTCATATTGTCTACATTCCATTTCTTTATACCTGTTTTCCTTCTAGCAACAGAGTAAAACTGTGTGGCTAGCAGTGCTGGCAAAGGGTCAAATAACACTGCCTCTGAGTGTAGAACAGAGCAATGGGCACCTGCAGGTTGATGCAGGTAATACCCTTATTGGGTATTTCTGTTAGATTTGTCCTCTTGGCGCTTAATTTCACCTTACCTCCGAATTATTGTTCTTTGGGCCCACCCCTGCCTTGGCTTCATAGCCTGTTAACTGCCATGACCATTTAGTTTCTGTTTTATCTTTTGTTGTATCTTCCAATTTGTTATTGCTACTCTAGAGTAGAACAAGTAATATTTAAATATTTATTTTACATCTAAGCATTATAACATTATGACCATTGTTGGCCACAGGACACTACCTGCTTAAAAGGATGCATGGACATAGGCATTTTGTGCATGCTATCTCCCTTCTAATTCCTGAAAATAAATTGATGGGGCCAGGAGTGAGGGAGCAGTCAATTTTTTTAATGCCTCTTGATACTGAAAAATCACTTTTCTTCTTGGTAAGCACTCTGCATATTAACAATAACAAAATTTTATCTAACAAAGTTTTTCAAGAAAAAAATTGCCTAGATTATTTTCTTTTAAACTTATTTTATTGAGATCCTATCTTTCAGTAGTATTTGTCAATATCTTTCATTGCTTTGATCATTACAGAGGTTCCGTGTGTGCCATCAAAATCCTCAGATTTTTATATTCATTTTATATTTTTATGATCCTCAAGCATATTTCCTATTTTTATTTAGAGTCTCTTATCCTTATTTCTTTCATTCATCTAAAATTTAGTATGCTAAAGAAAAATTAAAATGAAGGCCACAGTTTTGATGTACCCCAAGGCCAACTGCCCATAGCCATGTAGCCAAAACTTAAGTTATTCTGATTTACTTGAAATGCTGGTTCTAATAAAAAACAAAACGTGAAATGGAAGCTTTTCATCTCTGTCAGTATGATTCAGTGAAACTAAACCAATCAGCTACAGACAGATCAGTTCAACAGCCCTGCTTGCCTTAAAAAGAATGTTAATATATAACAGCCAATCATGAAAATGGTCGAAATACATACTCTTTTATGTTTTTTTTAATTTATTTTATTATTATTATACTTTAAGTTTTAGGGTACATGTGCACAATGTGCAGGTTAGTTACATATGTATACATGTGCCATGCTGGTGTGCTGCACCCATTAACTCGTCATTTAGCATTAGGTATATCTCTTAATGCTATCCCTCCCCCCTCACCCCACCCCACAACAGTCCCCAGAGTGTGATGTTCCCCTTCCTGTGTCCATGTGTTCTCATTGTTCAATTCCCACCTATGAGTGAGAACATGCGGTGTTTGGTTTTTTGTCCTTGCGATAGTTTACTGAGAATGATGATTTCCAATTTTTATAAACTGCATTTTAACAGTTCTAAGGAGGCTTCCTACCACTTTCAGTCTGTGGTCTTCCGGTTTGTGAACTAATTTGTTGTATGAGCAATAAACTTCTATAATATTAAAATTGTATCTGATTTTATTTTTCAAAAGTAAGTTTGTGGCATGATGTGGATTGCTAACATGATTTTTAAAAATGCCCGACAATTGGAGGCAGAGCTTGCAGTGAGCCGAGATCGCGTCACTGCACTCCAGCCTGGGCGACAGAGCAAGACTCTGTCTCAAAAAAAAAAAAAAAAAAAAAAAATGCCCGACAATTATTCCAGTTCAAATGATTGAAAAACCCTTAAATCAGTTGTTTTCCATTCAATAAAGCACAAAATAAACTATGGTTTCTTTGCATAATTATGACTACACATGCTTAATATGGCTCACACACACTTGAAAAAAGCCAACTGGCATTTGAATAATTACTAAGCATGAACTGTGTAGAGGCCTATTGTGTTAGCTCATGATAGTAACTTAATGTATTGAATAACTTGGTAATTAAAAGTCATGGAAACCCTGGCAAAATAGTTGGTAGAATCATAAAACTGTTCTAATGTCTTACTGGGTGAGGAGGAAGTGTAAATGAAAATAAACATATAAATATGAATGCTTGGTGTATATATAAAGAGACAACAGAAAATACTTTCTTTTAATGTCCCAATAAATAGAGTCAAAAAAAGAGACAACAGGCAAAACTTTGTGGGTCTGTATAGACACATATATTCAAGGACTCCTTTGAATTTGTCTAGACCTGTAATGTCATAGTCGTGTCATTTTAGTTCATGAATGATGTAGTTGCATATTCTCATCTCCTTTCCCGTTGCACGAGTCTCTGCTCTACTCTTGGAAAAGGCAGAGTACCCCCATCCCTGTACATACACCTCCTTGTATGACTTAGGGTTCTTGCATGAGTTACTCTGGGATTACAGCCACCAAGACGGTTGACTGGTTTATTTTCTCTCTGATTATCATTGTCAGGAAGGTTTGGGCTCATGTAGGAGTGTAGGACTGGGACCAATTAGAAGTCTTGATTTAGAAATTTTGAGTTGAAGCCCAGAGTTTTGCAGTGTTTCCTTGCTCCTCAGGTGATTCTTGTGAATGCTTAGGTGTGAGAACTACTATAGTGGGCCTCTGTTTTTAAGATATGTGTTCTGTTCCATTGATTGTATATTATTTTTGATAGTGTTTTATTGCTTTAAATCTTATCTTTTTTTATGTTTCATTTATCTAGCAGGATAAGACTTTATAAATCTTGTCATTTATAATTTCAAAATGTATTATTACTTGTCTTATTTTTATGGTGTTTGAAATGTTTGTTTTTTGGTGTTGTAAAGAAATAGTATTTGAATATAAATTTAATTTTTTTAGTAAGGCTGTTTTTATTTTTTGTAGAAAGGTTATATTTGTCAATAGTTTTGTTATGAGAGTATATTGAACAAAGGAGACAGGATTATTTATAATTCAATGTGTTTATTTTATTGTTGTGTTTGGTTTTTATTGGTTGGAATGGGACTTTATATTTTGTATGTGTTTCGATCGGCTAGTAACTTAGAATTTTTTAAAAGAGGCAAAGGCAGAGGAGAACAAAGGAAGGAGGAAGTAACTTGTGGAATGTTGAGAAAGGTAAAAACACTTTTAAATAAGGAAGAGGAACAGGCTATGATTTAATGTTTGTTTGGACTAGTATAAGTATGTTAGGGCAAGTATTTAGGCTAAATTGTTGGAGTTAAGAATATAAAGTATATTTATTTTTTAATTATGGCTAGTAGATATTTAAGAATGTTAGTATAGGTTTTTGAATAAATTTTGTTTTTAAGATAAGTTATTTATTTTTAATTAGGGAGGAAAGTATTTTTGAAGAGGAACCTCTACTTTACTTTTTACAATGGGAATTTGATTCAACCTATAATAGTGCAATAATTTTTATTTTTAAAATAAACATTTATGGCCGGGTGCAGTGGCTCACACCTGTAATCCCAGCATTTTGGGAGGCTGAGGCGGGCGGATCATGAGGTTAGGAGATCGACACCATCCTGGCTAACACGGTGAAACCCCGTCTCTACTAAAATACACAAAATTAGCTGGGTGTGGTGGCGGGCGCCTGTAGTCCCAGCTACTCGGGAGCCTGAGGCAGGAGAATGGCATGAACCCGGGAGGCAGAGCTTGCAGTGAGCCGAGATTGTCCCACTGCACTCCAGCCTGGGCGACAGAAAAAAATAAAAATAAATAAATAAATAAATAAATAAATAAATAAAATAAACATTTATACGTTTCAAGAATAGAACAAGTCTATGTTTCATCAATGTTTTTCTTACTTTTCCAAGTAAAGTTGTTTTCTTTGTAGAGGACTATAATGTTCTCATTTATATTACTAGATATCTTATATTCTTAGATGCTATTGTGAATTAGTTTCTGTTTTATCTTTTGTTGTATCTTCCAATTGATTATTGCTAAAGTAAAACAAGTAATATGTAAATATTTATTTTACATCTAAGCATTATAACATTTACAAATCAATTTGAATTTAGTTTTAAATTTCATTCCTTCATGCTTTCTTGTATTTCTTCAAAAAATGACACATATCTGAAAAGGGTTTTCACACACAAACTAGTTTTCTTAAGACAAAATACTTGGGTAAAAATTCATTCCTTCTTTATGTACATGGGTGTTCATTTTCTGAAAATTCCTTAAGCTGTTTATGTATTATACATAAAATTTGTGAAGTAATTTTTTAAAAATTCCTCATCACACTTTGTACCCCTGTGGTTCTCAAACTTCAGGGTACATATAACATTCTGGGAGCTCATTAGCAATGCAAACTCTTAGTCCAGTGCCTTAGAGATTCTGATTCTGGAGATGTGGGCTAAGCGCTGAACACTTGATTTTGCTGAGCACTGCAGGTGATTCTGAAGCAGGAGGTCCTGATCACATTTTCAGAACACTGCTGAGTATATTTTTTCCAGTGCTTTCTAGTATCTAGTATTTCATAGGAGAAACCTGAGATTTTTGTCCTTCATCTTCTGCTTCCTATCCTGCTACGACATGGGCATTGTGCTCCCAGGGTAGACACAGAGAGGGAAGGAATGAAAGAGTGTGAAGCAGGTAGAGCCAGCAGGGGAAATAAAACTCAAACCCCTCAGAGCTTTCTCAGCATCAGTTGAGCAAGAACTGCCATGGTTGGTGCAAATCATAAGGGAGAATGGGGGCCCTTTCCTTTCTTACTTCCAGAGGCTGCTTCTACTTTGAGCACTGGAACAGGAATGAGAAGAAAAGTTTTAATCAAGGCTCTGTTACCTACTTTCTGTGTAACTTTAGGCAGGTCCTTTAAACTGTCTAGGCCCTTCCCTACAAAATGAGGGGTCTGGACTCTAATCCCTTAGGGTATTATTTAGATGTGTAATTTTGTGACATGATGAGATCTTGGGGTATTGAAGTATTTTGACCATTTTCATGATTGGGTTTAAAAGCTCAATTACTATGTCATGCTTTTTATAGGAGGAGGTAGTGCATTTTAGAATATTTTTAACATAAATGAAAACAAAATATTTAGATTAATTCTTAGCTTTGAGTTCTTTTAACTAGAATTTATATGCCCAGTTAGAAATTTGAATAGCATTTCCCTATTCAGTTTTGGATTCTTAGATGTAGACTGGATTTGGACTCAAAAAACACATTCTTTATGTAAAATTTTTCAAAATTATATATCTCTGTATATCTATCCTATATATCTATCTATCCATCCATCCATCTATCTCATATGATTTGGGTCTGTGTCCCCACCCAAATCTCATGTTGAATCACAGTCCCCAGTGTTGGGGGAGGGACATGGCAGGAGGTGATTGGATCATGGGGCGGTTTTCTCCCTTGCTGTTCTTGTGATACTGAGTTCTCATGAGATCTAGTTGTTTGCAAGTATGTAGCACTTCACCCTTTGCCCTTTTTCTCTCTGACTACCATGAAGACAGGCTTGCTTCCCCTTCACTCTTCTATTATGATTGTAAATTTCCTGAGGCCTCCCCAGCCATGCCTCCTGCATAGCCTGTGGAACTATAAGTCAATTAAACCTCTTTTCTTTATAAAGTGCCCAGTCTCAGATAGTTCTTTATAGCAGTGTGAGAACAGACTAGTACGCTATCTATCTATCTACCTATCTGTCATCTATCTATGTCTATGAGTATATGAATAAACAAACACTCATTTACAATATATGAAGCAACATCTACTTAGGCTGGAAATTTAGTGTATCTGAAAATCACATTGTTCCCCTTGGTGAAAAGAAAAATTTGAATTTGATTATCTTTAGTGATGCTGAGTTAATAAAAGCATAAGCATTTGTAGTTTTTTGCAAACAAAACCTGAAAAGTAGATTATGAAATTTGAGGCATATATAGTGAATACAGAGCCTCAAGTCATTGAAAATCATAATTTCTAGAATATCCAAGACAATTGGAGAAACAGACATTAGCTCATTCCATTGACTTTTTTGTGATCCTAAGCACACTTCAGAGAGAGGACAATATTTGATTTCGGTCTGCTAAGGAAGTTCAGGTACCTCACTTGATGGGAGGTAAGCAGGGTACTAACACATGCCAAAAGCCAGAAGCCATGCTCTCTAATTTTGAATTGCAACAGAAATGTACCTCTAAGCATTGTGGTTATTATGTATTCATACAATAAAAATGTATTAAATAGCCTTTATATAGCAGTCATTGAATATACAAAGACAAATAAGTCCCAGACCTCAAAGGGCTTAGGAGTTAGAGGAAACATGCATTAAATAAGAATAAAAAGATGAAATTTTAAAAGATAAATATAAAAATAGGTGTTGTAATAAAATTGTGTTCAGGGAAAAGTAACAGCCTCAGTATTTTTTTTTTTCTAAAAATAAGCTGGGCCTTTTTGTATTTTATAAACCTCCCTGGTGAGTCCAGTATTCTACCAAAATTAAGAACATCTGTGTAGGTAGTCATTTAAGGGATATATCCAATATTTATTGCTCTAGGACAGTGGCAGGAAAAAAGAACAACTCACATTTCTGAATGACACAATAATTTTTTATAATCTTCAATTTACATATTTGTAGTTTTATTTATTTTCCTGAATTATATAATTGTCAGAAGATTCTGGTTTCTCCTATAATTTGTTTTAAGGACTCAATTTGTCTCAAATAATCTTCAACTATCATCAATTTGGCTAAAGCTATCTTTCCAAAATTTTTATTGTACAGTATGTGTTGTTACATATGTAAGATCAGCCATATGAAAAGAACATTCAGCAAGAGGAGAAATGAGCTCACTAGCATAATGAAATTAATATAAAGACTCTCTATGGCTTTCTAAAATATGTTGATGTCATAAACTCTTTGTGACTTAAAACAATCAGATATTTCCTAATTAGGAATAGAATAAAAATCAAACTAATGAGAAATGAAAAGAGTGGCCCAAAACAATACAGAACTGAGACTATTATAAAGAATAAGCTGAGCATGGTGGCTTACACTTGTAATCCCAGCACTTTGGGAGGCTGAGGCTGGTGGATTACTTGAGCCCCGGAGTTCAAGACCAGCCTATGGAACATGGTGAGACCCCATCTCTACAAAAAAAAAAAAAATACAAAAATTAGCAGAGCATAGTTGTACACACCTGTAGTCCCAGCTACTTGGGAAGCTGAGGTGGAAGGATCTCTTGAGCCTAGGAGGTTGAGCCTGCAGTGAGCGAAGATTGTGCCACTGTGCTACAGCCTCAGGGACAGAGTCAGACACTGTCTCAAAAAAAAAAAATAATGTGACAAATTATGTTTAGTTAATTAAAAGGATTTTTGCTGGGGATTGACCACTCAGAGCTTTGGAAGATGGTTCGGTAGACTGTGCTGCCTGGGAAACTTCTGTATCACCTCATAAGGAGTCAAATATTGATGTACCTTCTCCAAAGTTTTGGTCATCTTTACCTTTTCACAGATCTTTCCCCAAGGTTATAAACATTTTCCTTTAACTGCTCTAGGGCAGGTAAGATGAGTCTGTATGTGATCAAAAGTCTAGGACTGTAAAGCAGATGCACCTGACAGCAATAACTTCAGCATACCCTGAGAAGAATTATCTAAGAAGAATATGTGCTCAGAGTTCTGAGCTAAGAAACTCAGGAGTGACCAAGTTGGAAATTTCTTCTTTATCTATGAGGAACAAACATCTGAAACTCTGGCCCATCCCCTGGGATGTGGGCCAGACAAGATATTGAGGCCCTTTGTTTGGGTTGAATGGAGGTTGTCAGTGGAGGTTGCTAGGGAGAGGGTGCTAAGTGAAAATGCTATATAAACTGCATGTTTTTACAAGCCGTTCTGGTTCTCCTGTCCAGCCCGCTGCCACTGAACTGCTCTGTATGTAAGTGCCCTCAATAAACCCAATGTGTTTTCACTGGCACCAAGTCTCTTCTTCAGCCTTTCAAACATGGTACCATCCCTATTGAAGTCAATACGGATTTGACAAAACAGGGACTTGTTATTCTTTCCACCTGCCATGAGCTATGTGATAATATCTTGTCCTTTCTCTAACTGGCTCCAACTAATTTATTTGTGTCTTAAATTACTAGTCTGTTCTGTGAATATTTCCCTCCATCTATATATTGAAACCAGGGTAAAGCCTGATGTCTGTACAGTGGAAAATGAAAAGAGAAAAATATTAAATGTAAAAACTGTTCTCAGGTTCAGCCCATTGCTCAAAGAAATCAGGATTCCTCTAAAAAAGATAATTCTCTCTCTCCCTTTCACCCTAACTCTTCCTGTTTCCCTCTCCTCTCTTCTCCTGCTCTTTGGTTTTCCATCTTCAATGGAATCCCAAAGGATTTTTAAGCTCTTTCTACAGTGGCTATTTTCTTCTGCTTTAATTCCTGTGGATTCCTCCTCCTAGGGAGTTGCTTCCTAATATCTACATTTATCTCAATCAATATCTCCCCCTCAGCAAATGCCTGAAGTAAATGAACCTGCCTTCGCTGCCTCCACAGCTAGAGTCCCAAGAGGCCCACTTAGGGCCAACACACTCTGCCACGTGCCCCAAGTTTAAACCTGGTCTTTTCTCCAGCTTGGAATTCCCCAGGCTTAGATAATAACCTGTGCTACTGCAAGGAAGCAACAATATTTTCTTCTGCATCCTCCTTTCTTGCTGCAGTGGGGTGAGTTTCCTGAATGCATTTCTGTTGGGAGTAGCTATGCGTTGCACTCTCTGAGAGCCTCCTTTCCTTCTATTAGATTTCTTCCTGCTCCAGTCATAGTCATATCTTCCTAGATATTCATTTTATTAACTTGTCTTTTGAGAAGATTATCCTTCCTGTAGATCATTGACTAGATTTTTTTCCCCACCTTTCTACTGATCTACTGATCAAGACCAAATTATTTTTTGAGTGTGATTCTTTTCCTTTTTGAGTCTTGGAGAAACATCTATTCCTAGAGAAGGTGTTCCAGAGACACCTAATTTTAAAATTTTCTTAATCTTTAGGTCTTAATGTTTCCATGAGGTTTTTTTCCACCTTAGTACAGGAAATATTATCCCCATGTTATCTGTTTACTGACAAAATACACTAATCATGGGTTGAACTCACAATCTGAATTCCTCAAACCCATAACTCTCATGTGAGCTTATATAAAAAACAACCAGGAAGGAGTTTAGAGAGCAAGTGGTAATCATGTTGGGAGTAGTAGAAGGTCATTTAGATCTATAAGGCCTGTGGTTATATCATACAAATCTCACCCTCTAGTGACTAGCTAATATCTATTCTAGCTCTTGAGACCTAAAGTCTGGCTTTAAACAACAAAAGGTCTATTTCCCAATACCTTAAAACATCTGTATGCCTAATCTCTGTTTGTTTATTTTTCTAAAAATTCCTTATATATTATTTTAAATAAGCAGAAACTCACCATAGCTGTGCCTCCACTAGCAGCTTTGGCCAAGCACACAATCTTTGAGCCTAACAATATCCAGGCCTTATCAATTGCAGTGGTCATGTAGTCTATGCCACTTTAGTCATCTACCTAAAATTAGATACAGAAACTTTCAATCCTTCAGAACAGCCCATTTGTAAATGTTAAACCTCTGCTGAGGATCTTTTGCTTACCCCTTTGGACCTTCCACCCAAACTTTTTTACCCTTCTCTGTTCCCCATGTGTTTAACCTAAATGGACCCATTAGTGATGAGCCCCCTTGCTGTCTGGCTTTCAGTTTGGCTCACACATGGGGAATCAGCAGATTAGAGTGAGGATAAAGAATGAAATAAGGGCACTTATTCCCCCTGCACCCTTCATACAAGGTTGCTCTAAATTATCAGGAGGCCCTTCCAATGTAAGTGTCCATTCCTGACTCTGATAATTATTTCCTCCACCTATCTCTTCATGTTTAGGTATGGTAAATGTACCCTGCTGATGTCATCCTTTGTGAATTGTGTTAATTCCTATGGTTTCTATACATCCTGCCCATGCAAAAACATTTGTGAATAGTGGGTTTATTAAACACTTCTATAATTACCCAGTGTGTTCTATATGTTTCTTATTCAGACATTATTATACTAGCTATCTTACTATTATTCACAACATACCTAAATTTTAATCTCAAATCATCTATCTCCCACATATCTTTTCCAAATTCTTTTTCTTTTATCTAAGTTAGATTTTTCTGGTCTTTAAATTTTAGTTATCTTTTGTTTTTTTCTTCACCCATCCCTGTGAAACTCCAGGCTTGTAACAATCTAGCTATGTGAATAATCTGTTTCTATATTCCAGAGTCTGAATGTTACTGGGCAAAAATAAAACAATTATATAAATTTGTATCACTACAAATTCATGGTCCTGTATCTCAGTTGGGCTTGCAATAACTGCCCAGTTATACCTCTCTTAGTGGCTACAAACTCAAACAATCTTCCTGCTATTATACTTTTATCTTACTCTTGGCACATGGTCTAGTTTTCTAATTTATCAGAGAAACCAAAATGTCAGTTAACAATTTCCTAACCACTTCCCTATATTTACTTACATTCTTTCCTTATTAAACTTTTGTATGCATAAGAAAGATTTTAATGGCAAGTAGCAGAAAAACCAACCCAAAATGGCTTCAGCAAAAGATTTTTTGTTGTCTTAGACATTTGGAATCGCTAGAGATGCCTTAGATAAAGCAAGGGGATCAAATCATGTCAGGAGAACATGGTTCTATTAATTTCTTGACTCAATTCTGTTGTCTTTTCTGTGTTAACTTTGTTATTAAACGGGTCCTCTGATGTAGTAGCAGGGATGTGTATAGCAACATCAGGTATCACATCCTCTCATGTTCCTATATAATAGTGACAGGTACACTTTCCCTGTAACAGTGAAACAGAAGTTCTGGGCCTGTATCTAGTTAACTTGAATTGACAGAACTACTCATCTCTGAGACAATCAACTTAGAGTATATGCTGATTAGCTTAAATAAATCAATGCCTGATTTTGAATCTGAAAATTTGTCAAAGTCCCTATGTAGTCTGTGTTAAAAATTCTAATATCTTATTTAATTGCCTTAGTTACTAGGCAATTTAGGAATATGACATTTTATGTCCAGTCAATAAAGAATGAGGTGGAGACCCTGCTATTGAAAGAACAACGTATGTGGTTCTTCCTCTTTCTGAGGTCAGAAATAGTTTTATACTCCTAGGCTTCATATACCACCAGGTTATTAGTGTCATACTTGGTACCTTACCCAGAACCCTTGGTTCTTCTTAGCTAAGCTCCCCTACAGTTGTCTTCAACCATATTTACTTGCAAAAAGAAATATAAACATTTGACCAAGAAAAACAAAAGTAATAATAATGTATCTGATGTACTTCCTAAAAAAAGTGTTTTGCAATTTGATTATTTTGCTCATAGAAATTACACTAAAAGAAACCCCACTGTATGATATTAAGTTACTTATTTCCTTTAGTACTTTTTGTCCCAACCTAATCAGTAAGACAAGATAAAAATGAATATTATAGTTAAACCGAAGAATAGTCTAGTTTCTCTGCTGCTGTGTAGTTATACTCCACTTAATATGTAGCACTCCTGAAAATTCAATTAGAAGTCAGACAAGTCTTTATGGTTTGTTTCACTCTCTTTTATAAGATAATAAACTAATATTAGCAAAGGAATAGAACTCAGCAGTATTAGAACTCTTCCAGTCTGGTATGGTACACAAGAGACTTTCAAGGGAAAGGTGGAGTTCTCTTATATTCATGTGTCAGCATTGAAATAAAAAAGGGACTTTGTTCCAAGAAACTTCAAAATATGTTAGCGTTTCTAGTATAGTGAAAAACTTCTGAGCTACTGTGCATGTAGTATAAGAATAAAATGATTCTTTAAAGTTTTCTTTTGAATATTATTTTCAAAACTGTGAGGTTCAACACATTTTTACCTCCTTCCCCCACTTCAGCTCACTGGGCTTTGATAAGGTTCATATCATATGCTCAGATATTTTCTTGGCAGAGAGAAACTTAATTACAGAAACTGTATTGAAATATAGTTTTCCATCTGATTCTGAGTCAATTACATAGTTTGCCATTTACTTATGTTTTTGGCTTGGTTTCCTGTATGAAATTGAAGAAAGAAAAAGTAAAACTCTTAATGATTCATTTTACCATTTCCCTCCAAGCATGGTTAGGAAGTAGTTTTTTGTTTGTTTGTTTGTTTGTTTTAAGTTTTAGGGTACATGTGCACAACGTGCAGGTTTGTTACATATGTATACATGTGCCATGTTGGTGTGCTGCACCCATTAACTCGTCATTTAGCATTAGGTATATCTCCTAATGCTCTCCCTCCCCTCTCCCCCCACTCCACAACAGGCCCCAGTGTGTGATGTTCCCCTTCCTGTGTCCATGTGTTCTCATTGTTCAATTCCCACCTATGAGTGAGAACATGAGGTGTTTGGTTTTTTTGTCCTTGCGATGGTTTGCTGAGAATGATGGTTTCCAGCTTCATCCATGTCCATACAAAGGACATGAACTCCTCATTTTTTATGGCTGCATAGTATTCCATGGTGTATATGTGCCACATTTTCTTAATCCAGTGTATTGTTGATGGACATTAGGCTTGGTTCCAAGTCTTTGCTATTGTGAATAGTGCCGCAATAAACATACGTGTGCATGTGTCTTTATAGCAGCATGTTTTATAATCCTTTGGGTATATACCCAGTAATGGGATGGCTAGGTCAAATGGTATTTCTAGTTCTAGATCCCTGGGGAATCACCACACTGACTTCCACAATGGTTGAACTAGTTTACAGTCCCACCAATAGTGTAAAAGTGTTCCTACTTCTCCCCATCCTCTCCAACACCTGTTATTTCCTGACTTTTTAGTGATTGCCATTCTAACTGGTGTGAGATGGTGTCTCACTGTGGTTTTGATTTGCATTTCTCTGATGGCCAGTGATGATGAGCATTTTTTCATGTGTCTTTTGGCTGTATAAATGTCTTCTTTTGAGAAGTGTCTGTTCATATCCTTTGCCCACTTTTTGATGGGGTTGTTTGTTTTTTATTTGTAAATTTGTTTGAGTTCATTGTAGATTCAGGATATTAGCCCTTTGTCAGATGAGAAGATTGCAAAAATTTTCTCCCATTCTGTAGGTTGCCTGTTCACTCTGATGGTAGTTTCTTTTGCTGTGCAGAAGCTCTTTAGTTTAATTAGATCCGATTTGTCAATTTTGGCTTTTGTTGCCATTGCTTTTGGTGTTTTAGACATGAAGTCCTTGCCCATGCCTATGTCCTGAATGGTATTGCCTAGGTTTTCTTCTAGCGTTTTTATGGTTTTAGGTCTAACATGTAAGTCTTTAATCCATCTTGAATTAATTTTTGTATAAGGTGTAAGGAAGTAGTTTTTAAAAAAATGGGTGAGGAGAGGAGGTGGAGCACGATGGTGAAATAGAAGGCTCCGCCAATAGTCCCCACCCTCCACAAGGACACCAAGTTAACAACTATTATCTACATGCACACACACACACACACACACACACAACCAAAAAAACCTTCATACGAACCAAAAATAGTACCTAGTTTTAACTTTATATCACTGAAAGAGGCACTGAAGAGATAGAAGAAGCAGTTCTGAGTCACCAATATCACCCCTCCCTAACCTCTGGCATTGGCAGCATGGTATGTAGAATGTCTCTGGGTGCTGGGGGAGAGAGAGCAGAGTAAGTGTGAGGCTTTGAACTCAGTTCTGTCCTGTTAGAGCAGAGAGAAAAAGCAGACCAAGCTCAGCTGATACCCACCCACAGAGGGAGCATATAAACCAGCTCTAGCCAAAGGGTAATTGAGGATGTCAGCAGGTCAGAACTTGAGTTCCCACAAACCTCACCACTGAAGGGCTACAGTGCTCTGTGTCTCCAAGTAAATTTGAAAGGCAGTCCAGGCCATAAGGACTGAAACTCTTAAGCAAGTCCTAGTGCTAAACTAGGCCCAGAGACATTCAACTTGGGTGGGGGGGGGGCACCTGATCTACTGAGACACTAGCCAGGGCAGCTAAGGGAGTGCTAACATCACCCTGCCCCTAACCCCAGGCTGCATATCTTGTGGCTCCAAAAGAGATCCTTTCCTTCCACTTGAAGATGGGGGAGGGAAAAAGTGGGGAAGACTTTGTCCTGCATCTTGGATACCAGCTCAGCCATAGCAGGATTGGACACTGGTCAGAGTCATGAGGCCCTAGCTCCCAGACAACATTTCTAGACACATTCTGGGCCAGAAGGAAACCTTTTTATTTGAAGGAAAGAACCCAGTCCTGGCAGCATTCATCATCTGCTAACTGAAGAGCCCCTAGGCCCTGAATAACCAGCAACAATACTACGTCGAGGGTTTTGGGTGAGCCTCTGAGACTTGCTGGCTTCAGGTGAAACTCAGTACATTACCAGCCATGGTAGGTACAGGGCAAAACTCCTGTTTGAGAAAAACAGAGGGAAAAGTAAAGGGAACTTTGTCTTGCACCATAGGTACTAGCATGGCTACAGGGGGCTAGAAGACAAAGTAGAATCTTGAGGTCCCTAATTCCAGGACTTGACTCTTGGACAGTTTTCTAGACCTGCCCTGAGCCAGAGGGGAGCCTACTACCCTTAAGGGTGAGTCCCAAGCCAGGCAGCATTCACCACAAGCTGACTTAAGAGCCCTTGGGCCTTAAGGGAACATCAGCCGCAGTCTGGAAGTACTCCCTCTGGCCTGTGGTGGTGGTGGCTATGGGGTGAGGCTCCTCTGCCTTTGGAAAGGGGAGGGAAGAATGGGAAGGATTGTGTCTTGTAGTTTGAGTCCTAGCTCAGCCACAGTACAATAGAATACCAGGTAGATTTCTAAGGATTTTTACTCTAGTTCCTTACTCCTGGAAGGCACATCTGGACTCATCTGAGACATGGGAGACCTTTCTGCTCTGAACGAAAGGACACAGGCCTGTCTGGCTTTGCCTCCCGCTGATTGTAGAGCTCCAGGGCCTTGAGCGAACATAGACAGTAGCCAGGGAGTGGTTACCGCAGACCTTGGGTGGGACCCAGTGTTGTGCTGGCTTTAGGTCTGACCCAGCATGGTCATAATAATGGTGGCCACAGGGGTGCTTGTATCACTCCATTCCCAGCTTTAGGGGGCTCAGAACAGAGAGATACTCTTTGTTTGGAATAAAGTAAGGAAAGAGAATAAGAGTCTTTGCCTTGTAATTCAGAGAATTTTTCTGGATCTTGTACAAGACCTGTCAAGGTGGTACCTCTATGAGTCTATAAGACCCACCGTGTTACTGGGCTTGGGGTGTCCCCTAAAGCAGATACAGCTTAGATCACAACACCCAAGTCCTTTCAAATATCAGGAAAGTCTGGCCAAAAAGAACAGGTACAAATAAGCCCAGACAGTAAAGTCTACAATAAATATTTAACTCTTCAATGCCTATACCATGAAGAATATCTACTAACATCAACACTATCCAGGAAAACATGACTTCACCAAATAAACTAAATAAGAAATCAGGGCCCAATTATGGAAATACAGAGATTTGTGACCGTTCAGACAGAATTCAAAATGGCTGTACTGAGGAAACTCAAATAAATTCAAGACAACACACAAAATAAATCCAGAATTCTATCATAAATTTAACAAAGAGATTGAAATAATTAAAAAGAATCATGCGAAATTCTAGAGATTAAAAATACAATATGCATAATGAAGAATGCACTGGAGTCCTTTCGTAGCAGAACTGCCCAAGCAGAAGGAAGAATTAATGAGCTTGAAGACAGATTATTTGAAAATATACATTCAGAGAAGACAAAAGAAAAAAAAATGAAGTGTGCCTAAAGGATCTAGAAAATAGCCTCAAAACGACAAATTTAAGAGTTACTGGCCTTAAAGAGGAGGTAGAAAAAGAGACAGGGCTAGAAAGTTTATTCAAAGGAATAATAAGAGAGAACTTCCCTAACCTAGAGAAAGATATTAATATCCAAGTAAAAGAAGGTTATAGAACACCAAGGAGATTTAACCCAAAGAAGACTACATCAAGGCATTTAATAATGAAACTCACAGGAGTCAAGGATAAAGAAATAATCCTAAAAGCAGCAAGAGAATGAAACAACATACAATGGAGCTCCCATATGTCTGGCAGCAGACTTTTCAGTGGAATCTTACAGGCCAGTAGAAAGTGGCATGACATATTTAAAGTGCTGAAGGGAAAAACTCTTTTACTCTGGAAAAGTATATCTGGCAAAAATATCCTTCAAACATGAAGGAGAAATAAAGACTACACCAGACAATATCTGAGGTATTCCATCAGCACCATACCTGTCCTACAAGAAATTCTAAAGGTAATACTTCAATCAGAAAGACAGGGACATTAATAAGCAGTAAGCAATCACCTGAAAGTATAAAACTCAAAGGTAATAGTAAGTACACAGAAAAACACACTGTAACTGTGGTGTATAATTTACTCTTGTCCTAAGTAGAAAGACTAAATGATGAACCAAACAAAAATAACCACTACTACAACTTTTCAAGACATAGTACAATAAGATATAAATAGAAACCACAAAAAGTTAAAAGCAGGAGGACAAATTTAAGGTGTAGAGTTTTTATTAGTTATCTTGTTGCTTGTTTGTTTATGCAAATAGTTTTAAGTTATCAGGCTAAAATAATGGGTTCTAAGATAGTATTTGCAGGCCTCATGGTAACCTCAAGCCAAAAAACATACAATGGATACACAAAAAAGAAAAAAGCAAGAAAGTAAATCATATCACCAGAGAAAATCACCATCACTAAAGAAAGAAAAGAAAGAAGAAAGAGAAGACCACAAAACATCTAAAAAACAAATAACAAAATGACGAAGTTCAGTCCTTACTTATCAATAATAACATTGAACGTAAATGGAATAAACTCTCCAATCAAAAGGCATTGACTGGCTGAATGGATGAAAAAAAATCTATCCAAAGACCTATTGATCTGTTACCTACCAGAAACACTTCACCTATAAAGACACACATAGACTGAAAATAAAGGGATGGAAAAAGATATTCTGAGCTAATGGAAACCAAAAAAGAGCAGGAGTCACTATACTTACATCAGACAAAATAGATTTCAAGACCGAAACTATGAGAAGAGACAGAGAGGGTCACTGTATAATCAGAAAGGGGTCAATTCAGCAAGAAAGTATAATTGTGAATATATTTGTACCCAACACTGGAGCACCCAGATATATAAAGCAAATATTATTAGAGCTAAAGAGAGAGATAGGCCCTAGTACAATAATAGCTGGAGACTTCAACATCCAAGTTTCAAGCACTGGATAAATCTTTCAGACAGAAAATCAACAAAGAAATATCAGACTTAATCTGCACTACAGGCCAAATGGATCTAATAGATATTTATAAAATATTTCATCCAACAGGTACAGAATACACGTTCTTTTCCTTAGCACATGGATTATTCTCAGGGATAGATCATTTGTTGGGTCACTTTTGAGGCCAAATGAGAAATGTGGGCCTGAATTAAAATTCAGTCTTAGTTCGCAACATGAATTGTGTGTACTATTTTATAATGTGAGGTCTTCAGGACTGTTCTGTAAACTGGCCTTATTTAGGTAATAGGATGAGAACTATGGTAAAAATATTATAGGCTGGAGACTTTGGTCCTTTTCCTCTTGCAAACATCATTAGTCATTCTAGAGATATGCTTTTGTTTACATGATTTAAACAATACTTCATTTGTTTACAATCCTGATGGAAATGATGAGTAACTGAATTTCTGGAGTAAAGAGTTTGCTGTTTTGTAATAAGAGAAAATAGATCCTTTTTTTCCCATGCAAATATTGAATTTTTTTATTTGACAGATTATTCTTTTCTTTTATTCTTCATCATCATTAGAACCTGTGAATCAATAACCATTCAGATTAATTTGCATTCTTCATTTTCCCTTCTTGTTTCAAGCCTGGCTTAGTCATTGCAGAGATATTGCTATAGCTGTCCCAGCAGCTGCAGTGATTTGCATCAATTGACACCCAAGCAGCTAGCTCTCCTTCATAGTCTGGCAGCTGCTATTGTTGTTAATACCTGTATCCAAACTCTGTTATTGTTGTAAATCTTACAGAAATCTTACTCTCCACCCTCAAATTCATTTTATCTGTAAAGCCTTTATATATATATACACATATATAAAAAGCCTTTTACATATATACATTAATGTATATGTGTATATATAAAATATATAATGAGCATATATCTGTATACATTGATTTTATACATATATCTGAAACTACTAGTACTAGGCAGAGAGAAATCTAGTTTGGAACTTTCCAGCTGTGGCCTAGGGGCAAGTGACTCATTTTACCTCTCATCACTTATCCTCAACTTTAAACCTAAGATAACAATAAGGACCTCACAGGGTTTTTTTGTTTTTTGGTTTTTTTTTTGTTGTTGTTTTTGTTGTTTTTTGGTTTTTTTGTAAGGAATAGATAGTACACATGTAAAGCATCTCACACAGTTATTGATGCTATAAGTGAATTTAAAAATGGAGAGTAGTTTTGTTATTTGAAGTATCAGCTCTATCTCTCCAGTTATAAGGAGCTGGGCATGGGTTGGAGAGTAGAGAATGGGATGTGCAGCAAGAGGGAGGATGGGAAAGTAGTTGGAAAAAGTGCTCTTTTTGGCCTGTTGGAATGTCTTCAGATTTATTTATTTAGCACACATATATGGAGAGCACCTTTCTAGGATCTGGGGATATATGACTGAACAAAACAGACATGATTCCTACCCACATGGACCTTAAGTTCTAATAGATTTAGACAGTCATAGTCTGCTATCTCCTAAGGTTTAATGAAAGGTCTGTATGTGGAAGTCAAGCTCTCTATCCTTTCCCAATGCATTGATGGGAATAAGTGTTTACCCCATGGGAAGAAGGCTGTTCTCACTAAAGAAATTAAACAAATGATCAAGAGAGAAATAAGTGAGAGAATTGTCACTCCCAAGCAAAGTATTCCAAATACTGGTGTTTAAGGGTTACCCCGAGAAACCATAAAAACTCTGCCAACTACTATTAAAGTAATGTCTAAAAGCCGTAAAAACCACACATCTCCTGATTGGTAATTTGTTTTGTACTTATTTTTTTTCTCCAATTTTTCTACCATTTCTGGTTTTAATTGTGCATTCTGTATCATATTTTCTCTCTTCTCTAAACCTATCAATTAGGCTTTTTAAAAAAGTTGTAGATACTCTAGAGTTTATAATACACATTTTTAACTAATTTAAATCTACTTTCAAATAACATTCTACTGCTTCACGTGTAGTACAGGAAACTTACATTATTCCCAATTCTTCCTTCTCCTCTTTTACACCATTGTTGTCTTTCATTTTCCTTATCCATATGCAGTGATCACCCAATACATTGCTACTGCCATTTCCTTAAACACAGTTGTATTTTAGGTCAATTAAGGATAAAGAAAATATTTTATTTCACCTTCATTTATCCCTTTATTTTTCCTTCCTTTATGTAGACTCAAGTTTCTGACGTATATGTTTCCTTCTTTGACTTCTTCAGCCCTTGCTGATTTCCAGCTCCCTGAAACACCCACATTGTGGTCTGAGACACATCCTCACATTTTAACAATATTGTGTCTTGCATTGTTTTTTGTTGTTTCTTGATGTGAGTTATGATCTTTCCAAACAATTTTAAACTTGCTGAAGTAGAGGATTCTCTATTGTATTTTTTATCCCTTGCAGTGGTCGACACAGAGGTGGGCATATAAAATACATTGGATTTACATTGATTGCTTATGGACTAGTATAAATGTCAACATGCTGCAAGTAGGAGTACCCTTCCGAGTTTCTGCCATTTGAAGATTGCCTGCGATGAGTTCATCACTTCCATTAGAGCTTCATTTATCCATCATATGGATGTTTTCTCTGTGTTATTGTTATTATTTTGATGATACATAATCAGAATTTCTAAGCATAGCTCAAAATCT
The DNA here is from genome assembly GCF_000001405.40 of Homo sapiens. NCBI lineage: Eukaryota > Metazoa > Chordata > Mammalia > Primates > Hominidae > Homo > Homo sapiens. The sequence goes on along the minus strand of NC_000005.10, from coordinate 63,741,300 downwards.
AAGCTTTGGAAGTTACAAGGAAGAAAATACACATTGGTGATGGTATGGAGGAGGTGATGGCAATTTTAGCCATCACCCCTTGGTACTCCAGAACCCACAACCAATTCATAACTTGTCTTCCTGCCCACACTCTATGAGCAGGCAGGAGCTCAAAGCAAGTCTAGTTAACTTTTGCATTTTGCATCTATTCCCTGAAACTTATTATTTTTCATGTAAGTTTCATGGATATCTGTAGAATAGAGTTTTGGAGGTATTTGAAAATATTATTTTGATCTCAGTGACAGCAGCTTGTTTGGCACTATCAGGAAAAGTGTCATTGGAGATTAAATACTCCTTTGTGCTTCACACAGCCACATGTCACATACTTATTATGACACTAAGTTTTACCTGCTTAGTAGTATTTCTTACTTATCTGTTATGATGAAAAAGCATTATAACCTTTGTAATTTCCTTATCATAAAGTGCCACTTTTTGAAGTATGTTAGCTATAGCACTAATCTCTGAAACGTTTCCTGAGATGGAAGAGAGACATTTATCTCTCAAATTTCACACGTAGTATTTCTATTGGCATTGTTTGCCCAAATTTGATGGATATATATATGTTACCTTCAACTTTAGTTATGCCAGCTTATCTTTATTTATTTTTCACCAAAACCCTTTGTCTTTTGCATTTAAAGATACTGTGGCATGCGCATTGGCTTCCTTAACTTATGAATCATATTGTTTTGATAGTTTCATAACTCTCTGCTCTTTCCATAGTGTGGAAGGTTATTAACAAGTGAGTGCCAGAGATTAGCTCTGGCATTCCTGCATTGCCCTGTTTGCTCAAATTCATCCATGGCTTCACTAGGTATCCTGAGTATGATTTCTCTGATGCTTTTTATTGAAAGGACCTCCTTCATATAGAATGGCAATCACATTGAGAATGTATGGCCAGTTTTTTTATTAAAGAAGGGCAAGTCTCCATTACAGCTAACTTAAAAAAATTCAGTTTAATTTTTACCTTCTTTCTTTAATATCTCAGAAGGAATGGAAATTAACCTTCTTAAATACTTAAATTAGCAGAGCTTATGGGCTTTTATGGAATTCTACATGGCAGTGATGGCTCTCTAAGTACTTTGTATGTTTACTTCACTGGGTCTTAGTATTTGCATCTGTAATAACATGAGGGGGAGCATGGTTTAGAGTATTATGATCTGGAAAGTCTCTAATTTCAGTTTAATATTGCATCTCATAAGCATTTACTCTGATTATACTTCCTGACAATTGTAGAACACTTAAGAGTTTGCAAAAAATGCAAATTTGATCCTTAAAATTATCTCGCAAAACAATAAGGCATATATTATTATATCCAATTTACAGACAAGAAAACTAAAGATTTTAGTTCATGTAAGCTATAGCTGAGAACAGAATATTCTCATTAGAAGAAGAAAAAAAGTGTTTGGTTCAAAGTGCATAGAATCTGAGGCTAATTGTTCCCTCAAAAAGTTCTCCTTTTGAACATGATCAGTGACCCTTATTTCCATGGCTTCTAAATAAATAAGAAAACATAATTTGAGTCATCCTAACTCCCTATGACAATTTGGCTCTTCTGTGGTTAAATCATTTGCCTTCTCTGCTCATGACAGAAAGCAGGACTTGGGGATAAATGGTGACAGCCAAGGCTCTTTCTCTGGGGAAAGTCAAGTTGCTAGCCTCTAGATTCAGTAACTCTGGGTCCTGGATTTTCTGCTACAGGAAGGCTTTCTGATATTGTCTCCTATTACTACAAATATACCTTGTTTATGACACTACATATTCTGAATTATTCTTTAGAAGTTATTGTCAAAATAAATAGTGTGACTTGATTTATTTAAGAAGTTTGCTTAGCCTGAAGCTGAAGTAATTTATTAGTGAAGCTAAATTGAGTTTCCACAAAGATCATAGATGTGTGCTGGGTGTTTAGAAATGAACGAACAAGTTAAATATTACTTATACCTTAAAGTGAGAAGAGGGTGGACTCCTGCCAGATTGATGGGTTTAACATTCTATTCGATACTAGCTATAAGACCTTGGAAACTTAACCTCTGTGTGCCTCAGTTTTGTTGTCAGTGAAATGGGGTTGTCATCACTTACCAACCTCAGCAAGTTTTTGTGAAGATTAGTTAATAAATATATGCACACTGCTTACACATAAGTGTCTGTTATTATTGTAATAGTAATAGCTAATATTGGTTGACTATTTTCTATGTTAATTATTGAATTCCACGATTTAAATAGTTTATTACATTTAATTTTCATGACAATCCCTTGAGGGGCTATTTTTATTCCAACTTTACAGAGGATAAAACTATATAAAAATTAAGTAACTGTCCCCCAAATCACACAGACAATTGGCAGGATATCTCTTACAATTATGCCTTCAACTTCCAAGCTAGAAATGGTCATTTCTAATAGAAGTAGTTTAAAAATAGAGAAGGTAGAAGTGGGAAGCCCTATTCTGGAATGCTCTTGGCATTTAAGCTGACAAAAGTAACTTCTACAGTTGACCCTTGAACAGCATGGGTCTGAACTGTGTGGGTCCACATAAAAGCAGAATTTTCTGTAACCAAAAGTAGATTGAAAATACAGTATTGGGGCCAGGCTTGGTAGCTCATACCTGTAATCTCAGTGCTTTGGGAAGCCAAAGTGGGAGGACCCCTTGAACCCAGGAGTTCAAGACCAACTTGGGCAAAATCGCAAGACCCTGCTACAAAAAAATTTAAAAATTAGCAATGTACTGGGTGATCATTGCATATGGCATGACTGTAGTCCCAGCTACTCAGGAGGCTGAAGCAGGAAGATCCCTTGAGCCCAGAAATTTGAGTCTGTAGTGAGCTATGATCAGGCCACTACACTCCAATGTGGGAAACAGAATGAGACCCTGTCTCTAAGAGACCCCATCTCTTAGACCCCATGTCTAAAAAAAGAAAGAAAATACAGTATTTGCATATTTGCTGGATGCAAAACCTGCATATACGGAGAGCCAACTTTTCCTATATATATTTCTGCAGGGCTGATTTTTGGGACTTGAGTGTGTAAGGATTTTGGTATGTGAGGGTGGTCCTGGAACCAATCCCCAGAATACCAAAGGATAATCGTATACTGTAAACTTTGTCTTGAATATAAATAGCTGATAATATTCATGTTATCTTATCCTGCAGGCTACCATTAATTTCAGAATATTCTAGATGACTTTTTTAAAGTTGTGAATCTGACTCAATTATAATTGCACAGAATCAGAATATAAAGCATTGATGGTCTATGTTTCTAAGTTTAATACGGTACAGGTAATACAGTACAGATCCTTGAGTAGACTCAGATTGCAATGAGATGAATGATTAGTTATTCGTATTGATTCTTTTCATCATGTCCTGCATGTTAAAATGATTTATAATTACCAATTATTTTCTCTTGATTATTATTTTCTCTGTAAGCTTTCTTAATATTACCATCACTTTTTAAACAAGAAAGTTGGTTTATTGAGAATATAGATGTTTTAAAGTTTGACAGAAATGTAATGTTTTAGACAGCACAAGCTTTAGAAACCTTAGATCCAGGTGCCAGATTGAATATCCTTTAGAAAGTTACTTAAACTCTCTAATCTCTTTCCTTATTTATAAAAGGAGTGCCTGTTTTAACTTCGGTGAGAAAACCTGCTGTTTTAACTTCAGTGAGAAAACTTATGTCAAATATAAGTACTGCATCAGGCACTTTTTAATGCTCCAATAAAAGCCATTCTTTTTTATTTGCATTCCGTGTTTACATTTGCTTATTATGAGAGCTCTATGTAACAAAACAGGAATTGATATAGTCTCACGTGTATTAGAGTTCTCCAGAGAAAAAGAACCAATGGAATATCTATCTATCTATTATCTAACCAGAGAAAGATTTTAAGGACTTGGCTCATGTGATTGTGGGGTCAATGAGTGTGAAATGTGTAGTCTGGATGTACAGGAAGAGTTACTGTTAGAACAGTTTGAGTCTGAAATCTACAGGTGGGTCGGCAGGCTAGGAACTCAGGCAGCATTTTCATGTTGTAAACTTCAAGCAGAATTGCTGCTGCTTTGGTAACACAGGGTGACACAGGAATGAAGGTGACAAAGTGTACCTTGATTCCTTCAGAGGTGTTCCTGGGTCTTCTCAACTTTACCTCAGCTCAAACTAGATCCCCGTTAGGGGTCAGAACACTCTTCCCACAAAGGTGTACTTATTGTTGTCAGGTGAAAACATATGCCTCAGATTAGCACCCTGAACTCCACTATTATGCCAGAATGGTGGAGTTATTTCCCCCTTAGCAACTGCTGTGGCTGTCTCATATCCCAGGAAATGTTGGTTGCTGTGCAGGTGGCAGATCATCAGTTGCTTATTTCAGCCACATCTGAGATGCAGCTATTGCTTTGGAGAGGAATGTGGAAGCTATCCACTCTCTATTTCTTATACAGTGACTTAAGACATACCTCCAAAGAAGATAATTCCATTATTGCATTTTTGAAATGATAGCCGAATGGAGTGCCATATGTTAACTGTTGTGAGTATTCATCCCACATGCTCAGCGGGCTTAAGGCCATCTCTTTGGGGCTATGTATCTTTGAAAGAAAATAAATAAGTACCTGCTCTCCAAACCTCATAGAGAAATGTTCTCAGAGATTTGAGAGGATGTATTGCTGGCTATTAGCCTTTCAAATGCTCTACTCAAGAAAGGAGGTAATCTGCAGTATTATGGGTTGATTTGGTACCAGTGTATACAGTATTGTTATTTTCTTGCAGTAAGAAGAAAACAACAGGCAAGTTACTCTAGGAAACCAGAGGCCTGTGTTGCTTTTTAAAACCTTTCCAAAATTGAAATCTATAACTGCAGGTTAAGAAATAGAGTATAGACACTGGTATGTGGACATTTCTCTGCCCATATGGACTATCTCTCTGCAAAGACCTTTAAGGAAATGATGCCATTGATAATTGGGGAAGAACTTCATCTTCAAATTCATTCTTCCTGTTCTGTTGAGGACTAACAGATGGCCACACTGGAGAGTTTTATAGACTGGCTGTTGAATATGATACTCGTACCAAGGGTCCAGTGTGAGACTCACCCACAGAAGTGCAGCCAGACCTTGTTAAAGATGACAAGCTACTACGGGGACATCAAGGTCTTGTGCTTGCAGAGCCACACTGCTACGGCTTGAGACCATAAAGGCTGCTACCTACCTTCTCACTAGTCTGGAGCAGTGCAGTGATAATGGCTCCAGAGGCTGCTTGAAAAACTGCTTTTTGTGAACACTATCCGTAATACCCTTACTATGTCATATTGAAGGGGCGTAGGTCAGGCTCAGAGAGAGGTTCAAATTTAGTAGTACGGAGAATGAAATAAAAGCTTTTTTCCAACCTATATTCTGTGCACAAGTGTACTTATCCTTCGAGTTCCAGCCACGAGTTTAATTAGGCTGGATTTCTGCTTCCTTGTTTGATTTGTCTTCTTGAGAAACTCAGAGAGAAGACAGCTGCTTCAGCTGGCTTTGGGAGAAAAGTTGTCTAACTACATAGTAGGCAGATGGAAATCTGAACTCTTATTTCTGCTCCCAACTTTTCTCCTGTGGAAAACTGACCTTAAGGTAAATAGAAGATGCATGGGCTATAATGCCTGTTTATATATTTTTTAAACAATGATCATCAATATATTGACTTTGTTTAAAACTTGAAGAAAGAAAGATAACTTTTGCTTCTTGCCAAAGCTACTATCTTTGAGACTCTGGAAAACACACCTTCTTTTTCCTACTCCATCTTCTTAGTACAGTGATTTATTCTGACCTTGTCGGAATAATCAAGGAATCCAATCTTTGTCACAAGAGAAACAAATGTTATTAACTCTACCATCTAGAGAGAGACGGCTTGATACAAGAATATCAGGGCTTCGTCTCGCAAGTCAAAGCCTTTATTATTTAGTTTAATCCTTTCCTAATACACACACCTGCACACTGATACAGCTAAATCTGAACTTTAAAAGGCATACCTCATATCTTAGAGGAAAGGTTTCAATCTGGTGACCCAGGACCTCAGTTAATTTTTAAAATGCTTTTCTAGAAATGCAGCTATGTGAGGTTGGGAATTTCAAGGCCTCCATGTTATAGAACGTTGGTGAATTTTCCAAATTTTTATTGTTCCCTGTTAGCAAACAATATTTTATTAACAGTCAAGGCAGCACGTCAAAAAGCTTATCCACCATGATCAAGTGGGCTTCACTCCTGGGATGCAAGGCTGGTTCAACATATGCAAATCAATAAATGTAATCCAACATATAAACAGAATCAAAGACAAAAACCACATGATTATCTCAATAGATGCAGAAAAGGCCTTTGACAAAATTCAACAACCCTTCATGCTAAAATCTCTCAATAAATTAGGTATTGATGGGATGTATCTCAAAATAATAAGAGCTATCTATGACAAACCCACAGCCAATATCATACTGAATGGGCAAAAACTGGAAGCATTCCCTCTGAAAACTGGCACAAGACAGGGATGCCCTCTCTCACCACTCCTATTCAACATAGTGTTGGAAGTTCTGGCCAGGGCAATCAGGCAGGAGAAGGAAATAAAGGATATTCGATCAGGAAAAGAGGAAGTCAAATTGTCCCTGTTTGCACATGACATGATTGTATATCTAGAAAACCCCATTGTCTCAGCCCCAAATCTCCTCAAGCTGATAAGCAACTTCAGCAAAGTCTCAGGATACAAAATCAATGTACAAAAATCACAAGCATTCTTATACACCAATAACAGACAAACAGAGAGACAAATCATGAGTGAACTCCCATTCACAATTGCTTCAAAGAGAATAAAATACCTAGGAATCCAACTTACAAGGGATGTGAAGGACCTCTTCAAGGAGAACTACAAACCACTGCTCAATGAAATAAAAGAGGATACAAACAAATGGAAGAACATTCCATGCTCATGGGTAGGAAGAATCAATATCATGAAAATGGCCATACTGCCCAAGGTAATTTATAGATTCAATGCCATCCTCATCAAGCTACCAATGACTTTCTTCACAGAATTGGAAAAAACTACTTTAAAGTTCATATGGAACCAAAAAAGAGCCCACATCACCAAGTCAATCCTAAGCCAAAGGAACAAAGCTGGAGGCATCATGCTACCTGACTTCAAACTATACTACAAGGCTACAGTAACCAAAACAGCATGGTACTGGTACCAAAACAGAGATATAGACCAATGGAACGGAACAGAGCCCTCAGAAATAATGCCGCATATCTACAACTATCTGATCTTTGACAAACCTGAGAAAAACAAGCAATGGGGAAAGGATTCCCTATTTAATAAATGGTGCTGGGAAAACTGGCTAGCCATATGTAGAAAGCTGATACTGGATCCCTTCCTTACACCATATACAAAAATTAATTCAAGATGGATTAAAGACTTAAATGTTAGACCTAAAACCATAAAAACCCTAGAAGAAAACCTAGGCAATACCATTCAGGACATAGGCATGGGCAAGGACTTCATGTCTAAAACACCAAAAGCAATGGCAACAAAAGCCAAAATTGACAAATGGGATCTAATTAAACTAAAGAGCTTCTGCACAGCAAAAGAAACTACCATCAGAGTGAACAGGCAACCTACAGAATGGGAGAAAATCTTTGCAACCTACTCATCTGGCAAAGGGCTAATATCCAGAATCTACAATGAACTGCAACAAATTTACAAGAAAAAAACAGAAAACCCCATCAAAAAGTGGGCAAAGGACATGAACAGACACTTCTCAAAAGAAGACATTTATGCAGCCAAAAAACACATGAAAAAATGCTCATCATCACTGGCCATCAGAGAAATGCAAATCAAAACCACAATGAGATACCATCTCACACCAGTTAGAATGGTGATCATTAAAAAGTCAGGAAACAACAGGTGTTGGAGAGGATGGGGAGAAATAGGAACACTTTTACACTGTTGTTGGGACTGTAAACTTGTTCAACCATTGTGGAAGTCAGTGTGGCGATTCCTCAGGGATCTTGAACTAGATATACCATTTGACCCGGCCATTCCATTAATGGGTATATACCCAAAGGATTATAAATCATGCTGGTATAAAGACACATGCACATGTATGTTTATAGCGGCACTATTCACAATAGCAAAGACTTGGAACCGAGCCAAATGTCCAACAATGATAGACTGGATTAAGAAAAAGTGGCACATATACACCATGGAATACTATGCAGCCATAAAAAATGATGAGTTCATGTCCTTTGTAGGGACATGGATGAAACTGGATACCATCATTCTCAGCAAACTATTGCAAGGACAAAAAACCAAACACCGCATATTCTCACTCATAGGTGGGAATTGAACAATGAGAACACATGGACACAGGAAGGGGAACATCACACACCGGGGACTGTTGTGGAGTGGGGGGAGTGGGGAGGGATAGCATTAGGAGATATACGTAATGTTAAATGATGAGTTAATGGGTGCAGCACACCAACATAGCACATATATACATATGTAACAAACCTGCATGTTGTGCACATGTACCCTAAAACTTAAAGTATAATAATAATAAAATTTTTTTAAAAAAGTAAAAAAAAAAGCAGTCAAACAGTTGTCAGTGAGGTTGATAATTTTTGTCTCTTGTGTCTTGATTATCTTCTTAAAGCTCTTTCTAGATGTCTCTGTAATTATCATCTGAGTTAACATTTTAACGAATGTCTATCAGTGTCCTTTTCTCACTTTTGCTAGTTTTCCCCTTCCTTTGAAAAAGGCATTCCTTGCATTTTGTTAAGATAATTAGACAATGTAATTAGGAAGCTTTCTCCAATAGCAGCTAGACGTAACAAATGACAATTGGAACATTTGTGAAGTGACTGGTAGATATGGAAGAGGTCAAACATTGTGATTAGAACATTATACCCTGTTGTGTAAGCTCATACCTTAAAGCTCAGAGAAAAATCAAAATAATTGCACTCAGAGTGCCAGGGACAATACAGCTTTCACCATGTTGTAGATGCCAATGATGTCTAATAAATTCCATAGTCTCTGGGTGACCTGAGTGCATCGGCTGCCGTGGCCCTTGTTTACAAATTTCAATTAGTCTATTTGAGAGCTCTCAATTTCCAACAAAAAAAAACTCTATTACTTTTTGATATACAAAAAAGGGTCATGTATATAGGCCTAGATTTTTATTCACCTAAATCTTAATACTGGGCCAATAAATGATACACTAACTTCCCACTGTTAACTACAGAAAATTAAGTTTTATCTCAAAAGCTTTCTGTATTTTATTTTCAGGTAAAAGCACTGAATACTTTCTCTAGGCAAAGTGCTTTGAACTAATCTTATGCCTTTCATTTAAGTGTCTTACACTGATCTCACCATATTTTCTCAGTTAGATTCATAACTGCCTTAAGAGATAGATGGAGTAGAGTGGCAACAATCCTTTGTAGATAAAGACTTGAAATATAGAGAATTTGGAACCATGTGAAATAGGCTGGTAGAGAAGGTAACAGAATCCAGGATTCCTACACAATACTGAGTAATGGACTGGAATATCTTCTGTGCACTAGACACAGAGGCTGACTTAGTTCCCGCAAGTACTGAGGGTCTCTTGTGTTGTCTCTCTACCTGAATAGGTGAACATTCATCAACATTCAGTTTGGAATGCCTGAGTACAGTAGGCAAACTACTAGTATAAAAAGCCACTCAGTATCCTAAGGACATCACCTTCTTCTGACACCAAAACTATCTATGCCAGAATTGCCTTTGAAGGGTCAGGACTAGTAATAACCATTTTTGCCTCCTAATTCAGTGATGATCATCCATATTTATAAATCAAAATTCTGATTTTGGTCACATTTACTTTTGTACTTTAATCTCTGTACTGTTTAATGATCCTTACCAACCTTCATCCTTTACTACTGATCTTCTGTAGCAATAAAATCATAACGCCCTGTAGGAAACATGTTCAATTATGAATTAACTTTCTGCATCTGTAATATCTTCATATTACTCAGTGGTATTCTGGCAAATATTTAACAACGGACTCCCTGAAACAAACATGTGTATATATACACAGGGTTTTAAAAAATACATTTTACTGATATAAAATGTATACAGTTTTATATCAGTAAATTACTGGCATACAGTTTATAAATAATAATGTATGATACTCATTATAAATTCAGTGTAGCCAATTGATATGCACAGAACCTTTTACTGATTTTTACTGAACTCTTGTATCCATAACCAAACAACAGTTGCAAATGAATGTAGAATGCTGATTGGTATTTTCATTTGGATTAATGAGTAAATTAAAAGTGAAACAATGAAGGCATATGTCAGAATCACACTCATTTTTCAATAACATGAGTAACTGGTGAACCAAATGGTTTTTTCAAATATTGGAAGAGTATTTTTTATTTTTTTCTTTGTACTATTCACAACGAAATGGCTACAGACATGACACACTTTTAAGTTTAATCTGCATTATTAACATTTTTTCCATTATTTTCTTAAGTCTAGACCAGGAGTTGGCAAACTTTTTCTTAAAGGACTAGATAGCAAATATTTTAGGCTTAAGGACCATATGGTCTCTGTTGCAAGTGCTGTGCTTTGCCATTATGTTGGAGCTATAGACGATACCACTGAACTGGCCATATTCCAATAAAACTTTATTTAGAAAAACAGGCAGCAGTTGTGCAATAGATTTTTTCTAGACAATTTACAAAAAAAAAAAAAAATTAAGCCCTAATCTGTAGTATCTGCCTATTTCCATGGCATAGAAACTCCACCATAGCCAATTTCAAGATACCAATATGATGTTACTGAGTGAGGAGTTGGGAAGAGATATCTAGCAGTACATCATTATGTAATTATTTCTATCATCCAGAAACTATAGGTAGAAATAACCCTAGGAGCATGAATAATAGTAAAATATAGTATAATAATTAGAAAATGATGAATTTCAGTTTTTATTACCTTTGATTTTAATATTACTGCCTTAATTGTAAGTTCATATAATTTAATTTTAAATATTTTAACAACTAGTCCACAGATTTTCTGAAAAAATTGTAATTAGTTCCTCCAATTTGTTATGAGGTGGTTCTACCATACCACTACTTCTCCTGGCACTTTTTCCAGTGGAATTTTATTATTTCATACTTAAGTTACCAAGGAATTGGGAATCAGGACGCATTCATTCATTTAATAGATATTTTATTAATGTCAGTTTGTGTCAGACATTGTGATATCATTTTCTTCACTGTCCTCTGTTACTTTTAGATACAATTTTTCCAATCTTCATGAAAAATATGCATATCTCTAATGGCCTTGCTCTAACCCATTGAATATTCTATCATTCTGTTAAATTCATTAATTACTTATTTCACAGTTTTCCTCTTTGACATCCTCCTGAGTGATTTCAACTGCCATGTGGATGACCCTATTAACATTCTAAGTAATGTGATTTCTTCCGTTCCAATATCCTTCAACACTATTCTAACAGCCTACTTCCATCTATGTTTCCTAAACTTATCAATACATGGAATATAGTCAGCTTTCCATATCCATGGGATCTGCATCCATGGATTCAACCAACCACCACAAATCAAAAATATTCAGAAAATATAAATATAGCAATAAAAATAATACAAATAAAATAGAGAATAATGATTTACATAGCATTTACATTATATCACATTATATCAGGTACTGTAAGTAATCTAGAGATGATCTAGCGTATACTGGAGAATGTACCTAGGTTATATGCAAATACTACACTATTTTATGGAAAAGACTTAGGCATTTGTGGATTTTGGTATGCACGAGGGGTCCTGGAAACCAATCCCCTGCTGATACCAAGGGACAACTGTATCTGAATATCTTGAGCTCTGATATCTCATGTCTGACTTAAATCATAAACTGTCTCATCTTTCTAATTTTATGACACCTAATTTTCAATCACATCAAAATATGAAATGCTAGACAACATTTTTTTTTCTCCCAATCAGCCTATCCTAATTTAACTTTATTACCCATCACAGGCCACTGGGATCATTTTGTTTCACCGCATTTTGAGTATGCCATGTTTTGGGTCTACTGCCACACTAAAAATTATAGACCTAGGTTTAGATAACTAATATTTTTTTCTTTTTAATACCTCTGATAATTGACGGATGATAACACAATTTATGCTTTTCTTTTTTGTTACTCCACTCTGCTTTCCCATCTATTCATTTATTTTTTCAGAGTAATTTACTCTGTTTCCCATTGATACCTTCAATATCCTAAGCCTGGCCCTCTCTTCTATGCAAAGAATTCCATCCTGCTTCTGTCTGTCTCAGCTGGCAACATTGCCACCACAACTCAAGGCCTGGTGAGCTGGGTAGGAGATGTCTGAGCTTCAGTTGATTCCCTGGAACAACGGTCTTAATCCAATCAAAGTGTTCCTGAGGCAAGCTGAATGCTGAATCTCAAGGCTTAAACAGGCTTACGAGGCTATGAGGAGTAATGAAGTCACAAATAGGCCAAGATCCATTTTTCCCTGAGGTCTGTCTTTGGCCTGCTCATCTTTCACTCAGCAAACTCTCCCTGAGCAATCGTATGCATGACTTTAGCTACAACCTTAAGGCTGATGACATATTAATATTTACTTTCAATTCAGATCTCTCTCTTGGGATTCAGAATTTTATGTATGACTACACATCTTTATCTGAAATATTCTAAAAGCAAAATAAACTTAAAGTGATTATGTCCAAAAATGACATTCCCTCCTCAGCCTGCCCTGAAACTCCACTTTCTTTCCTTGGTAATTGACAAGGCGGACACCTGGGAGTCCCTTTAACGCCTCTTCCTCCCTCAATTGCCATGTTCAGAGGTTTTCAATTCCAGAAAACTACATCTTTGAAAATCTTTTCCATCTGTCTCAACCTTGCCAACACATATTGCTGACCCTTTGGTTCAATAATTTATTCTTCTTCCCATTCTGGTAACAACCAAACTGTTCTCATACGCTCCACTAATCCTTTCTATGTTGTTAGCAGAAGTATATTCCCAAAATGCAGATTCAAGTTTCCTTTTAGTAACCCCATTCAGATTGCCCAAACTTTCTAAGAGGTCTCTGCATGCCTACCTTCCTTCAATTTTTTCTAGTCTCAATTTTTTTACTCTTAATTTCTAAACAACTATGGGATCAATTATTTTATAGTTTTATATATTTTCGTGTGTAGCAGACTTCAGCAAGGAAACAAAAACAAAAAGCAGTTGAAATGAGTAATAAATAGATGCAGTCCCCTCAGACCTCGGGTATGTATTAGGCAGAGAAGTTAGGGTTCTCTCTCTATGGCACCTGAGTTCTACACTCCAAAGCACACAGAATATTGTTTCTGTTTTTCTCTCTCTCTTCTTTTTAAATGCAGACCAAAATTTTAACCTCAAAAACACAAAGCAGGAAGTAGGTGATAGAGACTAGTAGTGATGAAGTACATTTTAAGACAGTTCCACTTATCATTGATGTTTATGAATATAAGTGGGGACCCTGGAAACAGAGCATCATGGAAATTATCACAGCAGAGAACTATCTCATATGCTAGGAGGGAGGTGCCACCCATATATAACAGGGGTAACATAGGTGAAGCCTTTCAGAAGCAGGAAATTGTACTGGGGTTTGAACATATTAATTTTCCTAAAGATCAGAAAAGGAGATTATATGAGTGTAGGCTTATAGAATGACTCAAATTAATATAAATACACTGTTGAGGAAAATAAGATATTTTAAAAGGGGAAAGGATTATTTTAAAATTACTTCAAATTAAGAGAAAAAGAGCAGCATTTTCAAGGCCTAAAGACAGAGTGTTCTTAAAACTGTCATCTGTAGTCTCTGGGAGATTTGGCAATCATAACTTTATATATTAAGAAAGAACAGAAAATTAGTAAGGCCTGAGGGAAATAGATCCCATTAGGATAAAATTTAAAGTCAGATGGGTAATATATGTAAAAATTGTTCCAAATAAATTAAAATCCACCTTTAGGACAATGAAGAACAGGCATGTCTCTACAGGAAAATGATTTTTTAATGTGAAAGAAAATCTTCACAGTATTTGAGAGGATTTAGATTAAAACAATGAGAGAGAAAATCGTAGATATGGAAGAGAAAGAGTAACGACTCACCTTTTCATGGTTTTTATTACTGAAGGGGAGACCAAAACAAAAGAAACAGAAATAATAATCACATAACATAGATAATAATTTTCCTAAGTGGAAGAAAGCAAAACACTTTATTTAAAGTGTTGTAACTTTAGCTCACATTCTGGTGAGCTTTTACTCTCAAGATTGAAAAAAAAAATCTTACAAGCATTTAGGCAGAAGGAAAAACAATTACCCACAATAGCAATTGGTAGCACTGAAGGAATGCTTAGAGGAGTTTAACTTCCCCCACTCCAATAGTCTCCAGTCAGTTGCTCAAGACACTCTAAATGAAAACAAAATATAAATAAAAATATATTCTTGCAGTGTAACCATGGTTTTGACTCCCAAAACATCCTTCCTGTCAGCCGTCGCCAACCCCTTTAGATTGCTATACCTAATGCTTCCTGTATAGTCATTCTGAAGGCACCATTCTTGAAGACATATTTAACCAAATGAGAAATAAAACCAAAAGTAAATGAAAAATGGGAACTATACCACAGAAAATCACTGGTGGTGAATGCCAACCAGTGTGTTTTAAGGTACTTTATTCAAAAATTTATTGATTCAAAAGATTCATTGAATGCCTTCAATATGAAAGTCACTGTTCCCGGAACTAAGTATATAACAAACAAAAAAAAAAAAACAAAAAAAATTATAAAAGAACATTCTTTTTTAGTGTCTTTGAGTATGAGATACCTGCGTGTTTCCAAGAATTTAAGATTTTTAAAAAAAATTCATTGCAAAATGATAAAAGAATGGTGTTTCCACTTTGAATTTTGTTTCTGAGGTTCCTTTTTAAGACCTAAGTGACTTGTTTCATTTCCTGGCCAAACTTAACATATTTGGAGATAATATGGTTTAAGCCACCAATGTGATGATTTACAGCCCTGAGACTGAAGGGAATAGAGAGGAAAAGAATAAGCTCAACAAACAGGAGACTATGTTCACTTGGTCATTCTGGGAAGTAGTTTAAATGCCCAAAAGACTGCACTCAGGAGGCAAATCTTGATTTTGCCACTTTATAGCTGATTGATCTGATGTAAGTTGCTTAACCTCTCTTACCTCTCATTGAATTCCTTAATAGAAGAGAAGATTGCATGAGATAATATATGTAAAATTGTTAGGATAATAATATAGTTTGGCTCTGTGTCCCCACCCAATCTCTTCTCAAATTCTAATCTCCATATGTCCAGGGAGGAACCTGTAATCCCCACAGGTCAAGGGAGGGAGGTGATTGGATCATGGAGGCAGTTTCCCCCATGCTTTTCTCATGATAGTCAGTGAGTTCTCATGAGATTTGATGGTTTTATAAGGGGCTCTTCCCACTTCACTCTCTTCTCACACCTGCCACCATGTAAGACGTGCTTGCTTCCCCCTTCGCCTTCTGCCATGATTGCAGGTTTCATGAGGCCTGCCTCTTAATCATGCTTCCTGTTAAGCCTGCAGAACTGTGAGTCAGTTTAACCTCTCTCCTTTATAAATTACCCAGTCTTGGGTAGTATGTTTATAGTAGTGTAAGAATGGACTAATATAGATAGCTTCCTTGGGACATGTGTTCAGTGGATATGGTCTTTTTTTTTTCTTTGAAACATAATTCCTAACCAGTGGTAACTGTAAATCTGATATATACCAAATTTTCTTGCCCAAAATATTTAGTATCATTTGTGGTTGCTGTTGAAAATAGGAAAATATGTAGAGATAGCCACATAGAGAAAACAATTTTCTTTCAAAATTAATTAGAAAAGATAGAATAAACAAAGAAAATACATGATCAAATATGATTTTCTTGTTTGGGGAAAATTCACTCTAGTTTTGATTTGTACTGGGTGATGGGCACTTAGCAATTAGCAAGAAGACTCAGGTTAAGTTTTTCTGACTTTTTGTAATTAGAAAACTAAAACTGTACTTCAATGAAATTTGCTCTTGGTAGGAATCTTTGGAGTGATTTCTTATTTTTTTTTTTCCACAGAAGTACTCTATGGCATGGTTGTAGTCCCCACTTTGCCACCCCAACAATTAAATTCTAGGCAACATGCTGTGTCCTTTAGAAGTTTCTGTATTTCTGATATCAAATGGAAACTTCTAAGGATAAATGTATTTTCCTCCTTAAAAAAAAAAGAAAAAAAAAACACCTAAATGTTTAAGATCCTAGTGTCTGAAAAAAAAGCATGGCTGTAGTTTAATCTTGTTTCACTAAAATAAGAAAAATAATTAAATTGACCTTATTTAGGGCCAAGAAATGCAATCACTTTGATGCTGTTTTAAGAAGATGATTTGCTTTGGAATAGACAAGAGGTTTGATTGAGATAATTTGTTTCTGTTTTAAAATGTTTTATTTCAGACATGGATGAATGAAGACTTTGTAGTTATTCCATCTGTTTCAACGTGGACACTGACATTATATTTTCCATATTTACTGTGGTAAGCATACATTTTTAAAAGGATAGGTTTCTTAATAGCCTGAGATCTACACTCTGATAAAATTATAAATATGTATGGGATGATATGTAGTAGAATCATGTCTATAATTTACTTATCTCCAATTCTTACATTTTTTAAATAAATAGTAATGACAAGTCAGAATAAACTAAAGTATCCAGAGATCCTCATAAATGTATCATTTCTTCAGAGTCATGAGTTGGCAATTTATGACCCACAGGCCAAATCCATTCAGCTGCCTAATGCCTCATTCATTTACATATTGTTTATGTATGCTTAGGCATGACAAGGGCAGAACTGGGTAATTGTGGCAGAGATTATTACATGCCTAGCAAAACCTAAGACATTTACCACTTTACTCACCCCCTCCATATCTCACCTCTTCCCTATTTTACATCTAGAATGGATGTCCACTAGGCTTAGTGAGTGTGGGTAAAGGGAGAGTTTTTTAATTTGAAAGGTTAAACAAACACCTAGAAAAAAAAGGATTGCTAGTATGAGTGACAATGATGGAAGATAAAGCCCTCTGCATTCTGGAACTGGTAAGTGCAGACCCTAGCATATCAGCACCTACCTGCTAATTTTAAAATTAAGGTTGCCAATTGGTGACATATGCAATGCTGTTAGCTATTGATAAATGTGAATTTAAAACAGAGAAGGGTTACTTAATATTTGATAAAATCTTAAAATATAAAAAGAAACCAAAAGTAAACAAAAGAGAAAGACTGACCTGGAAGGAAATAAAAATAATTCAGAGAATAGAAATGATACTTTTTCCTTCTAGACAATGGATTGGCATGCATCAGATTATTGCTTCCATGAAAATACCTAGAAAAGCCAGATAACTTTTAAAAAAATCTATTTAAAGATATTGGAGAGTGGCCACATTAATAACAACCAGAGGGGTCAAAATTCCAGAGAAAGGAGAACTGCTAAGATGTAACCTGATATTCCACAGCTGATTTTTCTGTGGGAGCATTTGCTGATTTGGGACAAGAGGCTGCAAATTCAGATTCATAAGTGAGAGGCTTCAGGAACCTCAAATATATGGCTGATTTTCCTCCAATGCATTTGACAAATCTGAAGCTGCATAAACAGAGAATGGTAGGGAGGTGTGAAGGTGATTGATACCAGTTAAGTTGTTATTGATCACATCAAAAACTCATTAGATAATGCCACAAACTGTAAGTTTAAAAAATGATACAAATATATAACTTGAAAATAAGGAAATAGGGATTATAAGCATTAAAACCAAAAACAATTAAAAGGGCTATTATGGAAAATAGAAAATAGTTTAGAATTTACTGACAACTGATACAGATAGTTCTTCATATCAAAATTGGTGTACTACAACGAAAAGAACATTTATGGGAAAATATATGCCATAAAATTCTCATATGAAAACAAAGAAAGATGGAAAAGTAATGATTCTGGCATTTTACTAAATCAATTAGAAAAAGAGCAGAATAAATTCCCCCCAAAATACCGAAAAAAGGAAGTAACAAAAATACAAACTGATAATATAGAAAATGGAGAAAACACATGTATATCAAAATATTTTCTTTTGAAACAGAAAAATTTCTAGTAATATTGAATAAGAAAAAGGAAAGGGCAAAATATTTAATGTTAATAGTAAAAAGTAGATTAGAGACTTAACAAATGCATTAGAAAAGGAACACTATAAACAACTTTATGCTATAAAATTGAAACATATTAACAAGATAATTTTTACCAAAATAATACAAAGTTCCGTAAATAGAAAACTTTAATAGACATTAAAAAATTAAAGAAGTTAAAATTTAACTCATACAAAAAATCATGAGCCTGTTTGTTTTTATAAGCAGTTTGTTCCAAATCTTCAAGAAAGCAATAATCCACATAATACATGCTAGAGACAAAAAAAGAAATAAAGAAGTGTTCCCAACTCAATTTATATGGCTCTTGGATCTTTGAAGTCAAAGTCGGCTTAGGGTAGAAAATAGTGATCATTTTTCATTTATAAACTTTAATGTAAAAATCTTAATGCAGTTTTTATTGAACAATTGAATATAATTGTTCAAAATAGTCTCTTATAATTATTTTTATTTCTGGGGTGTCTATTGCATTTTTTTCACTTTCATTTTCAATTTTACTTATTTGAGTCTGCTATCTTTTTTTCTTAGACTAACTAGGGGTTTATCTATTTTGTTTTTTTCAAAACAACAACTCTTTTTATTGATTCTATCAGTAATTTTTCCATTCTCTATTTGATTTACTTCTGTTCTGGTTTTTTTTTCTTTTGAGATGGAGTCTTGCTCTGTTTTCCAGGCTGGAGTGCAGTGGCGTGATCTCGGCTCACTGCAAGCCCTGCCTCCCGGGTTCACGCCATTCTCCTGCCTCAGCCTCCCCGGTAGCTGGGACTACAGTGGCCCACCATTATGCCTGGCTAATTTTTTGTATTTTTAGTAGAGACGGGGTTTCAACGTGTTAGCCAGGATGGTCTTGATCTCCTGACCTCGTGATCCACCTGCCTTGGCATCCCAAAGTGCTGGGATTGCAGGCGTGAGCCACTGCGCCTGTCCCTGTTCTGGTTTTTATGATTGTCTTTGTTCTGGTAATTTTGTATTAAGTTTATTCTTCTTTTTCTGGTTTTGAACTATAATGTTACCATTCATAACTATCTACCTCTGGGAGGTAGATATTTTTATTATCATACCTACTTTACAAATAAGGAAAATGAGGCATGTAGCTTATAATCAAAGTCATACAACTAATTAGTAGAAGAGCCAGGATTTAAACTGGGTCAGTCTTGTTTCAGAGTTCATGATCTTAAGCACTATTCCACTCTTGTTTCATGCTATTTATCATTGTCTCTTAGACTTAACTCTTTTGGTTCTGAATCCACATTTATACAGTATTTTTCTGATTAATATTACCTTAGCATTTAGATATGCCCATGCACTCATTAAGCCGAACTTAATTCTTTTTGATCATATGGCAACTTTACTCTGCCTTTGAAGATACACATCTGTTTCCTCAGTTTTATGTAATGTGAATTTGTTCTTGAATAATGGCTCAACTCTCAGAGTACCATAGACATTGACTTCCTGAGAGTGGAAAGCATAGGGTCAGATCCTGAATGTGGTGAGTTATCAAGTAATGAGGCCTCTTGGTAATCAGCCAGAGCACTGCTCCCAGTAGCTTGCTCATGACACATGCCCTTCTATCCAGGCTTCAGAAACATCACCACTGATGGATCTCTAAGGGCAGCCAGCCCACTAGCCATTTAGCTCTGTTGGCTACAATTCAGCTTTTCCAGGCTAGATATAAGCAAGTGTTGCAAAGCAGGAGGGTTAGCTGAAGCAAGGCTTTGGAAAGCCATGTAAACTGAAAAAACAAGGATTCTCTGAAGACTTAAAAAATGGATATGTCACAAAAGTTATCTCAAAATGAATTATAGACCTAAATGTAAAGTGAACAACTATCAGTATCCTGGAAGATAATATAGGAGAAAACTTAGATAACATTGAGTATGGCGATAACCTCTTAGTGGTAACACCAAAGACAGAACTCATGAAAGAAATAATTAATAAGCTGGACTTCATTAAGATGAACAACTTCTGCTATGCCAAAGACACCGTCAAGAGAATGAAAAGACAAGCTACGGGCTAGGATAAAAAAATATGCCAAAGATACATCTGATAAATGACTATTATTTAAAATATTCAAAGAACTCTTAAAAGTCAGCCAAAAGAACAATCTGATTAAAAAATGGGCCAAGGTCTTAACAGACACCTCACCAAACATTTAAAAATAAACGGCAAGTAGGCATATAAAAAGATATTCTAAATCATATGTTATTAGAGAAATGCAAATCCAAACAACGAGATACCACCGTACACATCTATTAGTAGGGCCAAAGTCTAGTACCCTGATAATTCCAAATCCTGACAAGGATGTGGGCCAATGAGAACTCACATTCATTTCTGGTGGAAATGCAAAATGGTATAGCCACTTTAGAGGAAGTTTGGTGGTTTCTTACAAAACTATATATAGTCTTGCCATATGATTCAGCAGTTACACTCCATGGTACCTATGCAAAGGAACTGAAAACTTATGTCCACACAAAAACCTGTACATGGATGTTTATATCAATTTTATTCATAATTACTTCAGAAACAATCATAATGACCTTCAGTAGGTGAGTGTATAAATCAACTGTGGTACATCCAATGGAATATTATTTAGTGCTAAAATGAAATGAGCAATCAAGTCAGAAAAGATGTGGCTGAACTTTAAATGCATATTATTAACTGAAATAAACAACCTGAGAAGGCTATGTGCTGTATAATCCCAACTACATGTCATTCTGGAAAAGGCAAGACTACAGAGACAATTTAAAAAATGAGTAGGTTACAGGGGTCTTGGGGATGAATAGGCAGAACACAGATAATTTTTAGGGACGTGAAAATGGTGGTTGCTATAATGGCAGATACATGTCATTATACATTTGTTGGAACCCATATAATGTAACACCAAGAGTGAACCCTAATGTAAACTCTGGACTTTGGGCGATTATGATCTTTCAGTATTGATTCATCAGTCTTTAACAAATGTAGCTCTCTGGTAGGGGATGTTGATGATGGGGGAAGCTATGCACGTGAAGGCAGGGGTTATATTGGAAATATCTGTGCCTTCCTTTCAATTTTATTGTGAAGCTAAAACTTCTTTAAAAA
The DNA here is from genome assembly GCF_000001405.40 of Homo sapiens. Classification (NCBI taxonomy): domain Eukaryota; kingdom Metazoa; phylum Chordata; class Mammalia; order Primates; family Hominidae; genus Homo; species Homo sapiens. The sequence continues at coordinate 63,719,932 of NC_000005.10, read as the reverse complement.
AATAGTCTTTAAAAAATAACAGATACAGTTTTTCTACTGGAATCTGACCATTGCTGACAAATCTTTTTAATCATTAGAGATAATTGGAATTGAGTCTAGGAAGTCTTAGAGGATTTTCAGTACTTTCTTCAATAGATGTTTAAAAATGATCAACTTCTAAGTTTAAACAATAGATGTTTAAAAATGATCAACCTTCCTAAGAAGGTCCACAAGCATATCAGATCTCCTTCTGAATTCTATTAATTTCTATTGTTGTGCAATAAATTACAACTAGCTCAGTGCTTTAAAGGACCAACAATGTATTAGCTCAAAGTTCTGTAGGTTAAAAGTCTGGGTACTCTATAAATGGGATCTCTGCTTAGAGTCTCTAAGGCTAAAATAGAGATGTTGGTTATGCTGAGCTATTGTCTGGAGGCTCAGGAAAAAAAAATATCACTTTCAAGCTCATTCTTGTTGTGTCCACAGTTCAGTTCCTTACAGTTGTAGGTAGGGCTGATGTTCCCAATTCCTTACTGGTTGTCAGCCAGGGGCTACTGTCAATTGCTAGAGGCTGCCCATATTATTTGTCACATGGTTCTGCCAGTCTTCAAGCTAATAACCATGTGCCAAATCCTTCTCGTGCTTCATGTCTGCACTTTTCTTTTCTGTCACCCACCAGAGAAAACTCTGTTTTAAAGAGCTTCTGTGATTAGATTAGGCTCATCCTAGATAATCTCCCTTTCTTAAATTCAACTTTGTGATGTTATGTGATCTCATAACAGGAGTAAAATTTATCCCAGAGTCCCAAGAATGATACAGGATGTGTACACCAGGGGGTGGGAAATCTTGAGAGCTATCTTAGAGTTTTATCTACCACGGGAATGAAATGAAGAGGTAATGCCTAGAGTTTCTTAAGGAATTTAGAATCTTTGGACACCATGCCTTAGTATACATTTTTATCATTTTAGAAAGGAAGAATAAGGACAGAGCAAAGTTTATGAAAACATTACCTAAATGGTATAGTTTATTTTTTCTAAACTGGACTATTTTGTGTTTAAAAAAATCTTTCTTCATGAAATGGTTATTAAATGTCATAGTAAAGTTTAACACTGTGGACAAAAGGCTTTAATAGGGCTTAATCTATTGGACCTGGCTATTTCTATCACACATCTGACACCCTAGGCCTCCTTTAATTTGCAGTGAGTCTGCATTTCTGGAAAATGATAGCTCTTTCCATATCTAACATGCTAGTGCTGTCCCTTTAGGCTGTGTTATGATTCTAATTATTCTTAATAGCTGTGTTATTGTTTGCCTCTATCAAGCAATATTGAGTTTAACTCATTTATGCTTCATTTTTATGTTTCTTTTGTGGCAGGATCTTACACATATAATTAATGTTTGTCTTTAAAAACATGTATAGTAATAGGTTTTGCTTAGATTTTGACATGACCTCAAGTGGCAAAACTGCCAATCACATATGCTTTGGTTATTGATATTTATTTTCTTTAAGGAATGAGCAAATGGAGAAGACAGTGAAGATTAGCTTATTATATGGGGGTTAGTCACCTGGTGATTAGGCAGTGTAGAATGCCAAAAATTGCCATCCATTTTCTGCAACTAAACTGGCTAACTATTCTTATTATAAATCCATACACTTCTTCAATAAGGTATTTAAATCATACACATAGAATATCAGGGCAGCTTTCAATGTGATCCTAAATAATCATGCAGACTGTATTTGTGGCACATGTTGGAGCAGGAGTCAGTGAAATGGAGAAAAGCCATTGTTGCACTTTGTTCTCATTACTCTGCAATCTGCAGCCATCCTGTTGAAAGGGGCACAGTGCTTGAAGCAGTTCAGTAATTTATGGTATACATGTGCAGTTTGGCTTTCTGTCTGGACTCTTATTTTTTCCCATAAAAATGAATAATTATATAGAAGCAAAACAAAACAAAATATTAAACAATAATCAAAGTAAACAGTAAATGATTTTTTTTCAAAAATAAACACTAATAGAATTACTGGCATAAGACATGCATAGACAATGCTAGGATATTTTTCTTGGCTTTTCTTATAGAAAGTTTCGCAGCAATTTATATAACAATTGCAATTTTATAGGTTATGCAGGCATTTGGTTAACATCGCTGTCTCATAGCGGTCTAACAGCTCCATGAGATGTATCTTTTGCTCACCATTGTATCAACTGCACCAGCCAGTGTTGGTACATAGTAAGTGTTCAATAAATGTATGAACATTATTAAAAGTTAATCAAAAGAAAGAAATGCAAGTAGCTAATGAAAAATAATGTAATAAAGAGCAAACTTCACTTATACAAAATAAAGAGAAGCATTTTATTTATCACATTGGCAAGGTAAAAAATGAAATACCAACTATATATCAAGGTTTTAGGGGATAAAAGAAATTCTTACTCACTTTGGCTCAATTCGAACAAATAAATTGAGCATAACAGATGATAAAGACTTAATGAATAAGATGGTCTTTTGATAAATGAGAAGACAAGCACACTGCAAAATGATATGGAGAGCAATTTGGCAATTATGTATTAATAGTATAAAAATGTTCTTTTTTTTTTTTTTTTTTTTTTTTGAGATGGAGTGTTGCTCTTTCGCCCAGGCCGGAGTGCAGTGGTGCTATCTCGGCTCACTGCAAGCTCCGCCTCCCGGGTTCACGCCATTCTCCTGCCTCAGCCTCCCGAATAGCTGGGACTACAGGCGCCTGCCACCGTGCCCGGCTAATTTTTTGTATTTTTAGCAGAGACGGGGTTTCACCGTGTTAGCCAGGATGGTCTTAATCTCCTGACCTCGTGATCCGCCCGCCTCGGCCTCCCAAAGTGCAAAAATGTTGTTACCCTTGACTTAGTAATTATAATTCTAGGGATTCATCCCATCATGTTTACTATAGTATTATAAGTTTGAAACATGGAAAATAATCTCAAAAGCTAACTAAATAATAGTTTTAAAATCATTACATATCCAAGTGATGAAATAACATGTATTTATTCAAGTACATTTTTGAAGAATATTTCAATGCATGTGAAATTGCCTAAGGCATGCTTAGCAAGAAAATGGGTGAATTACAAGCTATTTATATGATATAATGTCACTCTACAGCTTTATATTCTGAAGATTACAGATGGTTTTTTAAGCAGACTTTACTTTTTAGAAGAATTTTAGATTTACAGAAAAATTTTAAAAATATTATAATTACAATATACCCATCTAGTTTCCCCATTAACATCTTACATTGCTATGCTGCATTCACTAATATTAATGAACCAATATTGAGACATTATTAACAAAGTTCATAGTTTATTTAGATTTTTTTAAATTTTTTAACTTTTTTCATTTTTTGAGATGGAGTCTCACTCTGTTACTCTGGCTGGAGTGCAGTGGCGCAATCTCAGCTCACTGCAACCTCTGCCTCTGGGTTCAAGCAATTCTCCCGCCTCAGCTTCCCCAGCAGCTGGGATTATAACCACACACCACCACACCCGGCTAATTTTTGTAGTTTTAGTAGAGACAGGGTTCCACCATGTTGACCATGGCTGATGTCGAACTCCTGACTGCAAGTAATCTGCCTGCCTCAGCCTCCCAAAGTGCTGGGATTACAGGTGTGAGCCACTGCGCCTGACCTGATTTCTTTAGTTTTTATGCAATGTCTAGGTGATTTCAATTTTTTAAATTGATAATCTATATTATTATGTGTTTTCTAAAACATAGTTCCAGTTTCCAATAATGGCAGAGTAACTTGTAATACTCAATTGATTGTTATTTATAATAATTGTTGTCAATAATAATTGATAATTATTGTTGATAATAAATTCTAGAAATATAATTCAAACTGTTTGAATGATGATTTCTCAACTCTGAAAGTGTAGGATGAGAATCCAAGGAACACAGTAAAACAAAGCTAGAAGGCTGAAAGAAGGCAGAATTAACAGCTGCCTGTTGCTCAAAGAGGAAGTTGAAATTAAATTCCCCCTAAGTTAGAGAGATTTCTAGAACATTTCATGCTTTCAATTAAAATAGCAGAAGAAACACATCTTTGAAGGAAAGGTTGTTTCTCATTGCAATGGCTACACCTCATGTATAAAGGCAAACTGAAATAGACCTGCTATAATAAAACCCAAAACGGAGCCCTAGGAGATGAAAGGAATGTATCCGTTATTTAGCTGCACACTAGAAAATAGCTCAATGCTTTTCAGGTGAAGGTAATAGAATATAGACTATAATGTATCATCCATAATGTCCAGTGTAATATAACATTTACTGTACCAGCACAGTCATGAGAAAAATAGCAGAAAGAGGCCCAATGAAGACTGACATGTTTGAATTAATCGGATAAATGTGTGAAAAATAAACAACAGGAATAGGTAGAAATATGGGCAAAGGGATCAGAAATTTTAAAAAGAGATATGAAAACTTATAAACGGTCAAATAGAAATTCTAGAACTAAAATATACCTGATATCAATAAATTTGTAGGATGCTATTAAGCATATAATGAACACAATGGAAGAATCTGAGAACTTGAAAACAGATCAATAGGAATTGTCCAAATTGAAGCACAGAGAAAATTTTTAAAAATGAAAGAAAATGAATAGGGTCTCAATGACCTATCAGACAATATCAATAGCAATAGCATTTGGTTATTGCTCAGAATCTTAGAAAAATAAAAGAGAGGAAATAGGACTAAAAATTATCAAGAAATAATGACCATCATCCTTCCAAGTTTGATTTTAAAAACAAACAAAACAAACCCTTAGGCCCAGGAAAGTCAGTGAATCCCAAGGAAGATAAATCCAAAGAAAATTACACCTAGGTACCATGTTGTAAGATTTCTGAATTCTAAAAAGGAAAGAGAACATCATAAAAACAACCAGAGAAAAAAAGACACATTATATACAGCAGAACAGCTATAAGAATGATGGTTGCCTTCTCAATAGAAATAATGAAGGGCAGAAATTATGGAATTGCATATTTAAAGTGTTTGGAGGAAAGCTGTCTACCTAGATTTCTATATCTAGTGAAAATTGCCTTAAAAATGAAGGTCAAATCAACATAATTTCAGATGAAATCTGGAAGCATTTGCTGTCATTAGACATATACTGGAAAGCATACCAATGGTAAAGTAACTTCTTAGAAGGAAAATCACGTCAGATGAAAATTAATTTCTATAGAAAGAAATGAACAGGGACTAAGGTAAATATGTAGTAAGTATAAAAAAGCTATTTTTCTTTCTGAAATTATCTTAAAAATCAATTGACTATTTTAATAAAAAATAATGTGTCATGGGATTTATAGCATATATAATTTTTTTAAAATGGCACACTAAATAGAAGGTGGGATAGATGTAATACAGAGGAAAGGATTCATTTAATTATACTGGTTATAAGATTCCTGTGTTGTACATGTAGTGATATGCTATTCTATATAGATTATTAAAAATTAAGGATGGGTATTGATAATCTCTTACATAATAAAATATGGTATATCTACAAGTTAGAATTCTATATTTTTAAAACCCAATTAAGCCCTTCCTTGTCTCTCTTCACCCCCCGACCCCAAGGGAGGTAAAATAGAAAACAAATGACAATATAGTAGGTTTTAAAACATCCATACAAGTAATTATATTAAATATAAATGAATTAAAAATCCAAATAAAATCAGATATTGTCAGATTGGATAGAAAAGCAAGCTGCAACTATATGCAATTTATAAAAGATTGACATTAAATATAAATACACAGGCAAGTAGAAAGTAAAAGAATGAGCAAAGGTATCCATGCACACACTAAGCTTAGGAAAGGTGGTATGACTATATTACTATCTGTCAAAGTAGCCTTAATAAAGAGGAATACTATGAAAGACAAAGTGTGCCATTACATAATGACCAACGGGTCCATTTATTAAATATATGGAATTTATTTAGTAACAGAGCTTCAAATACATAGAATAAGGATTGACAAAACTCAAAGGAAAAGCAGATACAAAATTATAGATGGAGGTTTTAATATCTTTCCCTTTTAATTTCCTTTCCCAAGTAGACATGCTTTAATGTACATGTGTATGTATCAATATTGATATGAAAAGATGCTTAATATCCTGGGTCATGAGAAAATGCAAATTAAAGTAACAATGAGAACATATTATGCATGACTCAGAGTCTTGAGTGGGCATATTTTTAGATGCAATCCCTTTAAGATCCTTTTAATTCTACTCTTCAGACATTACAAACTTGTCTTTCAGTTCATGAAAACTGAATGGAAAACTTTCTCAATCTTTGAGAATTAAAAAAATTCTTACCTAAGAATCTTTGTAACGTTCTCTATGTAGTTTTTACATTGAGATAGGTAAGCAAACATCTCCAATGTTTCTTGTCAGACCAGTCACTTTTTGTTTCACAACTTCGTTCTTTTCATCATCTTGGTCTTTTGAATGGCATCCAGTTTCTATAGTTCTCATATGTGATTTTCATAGCATTGTTCAAGAAGGATCCAAGATTCCCCACTTTCTTCCAAATAATGTATTAATAAATGGGTCAACAATGCTTTGTATTAACCTCTTCATCACAGGAAAAGAAAATTGCTTATAAAGTTCTTCAGCATTGCAGGCATATAAAGGAAAGGGGACGTATACACATCTGCTACAAAGTTCTTCTTTCTTCATCGAGGATATGGGACAGTGTCTGGAGTTGGTTCCTTTCAGTGGGTTCATGGTCTCGCTGACTTCAAGAATCAGGCCATAAAACTTCATGGTGAGTGTTACAGCTCTTAAAGGTGGCATGGACCCAAAGAGTGAGCAGCAGCAAGATTTATTGTGAAGAGCAAAAGAACAAAGATTCCATAGCATGGAAGGGGACCTGAGTGTGTTACTGCTGCTGGCTGGGATGGCCAGCATTTATTCCCTTATTTGTCCCTGCCCATGTTCCATTTCTGCCCTATCAGAGTCCCCTTTTTTCAATCCTCCCTGCGATTGGCTACTTTTAGATTCCTGCTGATTGGTGTGTTTTACAGACCACTGATTGGTGTGTTTTACAGACCGCTGATTGGTGCGTTTTACAGAGTGCTGATTGGTGTGTTTTTACAGAGTGCTGATTGGTGCATTTTACAATCCTCTTGCTAGCTACAGAGTGCTGATTGGTGCATTTTTTACAGAGCACTGATGGGTGCATTTTACAATCCTCTTGCTAGCTACAGAGCACTGATTGGTGCATTTTACAATTCTCTTGTAAGACCGAAAAGTTCTCCAAGTCCCCAGTGGACCCAGGAAGTCCAGGTGGCTTCATCTCTCAACACTACAGAAGCATCCTGGGCGTGGTGGCTCACGCCTGTAATCCCAGCACTTTGGGAGGCTAAGGCAGGTGGATCACTTGAGGTCAAAGTTGGAGACCAGCCTGGCCAACATGGTGAAACCCCATCTCTACCAAAAATACAAACATTAGCTGGGCGTGGTGGCATGCTTGTAGTTCCAGCTAGTCCGGAGGCTGAGGCAGGAGAATTGCTTGAACCTGAGAGGCGAGGTTGCAGTGAGCCGAGATGGTGCCATTGCACTCCAGCCTGGGCGACAGAGCGAGACTCTGTCTCAAAAAAAAAAAAAAAAAAAAAAAAAAAAGCCAAGTAGCAACATAAAGAAGGAGCCACTGGAACATGCTCGGAGGGCTTTTCCATAGCCTTTTACTTCCTTATGGGGACACACGGCTGCTGGTACAGAAAGAACCTTTCCTAACCTGGACAGACACAGCCTTACATTACCATTCAGGAAAGACTTAAAACATTAAAAAAAAAAATCTACACCTTCAGTTAAGAGAATGTTGTCCAGCTTTCCAGCTTCAGTCCATTTTATTTCCTGAACCACATTCAGAATCAATAAAGCCATACCCTCATTCAAACAAAGGAAGCAAAATTGATGCCCGGGGGCCTCTGAAAAATGTATCTTTCAGCTTTCTATAATAGTACCTGGAAAAGCTTTACTCTTTACAAATTTAAACCAAGTGTAAATTCAGCAGTGTTTTACAGACCAGCATTTCTAGAGAAATATGGGAGTTGTTGGAAATGCTGTATTTTTAAAAGTCAATAACCATAAGCCCTCCTTGAGTAGACAGTCCCCATTTTTATGGTCATTGTTATATTTTGATTTTGTATCATAAAATATGGTTACTTTGTCTTCTCTGTATCTCTCTTTAAGATTTTAAGATTAACACAGCCTTCTGTGCTATTCACTTTGAACTCATACTTATTTAGAATTTTAGCTCTTGGCTTCTTGTGTTGTCTTTAGTTTTTATTAATTTTGTAATCTTGTGAAAAACAGTAGCCTGCCAATAAAATAAGGGTCTAAGATGGTACATTGTGTGAACCGTGGTCTCAGTGTAATTTCCTTAGTTGGGATTCAACAATGAGACTTTTGGTCATTTTTAAATGTGTTCTTAAAATTTAATTTCCTTTATGTTTGATAGCATAAAAGTAAGATACCACAGTTAAGTAAGGTCATTTCATTAGTCTACTTTATATATCTTTTGGCTACAGTGAGGTACTTTGCAGGGCTTTGAAATGTGCTTACCTTGAGTGCAACCAAGGCTTAGAGTATTGATGAAAAGCAGTGTTTTTTCAAGTGTTGCAGATTACAGAATCCTGGACTGAGCCTGATTTTCATGATAGTTTTAATATTTTTGTTCTGCAGGACAAAAATTCAATGTAACCACGGTAGATATGGCAATGCTATTAATTTTATCCTCCTGTAATCAGTGAATTTTCTGTATTTACTTACTTTGTATTGAAGGACAAAAGTATTCAACGTGTAAATATGTCATTGTTACTTTTTGAAACTCCAATTAAATAATCAAGAAAAATGATTTTCCTGAAAAAATCTGAAATCTATAATATTCATGTTCACATCACTATACTTTCAATAGAGTTCTTGAATTAAAAATAAAATTTTGGTTTTTTGTCCCCTTTCCAATAGAAAGAAAATATTTCAAAGGCGTGGTCATGATAGAGTTGAGTATTTGCTCTTGCAATCCAAAAATTATTGCTCTTATTTCTTTCGATATTTATTTGTTGGGACATAAGGAATCAAGTCCTCAACATGTTTTGTTTAAGAATTAAGGCAACTCGACCTCCTTTGTCCTTATTTCCTTGAATCAAGGACTATTAATCACCAACCTGAAAGCATGTTTCTTTGCCCTGTAAATAACTATACTTGTCTGCTTTGATTTTTAAATCTTGTCCTTCAGATTACAACAATTTTCTTAAGTCAAAGTTCAACAATCTCTATAATGTAAGTCAGAAAAATTTCCACATCATAGCTGTAGGCAAACGACTCCCCACTTCTTTGGGCTGTGTGTCATGTACTCCGTAAGTAACCAGACAGGAAATCTAGTTTCCCATTGACCCAGTAGTACATAACTGAAATTCAGCAGAGGTATATCATGCGATATGAATTCCCTGGATTATATTCAGATTATTTTTTCACTCAAGTCCAGCAAGGAAATCCTAGATATAAATTTCTGTTATCCATATCTGAAGACAAACTTAGAATTCATTAGAATATAGGATGTAGAACAAGAACAATTAGTACATTGATAATTCTAGATTCATCCTTGAAATGCAAGTTTAAATGAGATACTTGAAAATGATAATGCATCCACTAGAAGAAATTCAGGTTGGTGATTTGCCCAGAGGTCAGTCTTATGTAGACTCCGCATGAACTGGATATATTTAACCTATCACATCCTTACTCTGATCTCTCCTCTGCCTTTTGTTCCCCAGAGGGTAAAACAGAGAGAAGGGAGAAAAGAACCATAAATTTACATGTTGGTTACTAGTAGATAAACTTATTAACAAGTTCTCTTGAACATTTTTCCATACTACTCCTTAGCTGCTTCTAGGACCACCATCTTTTCATGACTATAATTACAACATTCTCTCCCAATTTTCATGAGTATTAATTTCTTCTTTTCTTTCCTTCTGTCATCCTCACTTAATATAACAATTGGTCATCTAAGAGTGTGAGGTAAGAATATTTATTAAGATCCTTATGGCAAAATTCTGTTTCCATTGATGTAAACAAATTGCTTTTAAGTGAAACAAATTATGTTTGACTTCTCAGCAATCTCATCTATTTCCTCAAATTCAGGGCAAGAAATTGAGTGGTGTATTTTAGGCCCAGCATCAAATGGACCAAAGAAAAGTGATCATAAATTTGCCTCTCAATATAATCCCTAGTCCAACAGTTTTAAAAATGGGTTTTCATGATCATAAGTTTGGGAAATATTAATAATGCTATTACTTAACATTTATTGAGCATTCCCTAAGTGTATGTATGGGGTTCATGTTCAGAGTTTTACATATTGTATCATTTAATTCTTAAAATCTCTTTATGAGACAAAAACGATTATTGCCCTATTTCATATAATAATAATTTGAAGCATAAGAAAATCAAGAAATTTGACACTATCTAGGTAGTGAATGGCAGTGCTACAAACTCAGCTGGGCATGTATAACCCTATGTCTTCACTAGAACACTTCTCAAAGACCTAAATATGTATTTGTGATCTATGAATCTTCATAGGAGAAATAGTCTATAAACTTTATTCCTAAAGTATTTGCTTACAGGCCCTTTTGTGTCACATGATGCAAAATTAGTATTTTCCTTTGAGAAACTTTACTAAATTATCCTTTAGCGGCCTTGCTAGTAAACTTAGGCTCTTTCATTAAAAATTACTTTGTTAGGGGAAGAGTTCTAATTAGAGAAACCATGACTGTGGCTTGTGTTGTGTAATACTGTTCAAGATCATTTCTTATCACTGGAAGTTGCTGAATAGGGCAGAAATTACAGTGGTAACAACATTCAGACCAAAGTTTTGTGTGATAATGAATGCCTGTTGTTTTGGGTGTTATAGTTTGTTATGCAGCTACAGCAAACCAATGTACAGAATACATGTGAGTTTTCTGGGAATCTGTAAGAAAGGAGGTGAAAGATATCTTATACTCCTACTAGATGTTACCTGAACCATAGGGCTTGTTGACCTTTTCTAAAATCTAGAGTTCTAGTGAGAGATGGCATGGAGATATGGCCACATAGTGAGGGTATGGAGACTACCTCTATAATCCCTTAATTGCTGAGAATATGGAAGATTGACCCTGCACATTTTTTTCTTAGCCCCAAAGTTTGTGCTTTAGAAATAGGGAAGTTTAGAGGCTACTCGACACCCCCATAATATGATCAAAAATGGGTTGCTTCTGAAGATAGGAACATTTAGCACCATGTTGGAAGATCCCTGGAGATGAAGTTGAATCTCACATGAGACCAAAAATTCATTTGAGAGATGCTTTGGATTTGGTTCTCCTATAGATAATGAGATTAGGTGCTGATAACCAATGGAAAGGGGAAAACAACCTCACCACCATGCACATATGATGCTCATGTAAGGAAACAGCAGGTATGACTATAAAAAAGGACAGCCAACTTAACAAGGCCCATCCCTCCATCCCTACTATAACATCCCAGAAGCAAGCCCAGGAAACCACTGTTACCTCCTGCCATCAGAAGGGAGTACTCCTGAGGGTGAAGTTGACACATAGAAGTCAAACTCAAAGGTAGATCTAATTTAAGCTCTGCCTGAATCACAAGAGAGATCTTCTGTTTTCATGGTGAAGAGGTCTTTCATGTTGGCAAATACCTTAATGGATTTGATGAAATTTTAGTATTTATTCTTCCATAAGTATATATAAAGTATCTCCTTTGTGCTAGTATTTGTAATATCCTTTGACCTCAGTTCCTCCTTCTGTAAGATAGGGTTCCTCAATATGGGAGAAACTTTGACAAAATTCCTACCGTGTTTACCTCCATCTCAGCTCAAGTTTCACGAGTAAGAAGGTTAACTAGGGTGAAAGATGAAGAGAGTTTTCATCTCATATGAAATTAAAATCTTACCTGTACTAAACTGCTTCAATAACTGAAAGAACCCCAAAAGTGACGAAAGGGTTCTAACTTATTGCTAGCAAAGCACAAAGATGAAGTTCTCAAAGTACTATTGGTAGCAGTTCCTGAAAAAAAATAAAAATGTTTTGTGCTTATATTTTGTAAATGGAGACTCTTCAATCAAATTGATTAATGAATTTGTATGAAATTGCTTTAGTTATCTTAAATAGATGTATACTTAAAATTGCTAAGCATAATTTGGGGGTTCTAACAAAATGACTGGTTCCTTTATTTTAAAAAGAAAATCAGTTGGGAAGAAGCTGAAGCATGTTTAGTCAGTCACCCAGAGAGACACTGAGTAACCTAATTAGGGACAGCTGGGGCACACAGGGCTCTTATTTACTGTGAAGGAAAAGGCTGCTTAGTTGTAACCAAGCAGGGGCCACACTAAGAAGACAAGGTATGTTTCAGAGGAGCCATTAGCTCCTACAGCAATATATGAACTAATTTCCCTGAGAAAAAATAAATTTGTCCACACGAACATAGCAGAGTTAATTATTACTACTAAAAGTGCCAAACTAGAATTGGTACATATTGAACAATTGATCTATTTAATCTTGCAGGATACATTGCAGTTATGTGTGTCTAACATATATGAAGGCCTGGGGCAATCTATAGGAATGTTAACGTTGCAACCGAGTAAAATTGAAGCTTTGGATATATTTGGAATTATTGTTAGACTCAGGCTTGTTTGTAAGGCACAGGACCTATTTTTTTATTTGAAGTAATTTGAAATAATTTGGATTTTTATAAACAAATATCAGGAGGGTCGGAGAGAGAAGAATGACAACTGTTTAATAATAACTGATATTGTTGGCAGAAACTACCTGAAAGCAAACCTTCAAATAGATTGGAGGAGTGGGTGTGGGAAGAGAATGGGGTCACTACATTTTGAAAACCCAAAGCATTAGCCATAATGGAAATAGCACAATTATGAACTAATGGGCCTCTGAAGCTCTAACTTACTTCAGAATTGATTTCAAGAGGACTTCTGATTTGGGAAACATTTTTACAGGCAGATTTCAAATGAACAAGATGACTGTTAAAGCTGTAACATAGTTTAAAAGAAAAAGACAACTATTGTCCTCATATTTTCCATCAACCTCAAAATGCAGGAACATACAACCCAGTAAATATTTAGCCACAAAGCTTCCAGACTAGACCTTTAACATTATTTTATTCTTTCTTGGAAATTATTATTACTATTATTATATATATATTTTTTGAGACAGAGTCTCACTCTGTCACCCAGGCTGGAGTGCAGAGGCACACTTTTGGCTCACTGCAACCTTCACCTTCCAGGTTCAAGCTATTCTCTCAGTCTCCCGAGTAGCTGGGATTACAGACATGCACCACTATGCCTGGCTAATGTTTATATTTTTAGTAGAGACAGGGTTTTGCCATGTTGGCCAGGCTGGTCTCGAAATCCTGACCTCAAGTGATCCACCGCCTTGGCCTTTCAAAGTATTGGGATTACAGGCGTGAGCCACCAAGCCCGACAGGAATTATTCTTTATAATAAAGAGCCTTTGAGTCTTTTTGAGCAAAAAATCATTTATAGGTAGGGGACTTGTGAGATAAGAAATATGTGATTCTCCAAACTTCCCCTTATCCTAGTGTTGGTATTCAGTAAATTGAATTACAGAATTACGTAGCTAACACTACCAAAATTAGGCTGAAGGGCAAAGCAGTTGACAGTTCTCTGCTGTAGTAAACTAAATCAATTGGGTTGAATACAAACGTACAATATGACTGCAGTTAAGCCCAGGGTTTGTGTCTATAACTCCATATTGTATACATTTTTTTTTTCTAAATGAAAGTGCTCTTGAAACTGAAAACCCAACGTACATGCTTCACTGTAATATAGTTAGAAAGGCTTTTAGCTGTGTTAATCAAAGCCTTTTTACTATGTGACTCTCTCCCTTGGACATTTTTAGATAACAACTACATTTTTTTGAACGTTGAAAGTCCTGGTTGCAAAGATATTTGTAGGTATCTCAGTGACATAGTGACACACCTCCAGCAAGAGAGGACAAACAAATGAACTAAAGAATAACTTTGTTGTATTCTTGAGGAAATCACCATTTAAAATCCTCTGATCCTAAGGTTTTTAGAATGCTGGTACCCAAATATAATTCATTGTTGGTTAATCTTAGGTCAGTTTGATCTTAAAGGAAGAAGAAAGCAATGATAGGCCCAGAATTTTTTCTTACAAACATTTAAAAAGATGGTATGGTATATGAGATGCTAGTGTGCTATAGTTTAAAAATCATGAAAAAATATGCCATTAATAAGTTGTGCAATTTTAGATAAGTTAATAAACCATTCTAAATGTTTTCTCATATTTGAAATATTTATCTTATAAATTTCTGAGCTTTTACTAAGACAACAATGTAGTATGGCTAAGAGCGTTATTAAGCGCCTCTGTTTATGAAATATCTACCCCCTTCAAAGTCAAATGCAACTGCTTCCTCACCTAAACTGAAATCTCTCTGAGGATATGTTCTACCTGTAGCAATGTACAAATGTTTTTCAGTTGACTGACACCTATTCCATGAACTCATGAAGCTAGGCTGACTAGAGAGATAGGGCTCATATGCAGAAAGGTAGACACTGGGAATTATAGGATTATAGCTAGTTTCATGTAGATCATAAAACAGCAGGGGTGTTGAGTGACTTTATGGCGAACTGAAATGTTCAAGGAAGTTTCACAGATAGGCAGAGTGAAACATATATAAGAAAAGGGAAAAGTGAAGGGAATTATGGCTGGGGATACCAATTAGACAAAGAAGGGTGAGAAACATGTCAAAGAAAAAAGTGATTTTACTCAGTTTTCCGGAGGACTGTTATATACGTCTTCCAGGGCTGCCATAATATAATCCCACAAACTGGATGGCTTAAAGTACAGAAATTGATTTTCTCACAGTTCTGGAGGCTAGAAGTCCAAGATCAGAGTGCTGGCAGGGTTGGTTTCTGGTGATACCTCTGTCCTTGGCTTGGATTTCTGAGTTCTTACATGGCCTTTCCATTGTGCATACCCACTCCTGGTGTCTCTTCTTCTTAGATGGACACCAGTCCTATTGGATTAGGACCCCACACTTTTGACCTTGTTGTTTTAATTCCCTCAGTAAAGACCTTATCTCCAAATATGGTCACACTGGGCATTAGGGCTTTAACCCCTGAACTGGGGGGGAACATAATTCAGTCTATTACAATTGTAAAATGTAACATTTGAGAGATGAATTAGAACAAAATAGTCAAGGAATTTGCCAAGGCAATATTTGCTATTCACTTTTTTCTCACTAAACATCTATAACCAAGATATCCATATATGTGACTCTTTCTCTTGGAAAATTCATGGAAGATTAGCTGACTCTTCTTTGTTTCTCCTTTCTTTTTCTTTTAACTTCAAATATATATATATATATATATATATACACACACACATATACTTCAATATACATATGTATTTTGAAGTTAATATATATGAAGTTAATATATTCTGTAGTATATTTCTTACATGTATATAAATAAAATAAAATATAAATAAAAAATAAAATATAAATAAAAAAATCCATACTACTTCAAATAAAAAAATAGGTCCTGTACCATATATATGTATATGTGTGTGTGTGTGTGTGTGTGTGTATATATATATACGTATATATATATGTGTATATATATGTGTATATATATATATATATATGTAAGACAGTGATCTTATAGAGATAACTTCCATTCTGTTTAAAAGTTACTTAAAAGTAGCTCAGTTTTGATAGGCACAAAATATTTAAGCATTAGTATTTACAGTTATCTCTTTCTTGGCTTTGGAATGGATGACTATATGTTCTTGCAGCTTTGTTCCTGGATCCTGATTGTGCTAAGATCTTGGGAGGTAAGGATAATTAGAAGATACTCACAAGGACTACAATAGATGTTTGCTGACTGTCTCCCGTAGCTAGCTACTCAACACAGTCTGAGTGAACTATGTTTTCCAACTCTTCTTGCAGGCAGGCATGTCTATGTGACTGAATCCTGGCCAGTGGAATTTAAGCAGAAGTAACAAACACCACTTTAAACCTGGCCATCAAATCCTCTCATGCCCACTGATCTAAAGTGCATAAAGAGACAAAAGTAATCTATTGTGTTAGAAGTCACCAGTTGGGGTGATTGGGCAAAGATGACAAGGGGCGTCTTCAGCCTGAGCGTCTTCTGTTTCTTGGCCTGAATGGGGATCATATGGGTGATGATTCACCAAGCAATATACTTATACTTTATAAACTTTTCTGTTTTTATATTGTACTTCAGTTGAGAAAGTTTAAAAGTATCCTTTCATAGCCTTTCCCCCATGATCCATTCCCCTTTGGAAGGCTGTGATAAAGAAGATGTTCAAGGACACCTCGGGAAGCATATGTTGAAGACGGCAGAGGCTGCACAGACCTAGTGTCTGAGAGCTTTTCATTTTATCTGTTCACTGTAGGGAGTTTGAATCATTTTGCACTGTTTTATTTCTTTGTTAGAGCCACTAGTATTAACCTAAAACATATTCCCATCATCCTTTCTCCCCTTTTTACTGCCATTAATATTCTCATCTTCCTACATGAATTTAACTATTTTCATTTTTGGCCACATGATCTCTTAGAACTGACCCTACCTCAGTTTCCAATTAAAGATTCTCATTTAGTTTCAGCTAATTAATATAGCCATCCCATGTCCACAGTGAAAGGCTGGACTTGAAACCTAATGCAGTGAGATACAATGAGAGTCAAGGAAACTTGCTGAGATTTTCATGAACGTAAAGTTCTTTGGTTTCTGGAAGAGCTATAAGAAAATATTTCCTTCCTCTAGATTTGGAGCTCTGGTTATGTGAGACAGGACCACTGCACTCTATTGCCATCAGAAGGGGGTCTGCCTGAGAGTGAAGTTGACACCTAGAAGTCAAGCTCAAAAATAGATCTAATGGTCTAGTTTGAACTCTGCCTGAAGCATAGGAGAGATCTTTTATTCTTTTTCGTAGTCAAGAGGTCTTTCTTTTTGACAAATACCTTGAAGAATTCACTTAAACTCATCTATAAGTGCATATTGAGTATCTCCTAGATGCTAATATTCATAATATTTTTTAACCTCCATGGCTTTTTCTAGAACATAGAGTTATCCAAAGGCTAAGGGCTGAGCCAGATGATACCTTGTGGTCTTAAATCAGATATCAATGTTCTGATTTTCAATTGTCTTTATATAACATGACCATTTTTGTCTAGTTATTTCAATACATATTTATCGCAAAAAGGTTATACTCTATGTTTCCACGTGGCCTCTTGAAACCCAAGCATTTTGTCTTCCATTTTATCCCTCCATTATCTCTTTTCTATAGAAAGTACACACCATTAATATCATATCATGAATTTTCTGCCATATTAATGTTTTTCAAGTGAGGTTTTAATTGTCTCACTTATGCTGTTATAATTTGTAGAGCTATGGTTTAAATTATATAGTTTTTAAAACTTTTATGTTCAAGGGTACATGTGTAGATTTGTTCTGTAGGTAAATTGCATGTCACAGGGGTTTGTTTGGTGTTCAGATTTTGTAACCCAGGTAATAAGCACAGTACCAGATAGTTTTTTGATCCTCACCCTCCTCCAGTCCTTCACCCTTAAGGCCCCAGTGTCTGTTGTTCCCTTCTTTGTGTCCATGTGTACTCAATGTTTAGCTCCCATTTATAAGTGAGAACATGCAGTATTTTATTTTCTGTTCCTATGTTAGTTCGCTTAGGATAATGGTGTCTAGCTCCATTCATGCTGCCGCAAAGGATATGATTTCATTCTTTATTATGGTTATATAGTATTTCATATATGGTGTATATGTACTACATCTTCTTTATCCAGTCTACTGTTGATGGGCGTTGAGGTTGATTCCATATCTTTGTTATTGTGAATAGTGCTGGAATGAACATATGTGTGCATGGGCCTTTATGGTAGAATGATTTATATTCCTTTGGGTGTATACCCAATAATGGGATTGCTGGGTCAACTGGTAATTCTGTTTTAAGTTCTTTGAGAAATTGCCAATCTGCTTTCCACAAAGGCTGAAACAATTTACATTCCTACCAGTAGTGTACTAGTGCTCCCTTTTCTCTACAACCTCATCAGCATCTGTTATTCTTTGATTTTTTTAATCATAGCCATTCTAACTGGTGTGAGATGGCATCTCACTGTGGTTTTGATTTGCAGTTCTGTAGTGATTTGTGATGTTAAGCATTTTTTCATATATTTGTTGGCTAAATGAACATCTTATTTTGAAAATTATCTGTTCATATCCACTTTTTAATGGGGTGGTTTGTCTTTTGCTTGTTAATTTGCTTAAGTTCGTTATAGATTTTGGATATTAGACCTTTGTCAGATGCATAGTTTGCAAATGTATTCTCCCATTCTGTAGGTTTTCTGTTTATTGATAGTTTCTTTTGCTATGCAAAAGCTCTTTACTCCAATTAGGTCCAATTTCCCAATTTTTTTTTATGTTGCAATTGCTTTTGGCATCTCCATTATGAAATCTTTGCCAGATCCTATGTCCAGAATAATATTTCCTAGGTTATCCTCCAAGGTTTTTACAGTTTTGGGTTTTACATTTAAGTCTTTACTCCATCTTGAGTTGATTTTTGTATATGGTGTAAGGAAGGGGGCCAGTTTCAATCTTCTGCATATGGTTAGCCAGGTATCCCAGCATCATATATTGAATAGGGAGTCCTTTTCCCATTGCTTGTTTTTGTTAACTTTGTCAGATGGTGATTGGTGTGTAACATTATTTCTGGACTCTCTATTCTGTTCCACTGGTCTGTGTATCTATTTTTGTACCTATACCATGCTGTTTTGTTTGCTGGAGCCTTGTAGTATAGCTTGACGTCAGGTAAGGTAATGCCTCCAGCTTTGTTCTTTTTGCTCAGGATTGCCTTGGCTATTCGGGCTCTTTTTTGGTTCCACGTGAATTTTAAAACAGTTTTTTTTTCTAATTCTGTGAAGAATGTCATTGTTAGTTTGATAGAAACAGCATTGAATCTGTAAATTGCTTTGCGTAGTATGACCATTTTAACAATATTGATTCTTCCTATTCATGAGCATGGAATGCTTTTCCATTTGTTTGTGTCAACTTGAGTTTCTTTTAGCAGTGTTTTGTAATTCTTTTTGTAGAGATCATTCACCTTCCTGTTTATCTGTATTCCTAGGTATTTTATTATTTTTGTGGCTATTGTGAATGGAACTGCATTCTTGATTTGGCTTTCAACTTGTATGTTGTTGGTGTATAGAAATGCTACTGGTTTTCATACACTGATTTTGTTTCCTGAAACTTTGCTGAAGCTATTTATCAGATCTGGGAACCTTTGGACAGAGACTATGGGGTTTTCTAGGTATAGAATCATATCATTTAAAAAAAAATAGTTTCATTTTCTCTCTTCCTATTTGGATGCCTTTGATTGTTTTATCTTGCCTGATTGGTGTGGCTGGGACTTCCAGTACTATTTTGAATAGTTGTGGTGAGAGAGGGCATCTTTGTCTTGTTTTTGTTTTCAAAGGGAATGCTTTGAGCTTTTACTCATTCAGTATGTGTTGGCTGTGGTTCTGTCACAGATGGCTCTTAAAATATATAGTTTTATCTTCTAAACGTTTCCTTTATTTTTTTCTACATTAGCTCAATTAAAATATATGTTTAATTATTGCTGAGTGATGGCCGGAAAGTTAATTTCTTGAAGATAATTATCTATCTCATATAATTATAACTCTGGAATCATAAAGCTTCTAGATTTGTCTCCTTCGGGTAAAGCATAGAATTTGAAACATGTTCTCCTGATATATTTTTGTTCACACAAATGAAAGTGTCACAAAGTTTGCCTCTCCCATTTAAGAGAAAAGTTATTTTTTAAAATGAAATTTTAGTTTTTCTCTCTAAACTGAAGTTCTCTGAATGAAGCAAAAACAAGAAAACAGTGTAGAGCAATGAAGAGAAAGCTGAGAGGTGGATTATGGTCCAGGCTTTGCCATTAATCTGCTGTATCAGATCATTTATTTTACCTGGATCTCAGTTTTTCTGTTGAGGAAAGCCAGACAATTAATAGGAAACTTGTTGCCAGTACTAACAATCTATGGAGAGAAACTAATGTGGATTTGGAATAGAATTCATCCTTCCAGTAAAAAATGGATATGCTCTATGCATTTAGGAGGCATAGACTTCACATTACCCAGACTCAATGACTAAACAGAGAAGATTCCCTGATTTTTCTCCATTACCTGTTATAGCATATGACAAGGCATGCATTTCTCAGGATCACATGTAACTAGAAACTAAGAAAACTGAAATTAATCTGAAGACATGGACTCATGTCCTCATGTTGCTGCTTACAGGGTTTGTGACTTTGGGCAATATATGCTACATTGGCCTAACTCACTCTGTTTTCTAAGCTAGGGAAAAAAACAAAAACACAACCAAAACTCTATTCCCCATCTAGATGTGTACTATTGTTATTCAATGATAAAATGTAAATGTTATAATACTTTGCTTACTGTGTAACTGTAGATATTGTGCTTAAACCCTTGACAGAGCCTTTAGTCTTCTGACATATAGAAATAGACACAGTAATAGATGGCATGGTGTTTTCCCACCCTTAGGAGAGATGCTCTGTTCATGATACTTCTCTATTGTCTGTTGTCTTCTTTCGTCTCCTCTCGGAATATCATGGAAGCCAACAAATGTCCAGTATTCTCCTTTCTTGAAGGCTTTGACTAGCTCTTTATCTTAAAGATAGGTAAATTCATTTTGGATATTTCTATGTATTTTTAATTCTCTTTATTTTACTTTATTTTATTTATTCATTTATTATTATTTTTTTAGATGAAGTCTCGTTCTGTCTCCCAGGCTGGAGTGCAATGGCATGATCTCGGCTCACTGCAAGCTCCGCCTCCTGGGTTCATGCCATTCTCTTGCCTCAGCCTCCCCAGTAGCTGGGACTACAGGCACCCGCCACCACGCCTGGCTAATTTTTTTGTACTTTTACAAGAGACGGGGTTTCACCGTGTTAGCCAGGATGGTCTCGATCTCCTGACTTCGTGATCCACCCGCCTCGGCCTCCCGAAGTGCTGGGATTACAGGCGTGAGCCACCGTGCCCAGCCAATTATCTTTATTTTTTAAAGTTAATCTCCTTAATGCCCCTGTCTTTAATCAGCATTGTTCAAAATCTCTTTAAAATCTGTTTAGCTTGTAAGTCTAATTTCCTCTCCTAAAGGATTTTTTATTTCTTTTGGCAGCCTGCTTTTTTCTTGGACCTTAAAGAGAGACCAAGGGCTGTTATTTTCAAATGTTATTATTGGGCTGCACAAATACATAAGTATACTGTTGCTTCCATGCACAAAAGAAAGCTCTCTGGTAAATGATTAAAATTGTCTTTTTTATGCTAATTTGAGTGCAGACTTATTGGAATGAATTTATCAGCCCCCGAACACTCACTGGGAGTTACCACAGGTCACTCCTGTAAATGAGATGTTGCATCCCAATGAGTAAATACATTTCAAAATGAAAAAGAAATCTATTTCAGGGATTTTTCTTACTTAACTCAAGTGTTCTGTAGTTGGTAACTAAATTTGCTAATATATTAATATGAAAAGTGCCACCTGAAATTATACAAAAAATCTTGTTTATTACAGAAATAGGCTGAACAAAGCAAACATTAAAAATGTAATTGAGGTAATTAGCTTGAATTTGGCAGGGAGAGTACTGGGTAAGAAGAAGGTTAAGCTACTAGGTGTATATAGTGAAAAAAACTGTTTAAACTGTAATTGTTGCATTAAATTGTTTATATAATGTTGGTTGATGTTTAAAACATTTGGGGCCATTTTGGAAAGCAAGATGTTTACTCATTTATCCAGCAACAGCCTGAAAAACTTAATTGAAAGCAGCTGATGCAGTGGTAATGCCAGGCCTCAGTATAAATGTCAACAGAGAAAAGAGAGTTATTTGTTGGTTTGCTTATTTGTCTTTTCCAGAGAGAAATTTGACTTCAAGAAAGGAAATTGCCTCCAAGGAAGAACAAAAAGAAACCAATGCCTCTCCAAAGGCTATCACGAGGCTAGATTGCTAACCCTCGTTAGCAAACAAGAAGAGACCAGGTGAGTTTGAGATATTGTGGCTCTTAATGTAAGAAATAGTAAAATTATGTTATATTATTACTGAGACATCAGAATGTCTGTTTTGAAGAACCCAGGCTAAAATAAAGAGGACCAAAAGCAAATTTTTGCAATCAGGTTTAATTGTACATTAAATATTTGAGTACCTTTAATATGCCAGTGCAAACACAAATGTAAAGAAAATATACTTGAACTTTAAGAATCTTCCATGAAGGAATAAGAAATCTGACTAGTAACATATATTGTATGAAAATCACTGGATACTAATAGTGTACACTGGTTGGGTGATGGGTGCACCAAAATCTCAGAAATCACCACTAAAGAACTTATTCATGTAACCAAACATCACCTGTTCCCTAAAAACCTATTGAAAGAAAATGGAAAAAAATAAAATCATTGGATACTACAAAAAAATAGAGTCAACCTATCTGAGTTCTGATGTGTATTCATCCAAAGATAACCCTAAATGAGTTAAACTTCCTAGTCTTTGAACCTGAGCTGGCCCTGTGTTATTAACAGACTGTGGCAGAAGTGATGCTTCATGACGTCTGAAGCTAAATCATGAGTCCTCAGCTTCTGCCTTGGTTTCTTGAAACATTCACTTGGGGTGAATCCAACAGCCACATTATAAGGAGGACTATCCCAAGATGGCCAATATGTGAGGAAGCCTAAGCTAGCCACGTGGAGAGGACACAAGAAGAGAGAGCTATGATCGACCTCCTCAATCTGTTACAATTATCCCAGCCCAGCCTCCAGACATGGGTGACAAGGAGCCACTTTGGACATTTCATGATGACAAAGATATTGGAGACTGGTTTTCCATTGTTAGGCTCCACCCTAAGGCAAAGCACAGAGTATACTAATCACGGTGATAAAGATATTGGAGACTGATTTTTTATGTTTAGGCCGCACCCTAAAGCAAATCATGGAGGCCTTAAGTATCATTGCAAGGGTTAGATCTGGTTTCAGCTAACAAAGTCTGACAACGTAAGAGTGAATAAGACAGCAACTGGGAGGGAGTAGAGAGAAGAGTTGGTATACAAAGATCTTCATTCACAAAAGTTCTGTGGTTGAAAGATTTTATCTATAGTTGATAAGGCAAAAAAATACAGGTGTGTAAAAATCTTCAAAGATAAATAATACAGGTATTAAAATAAAGATATAATTACACTTGGACTTAAAGTGTGTGCATCTGGAAGGATGCCAAATAATTATCAACTGGTAAACTCTAAAAATCAATATACCAAGAAATAACTGTGAAGGCATATTATTTAGCAAGATAGAAGATCCAGCTAATGTAATTGAAATTGACTTTTCTTGGGAGAACAATTGGGTGTTGGAAAAGAGGAAATAGATACATTTCCATTATTATAAATTTTGTTATTACTGTATATCCTTTTTAAATGTTTTAAAACATATGTATTTATAATTTTTGAAGCTTGTAATTCATTAAAATAAGTTTATCATATTTTTTCAAACATAAATTCAGAGATAAATATAATGAACACTTGTGTACATACTAAGCAACTTTAATGATAATATTTTGTTATACTTGCTTTAGATATTTAAAAGAATGAATCATTAAAAATAGATATAATGCCATTTGGTATCCTTTTTTTTTTTTTTTTTGAGACGGAGTCTCACTGTGTCACCAAGGCTGGCATGCAGTGGTGCAATCTCGGCTCACTGCAAGCTCTGCCTCCCGGGTTCACGTCATTCTCCTGCCTCAGCCTCCTGAGTAGCTGGGACTACAGGCGCCCACCACAACGTCCGGCTAATTTTTTCGTATTTTTAGTAGAGACGGGGTTTCACCTTGTTAGCCAGGGTGGTCTCGATCTCCTGACCTCATGATCTGCCCACCTTAGCCTCCCAAAGTGCTGGGATTACAGGTGTCAGCCACTGCACCCTGCCTTGGGACCCCTAATTTAAAAGATTTTATGTTTATTCCACATTTTATCTCAATACATTAATTATTCCAATTTGATGTAACCTGGCATTCCTGAAATATACAACTTGGTCATGATTCATTTAATTCATTCTTCAGTACAAAGAAAGCTTTTGGAGGATTGCAACTCTTTTAATCAGTGGGATTGCCCTGCAAACTCTCTCTCTCTTGACACTGATATTAAAGTTATACTACCTTCCTGTTTTTCTCTAATAAAAAATGTATTCAGTGGAAACTACAGGTTTCATGAATATTTGATAAAAATGCTAATAGAACTTGTTTTTATTTGGGCATTTAGTGGTGCTCTAAATGGCTGAACATTCTTGATGGATTGGATTACTCACTGTCCTGCCACTTCTCAGATGTGGCATGCCCAGTAAGGCAAGCGTAAAGTGCTTCCATAATTACTAGACTGTTAATATTTGTTGAATAGACTAGAAAGCTACCAAGGTAGTGATGCCCAATGAGGAAAATGTGTCTCCTTTCCCGCTATTTACTCTGCTTCATTAAGAAGAATGAAATGCTGCATAAGAGAGCAATACTGGTCAACTCCCTTTTAGTGACTGCTTATAGCAGTGTCCTGTTTTCTGAATATCTTGCTCAGCTTGCTACTGGTACGTTTTAGAACAAGATGTGGATCTGCTGCTTATCTGAAATGGGAACCTGAACTTCAGGGTCAGGGTCTATCTCACGAGCATTTATCCATTAAGCCCTAAGATTTTATTCTACAACAATGCAGATTATTATCTGATATTGAACCATTTTCATGACCAACAGAATTCTCCATGACCCATCACAATTCAAAAT
Source organism: Homo sapiens (assembly GCF_000001405.40). Classification (NCBI taxonomy): domain Eukaryota; kingdom Metazoa; phylum Chordata; class Mammalia; order Primates; family Hominidae; genus Homo; species Homo sapiens. The sequence goes on along the minus strand of NC_000005.10, from coordinate 63,695,034 downwards.
TTTTACTTGTGGAATTATCTAGGGGAAATAGAGAATTTAAAGAGATTTGGAATTATTGCTCTAGCTATCTTGAATGTACTTTTTTGAATTTCTGATTAAATATGTACAAAATGGGTCAGGTTTCTTAAAAATGATATATCAAACAAGAGTTAGGGAAACAATAAGGAGGAGATATTAGTCTGGAGGATGATTCTGGGAATATTTTGCATATAGAAAGAATAATGGTTGTAATAAACTAATACTTTTCACATTACAAAAGTAAATTTTAATTCACCCTCAGATATTTAAAGGCATAATATGTTTATTGGAGAGTTCAAGTTTCTATTTTAGGGAATGTTTAGTTAGTACATCCATATGGTTACATTAAATTTGGAGGTTTCCTTTATTTTTTCTGGACACTTGAAAACAGTCACATTTGAAACCAGTAAATTTTTAAACCTATTTTGTAATACTACTCTCTAGAGTTGCCACTATGAGATCTGAGTTGGAAAGTAATTCATTTTTGAGTTTTACCTCTCTTTGGGAGAAAGATGTAGATAAAAAACAAATATAATTTTATCTAATATTTACTAGAAAAGAATAAATTATCTTTGACTTAATTTTTAGGAACTTAGAAAAATGATCTCTTGAAAGATGCTAGACTGTATGGATATTGTTCTTTCCCATATTCAGAACTGTGGGAACAATAATGGTGTAAATATTTATTATGTACAGGACCCTCCTCCCACGTTCCTACCCTCCCAGAGGAGTGATGATCTCCATAGAAAAAACAAGTGAAATGAAATGAAGAGGTTGATTTTTGTTCCTTTTTAGTTTTTGATATTATGGAAATTTTATTGCCTGGAAGGGACGAAATAGATCTATGCAAAATTTTCAAAATCTGTATATAAATATCATAGAGTTCTTACGGTAATTGCTCACTAATAGAGATATGTAAATAACCAAAATAAATCTTTCCCAAGGTCACATATTTGGGAATATCCAAGATTTCATAAATCATTTCTTTAGCGATTCTTGAATGGCTGCTTCAACAATAATGTATCTTACTTAACAATTCTTGAGCAACTTCCTTATCTCCCTATGTATCAGCATAACCTTTTCAGATATAATACCATTGATTAAAGGATTTCCCTCTAGCTTCCATTTTCTCTTGAATATTGATCTGCATTATAGTTCTTTTTTAGAAATCTATAGGAGAAAATGATGGAATGTGTTACAAAGTCATAACATTAGTTAAAAGCCTTTGACATCAAATTTGAAGGCATTCATTGTGCATCCAGTAGTTTGTATCTTTTCAGTGGGAAATGTGTTGTATTATTTTTAATTACTTTTAAAACTATTAATTTGATAATGTCCTGCTTATTTCTGTTAATTAACTTTTCTTCAGGCATTGTGTTAGAATTATGAGTGGTGAAGGTGGTGAAGTAGATTTTACCAGCCATGATTATCAAAAACCTTTTTTAAAAAATTAACAGATAACTCAATAAAATATGCTTTTCTAAGACATGTCTTTATCAAAATAGTCAAAAATATTTAATGAATATTAGTTTCAATGAATGCTAAGTAAGCATAAAGTTTAGCTAATATTATTTAACTTTTAATACCTTCTTTACATTTTAAACATGTATTTCTCATGCTTCTGGTGGTTCAAATATGAAAAACCCAGTACGTAATTCACACATAACATTTTCCATCAGCTTGCTGTTTGTAGTTCTCTTTCGTTGGTGCCAACCTTAATTACCCTATCACTATTGGAGGAGTTTTATCTGTGCCAAAATTTAGCTAATTTCAAGTACTCTCTAAAAAATAAGCTATTTTTTAAAATCATAGGACTTTTCTCTCTTCTCTAGTGCCTCAATTTAAAAATAAATTCTGAAATTAAGGTATGTACACAAAAAATGCACATGGTAATAATAGATAGCTTAATGAATTCTCTCAAAGTGAAAACACCCATATGTTCACTACTTAACCTGAAACTTATGTCTTCATTTGTAAAATAAACTTGTAGTGTGGATTTAAGTAATCCTCAAATTCTCTTCCATCTATGGATTTTATAGTTCTGTAAAGTATGACAAATTCGTTTTCTTCCTTTTTTAACAACAGTTTTTTAAGTACATGTTTTTATTGAAGCATAAAATACAGAAAATTTTTAAATCATCTGGGTACAGCTTGTTATCTTACCCCAAAGTTAATGTACTATATAAGCACCATTTAGGTAAAAATCATCATCATCATCATCATAAAAGAAACATAACAAATTATTAAATACTGCACAATCCTTCTGTTTCTCTTCCAAGTTTCTATTCAGCCTCCTTCTCAAGTGTGTACACTATCCAGACTTCTTATATCAAAAATTAATTTTGCCTGTTTTTGAATCTTTTATAAGTGGAATTATAGAGTATTTGAATTTATTTTCCTGCCTTCTCAAGCCACAATATGTTGCCTGTGAGATGCACATGTATTGCACATGTATTTTATTCATTCTGTTCTGTATAATATCCTATTATATGAAGATACATTGTCCTTTCTTCTGTTGATAAGGATTTGAGTTATTCCTAGTTTTTAGCTGTTGTAGACAGTTAAAACAATCTTGCACAACACTTGTAGTGCAAATATGCTCTTACTTGTGTTAACTATATACCCAGGAGTGGAATTGCTATTGTCATAAAGGTTTCATAGTTGATACTAATAGCTTTCCAGCATAGTTGTGCTGATTTACTCCCCTGCTTTCAGTGTATGGGATCTCTAGTTGTTTTATAGCCTTGCCGGCATATGATATTTTCTGTTTTTAAAACTCCATTCAGAATGTGTTTTATATTTTTTTATCACTGGATTTGGTTGGCTAATGTTGTGTGTAGAATTTCTTTTCACTTATGTTTATGTTAAAGATTTTCCTTTCTTGTTCTGTTCTTTTAAAGTTTTTGTGTTAAGGTTTCATTGGCATTGTGAACAATTACAAAGTGTTGCTTTTCCTTCTATTCAATGAAGATAGAGAGTTAACTGTTTTGAAGAAATGACTGCTAAAGCAATCTGGGCCAAAAGTTTTCTTTTTGAAGGGTTTGAATTACGGATTTAATTTATTTAATAATATTGGACTACTGAGATTTTATATCAATATGCTTTTGTTTCTATTAATACCATGCAACCCTTTGGGAATCCCTACCGAAAGACTTCTGTTTATCAGAGCGTTTCCTTCTTGGCATACCTAGATCCCCAATTTTTCTTCGCCCGCTCCTCTGTGATTGTTAAGTGCTCTGCTCAACTTCTAAACTCCTCAAGAGCCATTTTAGGATCTGTAAAGGCCTTTGGTTAAAGTTTCCTCAAATGTTAGTTTTACCTCTCTGCATTTGTCATCTCCCTGTCTTATCAATTCCTTCAAACAGTGATTTTACATCTTTTATTCATAGCCTCTAGACGTTTTTGGTAGAAGTTTGGTCTGATATAAGCTAATCCATTATAGCCAGAAATAGGCAATTCATGCACAGTTTTCAATCAGCAGAAACAAGATTGCAACATATCTTAGTTTGTGTCAACATGGCACTACATAGAACCTTAAATACTGCACAATCTTTGTTATCCTTGCACAAAATCCCAGTAAGCTATCTTTCTTCAGAGATAACTTTCTGCTTTGATACTCTTTCTTAAGCAATTGCACATTAAAAAAAAATAATAGCACTGCAGAATCCTGGTGCCATTTAAAACTGATCTGTCGTACAAGCATACTTTATATATCCTAAGTGAAATGTGTGGGCTATTTATTTTTCCTCAGGCAGACTATAAAACACACTTAATAGAATATTTTTATACACAAATAGAATGTGGATTCCTCTTGCATCTTTATCAGGATTTTTTCAAATAATTTTATATTTGCTTTTGAAAAGATCTAAATAGCTTTCAAAATTAGAAAGATTGGTCACGTATCAGATTTCTCCTGCAGAACTAACTCACTTTTCTTTTCTTGCTACCTCCCTATGTAAACCATTTAGTGCCAAAAAACTGATGATAGAATCAGCATTTTTGAAATGTGCTTTTATCCCCATGCCCACTTCTTTGTTTATACAGTTGACCCTTGAACAATACGGGGATTAGGGACGTAGTCTCATGTAGTCAAAAATCAGTGTATAACTTCTAAGTCCCCTACAGCTTAACTACTGTTGTGGCAGGCCAGGTTTCCATTAGCAATCAGAACAGTCAGTTTCTACTAACCCTTTACTATAACTCTGATGAATGTATAAGTTAAACATTAAAGAACCGGAGAAGGTGGTACCTAAGTACAAGGACTGGAATGCAAAAACAAACCCATTGAGACCCCAGACCCTAGTTAAAGATTAGAAGTAGATTGAATGAAACACTCTTGCTTGTAGGTGCACTCCCACTCATAGACAGGGAGCTTAAGATGTATATAAGCACTAGAAAAAATCTTCTAACCTTGAGTTGGTCTGGTGAGTTACTCTGACCTTCTCCTTGTAACTGGTTGCAGAAATAAACTCCCTTCTTTCCCAGTCTGCCTGCATCTCATTATTGGATCACCAGGACAAGCAGCCAGGCCTCATTCTGTCCGGGAGCAAATCTGGTAACTCTCCCAGGAGAGCTCAGCAGCCAGCGGCTCGCAAAGAGGTAGTCTTTGGGTGACCCCCAGCAGCTGCCTGGTATGGTTTGTCCTGGGGACTCTCCTGAGGACCTTTCTGGCTGCAAAGACTGCCCGTCTCTCTATTACTGGGAAAGAATAGAGATTGGGAGCAGTTGCACTCAAAAGGTGAGTAAAATTGGATCCTAAGCCAGGAATCTATTATTTCCTCTATTTGGGCTCATGTAGCCATTTGTTTGGGTACTACTGAGGAAATAGTAAGACTCCTTGGGATAACCTGCTTTGCATTTGTTTGAGGAATTTATTTACATTTGTTTTTGAAAATTTGTTCTGTTTGTCTGATATTTATTAAGTTTAGAATACTCAGTATGGGCAACACTGCATCTATACCTACAAATAGTCTTCTAGGGAGACTTTTATCAGATTGGAAGCACTTTGGTTATCTACCACCCATGACTGAAAGAAATTAATCTTCTATTTTGACACAGCCTGGCCAATATGTGTTTTGGGGTCTGAGGAACAGTGGCGGGTTTTTGGATCTTGATATTTTCATACCATTTATCAATTAAAATTGCTCTGTCAGAGGTCAGGCAAGTGGGGCAAAATACCTTACATCCAGATATTTACGTTGCTGTATAATAAGGATGCTAAAGAAAAAGGAAATAAGTTAATGGTGCAAGGCACTGCGAAGGTCTGTCCTGACACCCCAGGGGAGGAAGAGAAAACGTCTGAAACCCAACAGTTAATACCCTGAACCCCATAGTAGCTACTGCCCAGCTCAGGAAAGAGAGGGAATGTCACCCTCAGAGTACGGGGAGGCAGCAGGGCTATTGTTTCCTCCGTGGACTAGGCAAGATACTAATTTGGCTGGGGAGTCCCCAGGTCTGGAGATGGGCAATTCCACTAGGATAATATCCAGTAGGAGTCAATCAGCAAGGAGCTCCAATGGGATATTATTGGGCTTATAATACCAAAATATTGGCTGCACACTGTCCTTCCTGGGCAGAGGTGCATGCAGGCTCTTCTAAACATGCTCATGGCAGATGAGTGGTGGCTGGTTTTAAATGAAGCAAAGGAAGAGGCACAATACCTTCATGATGAACATCCAGATCCTGATGGGGCAATTCCCTGCACAGAACTAAACTGGAATATTTTAGAGGACATACATCCCAGTGTAGCTAACCCTGGGATGTTATGTTCATTTCTCTCCCTGGAGATCATAAATGATTTACAGTATTGGATTTGAAATATGCTTTCTTGGCTGGGCACAGTGGTTCACACCTGTAATCCCAACACTTTGGTAGGCTGAGGTGGGTGGATCACTTGGGTCAGGAGTTTGAGACCAGCCTGGCCAACATGGCGAAACCCTGTACTAAAAATACAAAAATTAGCCAGGTGTAGTGGCAGTCGCCTGTAATCCCGGCTACTTGGAAGGACGAGGCAGGAGAACCGTTTGAACCTGGGAGGCGGAGGTTACAGTGAGCTGAGATCATGCCATTGCACTCCATCCTGGGCAACAAGAGTGAAATTCTGTTTCAAATAAAAAAAAAAAAGAAATATGCTTTCTTTTGCATACCCATAGACACAGAAAGTCAGTTGTCGTTTGCCTCTGAATGAACAGATCCTGAAGCATCAGCAAGGTTTCATTATTATTGGACTGTGCTCCCACAAGGATTTTAAAACTCTCCAGCTGTATTTGGAGAAGCATTGACTCAAAATTTAAGGAGTTTACAATTGAAAAATGGGGTACTGTTACAATATGTGGATAATTTACTAATATCTAACCCTTCAAGATGGGAATGTCAGAATAATACCATTAAAACTCTCAACTGTCTAGCAACCTCTGGGTATCAGGAAAGGCTCAAATATGCCAACAAACTGTGGAATATTTTGGTTTCCTCTTACAGAAGGGAACCAGAGTTTTAAAGGTGAAAAAGCGAAACACAATCACATCCATCACAGCATTCACTACCAAAAGATAGCTGAGAGGATTTGTAGGCATGGCAAGGGCTTTGTCGGGTCTGGATTCCTAACTATGGACTGCTGGTAAAACCACTATATGAACTGTTGAAGGGAGCTAACAACAACTCCTTTGGAAAACAAACCACCAGCAGACATTTGAATAACTAAAACATAAGTTGACCTCCACCCTAGCCCTGGGGCTCCCAAATTCTCACAAGCCCTTTCAACTTTACATGCATGAGAGATTGGGTCTAGCACTAGGGGTCCTTACACAAAAATTAGGATAAATAATGCACCCAGTGGCTTACTTTTCTAAACAACTGCATACTATGGCCAAAGTCTGGCCCCTTTGCTTAAGGGCAGTCGCTGCCACATGCCTGCTATTAAAGGAAGCTGAAACGTTGACTGTGAGACAGCCTATCATGATCTATGTGCCTCGCCAGGTGCTAGTGTTACTAGAACAAAAGGGAGGCTATTGGTGGACACTAGGGCAGGCTGGGCAAATACCAGGCCACACTCTTAGATAATCCCACAGTGAAATTGCAGACTGCTAGCGTCTTAAACCCAGCTACATTACTTCTCTCTACCAAAGAGCCAAAAGAACCTATAACTGTTTAGAAATTATTGACCAGGTATTTTCCAGTCGCCCTCACTTAAAGGACACAGCCCTTCCACAGGCAGACTGGATATTGTGGATGGGAGCAGCCTGGTAACCAATGAAAGAAGGAATGCTGCATATGCTGTGGTAACCTTTTCAGAGGTAATAGAAGTAAGGACTTCACCAATAGGAACCTCTGCACAGAAAGCAGAACTGATTATCTTTACTACAGCCCTGCAGCTAGCTGTCCCAAGTAAACAACGCTCTTGGAGTAAATTGGAAACTCACACAGCATGGAAACCACAACCTTCTGGACAGACTGAAAGGATGAATCAAACACGAAAACAGTGCCAAACTGTGCCAACTAAAATGGATTCAGGTACTCAGCATTGTACTGCTTTGGGTAAGTGACCCCTAGAAGTGGGATGAGGTTAAATCCCTATAAAATTATAAATGGGAGACCCTTTGCTGCTAATCTGTCTTGGGTTACTTGGGTACCTCTTAATAGAAAGCCAACTATTAAACACTATGCTACTCACTTGGGACAAATACTTAATGTTTTGCATAAGCTTGCTTGCAACAGGAGTATCGTAAACTCAGCGAAACTGTGTCACTTGTACCAGCCTGGTGATCAAGTGCTGCTGAAAGAATAAAGAGAAATGAGCCCAAGTCAGCAGCTACAGGAGAAATAGAAAGGGCCCCATGACATGCTGCTGACTACCAATTTGGCAATGAAACTGGCTGGCATCAAGCCATGGATCCACCACATGCCCGTGAAGAAGTTCCTGCCGGAGGAAACATTCATGACACAGGACACCAAGGCTGCCAAATGGGAGACAGAACCCCTTGAAGGCCTAGGATTTCTGTTCAAAAGATGATAAAGTATTGTTTTACATTGTTACATTGCTGCTTTACATTGCTGCTGTTTTACATTGTTATTTCTGCGTACCTCTAACCTTTTCCTACAATGGGCAAAGGTTATGCAAATAGCTTACAGCAAGACTCTTGCTGGGTCTGTGCTCTATTACCCCTCTCTGGCACCATGGGGCTGCCTTGGTGCATCCCCCACATACAAGGAAAAATTAGGTTTATAATATCTTGATTTTGTAGAACACCTTCCTGGTGGCAGAAAATTCTTCTTGTCCTAGCTGCCTTCCTGGGCATGAGCATAATACTATGTTGTGAACTATATTATTGTTATATGCTGTTCCAAAACATTCCTCAGGCTCACAAGATCATGTCTTATCAGGCGCTGCCTTTGAGTCTCTAAAGCCAGAAACATTACCAGCACCAGATAGACATCTTCCACTCTAGCACCCCTTGATGACAACCCTCTTCAGCAGGAAGTAGATGGAGGGAATGCATACCCACTTTCCCTTAGTCGGCTATGTCATAGTTTACACTTTTGCACTAGCCTTTTAACAAACCAGTACTTGAAAAAATTAACTAACATGCTAGAAATCACGTACAAATTGACAGTGGGGATTGTGGCAGGCCAGGTTTCCATTAGCAACCAGAACAGTCAGTTTTCACTAATCCTTTACTATAACTCTGATGAATATATAAGTTAAACATTAAAGAACTGGAGAAACTGGTCACTAAGTACAATGGCTGGAATGCAAAAACAAACCCATTAAGACCCCAGACCCTAATGATTAGATACAGATTGAAAGAAACACTCCTGCTTGTAGGTGCACTCCCACACATAGGCAGAGAGCTTAAAATGTGTATATGCACTAGAAAAAATATTGTAACTGCGTTGGTCTGATGAGTTACTCTGACCTTCTCCTTGTAACTGGTTGCAAAAATAAACTTTCTTTTTCCCCAGTCTGTCTGCATCTCATTATTGGACTGCGAGAACAAGCCACCAGACCTCTTTCTGTCCGGGAATACAGTGAACCCAATATATCTGAGACAGGTCTGTCAATTTAGAAAGTTTATTTTTCTAAGGTTAAGGACATGCCGGTGACACAGCCTCAGCAGGTCCGGACAACATGTGCCCAAGGTGGTCGGGGTACAGCTTGCTTTTATACATTTTAGGGAATCATGAGACATCAATCAATATGTGTAAAACCTACATTGGTTTGGTCAGGTAAGGCAGAATAGCTTAAAGTGGGGGCTTCTGGGTCAGAAGTACATAAGACACAAAAGGTTGCATTCTTTTGAGTCCTAGATCAGCCTTCCACTGAATATACAATTTAGTCTGGCTCAGTGAATATGCATTTTTATGTAAATGATAGGGCAGAAGAAGCAATCAGATATGCATTTGTCTTAGGTTAGCTTCAGAGGGATAACTGTGAGTTCTGTTCTTTGTCCACAAGAAGTTTCCTTGTGGGCAAAGTGAGGGAGGTATGTAGCTTCTTACCTTTGTAGCTATCTTGTTTTGGAATAAACTGGGAGGCAGGTTTGCCTGATATATTTCCCAGCTTGACTTTTTCCTTGGCTTAGTGATTTTAGGGTCCTGAGATTTATGTTCCTTTCACACTACTAATAGCCTACTGTTGACAGGAAGCCTGACTGATAACGTAAACAGTCAATTAACACATATGTTGTATGTTATATGTATTATATAGTATATTCTTACAATAAAGTAGTTTACAGAAAAATGTTATTAAAAAATCATAAGGGCGAGAAAATATATTTACAATTCATTAAGTGGAAATGGATCATCATAAAGGTCTTGATTCTACTCTTCATATTGAGTAGGCTGAGGGAGAAAAGGAAGAGGAAGGGGGTTTTTGCTGCCTCAGGGGTGGCAGAGGCAGAAGAAAAGCTGTGTGTAAGCAGACCCTCACAGCTCAAACTCATGTTTTTCAAGGATCTACTATACTATTAATTCATCCTGGAATATATTCCATTTCTAAAATTATTCATTAAAATGCTACACATTGGATAAGAATAAGTTTGAGTGGCACAACCCCTATGATTGCTCTTATAATCATTTGTCTACTTTGAAAGAAAATGACCTATAATTCTGCATAGCACACATAAACTTCCTTAGCATAATGTTATACCTCACAACTATTGTGTATCTATGTTATTCCACACATTACTGTAAACTCCTTAAAGACAGGAACCTGCTCCTAAATAGCTTCTTGTCACTAAAGTGTTTTGCTTATAGTAGCTATTCACTCATAATGAAGTAAAATTATGAATTTCAAAGACATTTAAAGTTAGATGCTGCACATAGTGTGATTATATTGATGACTTTTATTTTGTGCCTAGAATAGAATTCTACAGATTTGGGGGAATTCTTTGTAAAGATTAAATATAGTAATTCTACAACATAACAGAAACAAAACTAAGAATAGAAATACAACCTGAATATTGCACACATTAATTCTTGGGTCACCATAATTTTAAGAAAATACTGTGACATTAATTCTCACTATAAATTTGTTCATAATCAATTGGAAAAGCCCCTTTCCTTGTTATGATTATTTTGTTTTTGTTATGATTTTTCAATCCTCCTCACTCATATCAATCCATTGAAAAAGTGGTAACTAGGCTGGGCACGGTGGCTCACGCCTGTAATCCCAGCACTTTGGGAGGCCGAGGCGGGTGGATCACCTGAGGTCGGGAGTTTGAGACCAGTCTGACCAACACGGAGAAATCCCGTCTCTACTAAAAATACAAAATTAGCTGGGCGTGGTGGCGCATGCCTGTAATCCTGGCTACTTGGGAGGCTGAGGCAGGAGAATAGTTTGCACCCGGGTGGAGGAGGTTGTGGTGAGCCAAGATCGCGCCATTGCACTCCAGCCTGGGCAAAAAGAGTGAAACTCCGTCTCAAAAAAAAAAAAAGAAAGGAAAAGAAAAAGTGGTAACTGTAAGCTTCCCTGGAAATGCCTAAGCCTTAGCACTATTCTACTGAAAGAACTTATCTAAGGCTGTAAAATCTGTGTGACATTTTACAAGAATGATAACTTAAAGCTTCAAGCTGTTGTCTCTGAAATTTTTAATATACATTAGAGGGTAGAAGTAAGCAAGTCGGTACATTTTGGCTCGACAATCGTTTTTTTTTCAATGACAACACATTTTTATTTTTAATGGTACTTATTTTTGTAAACAGAACAATTAGTCCTACCAAGGACATACACCAAGTACAGAAGAACTGTCCTCACAAAGCTAGCAAACAGCGTCCATATCATGCAAGTCATTTTCTACTGACATGATAATGGGTGATGGAGTCTTGCTAAATGTTACAGATCCCATTGATTTTTTTACAAGTTTTCCCACCTGCCAGTACTCAATCAGTATGATATTTGTTTAAACATTTTGTGTTCTTTCTGTAACTTAGAGTGATACCAGTTACAAAAATTCAGCAGTCAGAATTTTACTGACAATTTTTCCTTTGAAACATGGTACAGAAGGAAACCCAGCTTGCTCCGCCCCAGGTGCATTTGCTCTGTCATGCCAAAAGAGCATAGCATAAGATATGATTGTCAGTTAAGGAAGCAAATAGAATTCAGAGATACCCAGGGGAAAGAAAATGTTGACCATGCGAGTAAGACTGTTTTTATAATTACATTTTTAACTATAGCTATTCTTAATGGAAGGAAAGAACAGCTAGGGAAGTCACTGGAATACCAAAATGCAGATTTATTCACTGCATAAATAATATAGTGGTTTATTAAAGACTGAGACCCTATAAGTAGCCTTACACGGGCTTAAGAAGATATTGTTCTTCTAGGCAACCTGGAAGTACTTTTAAATTTTCTCTATTAGGTAATGAATGCCACTTATGTTTATTATTATTAAATTAGACTGACAGTATATTTGATCTCAGTTTACACACAGACTCTTTATCATATTTCTATCCTTTTGGTATTAAGTGTGTATTATTATTTACTTATTTTTTTGAGATGGAGTCTCACTCTATTATCCAGGCTGGAGTGCAGTGGCACAATCTTGTCTCACTGCAACCTCCGCCTCCCAGGTTTAAGTGATTTTCCCGTCTCAGCCTCACGAGTAGCTGGGATTACAGGCGCCCGCCACCATGCCTGACTAATGTTTGTATTTTTAATAGAGATGGGGTTTCACCATGTTGGCCAGGCTGGTCTCAAACTCCTGACCTCAAGTGACCCACCTGCCTTGGCCTCCCAAAGTGCTGGAATTACAAGCGTGAGCCACCATGCCCAGCCAAGTGTGAATTGTTTAGTACATATATGTTCAATTTTTTTAAAGAAAATGTCCAATAGTTTTCCAAAGGTGTTGCACCATTTTATACTTTCTTCAAAAGTGTATGAAAGTTCCAGTTTCTTCACATCTTGACCAGAATTTAATATTGTGTTTGTATGTGTGTGTTTAACTTTTAGCTATTCTAATGATTGTGCAGTGTTATCTCATTAGAGTTTTAATGGGCATTTCCCTGATGACTAATGGTGTTGTGCATCTTTTCATGTGCTTATTTTGCCATTTGTAGATTTACTTTTCTGAAAATTATTCAAATCTTCTGCTTATTTTTATTGGGTTGTTTGTCATCGTTTTAGTAACTAGTAAGAGTTATTTTTATATTATGGATGCAAGCCCATTATCAGACAGATGCATTATGAATATTTCTCCCCAGTTGGGCTTGCATTTTTAATTTCTTAATCAAGTATATCAAAGACTTAAGTATATCAAATTTTAAAATACTTACATTTAAAAATACTTATATTTTAAAATTTGACTAAAGCAAAATTATATATTTTTCTGTTATAGTTTGTGCTTTTAGTGTCCCTTTTAAGAAATCTTTCCCTAATCCAAGGTCCCCATCAACCTGCTTTTATTTATTTTCAGAGTCCTCTGGTTGCTGCCTTTGAATTTTGTCTGGAATTTGGTGGTAATTATGGGTAGAGCTAGGCTAAGTGGACTTTCTCCATCTTGAATGCTTATCTTCTGATAGTATTAATATTTTTGAAACACTAGGAACAACTAAAAAAGAAATCTACTTGGGTAAAGGAAATCCCTACCCTCACTTAATTAAGGTAATCTTTTTTGAGAGAATAGAACTTGAAAACTTTGAAAAAAATTTAGACAAACGTATAACTAGAATAACCAATACAGAGAAGTGCTTAAAGGAGCTGATGGAGCTGAAAGCCAAGGCTCGAGAACTACGTGAAGAACTCAGAAGCCTCAGGAGCCGATGTGATCAACTGGAAGAAAGGGTATCAGTGATGGAAGATGAAATGAATGAAATGAAGCGAGAAGGGAAGTTTACAGAAAAAAGATTAAAAAGAAACGAACAAAGCCTCCAAGACATATGGGACTATGTGAAAAGACCAAATCTACGTCTGATTGGTGTACCTGAAAGTGACGGGGAGAATGGAACCAAGTTGGAAAACACTCTGCAGGATATTATCCAGGAGAACTTCCCCAATCTAGCAAGGCAGGTCAACATTCAGATTCAGGAAATACAGAGAATGCCACAAAGATACTCCTCGAGAAGACCAACTCCAAGACACATAATTGTCAGATTCACCAAAGTTGAAATGAAGGAAAAAATGTTAAGGGCAGCCAGAGAGAAAGGTCGGGTTACCCACAAAGGGAAGCCCATCAGACTAACAGCTGATCTCTCGGCAGAAACTCTACAAGCCAGAAGAGAGTGGGGGCCAATATTCAACATTCTTAAAGAAAAGAATTTTCAACCCAGAATTTCATATCCAGCCAAACTAAACTTCATAAGTGAAGGAGAAATAAAATCCTTTACAGACAAGCAAATGCTGAGAGATTTTGTCACCACCAGGCCTGCCCTAAAAGAGCTCCTGAAGGAAGCACTAAACATGGAAAGGAACAACCGGTACCAGCCACTGCAAAATCATGCCAAATTGTAAAGACCATCGAGGCTAGGAAGAAACTGCATCAATTAAAGAGCAAAATAACCAGCCAACCTCATAATGACAGGATCAAATTCACATATAACAATATTAACTTTAAATGTAAATGGACTAAATGCTCCAATTAAAACACACAGACTGGCAAATTGGATAAAGAGTCAAGACCCATCAGTGTGCGGTATTCAGGAGACCCATCTCACATGCAGAGACACACATAGGCTCAAAATAAAAGGATGGAGGAAGATCTACCAAGCAAATGAAAAACAAAAAAAGGCAGGGGTTGCAATCCTAGTCTCTGATAAAACAGACTTTAAACCAACAAAGATCAAAAGAGACAAAGAAGGCCATTACATAATGGTAAAGGGATCAATTCAACAAGAAGAGCTAACTATCCTAAATATATGTGCACCCAACACAGGAGCACCCAGATTAATAAAGCAAGTCCTTAGAGACCTACAAAGAGACTTAGACTCCCACACATTAATAATGGGAGACTTTAACACCCCACTGTCAACATTAGATAGATCAAAGAGACAGAAAGTTAACAAGGATACCCAGGAATTGAACTCAGCTCTGCACCAAGCAGACCTAATAGATATCTACAGAACTCTCCACCCCAAATCAACAGAATATACATTCTTTTCAGCACCACACCACACTTATTCCAAAATTGACCACAAAGTTGGAAGTAAAGCTCTCCTCAGCAAATGTAAAAGAACAGAAATTATAACAAACTGTCTATCAGACCACAGTGCAATCAAACTAGAACTCAGGATTAAGAAACTCACTCAAAACCACTCAAATACATGGAAACTGAACAACCTGCTCCTGAATGACTATTGGGTACATAACAAAATGAAGGCAGAAATAAAGATGTTCTTTGAAACCAATGAGAACAAAGACACAACATACCAGAATCTCTGGGACACATTCAAAGCAGTGTGTAGAGGGAAATTTATAGCACTAAATGCCCACAAGAGAAAGCAGGAAAGATCCAAAATTGACACCCTAACATCACAATTAAAAGAACTAGAAAAACAAGAGCAAACACCTTCAAAAGCTAGCAGAAGGCAAGAAATAACTAAAATCAGAGCAGAACTAAAGGAAATAGAGACACAAAAAACCCTTCAAAAAATTAATGAATCCAGGAGCTGGTTTTTTGAAAGGATCAACAAAATTGATAGACCGCTAGCAAGATTAATAAAGAATAAAAGAGAGAAGAATCAAATAGAAGCAATAAAAAATGATAAAGGGGATATCACCAATGATCCCATAGAAATACAAACTACCATCAGAGAATACTACAAACACCTCTACGCAAATAAACTAGAAAATCTAGAAGAAATGGATAAATTCCTCGACACATACACCCTCCCAAGACTAAACCAGGAAGAAGTTGAATAGATGAATAACAGGCTCTGAAATCGTGGCAATAATCAATAGCTTACCAACAAAAAAGAGTCCAGGACCAGATGGACTCACAGCCAAATTCTACCAGAGGTACAAGGAGGAACTGGTACCATTCCTTCTGAAACTATTCCAATCAATAGAAAAAGAGGGAATCCTCCCTAACTCATTTGATGAGGCCAGCATCATCCTGATACCAAAGCCAGGTAGAGACACAACCAAAAAAGAGAATTTTAGACCAATATACTTGATGAACATTGATGCAAAAATCCTCAATAAAATACTGGCAAACCGAATCCAGCAGCACATCAAAAAGCTTATCCACCATGATCAAGTGGGCTTCATCCCTGGGATGCAAGGCTGGTTCAATATATGCAAATCAATAAATGTAATCCAGCATATAAACAGAACCAAAGACAAAAACCACATGATTATCTCAATAGATGCAGAAAAGGCCTTTGACAAAAGTCAACAACCCTTCATGCTAAAAACTCTCAATAAATTAGGTATTGATGGGATGTATCTCAAAATAATAAGAGCTATCTATGACAAACCCACAGCCAATATCATACTGAATGGGCAAAAACTGGAAGCATTCCCTGTGAAAACTGGCACAAGACAGGGATTCCCTCTCTCACCACTCCTATTCAACATAGTGTTAGAAGTTCTGGCCAGGGCAATTAGGCAGGAGAAAGAAATAAAGGTATTCCATTAGGAAAAGAAGAAGTCAAATTGTCCCTGTTTGCAGATGACATGATTGTATATCTAGAAAACCCCATCATCTCAGCCCCAAATCTCCTTAAGCTGATAAGCAACTTCAGCAAAGTCTCAGGATACAAAATCAATGTACAAAAATCAAAAGCATTCTTATACACCAATAACAGACAAACAGAGAGCCAAATCATGAGTGAACTCCCATTCACAATTGCTTCAAAGAGAATAAGATACCTAGGAATCCAACTTACAAGGGATGTGAAGGACCTCTTCAAGGAGAACTACAAATCACTGCTCAAGGAAATAAAAGAGGATACAAACAAATGGAAGAACGTTCCATGCTCATGGGTAGGAAGAATCAATATCATGAAAATGGCCATACTGCCCAAGGTAATTTATAGATTCAATGCCATCCCCATCAAGCTACCAATGACTTTCTTCACAGAATTGGAAAAAACTACTTTAAAGTTCATATGGAACCAAAAAAGAGCCCACATCACCAAGTCAATCCTAAGCCAAAAGAACAAAGCTGGAGGCATCATGCTACCTGACTTCAAACTATACTACAAGGCTACAGTAACCAAACAGCACGGTACTGGTACCAAAACAGAGATATAGATCAATGGAACAGAACAGAGCCCTCAGAAATAACGCCGCATATCTACAACTATCTGATCTTTGACAAACCTGAGAAAAACAAGCAATGGGGAAAGGATTCCCTATTTAATAAATGGTGCTGGGAAAACTGGCTAGCCATATGTAGAAAGCTGAAACTGGATCCCTTCCTTATGCCTTATACAAAAATTAATTCAAGATGGATTAAAGAGTTAAATGTCAGACTGAAAACCATAAAAACCCTAGAAGAAAACCTAGGCAATACCATTCAGGACATAGGCATGGGCAAGGACTTCATGTCTAAAACATCAAAAGCAATGGCAACAAAAGACAAAATTGACAAATGGGATCTAATTAAACTAAAGAGCTTCTTCACAGCAAAAGAAACTACCATCAGAGTGAACAGGCAACCTACAAAATGGGAGAAAATTTTCGCAACCTACTCATCTGACAAAGGGCTAATATCCAGAATCTACAATGAACCCAAACAGATTTACAAGAAAAAAACAACCCCATCAAAAAGTGGGCAAAGGACATGAACAGACACTTCTCAAAAGAAGACATTTATGCAGCCAAAAAACACATGAAAAAATGCTCACCATCACTGGCCATCAGAGAAATGCAAATCAAAACCGCAATGAGATACCATCTCACACCAGTTAGAATGGCAATTATTAAAAAGTCAGGAAACAACAGGTGCTGGAGAGGATGTGGAGAAATAGGAACACTTTTACACTGTTGTTGGGACTGTAAACTAGTTCAACCATTGTGGAAGTCAGTGTGGCGATTCCTCAGGGATCTAGAACTAGAAATACCATTTGACCCAGCCATCCCATTACTGGGTATATACTCAAAGGACTATAAATCATGCTGCTATAAAGACACATGCACACGTATGTTTATTGCAGCACTATTCACAATAGCAAAGACTTGGAACCAACCCAAAGGTCCAACAATGATAGATTGGATTAAGGAAATGTGGCTCATATACACCATGGAATACTATGCAGCCATAAAAAATGATGAGTTCATGTCCTTTGTAGGGACATGGATGAAGTTGGAAATCATCATTCTCAGGAAACTATCGCAAGAACAAAAAACCAAACACCGCATATTCTCTCTCATAGGTGGGAATTGAACAATGAGAACACATGGACACAGGAAGGGGAACATCACACTCTGGGGACTGTTGTTGGGTGGGGGCAGTGGGGAGGGATAGCTTTAGGAGATATACCTAATGCTAAATGACGAGTTAATGGGTGCAGCACACCAGCATGGCTCATGTATACATATATAACTAACCTGCATATTGTACACATGTACCCTAAAACTTAAAGTATAATAATAATAATGATAAAAGAAAGCACATAAATTCAGTAGGACAGTAGCATTTTCCTGTCCGGAAATTCTTTAAGTAATTTATTGTACAAGAAACATTAAGAAACATCCCTTAATAAGCCTTATTTTTTTTCATGGCACACAATACATTGTTCTTTATTTTTATGATACAGCTGTATAGTACATACATATCTTTAATTACTTCTTTAATGTTCATTTTCCCAATTAGATTGTAAACTCATGATAAGTGAAGGATTATTTCTTTTCTGTTTACCTCTCGAACCTGGCTCAGTTTTTACATAGTCAATGAATATTTATTGAATGAATGAATAAACAGCTTTGTTAAGGATAAAAAAAAAAAAGGTGTTCTGGAAGTGTGTGAAAATAATTTTGAGTATATAGGAAGCAGTGTATAATAAAAGTTCATATTTGGACTTGTTTTAATAAAGCCTTGCTTTTCCTTGTTGCTTGATTTATTGCCTGGTAATATATGACACCTAAAGAGAAATTCTTGTTTAAGACACAATACTAGTGTAAAATTCTATAATCCAGTCTAATTTGCATATTGTATTTCTTAAAGTATTCTTTCTCTTGTATTGTCTAGTACTGAAACCATAACCTCTTATACCAAATGTTCACTGGGTGAGAGTGGTGGGGACAGGAGGAGATGGGTAATGTGGCTTCTCCCATTTAGGACAGCATTTCTGCACCAGGGATTACCACATATTCTAAATCATTTTGTTGAGGAAGGCAAAGCCAGTACTCATCTTTTGCAATAGGACATCGGTGCCATTTGGATGGGCACTCAGAAGTCTGTTCATGAATTTATTTCATTCCAGGGCTCCTCAGAAGCTCTTGCTTCCTTTAAGACAGACAGAAGGATTTCATGTGGGTGGATACCAGTCCTAAGAGATTCTATTTGTGTTCCAAGGACATTAATCCATAAAAGTGTGTCTCTTGATTATCATTTTTGAGCAAGAGGTATGGATTTCATAAGAATATGTTTCTAAGAATGTAAATATTTAGAGCTTGCTCAGTTTTACTGTGTGTGGATGGGGGAGGTGTGGAGCTTCTGGAGGGACAGACACTTCTGCCATTATAGCACATGATGGAAGGACTATAAGGATAACAATACCAGCCTGATCAGTTTTCTAGTATATAACTCTGTCCATTACACAAAATGTTCACAATTTTCTGGAAAGCAAATTGCTGATCTCAGCCTAAACTATTTTTGATTGAAAGGGACCAGAATCTAGGCAACATAATGAGACCCTGTCTCTACAAAAAAATAAAAATAAAAAATTGGCTCAGTGTGGTGGCACATGCCTGTAGTCCCAGCTACTTGGGAAGCTGAGGTGGGAGGATAGCTTGAGCCCAGGAGTTCAAGGCTGCAGTGAGCCATGATTGTACCCCTGAACTCCAGCCTGGATGACAGAGCAAGACCCTGTCTCAAAAAATAAATAAATAAATAAAATAAAGGATCAGTAGCAAGTCTATTAAATCTTCCCAAATGTGTTTCAAATGTTAAAATGAAAAAATGAGTGCTTCACAATTTTATTTATTACTTAGAGGTTTCAAGAAATATACTACAAATGGTATTTTTTTTTGCTTTTAAGTCATTTTTAGGCGAATGGGAATTCTATATGTAATAGTAACATAATTTCTAAATGACGTTTGATTACTGCTGAAGGGTTTAGGGACTGGGAAATATATATAAAAATATAAATCGCTTATAATACTTTTCTTGGTTTTGAAAAATAATGAGGCTACTTTCTCTTGACCATGCTTCTCCTGAGTAATACCTCTTTTTTTTTTTCCTTGATGAAGATCAATGTAATAACCTAGACTGGCAGCCATGTGTTTCACGATCTCTGTTTTTGATTTTTATCTTCACAAGTAAAAAGAGACAGTTTGTTTCCCAGATGGCAGAGCTCCACAAATGCCACAGTGTAGTTGAGTTATATATACATAACTAATTCTTTTTTAGTCATGATCAATATTATTCCCGCTAAAGCAGGTATTCCATGTACTTATAATGGCAAGAAATTCTAAATCAGTGATGCTTAGAGATTCCAAGCCACATTAACACTTTTCTGCTAAGTTTTCATTTTTAAAGTGGCCAAGTTTTTTAATGTCTCATATTATCTGTTTTGCAGTGCAGTAGGGAGTATGTCTCACAAAACACATGCTTTTTATATACTGCATAATTGTCTGCCATACTTTCTCCTTACCTAGCACATATGCTAAGGGCAAGAATTTATTGGAATAATCCTGAAATGATCTATTTCCTGCCCTTCCTCTTCTAAAGCCCCATAGACAAGATGGACACCAGACCCAGAGGACTTCACTAGTGACATATATATAAACTTAAGTAATAATTCTAATATGTACAAACTTGTCTAGAGAATAGCAAAAGAAAGCATAATAGCAAAAGCTAGAAAGAATGGTATGAGGAAGATAGATATATTTACAATCTTATGTGTGAATAAAGAGGCAAAAATATCCTCAACCAAATAGCCATAATAATCTTAGCAATTTGTTTTTCATTTCTCAGAACAACTCAATGGAAGTCTAATATTTAAAGTTTGTTTCTTCTGACCACAACCTCTGGGCTTTTCACTTCTCTTGGTCTTTTATGTCTTTGAGTTTCATCTTGACTTGGTTTCATGATGGTCTCTTGATGTCTTCCCTTTTATGCCATTCTACATCCCTCTATCATGTCACTGGCCTCCCTAACCTAGACCACATGTTGAATTACTTCTGAATGCTTATCTTCTTACTTTTTGTAAGAACAAATTGGGAATCATGTTAATTGATTCTTGCTATCTGAAAGATTCTTGCTATCTGGTTTTAAATTGGACTTCAAATATGCTTTATAATCATTTTTTAAAACCTCTATTTCCAGAAAGCCATCCATAATGGACTACAATGCATTCACTAAACTTTTGTCTCTAACGTTTTTCTCCTTTCGTGTAAATTTTGGCTACTCTCCTGTGTTTAATTTATCCATATATGTAAATTCTCCTATTGCTGTATTCATAAATTAGGCCTACAAATATTTAGAATCACATTTAGAGGCCTAATAGTTATGCCTAACAAGACATTTGGCACATGCTTTAAAAGCAACATGTTTCCAATAATATTCATTCAGTCTATTTTTAACTTACTAATATGTGTTATTTCTTTTTTCTCCTTTTTCCCCCTGAGCCAAAGCACTGTGGGGCCATTAATTCTACCTCTGGAATGGTTCTTTGTCCTCCTCCTCCTTTCTGGTCTCACTCTGACAAGCCTGTGCAGGCCTGCTTTGTTTCTTTTCTGGACAACGTAATCATCTTTCAGTGGATCTTCATTTCAATAGCTTCTCCACTTCCAAAAGAATGTAACCCCAGAACAATCTTCTAAAATGAATCTGATTATTCAGTTCCTCTCCTTGAAAGCCTTCAGTTGTTCTTCATAGTCTGTCCAATGATTTTTTTAAATTCTTACCAAAAGCATTATTTTTTAAAAGGAAAACAAAAATTCTTAATAAAAAGCCAGAGATATCCTCTTTTTTTCTATTTAAACCTCAGGGGGTACATATGCAGGTTAGTTACATGGGTAAATTTCATGTCACTGAGGCTTGGTGTATGAATGATTCCATCACCAATGTAGTGAGCATAGTACCCTACAGGTAGCCTTCCAATTCACACCCCGTCCCCAACCTTCCCCCTCAAACAGTTCCCAGTGTCTATTGTTCCCTTCTTTGTGTCCATGTATATTCAATGTTTAGCTCCCACTTATACATGAGAACATGATATTTGGTTTTCTGTGCCTACATTAGTTCGCTTAAAAAAATGGCCTCCAGCTGTATCCACGTGGCTGCAAAAAAATATGATTTCATTCTTTTTTATGGCTGCATAGTATTCCGCAGTGTATATGCATCACATTTTCTTTATCCAGTCCACCATTGATGGGCATCTTGGTTGATTCCATGTCTTTGCTATCATGAATAGTCCTGTGATGGACACATGAGTGCATGTGGCTTTTCAGTAGAACTATTTCTTTACCTATACCCAATGGTGAGATTGCTAAGCCAAAAGGTAATTGTGTTTTAAGTTCTTTGAGAAATAGCCAAACACTTTTCCACAGTGGTTGAACTGATTTATATTCCAATCAGCAATATATAACAATTTCCTTTTCTCTGCAGCCATATCAGTGGGCTATTCTGGGCATACCCTTCTCTCTGTGATAACAGGGAATCAGTATGACAAAATCATAGCCATTTTAATCATTCTGACTTGTGTGAGATAGTATCTCATTGTATTTTTGATTTGCATTCCTCTGATAATTAGTGATGATGAGCATTTTTAAAATATATTTGTTGGCCACTTGTAATTCTTGTTTTGAGAAGTGTTTATTCATGTCCTTTGCCCATTTTTAATGGGGTTATTTGATTTTTGCTTCTTGAATTGTTTCAATTTCTATTCCATTATGGACATTAGACCATTTTCAGATGTATACTTTGCAAATATTTTCTCCCATTCTGTAGACTGTCTGTTTCCTTTGATGATCATTTCTTTTGCTATGCAGAAGCTGTTTAGTTCATTTTGGTCCCACTTGTCATATTTGTTTTTGTTGCAGTTGCTACTGGGGACTTAGTCATAAATTTTTTTGCCAAGACTAATGTCCAGAATGGTATTTCCTAGGTTATATTCTAGAGCTTTTGTTGTTTTTGGTCTTACTTTTAAATCTTTAATTCTTCTTGAGATAATTTTTGTATACAGTGTAAGGAAGTGATCCAATTTCAATCTTCCGCATATGGCTAGCCAGTTATCCCCACACCATTTATTGAATAGGGAGTCCCTTTTCCTGTTGCTTGTTTTTGTTGACTTTGTCAAAGATGAGATGATGGTAGGTTTGTAACATTATTTCTGGGTTATCTATCCTGTTCTATTGATCTATGTGTCTGTTTTTGTACCAGTACCATGTTATTTTGGTAACTGGAAATGTGTAGTGTAGTTTGAAGTTGAGTAGTGTGATGCCTCCTGCTTTGTTCTTTTTGTTTAGGATTGCCTTGGTGATTTGAGCTCTTTTTTGGTTCCATGTAAATAGTAGAATAGTTTTTTCTACTTCTATAAAAATGATGTGGGTAGTTTCATAGGAATAGTATTGAATCTGTAAATTTCTTTGGGCAGTATGGTCATTTTAACAATATTGATTCTTCCTATCCATGTGCCTGGAATTTTTTTTCATTTGTTTGTGATATCTCTGATTTCTTTCAGCAGTGTTTTGTAATTCTCATTGTAGAGATCCTTCATGTTCTAGATATTGTGTGTGTGTGTGTGTCTGTGTGGCAATTTTGAATGGGATTCAGTTTTCGATATGGCTCTCAGCTTGTCTGTTTTTGGTCTAAAAGAATGCTAGTGATTTTTGTACATTGATTTTGTATCCTGAAATTTTGCTGAAGTTGTTTATCAGCTGAAGGAGCTTTTGGACCAAGACTATAGGGTTTTCTATGTATAGAATCATATCGTTTGCAATCAGAGACAGTTCGACTTCTTCCCTTCCTATTTGGATACATTGTCTTTCTTTCTCTTGCCTGATTGCTCTGGCTAGGACTTCCAGTACTATGTTGAATAGGAGTTGTGAGAGAGGGCATCCTTGTCTTGTTCTGGTTCTTAAGGGGAATGCTTTCAGCTTTTGCCTGTTCATTATGATGGAGGCTGTTGGTTTGTTATAGACAGCTCTTATTATTTTGACATATGTTCCTTCAATGCCTAATTTGTTGAGGGTTTTCAACATGAAAGGCTGTTAAATTATATCAAAAGCCTTTTCTGTGTTATTAAGATAATCATGTGGTTTTGTTTTTAGTTCTGTTTATGTTATGAATCACATTTATTGATTTGCATATGTTGAACCAATCTTATAACTAGCAATAAAGCCTACTTGATTGTGATGAATTAGCTTTTTGATGTGCTAATGGATTTGATTTGCTAGTATTTGTTGAGGATTTTTGAATCTATGTTCATCAAGGATATTGGCCTGAAGTTTTCTTTTATTGTCGTGTCCTTGCCAGGTTTTGGTATCAGGATGATGCTCACCTCATAGAATCAGTTAGGGAGGCTTCCCTCCTCCTCAGTTTTTTGGAATAGTTTCAGTAGGAATGGTACCAGCTCTTCTTTTTACAGCTGGTAGAATTCAGCTATGAATTTGACTCATCCTGGGCTTTTTCTCTTTGGTAGGCTTTTTATTACTGATTCAGTTTTGGATTCATTATTGGTACATTCAGGGTTGCAATTTCTTCCTGGTTCAATCTTGGAATATTATAAATTTCTAAGAATGTATCCATTTCTTCTAGGTTTTCTAGTTTGTGTACATAAAAGTATTTGTAATAGTATCTGAGGGATATTTGTGTTTCTGTGAGGTCGGTGGTAATGTCCCCTATGTCATTTCTGGTTGTGCTTATTTAGATCTTCTCTCTTTTTTCTTTACTAGTCTAGCTAGTGGTATATTAATTTTATTTATTCTTTCAAAGAACAAATTCCCAGATTTGTTGATCTTTTGGATAGTTTTTCATGTCTCAGTTTCCTTTAGTTCAGCTATAATTTTGGTTCGTTTTTGTCTTCTGCCCTCTTGAGGGTTGGTTTGCTCTTGTCTCTCTAGTTTGACTATGTGTGGTACTAGGTTATTAATTTGAGATATTTCTAAGTTTTTTATGTGGGCATTCAGCTCTTAATCTTCCCTCTTAACACTTTACCTACTTTATCTGTGTCCCATAGATTTTGGTATGTAGTATCTTTGTTTTCATTAGTTTCAAAGAATTTCTTGATTTCTGCCTTAATTTCATCATTGACCCAAAAGTGATCCAGGAGCAGGTTGTATAATTTCCATGTAATTGTAGGTTTGGAGTGCTTTCTTTTCTTTTTTTAGTATTGATTTCCATATTTATTGCACTATATTTTGAGAGTGTGGTTTGTATGTTTTTTAAAATTTTCTGAGAATGGTTTTATAGCCAATTGTGTCATCAATTTTAGAGTGTGTGCCATGGGCAGATGAGATGGATCTGTATTTTGCTGTTTTGAGGTAAAGTGTTATGTAGATATCTGTTAGGTTCATTGAGTCAAGTGTCAAGTTCAGGTCCCAAATATGTTCGTTAGCTTTCTGTCTCCATGATCTGTCTAATACTGTCAGTGGGGTGTTGGAGTCTCCCACAATATTGTGTGGTTATCCAATTCTTTTCAAAGGCCTCTAAGAACATGCTTTATGAATCTGAGTGCTCCTGTGTTGGGTGCATATATATTTAGGATTCTTAGGCATTTTTTTATTATTGTTGGTTTAAAGTCTGTTTTGTCTCAAATTGGATTTGCAACCTCTGCTTTTTCTGTTTTCAGTTTGCTTGGTAGATTTTTCTCCATTCCTTGACTTTAGGCATATGGTGTCATTGCTTGCGAGATGGGTCTCTTGAAGACTGCATACAGTTGGGCATACAGTTGGGTCTTGCTTTTTTATCCAACTTAACACTCTGAGCCTTTCAACTGGGGCATTTCACCTGTTTTTGTTACCTTCAAGGTTAATATTGATATGTGCAGATTTGATCCTGTCATTCTGTTGTTAGCTGGCTATGATGCAGACTTGAATGCATCATAGGTGTTTTTGTGGTGACTTGTAATGGTCTTTCCTTTCCATATTTACCACCCCGTTCAGGATGTCTTGTAAGGCAGGCCTGATAGTAATGAATTCCGTTAGCATCTGCTTTACTGAAAACGATCTTATTTGTCCTTCACTTACGAATCTTTGGCTGGATATGAAACTTATTTGAAATATCTTTTCTTTAATGGTGCTAAATATAGGTCCCCAATGTCTTCTGGCTTATACGATTTCTGATGAAAGTTCTGCTGTTAACCTGATGGGGTTCCCTTTTTAGGTGACCTTCCCCTTCTCTTTAGCTGACTTTAACATTTTTTCTTTCATGTTGACCTTGGAGAATCTGATGACTATGTGTTTTGAGGATTGCCATCTTGTATAGTATAATACAAGGGTTCTCTGAGTTTGCTAAATTTGAATGTCAACCTCCCTAGCA
Source organism: Homo sapiens (assembly GCF_000001405.40). Classification (NCBI taxonomy): domain Eukaryota; kingdom Metazoa; phylum Chordata; class Mammalia; order Primates; family Hominidae; genus Homo; species Homo sapiens. The sequence continues at coordinate 63,668,938 of NC_000005.10, read as the reverse complement.
AAGTTGGGGAAAAGCTTGTGGATGATATCCTCAAGCATGTTTTCTAAGTTGTTTTCTCTCCCTGTCTTTCAGGGATGGCAATGAGTCATAGATCTGGTCTCTTTACACAATCCCCTATTTCTTGGAGGTTTTGTTTATTCTTCTTCATTTATTTTTTAAAAAGATTTTCATCTTACTGGGTTAATTTGGACAGCAGTCTTCCAACCCTCAGATTCTTTCCTCAGGTTGGTCCCTTCTTCTGTTAATATTGCAATTGTATTATGAAATTACTGAAGTGAGTTTTTCATCTCCATCAGATCAGCTTGCTTCTTTCTTAAAATGGCCATTTTGTCTTTCAGCTCCTGTATCATCTTGTATTCCCTAGATTCCCTGGATTGGGTTTCAACATTCTCCTTAATGTCAATGATCTTTGTTCCTATCCATATTCTGAAGTCTATGTCTGTTATTTCAGCCATTTCAGCCTGGTTAAGAACCACTGGTGGAGAACTAACATGTTTATTTTTTAGGTAAGAAGACACTCTGGCTTTTTGGGTTGTCAGAGTTCTTGCACTGGTTTTTTTCTTATCTGTGTGGGCTGATGTTCCTTCAGTCTTTGAAGCTGCTGTCCTTTGAATTAGGTTTTTTGCTTTTATCTTCTTTGATGTCCTTGGAGGTTTGATTGTAGTATAAGGTGGGTTTTGTTGACTAACTTCATTTCTGGAAGATTTTAGGGGGCCAAGAGTTAACTCAGCTCTCCTGGGCCACATGCTCTGATGCTTGGGGGCTGACACCAGGCCCATGGCTTTGTTTTCTGGCCCCTTGAGGTTAGGAGCCTGCTGTGCTGGATGGTCTTAGGTATCCCCATTCAGCTGGCCACAATACTCTGGTGGAGGGGTACCAGCCAAAGTGCTTTGTTGAGGCAGTGGCAGTTGGATCCATGCTTGCTCATGCATGCCAACAGCTGTAGCAGTGTGATAAGGTGCATGTGCATTGTCTGGGAAGGAGCATCTGCAGAGGTGCAATTGCTAGCATTTGCGCTAGTATTTGGGGTAGGAGTGGTAGTAGGGACAGGGTGTTGGTGGGGTTGCCCCAGTGCCTCTGCACATGGTTGCACCTGCAGCAGTGATGTAGCAGGGGCAGGGTTGCTGGTGCCCATGTACTATGCACTGGCAGTGGTGGTGGCACAGCAGGTGTAACATTGGGCATTTAGCATGTTTTGAAGGTTTACCCATGTTGTAGCATATGTCAAAACTTCATTCCTTTTTATGGTTCGATAATGTTTCATTGTATGTGTACACCACATTTTGTTTATTCATTCATGTTTTGATGGACATTTGGGTTGTTTCCACCTTTGGGCTACTATAAATAATGCTGTTATAAACACTACCTAAAGATAGGTGGTATACAACTATCTTTATTAGTCTCTGTTTTTAATTCTTTTTTGTATACACATAGAAGTATAATTGCTCAGTCATATACAATTCTGTTTAACTTTGTGAGGTTCCATCAAACTGTGTTTCTCAGTAGTTACATTATTTTACATTTCCACCAGCAATGTATGAGGGTTCCAATTTCTCCCCTTTCTTGCAAACACTTGTTATATTGTGCTTATTATCCTTATTATAGTCATCATAGTAGCTGTGAAGTTGTACCTTATAGTGGTTTTGATTTGCATTTCCCCAAATGCATTTGGGCATTCTTTCATGTGCTTTTTGACCGTTTATATAACTTCTTTGGAGAAATATCTATTCAAGTTATTTACCCATTTTCTAATTGGATTCTCTTTTTTTTAGTTGAGTGGTAGTTCTTTATGTAGTCTTCATTCTAAACTCTTATCATATATGAGTTACAAATATTTGCTCCCATTCTGTGGGTTGTCTTTTTACTGTCAATAGTATCATTTGTTGCAAAAATTTTTTAGATTTTATTGAATTTCATTTAATTATATTTTCTTTGGTTGCTTGTACTTTTGGTGTCATATCTAAGAAACAATTCCCAAACCAAAGTCAAGAAGATTTGCTTCTGTGATTTTTTAAGGAGTTTTATAGTGTAAGGTATTAAATTTAGATCGTTCATCCATTCTAAGTTAATTTTTGTATGTGGTGTGAGGTGACGATCTAAGTTCATTTTGGTATGTAGATATACAGTTTTCTCAGCACCATTTGTTGAAGAGACTATACTTTTCCTATTTATTAATCTTAGTACCTTGTCAAAAATCAATTGACCATAAATGTGAAGAGTTATTTCTGGATTCCTAACTCTATCCCATTGGTTTATCAATCTATCCTTATGCCAGTATCACACTGTTTTGATCACTGTAATGTTGTAGTACATTTTGAAATCAGAAAGCGTGAGAGTTCTTCAACTTTGTTATGTTTCTTCAAGTTTGTTTTTGACTATTCTGTGTCCCTTGAAATTATGTATGAATCTTAGAATGGGATTTTTATTTCTCGAAAAATATCATTGGGATTTTGAAAAGAATTATTTTGACTATGTAGATTTCTTTGGGTACTATTGCTGCCTTGACAATATTAAGTCTTCCAATCCATGAACATAGGATATCTTTCCATTTATTTGTGTCTTCTTTAATTTTGTTTTGCAATGTTTCTTTGTTTGGTGTACACATTTTGTACCTTCTTGATTGAATTTATTTCCAAGTATTTTATTAGGCTATTGTCAATGAATTGTTTGCCTTAATTTTTTTTCTGGAATGTTCATTGCTAATATATAGAAATACAGCTGATTTTGGTGTGTAAATTCTGTAGCCTGCAACTTTGCTAAATTTATGTCTTAACTCTAACCGTTTTGTATGTGTGTGTGCATGCTTTAAGGTTTGCTACATAAAAGATCATACCATCTGAAAACACAAATGAATTACATCTTTTTATTTTTGATGCTTTTTACTTATTTTTCTTGACTAATTGTTTTGGTTAGAACTTCCAGTACTACGTTGACTAGAAGTGGCAAACATAAGCATCCTAATCTCTAAGGGAAAAAGCTTTCAGTCTCTCACCACTGAATATTATGTTTTCTATGGGTTTTTCATTTATGGCCTTTCTTATGTTTAGAAAGTTCACTTCTATTCTTAGTTTATTAAGTATTTTGTATTATGAAAGGGTATTGAATTTCACCAATGCTTTTTCTACATCTTTTTTTTCTTTACTTTTACTCTGTAATGTCATATACTAAATTAATCATTTTCATGAATTGAATTACCCTTGCATTCTTAAGACTACTGTGAATTTCTTAGTACAATAAAAAAATTATATCACTCACTTTTGGATAAAAATAAAATTGAATTAACAAATTAATTTTTCATACCAAAAAACTAAGAATAATTGACATGGGCTTTCATTATAAACTGCCGGAATGACTTGAAAAAGTTCACCAGCAAATAGTTGGAGACACACTCCTTTTTTTTCCTCTTTGCTTGATTGACTTTATTCCTTTATCTTTTAGGAAAATATCAAATGAAAATATCAGCAATACATAGACATTGTCCCAGCTGTGCCATATGTAAATTTATTGTTAACCTTCCAAAAGTTAAAATTATCCTGGTAGTGTGACCAATATAGTATTGTACCTAAGACCTTAGGAGAAGATCACAGCCTAAGAGTACAGTAAGAAATGATTAAGACAAGAGAATAAGCTGGGACATCTGTGGAAATGAACATCCACGGAGATTGTTTTTACCTATGCTGCTTAAATTAACTGAACAGTGGTCAAATTCAATCAAGATAAGGGGTGGTATTCTTCAGGGAGGTTTTCTGCTCTAGCATGAACTGTGTATAGGTGCAGGGCAGTCAATAGTATGTATGTAGCCTAGAATGATGTATTTCCCAAGGGCAAAATTTGTCCAGCATCGTATAAGAAAGAGGCTGCCTTAGGGCAAAGATTTGGTTTCATAGTTCAGTTTCACCAAACCATAGTTTGATTTCATAATTCCGTGCTTACAAAATCAATTTGTAATTATAATTTGGCTTCCCCATTTCTATAGACATGTGTGTGTGTGTGTGTGTGTGTGTGTATATATATATACTTTTTAATAAGTGAGATAATCAGTGGGTGCTGGAGCTGGTGAATACATGCTTGGGAGAGCCTATTGGTAAATTTTGAAGAACTTTACAAGTCAGTTGATGTTGACAGCTTGGAATTTGACATTGTTAGAAGTAATTTACACGTAAAAATTAGCAACTGCTACAAATTAGTTTTCTTTTCCCCCAAGAAAATCCAGTAGTTAAACATTTATCAGCATGCCACCACTAAGAAAAAGCCACATGCTAAAATTTTTTGTAACCTACTGGATCATTTCTGAGGCCACTAAAATTGGGTTTCTTGTATCAGCAAAGCTGAGGCCCTGACATTAATGTATGAAGAGTCTAATAAAGTAGTACAATAATATAGCTATTGCCTATTGGGTACTACTGTATGCCAGGCACTTAAAACGTATTTCCTTTTAGTAATCACAAAAACAAAGCAGTTAGATGTTATATTACTTATATTTTACACATGAGAAAACAGAGATCTAGAGTTTAAGCAATAGGCTAAAGCTCATGTATTGTCTTCCTGAGTGGTCATGCCTAAGCTATCAACCAACCATCATCTTTGACAATTCTGTCCTTTTTAAATTAAAAGAGTAAATAAATAGGCTTAATAGTAAGCTGTAGTGAACATTATTTAATCTTTTATCTAATGTTTGGTAGATATTTTGTTTCTTGGAATGTTGCTAGGTTAACATTAGGAATATCATTTATCCTTTGTGGTTCTCATTTTCCCTATCAAATAAATATTTGGCATAAAATGGCACTTTAGCTCCAAGGCAATATGGTTTCATGACAGCATTATGTATGCACAAGAATGCCAAAACTAGAATGACTCTATTAATGGAAACATCAGTACTAGAGTTTTTATTTAACCTTAGTTATATAACTTAATTGTTATGAAAACGAATTTTGAAGTTAGCCTTGGGTTTAAAATCTATATATGCTCATTTCTAGCTATATGGTTACTGGGAAAGTTGCTTAAGTCTAAAGATCTTTAATTGTTTCACTGAATAAATAATAATCATGACACCCCAACTGTACCCCCAAATTGTAAGAATTAAATGTATTAAAGTAATGTATGAGCATTGTTCAACACAGTATATGGCACAGAGTCTGTGCTACATGAAAGATAGTTATTATTTTTATTAGCATGGTGATTTGGGAAGATATTACTGTTTTTAGTAATATAACAAAATAATTGTGTTTATCACTTATGCTTTATCATACTTGCATAATTAATTCATATATTTCTTCAGTAACAGCATTGGGGAAAACAAGATATAATTTTTGAATAATTTGGAAATTATTAGCTGAAAAAGTACAATGTATATATAAATATAAAAATGACTATGATGTGTCATAAATGTATTTAAATAATACTACAAAAACAAAGATGTTTCATGGTTTCTCTTGATTACTTGACTGCTTCAGTTAAATGGGCTTGAACTGAAATGGCTTAACTTCACCAAGAAAGTAATTAACTACAATTATCTTAAAATATACTGCATATATCAGAGGCTCTTAATTATTCTGTTTTCCTTCATTGCAATTTAATTGCTTTGGATCATATAGCCTTATTTAAACCATAGAAAATGCTGAACTAAATATGTATCTTGAAGAGAAGGCTAAGAGGATATATTTCTGTATTTGAGACCTGCACCTTGATGGGTTTGACAGTTTTACAAATGAATTCAGAAACTCCTTAAGAGGATATGCTTTACTGAATTTTCTCTTTGAACTACTACATAAACCTAAGTGAGGGTTTGGCAAATTGTCAGAGTATCACCCACCCCTCTCAACAGCTTTATTTAAATACTCACTATACAAGTTGAGGATCTGTTTCAGTGTGAGACTGCCACTTGAGTGAAAGTATGGTAAGAGGAACAATTGGATAACTACTCTTGTGAGCCATATGATCTGAAAATGGTATGGAGCAGTCTGCTGGAGAAAAGGGATGGGGTAATGAGGTAGTTTTTTTTTTTTCTCTTTTTTTTAAGGCTTATACTTGACACATTTCTGTAAAATCAGGCATAGATAATTTAGGCATCTCCCAATCCAAAACATGAGAGTCAACCGAGTCTAATGGTTAAGCACATAGATTTTGGAGTCAGACACATCTGAGTTTAAGTCAGAGATCTGTCACTTACTAGCTTTGTGATCTTTTGCAAATAATTTTAGTACTCTAAACTTCAGGTTCTCATCCATAAAATGTGTATATACAGCCTCTCATAGGGTACTTGTGAGAGTTAAAGGAGACAATGAACAGACAGTATACAGCAAAATGCTTGGCAGATAAATGGGCTCATAAATAATAGCTATTATCATTTTTGAATTATTCTTTTTCTACCAATAATAAATTAGCTTGAACCAATGCCATTTTTAAGAAATACCCCTGAAAGGGATCAATATCAAAGTTTTTACTACGTAACACTTTATCTAATAACAACTTAGTAAAAGTTTTATGACAACTGAGAGTGTGTGGACCGTGCACCCAAGAGACACATAGCAGACAGAGGTGGTGAAGATAGATGGGGCACTGCAAGAAATGGTAGGCGTCAGTGACAATTCTGGCATACTTCACAATTTTGCTTGAGGCAAACCTTGACAACACCATTAAAATTTTTCTCATTTGTTATATCTCGACCACAAAAAAAGGTATCCACATCTGAAGGTCTTATATCTTGGACTATCTGCAGAATCTGAAAACTTGCTGCATCCTTCAGCTGCAGCCAGAAACAAGAAGATGATGTTCCCAACTACACAGATTTAAGTCAAGACAAAGAGGAGAGAGAGGTGCAACAAGGACCAGCACACACTCTTCTCCGTTTTGAGATATTCCACATACAGAAGAATAATGCAATTTCATATGTAACAACTGATACACTGATAGAACAGAACACCATTAATGTTCAAATATATTTTTAAAAATACATATAGTCTCAAAAAATACATAAATATAAAACAGTAAGTATCAATATAAAACAATGACAAATGTAGTTTTAGAAAACCAGTTGTCTCTAGTTATCTCATTGGAGATTACTAAATTTCAGACTAAAGCACATTTCTGTTAATTTTCATTTAAAAAATAAATATACCATGTGGAATATTGCAAGTGAGTGTGTGATGTATAGCCAACAAAACTGGTTATAATGGCTCTATACAAACAACTCTTAAAGAATAGAGCATTTGCATTCACTCACCGGTTAAATGCTAGACATAATTCTATTGTCATAATTCATGCTAAATGAAATGAGACAGACCCATAATTATAATTCTCCCTACTACAGAATATGATCTTAATGAACACTGTTGCACAGATGCATCTTTGCCCAGTAGTACTCAACCCTGGCTGCACATTAGAGTCATTTGAGGATCTTTTAAAAAAGTAAACATACTCAGAGATCCTGATTTAATATTTAATATTGTGTGATAGACATCTATTTGTTTGATAGTTTTTATTTTGAAATAATTTGAAACTTACAAAGTAAAATTGCAAGAAACATACAAATAAATTTCATATACCCTTCATCCAGAGATACCATTTTTTCAACTGTCCCAAAATGCCATTTTTGGCAAAATAATCCAATCCAGGGTGTCATGTGGCAATTTGTTCTTATATCTCTTCAGTTTCCTTAAATCTGGAAGAGTTCCACAGTTCTTCCTTGACCTTACTAACTTTAATATTTTTGAATATATGCCAGTTGTTTTGTAGAATGTTCTTCAAGTTGGATTTGTCTATTTTCTTATAACTAGATTTGAGCTATTTTGGCAGAAATGGCACCGAATGAGACTACCACTTCTCACTACATTCCTTCAGGTGGCACACAATCATCCTGATGACATTAACTTTGATCACTTGATTGAGGTCTTGATCATAGTCTGCTTAAGTTATTCTACTCTAAAGTAATTCTTTCCCCCATTGTATTTGTAAGTATTTTGAGAGGACATTTTTGAGATTCTGTAAAAATGTTTTTTTCCATTAACATACATTGATGTTCTTTGTTGACTGAATTATTACTACCATAATTGAAAATATAATTTTCCCATTCCACTATTCCTTCTACATTTAATGTTTGGTATTCTACTGTAAATAAGAGATTTCTCTTCTCCACATTAATGTGCTCACTGTGGATTCCTAGATTTCTGTTTATATATTTCTCTTTTATTTAATAGGATGTATTCCAATAGTACCCATTACTATCAGTATTTTTATATTAATAACCCATATTGTTCTAGATATTGCAGTGGGAGTCCTTTCAAGCTGCCATCTGTCCTTTTGACATGGCACAGTCATTATCTGAACACTTCCTTATTTATGTTTTAGCAAGTTACTAGAATTGGAAATATAGACAAATATAGACACACATATACTCTTACACACAATACTTTTGTATTTAATTTATCTCTGGATATATATATATACACATAGATATATAAAACCATGAGTTCACACCCATATAATTCCAATTGAATATGACAGTGTTTATTCTTCCATTTCATATTTGTAATTTTATTCTCTCACAGTGAGAAAGCCAGCTTCTGGTATCATCAGTATGTTTACTCTTTTGTTCAATCTCTTATAGTCTCCAGACCCTCTAAGGCTGCTTTTCATAATGACTTGTGGACTAGAGCATAGGAGAAAAGTAGAGTGAGAGAAAGAGGGAGAGGGAAGGAAGGAAGAGGGGAGGGGATATTCATATTTTTTAAGTTCCTGTGTTAGCCCATTTTTGCATTGCTATTTCTGAGGCTGGGTAATTTATAAAGAAAAGAGATTTAATTGGTTCATTGTTCTGCAGACTATATGGGAAGCATGGTGCTGGCATCTGGTGAAGGCCTTAGGAAACTTTTACTCATAGTGTAAGGCAAAGCTGGGGCAGGCATCACATGGACAGAGAGAGGAAGCAAAAGAGAGAAGGGAGAAGTCTCAGACTCTTCTAAACAACCAAATCTCACATGAACTCATAGAGTGAGAATTCACTCATTACGGCTAGGATTGCCCCAAGCCATTCATGAGGGATCTGCCTCCATAATCAAAACACCTCCCACTAGGCCCCACCTCCAGCATTGAAGAGCATATTTCAATATGAGATTTGGAGGGGACAAATATCCAAACCATATCAGATTCTCGGGTGAAATTAACAACCAGCTTTGAAACCATTCATACTACTTCCTTTGCACACAATCCTACCTATATTTGGCTAGTGGTATTATTCTCTTCCTAGATCTACATAGGGGAATGAGACCACATTTCAATAACTTTTACCTGTTTTCACTACCCCATTCATGCCTCACTGTAGTTTTCATTGTCAGTATAATATGTGAGTCAGTGTTTTAAAAAGTTTCTTTTTGCAAATAAGCATGCCCATTTAAAAATAACCAGATCAGTGCTTCACAATTGCAAAGAAAACTTTCTCTCTATTTCTGGGCAAATCAATATGCAAATGACTACATCTCAAATGAGCCCTATCGCATGTACTAAGAAGTAGCACAAATCTCTAAATGCAGATCAGGGACTTCTACTTTTCCCAATATAGTTCACAAATGCCTCGTTTCTTTCCTTCTTTCCTTTTGTTAGATAAACGGGATATAATTTTTAATTTTTCTACTTCCAGAAGAACATAGAGAGCAAATTTTGGCTTTGAGTATAATCAGTATAATTTATTTTCCATATTTTTGCTCTTAAAAAACACTGAAAGGTTAGACTTGAATTTTTGACCCGACAAGGAATACACTGGATTTAAAAAGCTTTCCTATTTATTTCATTGGAGAAATAAAATCTGAAAGACTCTTACATAACACCAAAAAATCTCTCTCCAAGGAAACCTATGTCTAGGAAGAAAAAAATAACATTATAGCATACTTCAACTTACTGACTCAGTGTAGAATGGAACAGATGTTAAACCACATTTTGCTTATTATAATCCACAAAGGTGATGGAGAACACTAATTTGCATTTGCAGCTAAACACATTTCAAGAGTTACATCAGCAGAATATCATGGTAGATGTTATAAGCACTATGGGTTTAACAGCACGGTACAGCGTCATCACCCAATAGAAGTTGATGCTGATGTTAAGGTATCATTTCCTTCTATTCGTCCTGCCTAAATGGACTACCCAGTACTCAGATCTTTCCAGAAATGTTGTCACTTTATGTTCCAAGCCAAATTCTTTTTTTGTTTTGTTTTGTTTTTTAGACGGAGTCTCCCTCTGTTGCTGTGTCGCCCACGCTGGAGTGTAGTGGCACAACATCTGCTCACTGCAACTTCTGACACTCAGGTTCAAGCTGTTCTCCTGCTCAGCCTTCCAAATAGCTGGAACTACAGGCATGTGCCACTACGCCTGTCTAATTTTTTATTTTTAGTAGAGATGGGGTTTCACCATGTTGGTCAGGCTGGTCTCAAACTCCTGACCTCGGGTGATCCACCCTCTTCGGCCTCCCAACAAGCCAAATTCTTGACTGAAAATTTTATCTATTGTTAATGGCACAAATTAATTACTATATATTCCATAAAGTCTTTCTTGACTCTCTCCACACTCCCTCCCTGGAGAGGTGATTTCTCTTTACTCTTACCTTTTTATCCTTGGTTATTTTATTAGCTCATTTATGAACTTGTTTAGAAACAGGTCCATTCTTCTGAATGTTAGCAGCCATTTCTTAATTTTTTCTCATTTTTATATTCAACCATGTTGAACATGGTGAAAGATCAATAGATAGCGAGGAATAAAGGTTAATACAAATGATATTTCATTCCATGATCTCGTTGGTTCATTGAACCCAATCACTCCTGTTAATTAAAGCAAAGTTTCCTGGTGTTGCTATAATTTTTTAAAATGTAAAAGTGCAAGAAAAATTTTGGCGAAGAGAAATTTGGTCAAGTAATTTTCAAAAGAGATAGGTAAGTTAGATAATATTAAGCATCACTGTAACTTTTCTATTTTATCATCCAACAAAGCATGAAGTGCTATGTAATAGGCAGTTTGAACCATCTCCGATAACATACACCTGCACAATAAGGCAAAACAGCAAATACATTGCCCAAGTAAAAAGATTTGAAAATGCAGTGTAATCACATAAATGCTAAATCATTAGGCCCAAAACATTCCCTGAAATTTATGTAGTAGAGAAAACGTAAGAGGCTCCCATAACACTTTCTTCTCTATGAAGCCTTTACCAAATGATGAGGACAAAAAAGATAATTACCTCCTAACCTATTCTGATTGAACATGCAACTCTCTCCACTCGCCCCCCTCTTTTTCCTCATCTGCACATCATATAAATGTAGTACTGTCTTTGGGTAGCTCCTTTACTATTTACACCTACGTATAACTCGTCTCTGCAACTTGGAATTATGCCTAGGGATCATGTATATTTCATAAAGAATGTCCATCCTCTCTCTGTCTCTGTCTCTCTCTGACACTTGCACACACACACACACACACACACACACACACACAGGAGTGTTCCATTATACAGAAGTACTGTGTGACACTATGTATGGGTTCAGTGCTCTACCTGGGAAGGTGGACTAGACTATTTAATTTTCTTCTGGTGAATATAAGATGGACCTTTTGAATGTATAGATATTTCCCCTGGATGCTTCTTAACAAAAAGAACAAGTAAATGTTGATGTGAATTGCCCAGATTCCCTAAGAAGGTGAGAGGAATATATTGTCAGGAATAGAAATTGTAGGGTAAGGAGAGGCCTAAGGAGTTCATGTATCCTGTTAGTTTCCTATTATTCCTACACTTCCTGCCAATTCTTTTCTGCCCCTCTTTGGCATCTGGAGTTCAGATTATTAGTTCTCTAAATACGAAACATATAAATTACACAATGCATATATTTTTAAAATTGTATATCTATAAGTTATAAAATTATCTAAATTTATAGTATGTTTAAACATGTATAAAATAGATATACTACATAAATTTATAAAATATATAAAATATATTCATGTATAACATATGTATATATACACACAAAATACATTCATTTATTATATATACATATATATATATACACACACACATACTTCACTTTCATTTGAAAAATAATTATATCCCATGCTGAATCTTATACATGAAAAATACCATGATGGGCATTATGCCTAAAATAGATATTTAATGTACAAATCAGGAAAATATCAGGAAACAATGTGAATGGAAACATTGGAACACTATTGAGACCAAAAAGCCTGATGTTTATTGTGAACTTGGCCATTACACAGGATTACATTTAGGAAAAAAAGAGTCAGATAAATAAATTGTGCAAACCCAGAAAAAAGTTGGGAATAAATCAGGCTTCACTATGACATACTGTATTTTTATTTTCCTATAAAGATTATTTAAATAAATATATGTAATATCTATCCAACCCAATCACCTGCTTGATACTATTTGTAGGCACGCAAATGAAATAAAGGTAACAGTTATGTATGTAAAGAAGAATTTATTCTAAACATTTCTTCAGTAGTGCACTTAGGAGAACCTGTAAGTGCTTACTTTTTGATTTTCAAGAAGTGAAAATAACTAAGCTTTTGAGTGTTACAAGAAGAAATAAAGTTTCTCTCTTCTTTTCAAAATGGTATTGAAGTAGGAGACAAGCAAAGAGGAGGGATATGATGAAACTTATCAAGGTCATCCTTGGACAAAGACCACTTCACAATTTACTATTGTACCTTCTCTGAGACTAGAAGGTTATTTTCATATAAACTCATGTTTCAGACCATGGTTAGTTATTTCATTGTTTTTTCTTATATCTTTGCTCATAAGAAAGCCATTACCACAAGAACAACCTATTTTTCAAAGTGCAAAAAGCAATTGTACCACATAATAAAGAATAGGTCTGGGGATATTAATTTCTCAGTATGATATTTAGTCATTTATTCCACCTAGCCTAGTCGTGCCTGCAATTTTGGCAGCCTTGTGATCTCAGGTGACCCTATTTCCTCTCCAATTACACCTAAATCTCTCTCTCATGCTAAGAAGCATATGTCCCTTTCCACTTCACATTTGTGTCTAAATACATGAGATGACAAACATAAAAACTCATCGTAGCACACAGGTAAATAGCCAATGGATAGTTCAGAACAAAGTATTAATAATAGATACATAAAATATGAAGTGGCAGGATTTTTTCTGGTTGCTTAATAAAAGCTGTTTTATTATGCATGTTCTAGCTTTAAGAAAAATACAAGTGAGCAATTAAAATTTATTCCCTAGACTTACAAGGTACTTATGTATTACATTTTGTGATTCAGCAAATAAAAATAATTAAGAATGTAAGAAGCCATGTAGAATTTTTACCAGGAACACAATTAAAAAATGATACATGCACATAAACTAGGGAAAAGAATCATGATGTAAGCATGTGATTGCAGTAGAAACTTCCTATGACTGGGGCATATTTCCCTTTTCTTTGTTATATGTAAGCACATACACATGCATACATCCATATTTTAATCCAGACAAAGTCTTTTAACATGCTTACATTGAAATATATGTGCCACTGAAATTTGATCTTCACTAATATTCTTTCTAGGCATACTTCCATAAGACTAACATTTACACAACTAGGGAAACAATACAGAAATTGAAAGAGTAGAAACCTATTCACTCCCTGCTGAGGTAGAAAGTGGTAGGCGGAATATCTGCAGATGCAGGGAGAGTCCCTCAGGAGAGAGGAGCAGGCACAGTGGATGTGGAGTTCTCTAGATGGCTGTGATCCCCTGAGGCAGAGTTGTCTATTTCTGGCACTTGTCACAGGACAGCAAGTATCTCCATTTATAACCCAAATCTCTAGTTGTTTCACTTTCTCTGTCTCTATTTCTTATCAGCACTCTGCATTTAACTTTTTTTTTTTTTTAAATCCCAAGCATCCATTAAAATATACCCTGGACTACAGGTACACTTCATCAAAATCAGCCTGGCTCTAGTAAACACCAGAGAGCAGATTTGAGACATTTATTGTACTCAGCAACAAGTATCTTATAGGGGAAAACATTGAAGTTTTAGCAAACCTCATTCAGAATGTGTGGCCTTCTACAAGTCGCAACATTTCTAGCGAACCCTGCCACAATCACTTGTTGATTTTTTTTTTTACTAGAAAAAGTGCTAACCATTGACATGCTCATTTCATTCCAGCCACAACCCTATTGGGGTAGGTAATATTTTCACTTCCAGTTTTATATAAGATGAAAATAAGTTGAAAGGTTAAAAAAAATCTTCCCAGGACAACATAGTTATTAAGTAGCAGAATTTAAATTCCAACCTTCTTATGCCTGTCTGATAGGAAAGTCAGTACCCTTACCCACCATACTCACTGAGGTACAATATTAAGCATACCAAAGTGACTGGGTTATAAGATGCAAATGAAAAGTCACATAAAGATGGCTGTAAAATATTAATTGCTCGATAAATGGCCATTTGTTTATTATTCTCTCTCATGTTCCTGATATTCTTGGTAATATTTTGCATCCCAATTATTTGGTGAAGGTTTGCATACACCCTCTTGTCCTAATGACAGAGCAGTCAGTAGAAAAACATGGGGCCAAGGAAGCAGTGGATGGGGTGACATGGATAACTATAAGCAAGGTCAAAACATTCTACAGACTTGTCAGAATTTTTGACAAACCACTGATTTTTGGAACCTATCTACAAAAACTGCCCTGAAGCTTGGACTGGCCTAATGACTGTTTTTCTGAAATTTACACATGAAGTCACATAACAGAGCGATTTAGACTCAAATATAAATGAATTATTTCAGCCACAAATACGACATTCAGATTAAACATTAGAAGCAGAAAAAAACAAGAAGTGGGAGATAAACATTGTGAAGTTATTATTTTTTTCTCTCAGGATTCAATCATCTTTATTTTTGTAATAGAAAATTTCCTACTCAGCCTCCAATGGTAAAATCAGTTTAGACACTATCTCTAAAACATACATTTCTTGTTATAACACTGCAGTGACATGTTAATGTAGTTTGAAGCACTTAAAGACACCTTTAAAAAATACCTGTGAAAGTATAAAGAGTCAATGTGTATTTGTAATTATTTTTGTGTAAATCACAGAGCTTTAAGGAGTGTTTCGTCCCTTGCTCCACATATATAGAAGTGTTTCCAACAGACACCCTTTTTCTTTTGTGTGAGAATTGAGAACTGATTTCAGTCTCTGTGACAGACACCACTCCCCCCAAAAAATTAAAACATGTGTGCAGAATCAAAGCACAAGGATTTAGGCATTGCGGATGGTGATTTGTACCTGGAAGCAATCTGTAGGTTTTAGTAGCAATACTGCAATGAAATGTAACTTTCTTTTTATAATATATTTAAAGTGTGTCTGTATTAGACTTCTGTAATATTCTTGAGAACGAACTATGTTTTATAAATTTTTGCATTCCCAATTTAAGGTTTACCACTTTCAGTATCACTATCCTTTGTATGTGTGCTATTCTATGCCATCTGTCTGTTTTCCCCACATTCACAAAGGATTTGGGTTATAGGCTCTCAGTAAACAAGGCCAGTGACTGGCTTGCATCATGAGATTAACAGTAAAGAGCATGACTTCCGCAGTCTATCTGGGTTCAATTTCCAGGCTCACTCTGTGGGCTGGATTGCATCCTACTCAAATTTATATGTTGAATCCTTAACCCTCAATGTGACTACATTTGGAGATAGGGCTTTTAGGAGGTAATTAAGGTTAAATGAGGTAATAAGGGTGCGTTCTAAACCAATGGGGTTGGTGGCCTTATAAGAAGGGAAGAAAGGGAGATATCTCTTTCCCTCCATCCACTCAGGAAAGACCGTGTGAGCACAATGAGAAGAGGCCCATCTGTAAGCCAAGAAAAGAGGTCTCATCAGAGTCTGGCCATGGTAGCACCCCAATCTCAGACTTGCAGTCTCCAAACTGGGAGAAAATAACTTTTTATTGTTTAAGTCACCCAGTTTATGGCATTTTGTTACAACAGCCTGAACAGACTCACTCACCATGGTATTCTTAGGAAAAATAGTCAACATCTGTGTGCTATAGTTTTTCACTTAAGATTAAGAATAAGTTAGTTCCTTCCATTGTTACTCAGTAAAGATGCAACTCATGTTACAGTGATTTTCGGATCTGTATCTCTAGCTAATAACTCTTCACTGAGCTCTAATTTCATATTTTCAACCTCCCAAAGTTATCCTCCCCCAAAAATTATAAGTATGTCAACCTTAGCTTTAAGCAAACCAAATCTTTTTTCTTAAGCTCTACCAAAAAATCCCTCATTCTTCCTTTACCTTTCTCTTTTCAATTAATAGTATCAGCTGTTGTCATAGCTGCTAATGGCAAAAATATTAAAGACAACCTTCAACTCTTTATTTTTCCCAATTGTTTAAAAAGACTGCTCAAGGTATACAGTCTTACACCTATATTTTTCTATCCTATAGATATTGCTCTAGATCAGGCCCTCATCATCTTTCTCGTGTCCTGTTACAGAAAGCCTCTTAATTGCTTGTTGCTCTATAGCCCCATGACTCCACTTTCACATCTCCACTTTTAGTTTTTTTTCTGAAACTTTGATCTGGGATTTAGAATATCAAATAGCTAGTCATCAATGATAGAAATGATTTTCAACTTGCCAAATCTAAGAACCCATACACAACAAATTTACACCACCTTTAACACACTGTAATTTAAGACTGCCAAAAAACCTGTCCCCAGAATCCAAGGGAAAAATTACTAAGTATAAGGTTAAAGAAGCTGAAATAGCTTCCAGCCCCTGAGAAAAAATGATAGGAAGACACATTCTCCTTCCTCCATTATCTGCCCCCAAATCAGAGTCCTTGGCTCTGTGCTAAGCAGAAAACTATTCTTAGAATGGTACTCAGAAGCGCCAGTAAAAAAGCTTCATCCTGTCTCAGAGAGACTTCATGTAATACAGGAATTAAAAGGTCAAATTGGATTGACCCTCACGGCTCTTATCTTCCAATAAGTCCTGGATTCAGGTCAACAGCTTTGGCAAGAACTGAAAGAGTGACCATCCATTCATTTCTTGTTCAATTGCCAAAGCACACTAATGTACACAGCTAAACTGTTCCATTTCATGTGCTACTTGGAACTTATTTTCCCAAGCGACAGAAAAGATCTACTTTTCTATTTCCTTGAAGAGATGTAATTTATGCCTTATTTCCATGTTAAATTACCTAAACAGACATCATTATTGGTGGTAATGCTTTTCACTTTCATTTGTAGTATGCAAATATTGGGGTTACAAATAGCTCAAGTAAAAAAATCCAAATTTGAGAGAAATTCTTTTCAGATATATGTTCCGATACATGAGCAAAATGTGTGCAAAAACAGGTAAGTTTTGCTTTTCTTCCACTATCCAAAGAAATAATTATCCAGTAGGGGCTGAAATAGCATGCAAAATTTTGAAACAAACAGAATGGGTGAAATA
Source organism: Homo sapiens (assembly GCF_000001405.40). Lineage (NCBI taxonomy): Eukaryota > Metazoa > Chordata > Mammalia > Primates > Hominidae > Homo > Homo sapiens. The sequence goes on along the minus strand of NC_000005.10, from coordinate 63,651,482 downwards.
ACACAAGTACTGGATTTATGTTTATTTTAGATGCAAATGTTTAATGAGGAAAGCAGAAAGAACTAGACTCGGAATTACAGAGACAGAGATTGAAAAAAGCTTGTGATGTGGACAAGTGTTTATTCATTAATTAATCCATGCATTCATTTGTACATTCATTTAATATTGTCTGCTCAGTGTTAGAAACAGAAATTAAAGGAATCAGAAAGAAAGCCAGACCTCAGCAATTTAAAGGGTAATAAAATACATACATGAGGAAATTGTCTAGGATAGAAAATTAAGAATGCTGTACTAAAAACAGATCATCTTTGTTAGGAACTCAGAAGAATAGCTATGACTCTTTACCAGCCAAATATACTGACTACAAGGTATCTTTGATAATTTTCATTTAATAGTTTTCTGAAGGTCAAATAAATATTTTATAATATTCTAGGAATAGAAAATAAACCTATATCAAGTCCCATCAAACTGTCCCTTGAATATTATTTTCTTCTGCAATATAGGAATATCACATGTAATGCCCTATTACCAACACGGATGACTACTGTATTTGCAATGCTTCATAACCCCTGAAACAGTGTGTTGGTTCAATGTTACACTGCTTATCCTACTTTACTTCCTCATTCAATTAATTCTCTCATTGTACCTTTAACATCCTCTCTGGGAAAAGATTGCAAAGATTTAGATATTGACAGGGAGTCCATTAGTTTTAGGGTCCTTAGGAGAGCTGTTGGTTTGAATGTTGTTCCGCTCCTGGCTTGAAAATTGCATTGTTACCAATACCCTCATTCACATCAAATAGGCCAGTTAATATAAGGGAAGGGGAGATTTGCTTCAGAATTAAGTGACACACACTGTGTGTTATTGTTATTTGTTGCATTGTCTTGTCTCAGTTTTTAATACCAATTTTTTATTGTCTTATGTTCCTACAATACACAAAAAGTAAAATTCCAGTTTGAGGGAGTATGTAATGTGGATATTACTTAATGTATATATCTTGTAATTTAAAATTTGCAAGTCATTGGCATTTTCTAGAATCCACCAAGCTAAACAGTAGCAGCTATAGTCCAAGACAAAGTACGTGTGAGAAAAAGAAAAAAAGAACTACCTGTGGGTGGGGTGACAGAAAGGATCTAACAATACATCCAAGAGAAGCCAACGTTAATTGTCCTAGTATTTCCCAGTTAATAAATGAGCGGTGAGTCTCTGATTTACTGGATCCCTCATCATTAAGCAGAACATATCCATGCATATCCAGAGAGATGAAACAAACACACAGAAAAGGTGCTGAGGAAAATGTAGATGAAATGGTTTTACATATATAGACTCTTCATATCAGAAGTTTGGTCTCAATTTCTGTTGCCTGATAATTCATAATATACTACTCAACAGGATACACTGAAATTCTCCCCTCTATTGTCTCCTTACTTTAACACACCCATAAGCCTAATCTTAACCAAAAGGTTAGAATTAAATTCTTTCAGCAAGACAAACAGCTGATGCCACTCATTGACTATTTCCTATATACAAGAAGCTGTGCATATAGGACTTTGCATACAGGACTCTCATTCTTCAAAGCAATCTTACAGGCCAGTACACATGAGAAAACAGAGAATTCAAGTGCCTTGGCCAAAGTATAAAAGATTAAAATTGCATCTTTCTAATGCTAAAGCTTAAGCTTTTTATTAGGCCATGTTAACTATTAGCATTTAAACAGTTGATTAACATTGCTTCAAAACAAATAATTCATTATACTGGATGATTCTAATTTAATAAGCTTATACTAGGACCCTATTAAGACTGTATTATAGAAATAACCTATAAATTAAACAGTCACTACCCTTCAAGATCCCACAACTCAGTGTGTGAACAAAAAAGCAAACTAAATTTCATTTAATCCATTAAATAAACAAGATACATTGCTAGATGGGTAGAAGGATGGATAGATATGTGATAAGGTAAATTTAGTAAAAACTTTTTGTAGTTAGGTGGTAGGTATTGAGGAATTTTCTTTAAAGATCTTTCTGAATTATATAATACCTAAGCCAGAAAGACATTATTAATAAGACAAAGGAATAACAGAACTTGACTAGTATTTACATTCAGGGACTAGGATAGCACATATAGAAACAGATCTTCATGGTGTGGTACTAGTTGGGCAGTAGAATATAGTGGTGCCTGGGGAGAACTTATTGACATGGGTTTTTTACTGTTGATATGGGACTTAATGCCCTAGCAAGGACACCTGGAGCCAGTTCTAACAGTTTTCTAAAATCACTTGTTGAAGTGTGGACATCATGATTTACAGTAAATTAGGTGGAAATGTTAAAGTCTATGTAGAATATTACTAAGGAAATGTCACAAGGGTCATGGAGAATAAATGTTAGAATATATTGACTATATAAGATCTGAGAAGCCACTGCTTGACAATGGTTCTCAGAAAGTCCTAGAGGTTATTCTTTAAGCCAAGAAAAAATAGTGAAAGGAGAGATTTGGCAAATTTAAGATTGGAAGTGGCTGTGCTTTGTAGGCAGTTTGATGAGGGACATGCTGCCATGGGATTGGATTTCCCACTATCAATGGAAATGGGAGGATCATCAAATGGAAGAAATTAGGAATGAGAAATTGGTGGTAGCTAGGTGGACAAAATAGCATGATGATCAAGGGCTAGGACGGTCATCTCAAGAATCAGGTGATGAATAATAAATCATGATGTTCTTAGAGGCAAGACTTAAGAGCCTCTTAAGGTGTTGATTGACTGATGTAACTTAAAAAAAATCAAGATCTGTCAAGCAAAAGATTCATATCAGCCACTACAATGAAGTATCATGCTCCCCTACCCAGATTCTGTCAGAGTCAGTTCACAGACCCAGAGCACATTGACTGAAAGAGAAACCAGACTAGGGCCCCTTGAGGAAAGTCCTTGCAAATGCACCAGTTTTACATAGAGTATATATTCCCAATTCTTTCCAAAATGAACCTGTATAAATGTGTGCTGGAGAAAGTGGCATAAGCAGACTTTTTAAGGAATGATAGATGAATTGAGTTGACTGGCACTGATACTACCAGACCTGACATGCTATCATATCCCTATAATGAAATAAGAGATATGTTCAAATTGCATCTTAATGGAACATTTGATGCATCCATAGGGACTCCTTATCATTTGCATGTTCCTGAGTATATAACTGGGGTAGATATATTTAGTAGCTGGCAGAAAACTCCTATTGGTTCCCAGAGCTATGGCAAAAGGACCTTTCTGACTTGGAAGACTGCCAATTTCAAGTGAGACTTAGAGTAAGAGAAGTCTGTGGATCAAGCTTCCTAGACTTTAAGACGTAAGATTCAGTAGTGCCAGAGAGGACAATGATACCATGTGGAATTTCTAGCAGGCCCCAGTAATAGAATCACAGTTTAGACCAGTAAGGTCCTGGAAAAAGTTCATGCCATCTACAGCAGAAAACTACCTTGCTTGGAAAAAAAAAAATGTTTAAGTGTGCTAGTGAGTGTACTAGAGACAGAACACCTGACTTTAGGGACCAAGTGATAATGTTACCAGAGGTGCCCATCTTGAGCTGGGTATTACTAGATCTCTCATATCAAAGGGTCAGGTAGCAATCCATTCCGTCCATTCAGGAACATGTTCAAGGAAGTTCAGAAGGCATGAATAAATTACATGAACAGACTGCCCAGAATTCCATATTACCCTACCTTTTTTGCTCTAAAGTCTCTTCCTAAGTCCATAGCTTAGATCTAGTGAGTGTTTATTTATTCCCAACTAACAGGAGGAAAGATCTCCAGGACTGTTTTCCAGATAAGTTGATTCTGATTATTATCATGCTGTAAGTCTGCTATTACTCAAAAGTGGCAATAACCTAGCAGATTCACTGTAGCCCACTAAGGGAAATAAATCTCCTATTAGAAACCAGCCAACAAGCTGGCTGAGAAAGAAATCTGCAATTGGGACCACAAATGTAGGTAAATCATCTTTGTAGTCAGGACCAGCAGCAGCAGTAGCGACTGCATCTTGGTACACTAAGTCACCTGTATTAAATCTTTACAAAGATTGCACGTGGCCATTATCTTAAAGGGAATATGTACCTCCTCCTTCGGATGAAAAGTAAGGGCATCTTGTTTTGACAGGATGAAGACCATCATTCAAAGGAAATAATTTTTTAAAATTATGCTTGTCAAGCAAAACCCTAAGACTGTTTATCAATCATACATATTGTATGATGGATGCCAGCTATAATGGGAAGACATAATGCAGGTTTAAGTGGTACAAAGTATGCAAGATGCATACTTCTTCAGCTGATTTCAAATTATCTAATTCTCACCTGACACCAGGACCTTGTTTTCATTGTTTTATGTTTTGCTAGATGGGTCTAGTTGACTTCAGGTGGCCATTAGCCTGTGGTCCCACACTCTACCAAGTGCTTCACACCTATCACCCCAGGGCTTTCCTAAGGACAGAATTTACTGGGTATTTGCAGGACATACTTTTCACTCATGCATATGAAATCAATGCCTGTAAGGGAGTTCACTTACAGTAGAATACAGGAGTGTGCAGATGTATTTTTTCTCTATTCCTTTTTTCAGTGCAGGCATCCTGCAACCCTGGGCCACAGACTGGTACCCGTCTTGAAACTGGGCCACACAGCAGGAGTTGAGCTGCAGATGATAAACCATTACCACCTGAGCTCTGTCTCCTGTCAGATCAGTGGTGGAATTAGATTCTCATAAGAGCAGGAACCCTATTGTGAACTGTGCATTCTAGGGATCTAGGTTGTGCACTCCTTATGAGAATCTAATGCCTGATGATCCGAGGGGGAAGAGTTTCATCCTGAAGCCATCTTCCCGCCCCCACCCCATCTGTGGAAAAATTGTCTTCCATGAAAGTGCCAAAAAGGTTGGGGACCACTGTTTTAGTGGATAGCCCTGAGACGTAGTCCGAAAACTTCCATGTGAACAAGCAATCTATTGCCCTGGATATCAACCTTGTATTTGCGCTCCCTCCTACCCCATGTAACTCTTCTATTCCTTCACTGGGACGGTGTTCCTCCACAAGATATTAGCAAATATGCTTTTATTTCAAGCTCTGTTTTCTAGAAATCTGAGCTAACGGAAACAGGAGTGAACCGAAAGTGTCACAGAGACTAAAATTTTAAAGCACTAAATTACAGGCCACTACACCAAAGCTGCTTGCTAGTCTTCCCAGCAGCTTTGGTGTAGTAGCCTATGCAAAAGTTACCATGGATGATATGGTTTGGCCCTGCACCCCCACCCAAATCTCATGTTCAATAGCGATCCCCATTGTTGGAGGAGGGGCCCAGTGGGAGGTGATTGAATCATGGGGGCAGACTTCCTCCTTGCTGTTCCCATGATAGTGAGTGAGTTTCCACAAGATCTGGTTGTTTACAAGTGTGTAGCCCTTCCTCCTTTCCTCTGTCTTCCTCCTGCTCCAGATATGTGGGATGTGCCTGCTTTCCCTTTGCCTTCTGTCATTATTGTAAATTTCCTAAGGCATCCGCAGCCATGCTTCCTGTACAGCCTGTGGAACTATGAGAGAATTAAACCTCTTTTCTTAATAAATTACCCATTCTCAGATAGTGTTTTATAGCAATGTGAGAACAGACTAATACAATGGCCATTGCCTGGCCTCTTCAGCCCAAACATCACACTCCATGCCAGTGGTACTAAAAGTTGGGTCCCCCAGTCAGCAGCATCAATATCTCTTGGGAACTTGCTAAAAATGAAAATCCTCAGGCCTCACTTCAGATCTGCTAAATCAGGCATTCAGAGAGAGAGAAAGAAAGAGATTTTTGACATCCCCAACAGGCAATTCCAATGTATGCCAAGGTTTGAGAAACACTATTTCAAGCCTTGGGTTAACTGCTCTTGCTCCTCCATGCAAGTGAGAGTGGCGGGAACAGGTCATACATTTAGCTACTTCCATGCTGCACATCTGCAATCAGCTCCGAGCCCCCAGGTTCCATTAATTATGAGCACTCAGCTCCTGTTATCAGAAACTGCAACCTCCTGGAAGCAAACAGTGATTTTTTATTTTCAAACACGAAAAGGGAATATTTTATCATAATAATTAAGATTCCCTTTAAATACTAGTTTCAATTTTTTTCATTTAATGAATGATGTTGAATTTAGTCAAAGGCTTTTTGTTTTATTAATATTATTCTAAATTTCCTCTTTAATCTCCTAATATGGTGAATCACAATAATTGATAGTCTAATGTGAAACAAACATACAAACGTTGCTTTCCTATAATAAAGCCAAATTGGTTACGACCAATGACAGTGACATGATAGAGGCATGGAGGATGGCATAAAAAGGAAGACATCAAAAGATCATCTTGAAATATCAAGATGAGATTTAAAAACATGAAAGACCAAGAGAACTGAAAAGCCCAGAGCTTGTAGTCAGCAAGAAACCTTTTAAAATGTGAGGTTTCAGTTGAGCTGTTCTAAGTGTTGACAAAGTCTAGCTGTGATCATACTTCTGATGATTGGGAGACATTTGGGATGAAAAGGTTGTGGAGGTATAGGGTAAATCCCTTCGACCAGTGTTAGTAGCTGATAAAGAACATAGCCAGTAACTCTAAGTTGATTGGAGAAAAGGGAAGTGATATCATAATTGGGGAGTTAGACGAGAAATATATATGAAGTTAGAAATTTGGTTTGGAGAGAAAATACAGTAGAAATGAGACAAAGGGTAAAGGATGATAACGAGGTTTGCCTTGAATATGTACGGAGTGAAACACTTGAGAGGTTTCCCACTCCCTGTTTACAAAATCCCATTCTACCTTTATTTTTGAGGCCTAATTTATTCTCTATTGCTGATAGAAACTGCATGGCTTCTGTGGCCTCTTTAAGATAGAAATATTAGTGACATGACAGCAGGGAAGAAAATCACTGATCAGTTACCTGACACTGTTATATGGCTATTACTGATATAGGAACAGTGAAGTAAATTGCTTTAAAGTTTCAGATCTTCAGTTCTCTTTGCACTAGCATCTATTTTCATGTGACTTGGTGATTCGGGCATTAGGTTTAGGGTTTAGTGTTTAAGTGGCTTTAGTGTTTTCTTGTCATATGAGTCACTGCCATCACAGAGAGAAGGATATACCCAGAATAGACCACTGGTGCCAAAAGGAAAACAAGAGACACATGGAGCAGAGTTGCCACAGCTAAAAGTCACCAGCCACACTCTGTCTAGGGCAGACCCCAGCCTGCCTGCAAATGCATGACGGAACCAAATTGAGATCAGCAGAGTCCAGTTTAGATTACAGATCCCCAGCCAATGCATAGATAAGTAAGTTATAATAGCACATGATTGTCATTTTAAGCTATAGAGTTTTTGGTTGCTCTGTGATGTAACAATAACTAACTGATACAGATAGCATGTGAATAAGTCAATACATGGTGAAACATATGTTCCCAAAAAGAAATGATTTTGTCTAACTCGGGTTTTGATATGACCAGCAGTGGTGGTGGGAGCTGAGGCTGTAGAGATATGTTATTATCCATTGGTTGAATGTATTAATATGTATCTGTGGACATTATCATCAAAACGATTTTTGATCTAATTGCCAAACTGGATCAGGCAGAAGAAAAATCAGAGAGAAAGGATTTGCTGCTTAGCCCATCTTTATCTCCAATAACTTCTCTTTAATCTAGTTTCTGTAAGAGTTTATTTATCTTTCAGATTTAGCAATTAATGTGTGCCAGCATGCCTCTTCTATCCCATGGCCGTTATCATTAGTCAATGAGGCACTCATTTCTGCTGAGTCAAGAAATCTTCCCAACAGAAGTCTCTTAATTTTCTCTCCTTGAGATAATCTTTCCTCTATCTCAGAGTTCCAAATTCTACCCATCAACGATGAGCTCAGATGTTACCTCCTCCATAGAGCCCTCTGTGATTTGTTTTCCAAGATATACTATTTCTTTCTTTTCATCAGGTATACTGTTTCATTTATCAATTTTTGAAATATCTCATGGCATTTACTTTACCTTTATTTCCCATACTAACCCTAGGCCTTTTGAAGTTAGAGATCCTGTCTTATGTTTGTTTGTTTTTTGAAACTCCTGCAGCACCTAGATTAGCATTTTGAATATATTAGATAACCAATAAATGTCTGTTGAAAGCATGAATTACAAACTTGAAAATTTTTCTTAACTCTTGCAACTGTTTCTTAACTCTTGCTACTGTTTCTTAACTCTTGCTTTTGGCAAGAAAAGTTTAAGAGACTTTCTGAATGGTATGCAAATATATTATTCTGCCTATGTTTAGATGTTTTCTAACTGGAGACTAATTAATTTCTCTTTTAAAATGTACCTGACAAGAATATAAAAGGAGGAAGAAAAAGCATGGGAAAATTCCCTACTTACAGCAAGTGAAAAGTGGATACTAAAATTTGCAGGCGGACAGTCCTCTTTCACGTTGGTCCAAGAAACTGAAAGAGACAATTTCCCCTCCAAATTTTGGGATCCATCTTCTTTTCATTTAGGGCCGTAGAGATGCATAAGCCCTCGAATCCTGAATGTGAGTCTTCTATGAATTTGATTATTCTTATTTGTTCAGCTCATAATAAAGAAACTATTAACCTCTCCTCTTTCGCACTAACTCAGACTATTTTTGTGAGTCATTAAAAAAAGAGAAAATTCAACACTTATAATTCTAACACCCAGATCATTTTTCTCCAATAAATCAGATCGGGAGCCTGAACTACTGAGTAATAATTTTATTATTTGAATACCTCATTTATGCCAAAAAAACACAAGAATTAATCTTACATTGAAGGAAGGGAGAAAGGAAGAAAGGGAGGAACAGAGGGAGGGAGGAAAGAAGAACAGAAGGAAGGAAGGAAGGGAGGGAGAGAGGGAGGGAGGGAAGGAGGGAGGATGAAAGGAAACGGTTCCTGCTGATGAGTGCTTTATATATTTGAATGAGCCCTGACTTGAAACCTTAAAACAATCGTATTTGATTTTGAAATTCCTTCAGATATTTCTAATAATTCATTAAGTATCTTAGTTCCTTATAGTCAAGTCAACCCTAACAATAAATGTGGGCTTAAATGAAAATGTCTGTGATAAGAATAGTGTTCTACCTTCTAAGTACCACACGTCTTCACTGACCATATATATACACCCACTTGATATAGCTTTCTCCTGTGACTTTTCAGGAATGTAATTTGTATTATATAAGTTTATAATTTCTAATATATAATAAATTCATATTAATAAGATGTTCTATAGAGAAGGTTAGGAATATTAACTGGATATTAAATTCATATGCACTGTTTTATTGTTGTTATTTTTTGTTGCTGTTTTTTTGAGACAAAGTCTCACTCTGTCACCCAGGCTGGAATGCAGTGGAGTTATCATAGCTCACTGGAGCCTAGATCTCCCAGGCTCAAGTAATTCTCCCACCTAAGCCTCCCGAGTAGCTGGGACTTCAAGTGCACACGATCATGCCTGGCTAATTTTCTTGATTTTGTTTTGTTAGTAGAAATAAGTTCTCACTATGTTGCCCAGGTTAATCTTGAACTCCTAAACTCAAGCAATCCTCATGACTCGGCTTCCCAAAGTTCTGGGATTACAGGAATGAGCCAAAGCACCCAGCCCTCATTGTTGTTGTTATTTTAACAAATAATATTTAAGTTTATAAAGAAAGCAATGAATTTTCCCTTGGGGAAATCCAGCAATCCCCCTACTGGGTATCTACCCAAAGGAAAAGAAAACATTACTGCAAAAAGATACCTGCACTTGTATGTGAATCACAGCACTATTCATAATAGCAAAGATATGGAATCAACCTATATTTAGATACATACCACATTTTCTTTATCCAATCATTCATTGGTATATATACACATATATATATATACACCACATTTTCATATATATAAAATGTACACTAATATATATACACTTAAATACTATTCAGCCCTAATAAAGAATGAAATCATGTATTTTGCTGCAACAAAGTTAGAACTGGAAGCCATTATATTAAGTAAAATAACTCAGAAACAGAAAGTCAAATACCACATGTTCTCACTCATAAGTGGGAGTTAAATAATGTGAACACATGAAAATAGAGTGTGGAATAATAGACATTGGAGACCTGGAAGAGTGGGAGGATGGGAGGGGGGTGAGGGAGAATAAATTACTTAATGGGTACAATGTACATTATTTGGGTGATGGTTGCACTGGAAGCCCAGACTTCACCACTACGCAATATATCTATATAACAAAACTGCACTTGTACCTCTTAAATTTATATAAAAGTTATCTTTATACTAATTGAATAATGCCCCATTTTCTCCTCAATTAGTATAAACACCAAAATCAATGTAATAGACATATACATCACCTCCAAAAGTCTCCTGTCTCTCTCGATGTCTCTCTCCCTCTGTCTCTCTCTTTGGTGGTGGTAAGAACACTTAATATCTATCCTATTAAATTTTTAAGTGAACAATAAGATATTGTTATCTATAGATGCTATATTTTAGAGCTGACTTCTAGAACTTATTTATGTTTTATAACTAAAATTTAAGACTCTAGAGGTTTTCAGAAAAAGGAATGGCATTGGATATTTTAGTTTGTGCAGTGAGGTTTGAAGTTAACCTTACCTTGATCATAGATAAAAGAAGAAACCCCGGGAACCATCTGGATTTACACCAAATGGTGCACACCAGATTGTCACCTCTTTTCATATGATACAAGATTCTTTTTGAGCAATTCTGTATGAGGCATTTAAGTGAGGACCAGGGTCTGAAAAGATAGTTCCTAGTATCCATAAGGTCTGGATACATAATAGGACTTTGACACAAATTTTTGAACAATGAATGGATCAATGGAAGCATCCTAAAAATTTACACCTTTTCAGTAAACAGGGGTTTAAAAATCTCAAATATATATATATATATATATATATGAACTTTGGTTCATAAGGGTGGCTTAGGCATCCTTTTTGGCTACTAATATTTCATGTTGGTGAAAATATGTTAGTAAGTAATCATTTTCAGCAACCTCTGACAAAAAAATGTGAGGCTTTGATTTTCCACTTCAATAAGATCAGAAGCGAGTACATGAGATGAATGTCTCTAGCCTCTCAGTAAGCAAAGATGCTTTACAAGTCATCGCTCTTCACAACAGAAGTGGAGGAGAAAGTCTTCATAAATTCACCATTTTTAGAAATGCTTTCTGAGGTGAAATTTATCTTAAAATTAGGGAATGATTCGTAGAGCTTTTAGGTAATATCCTTATATATGCTTTAACCTTTCACTGGGCAAAAGAATTTCAAGTAAGCAAGGTTTCATTGACTATCATCATCATTTATTAACCCATGAAAATCAGTGGTTTTTATTTTCTCAGAGTCTGGGCTTACATGTCTTCAGGGTGGTCTGGGAAGAATTAACATCCTTTAGAAGTATAAGATAACTATACTTCTTCAGTATAATATAACTAATATTTAACATCCTTTAGAAGTATCACTATTAATTAACACTAATACTACTAGCACTAATCACAAACTTGTTTCATTATTACTAACCCTACTAGTATTCTCTTTTTTCTTTTTTTTTAATTTAATTTAATTTTAAGTTCCAGGATACATTTGCAGGACATGCAGGTTTGTTATACAGGTAAATGTGTGCCATGGTGATTTGCTGCACCTATCAACCCATCACCTAGGCATTAGGCCCCACATGCATTAGCTATTTATCCTGATGTTCTCCCTCCCTCCACCCTGCCCTCGACAGGCCCCAGTGTGTGTTGTTCCCCTCCCTGTGTCCATGTGTTCTCATTGTTCAACTCCCCTTTATAAATGAGAACATGTGTTGTTTGGTTTTCTGTTCCTGTGTTAGTTTGCTGAGGATAATGGCTTCTCATACTTTTTAAAATCAACCTTTGACTCTTCAGTATCTATTCATTCAGTCTGTAGATTAGCTACCTCCTTTGTTGTCTTATTTTTCTGCCCCAGCCCACCTTCCAGGATTTTTGTATTCCTAGTATTTGAGGGTTGAGGAAAGGAAATTCACCAAATGGCATTATTAAAACTGTGGTATACAATTGCAACTATACATAAAAATTGTAACATATAGTAATCTTTGTATAACTACGCAGCAAAAAGAATTCAAAGCTCTAAGATAGAATATGCTATTGTAGGTATGCATATACAATTTGCTTTTTAATTAGAAATGAAACAGTATTACCAAAGCTTTTTGTCAGTATATTTGTAGTAACATTTGTACCTCTTCTGGCTAAGTTTCTCAGGTTCATCTGCAGATTTATTTTATGAACGTTCTTTGGTTTGCATTGGTACAATCAATTAGGATACATCATTACATATAATATAGCTAAACACATGCAGAGAACCATACGTGCTGTAGTTTTTATTTAATTTCTAATATAGGTTTTGTTCAATATGTTTTAATATGAAGAACCACTTTTTTGTTGATAGATGTTCTTTGATATAATTATTTAGGTATTTGGTATTTTAATCAATATTGAGTTAAAGCTTACAATAAAAATAAAACACGCACCTCCTCATGCACACACTGAAGGTTGAACCATATGAAATTGCCAATATTCAACTGTTTTTGACCTAAAAAAATGGTCAAATGGTATGAAAGACCATAATATCCACTAAATGAAACTGTTTACTTGTCTAGACATAGCTTAAGAGGTCTACTCTGAAGAAAGCCAAGCATTTCTCAAACAGGGAGTATGTTAATTAAAGTCTTCTAAAACTAATCTTAGAAAAAAGCCTTCTAATAATTTATTGAAATACCACAATGATACAATGTGCCTAAGAAAAAACAGAGGCAATTAAAAGAATTTTTTTTAAAAATCATATTGAAAAAAAATGTGCAGTTGACTTTAAAATCCTTGTGAGTATTCCTTGAGGATTGCTTTTAAAATCCTGCTCCATGGAACAACTGCTTATTAGTTGGCTCTGTCCCAGTTCAATGCTGAACTGAAAGGCAGCATCTCATTACTGTGCTCACTGGTAACTTTTCAAAACTTCTTTCTGAAGCCTTTTCCAAAGGCTTCATTAAAAATACAATACAAAAATAAGTCATCTCATTTGTCCCCAAGTGTGGTATGTGCATCTGCAGTTCTGAATAAAGTACAGTATAATAGTACTTCAAAAGGCAAATGGGATAAACATAGGACCAATTGTCCAATCTAAAATATTCAGCTTCAGTTTAAAGAGATAAGAAAAGAACAAATACCTTTCTTTCCTTTACGTAATTCATGTTCAGATGGTGGTAATATGAACAGAGTAGCTGAAAATAGAATGAGGCATTAAAACATCCATCAATAACTCCTCTTTTTTCTTTCTTTTCAAAGGCAATTTCTCATCTTTTATCTGTTTTTTTAAGTAGGTTGATCATAATAATTACTATGTGTCCTTCTGGACTGCAGTGATGAGCCTGTGAATATTTCCTCATAAAATTATGAAAAAAATAGGGAATTGGAAAGTAAATATGAAATAGGGGAAAACACTCACATACACAGGGATATGAGGATAAGGAGAAATGGCTAAACGCATACACAAAACTAAATCCCTTCTCAGCTGGTGTGTTCAAAAACCATCCTTATAATTTGAAAATCAGTACAATATATGCTGATGAAAGAGCTTTGGTTTGTGCTAAATGACTACTGTGAATGTCAAAGAGAATTTTGCTTACCACATGAAATGGAACACTTTTGAGCTCTTGTGTGAATAATCTAGCCTAGTATGTCTCAGGATAGTCCTATTCAGGCTGAACACTATGGCAGGAGCACTGAGTTATTAGGAAAAAGGAAGTGAGGAATTAAAAATAAAATCTGATTTTGGAAAGTAAGGTCTTAATGGTAAATATTATAATGAAAAAAGAAAACAAATTATTTAATGAATTTTTATGGTTTTTCTAAATTTGGAAGTCTATCCTATAAACTTCTACCAGAAAGTAGAATTCAGTAAATATTTATGTGGTCATATTCTATGATAGGCATAGGTTCAGTTGGTAGTTTCTACTCTCAGGACCTCACCATCTAATGAGGAGACAGAGAAGTAAGCCAATCATTATAATATACTGTAATACATATAAGGATATAAATGTGAAAGTACCGGAGAGTATAAAATGGGGAAAATCAAAGCTGTTGAGAGAGTGAGTCAAGGCAGGCTCTTTGAGGTTGTCACATTTGACAAAATTCAAAATGAATATGGAAATGCACACTGGAATTTACCAGGAGCAAAACGTGATGGGAAAAGGCAAAAAAGAAACTATGTTGAAAGCCATAAAGTAGAAAAGCATGGAGTGTTTGGCGAATTACATGCAGTTTGTAAAGGTTGATTGTAGAGTATGGATTGGGCAGTAAAATTGAACCTTTTCTAGCTAACAATAGCCATACAATCATGCCACATAGGCACCCAGCTAAAATGTCAGTCTGGAACCATGTCTTTCCCTCCTCTATGGAGGCCTGAAGAGACTCATTTCCTGGTAAGCCCCTATAGAGCTAAGGATGCTTGCCAAGGAGAAGACACATTGACTGCATTCAGAATATGGCAAGCTGGCAAGCTTGACTTTTATAGGCAAATATAGGCTTTTGTATTTTATTCTCACATCTCAAGATTCTTCCGGCCTTTCTAGGAGGAGGAACTGGAAAAAATTTTTTTTCTGTGATGATCTCATTACAATGCTTTGTCCTGTTGCATATGTGAATGCTTCTCTAAATATAGAATATTTTCAGGAAGACATACCAGGAGATATCTGGCTAAGGGTTTTTAAGTGAAAACAGCTTCCCGAGTCACCCAGATTCTCTCCAGGTATGCATATTTTGGTGGTGTCAGTGGCAGTCCACCTGTATCTAGTGAGGCCCTCCCAGATTGGTAAAGCCATGGTTGTTTACTAAACCTCTTAATCCCAAAAGACCTCACCTTAAAATCTCAGAGAGACTGCTTTATATAGTCACTATATTTGTCTTTTGCAAACTTGACTCCTGGCTTTAGTGTTTGTGTTTTAAGTAACAATTTTATGTTTACAATATTATTTTGCATTACATACTTGACTTCATTGACTTTAAAATGGTATTTGTTATAAAATATTTTATCTACTGCTAAGATAGAAGAAATACTGCCAACTAAATCAATACACTGCTCTTATCACTTAGAATCTTTACATTATACTGTAAGAAGAAACTTATTTAAAACAAATGTAATCATAGACTGCTCATGTGAATAAATAAAAAGAAAACATAGTACTCTGATTAAGATAATTCCAAAACTTTTTCACATTTCAAATTTGCAATCTTTACATTACACTGTAAGAAAAAACTTATTTAAAAGAAATGTAATTGTATACTGCTCTTGTGAATACAGATAAAGAAAACATAGTACTCTGATTAACTCCAAAACTTTTTTACATTTCAAATTTTCAATCTTTGAGTACCTGTTCAACTGAGTCGATAATGACATGTTTTTCCACAGAGAATCATCCTCTGTGCTACCAAGAACATAGAAGACAGCACTTTTAAAAAGGTGTTCCATTAGACTGTTGTCTGGTTGTCAAAAAGCAGCAAATTTCAGACACACTCTGAATTAATAGATATTAAAATGTGAGGTACAGTGATATTCTTTGAATTGATGAAATATTACATATACTATTGACTGAGCATAACCATGGACACTCTCATAACTTTGTAAAATGACCAGTCTACGGGAATGTCCGATCAGCCATCTATGAGGCTAGAAATAAATGGAGCAAAGCATCAAGACCAGAGTCTACCTAGGACAAGAACATTTCATGGCACAGAGTAGATGCTGAATAAATCATTTTTGAATGAATGAGTCCCGATTCTACAGCAGAATTTAGCATTGTCTCATACTAATTTACTGGTATCAGTAGTTACTTCAATAACCCATGTATTAACTAGAAAAAACATTGACTTGCCCTGGATATACATTGAATACTCTCTTCATTTTAAATAAGCAATATCTTTGACTATTCACAAATACTGTAAAGAGTTTGAATACACAAAAGCAATGGCGATGACCAAGTGAGCTTTTGCAATGTGTGAAGGTCATGCAGCGATACAGCATGGATATGTGTATATGCTTGGATTAAAATGTTATACATAGACTCTCATGCTCTACCAACTTAGCTAGCCTATGAATCAGCAGCAAAACTAACTAAATAACTAGTAATCTGACTAAAGTGGGCTAAAGACTTGAATAGACCTTTCTCCAAGGAGACATATAAATAGCCATAAGGTGTGTAAAAAGATGCTCAATGTCACTAATCAGGGAAATGCAAATTCAAACCACAATGATATATCATCTCACACCTTTAGGATAGCTATTGTTTTAAAAAATAGAAAAAAATAGTGTTGCTGAGTATGTGGAGAAATTGGAACCCTTGTACACTGTTGGCGATAATGCAAAATGATGTGGTATATATACACAATGGAATATTATTCAACTTTTAAAAAATAGGACATTTTGCCATACAATACACATGGATAAACTTGAAGGACATAATGCTAAATGAAATGTCAGGCAAAGAGAGACAAATACTGCCTGATTCCACTTATATGAGGAATCTAAAATAGTCAAACTTATAGAAACAGAGAGTCAAATGGTGGTTGCCAGGGGCAGCTGGGAGAAGGAGGAGGAAAGGTGAGTTGGTAATCAGTAGGTAACAATGTACAGTTATGCAAGATGAATCAGTCCTGGAAATCTGCCGTATACCATTTTATCTATAATTAATAATACTGTACTTCTACATCTGCTAAGAGGATAGATCTCATGTTAAGTGTCCTTGCCATAACAAAAAAAAGTTGGTTAAATAAAAAGGGAAATAAGAGCCTGCTTTAAGCTTATAACACAAATACTTGACATATATCCGTATATGAATAATTTACTTGATTATATATTTTTTGAGAATGGCTTACCTGTTTCATCAAATAGTATAATTATAACAATTCTTTTGTAATTAAGAACAGAAACATCTTTGTGATTCTTTGTCTTCCTTTGAGCTTTATTGATTGTTATAGCCTCTGAGATTTTATACTGGCGTGCAACAATAATCCTTAGGCTATCTGCTAACATTTGTCATAGCAATGTGATTTGATTTCAAGTACAATCAAAGCCCATATGTTGATTTGCTAATGTAATAAAAGTCACCCTGGTACTGCTGTATTAGTCCATTTACATGCTGCTGATAAAGACATACCCAAGACTGGGTAATTTATAAAGAAAAAGAGGTTTAATGGACTCACAGTTCCATGTGGTTGGGGAGGTCTCATGATCATGGTGGAAGGTGAAGGTCACATCTTACATGGCAGCAGGCAAGAGAGAATGAGAACCAAGTGAAAGGAGATTCCTCTTATAAAACCATCGGATCTCATGAGACTTACTCAGTACCATGAGAACAGTATGGGGAAACCACCGCCACGATTCAATTATCTCTCACCAGGTCCATCCCACAACATGTGGGAATTATGATTGCTACAATTCAAGATGAGATTTCCGTGGGGACACAGGCAAACCATACCAACTGCCCAGACTAGATGTCGGCCACAGTAGACCTGCCTTTTTTTTTTTTTTAAAAAAAAAAAAGATGTGTTTACAGAAGAATTACTTGGAATACAGAGGATTAAAAATTATGTCACATGAAGAATATCAGGGACACAGAGCAGAGGTGTTTAGTCTTTAAAAGAAAGACAGACTAGAGAGGAAATACCAAGATCTGGTAGTTTATAGTGTACAGTGAAGCCTACACATACTTTTGCATGGCTTCAATAATTAGAATCAAGGGTGGAGAAAGTAGGTTTAGACTAAGGGCACATGTTCAGTGGTCATTGCTACCCAAAGATGGAGTGAGCTGCATCATGCAGCTCCTGTCCTAGGATGGATAATTGTTAAGAATGTTATGAAGGTGACTCAGGCATCACTAGGTGAATTAACTAAGGGACTTGTAAAATCCCTGAAAATCTAGAGCTTTTATGACACTCAGAAGTTAAGTGTCATGGTGGTCTCTATATAATGAAGATAATACAGACATGCCTCATTTTATTGTACCTCACTTTACTGTGCTTCACAAATATTGCACTTTTGACAAACTGAAGGTTAGTGGTAACCCTGCATAGAACAAGTCTACTTGTGCCATTTTTCCAACAGCATGGGGTCACTTTGTGTCTCTGTGTCACATTTTGCTAATTTTCATATTTAAAATGTTTTCATTATGATTATGTTCATTAGGTAATCTGTGATTGGTGGTCTTTGATGATGCCACTGTGATTGTTTTGGGGCACCATGAACCATATCCATGTAAGACAGGGAACTTAACCAATGTGTTGTGTGTGTTCTGACTGCTCCACTGACCGGCCATTTTTCCATTTTTCTCCCTCTCCTCAGGCCTCCCTATTTCCTGAAACATGGCAATATTGAAATTAGGTCAATTAAAAACCCTACAATAGCCTCTAAGTTTTCATTTGAAAGGAATATTCATACATATCTGACCTTAAATCAGGCTATCAATGATTAAGCTTAGTGAGGAAAGCATGTCCAAAGCCCTGGCAATTTGAAAGCTAGGCCTCTTGTGCCAAACAGTTAGCCAAGTTGTGAATACAAAGAAAAAGCTCATGAAGGAAACTTAAAGTGCTATTCCAGTATCATAAAAGTGCAAGGTGAAATATCAAGTGCTGATGTAGAATCTACAGCAAGTTATTCAGAAGATCTAGCTAAGAAAATTAATGAACGTGGCTAAAAAAACAACAGATTTTTCAATGTAAACAAAACAGCCTTCTATTGGAAGAAGTTGCCAGCTAGGACTTTCTTAGATAGAGAGAAGAAGTCAACAGTAGGTTGAATCTCTTTTTAGGAGTAAATGTGGCTGACGACTTTAAGTTGAAGCTAATACTCATTTACCATTCCAAAAATCTTAAGACCTTTAAGAATCATGCTAAATCTACTTTGCTGTGCTCTAATAAATGGAATAACAAAGCTTGGATAATAGCACATATGTTAGAGCATGGTTTATTGAATATTTTAAACCCACTACTGACACCTACTTCTCAGAAAAAAATATTCTTTTCAAAATATTACTGCTCATTGACAATGCACCTGTTCACCCAAGAGCTTTGATGGAGATGTACAAGGATATTTATGTCATTTTCATGACTACTAACACAACATCCATTTGGTAGACCATTAATCAAGGAGTAAAATTTGACTTTCAAGTCTTACTATTTAAAAAAAATACATTTTATAAGGCTATTGCTACCATGGATAATGATTCTTCTGATGAATATGGGCAAAGTAAATTGAAAACCTTCTGGAAAGAATTCACCATTCTAGATGCCATTAAGAATATTCATGATTTATGGGAAGAGATCAAAATATCAACAACTCTCATAGATAACTTTGAGGGGTTTAAGGCTTTTGTAGAGGAAGTAACTGCAGATGTGGTGAAAATAAAATAAGAACTAGAATTGGAAGTGGAGCCTGAAGATGTGACTGAATTGCTGAAATCTCACGATAAAACTTGAATAGATGAGGAGTTACTTCTTATGGATGAGCAAAGAAAGTGGTTTCTTGAGGCAGAATCTACTCCTGGAGAAGATGCTGTTAACATTGTTGAAATCATCACAAAGGGTTTAGAATATTACCTAAACTTAGTTGATCAAACAGCAGCAGAGTTTGCAAGTTTTTGACCCGATTTTGAAAGTTCTGTGGGTAAAATGCTATCAAACAACATTGAATGCTACAGAAAAATCTTTTGTAAAAGGAAGATTCAATTGATGTGACAAACTTCATTGTTGCCTTATTTTTAAAAATTGCCACAGCCACCCCAAACTTCAGCAACCACTACACTGATCAGTCAGCGGCCATCAACATTGAGGCAAGACCCTATACAAGCAAATAGATTACAACTCTCTGAAGGCTGAGATGATCATCAGCATTTCTTAGCAATAAAATATTTTAAAATTAAGGTATATGTTTTTAAACATAATGCTATTGCACACTTAACAGACCACAGTATAGTGGAAATATAACTTTTATATGCCCTGAGAAACTAAAAAGTTTGTGTGACTCATTTTATTGTGATATTTGCTTTATTGATGTGGTCTGGAACAGAACCTGCCGTATCTCCAAGGTGTGCCTATACATCTAGGCTTATGGGCTAGAAATAAATAATGATATATGCAATGTGGAAATGCTTTGTGATATGTATTAAGATAAAGTTTCTGAGAAACATTGCTATTTTAATTATACTCCATCTCCCCTGAATCTTCATCCTCTGCATTTTTTTCTCCATATTTCTGGTTGCATATCTAATCACTTTTTACAGGTCAGTCTAAATAAGTGGCTCTTTCTCCAACACTATCTGTATTTAGACTATTCCCAGTAGATTTAATTACTTCCTCATCTACATTCCTATAGTGTTCTATGCATAATTTGAGTAGAATAGTTTTATGACCTTTGTGTACATTTTTTTCTAATTCCCTCTGAAATGTGACTTCCTTAACAGGGTGTTCATTCACTCAAAGATTAATTTAATTTGTCATATGCCAGACAACTCATGGATCATGATTGTTGTGGGAAATTTCTTCATAGATTTCTTGTGTTCCTCCTACACAGTCCAGGCCTTTTGACTAAACGAAGTTTTTCAATAGCAAACAGCCTTTGAGTCTAAAGATAGAGTATCCTACTAGAGAGATGTACAATCATCTTCCTCCTTGTGGAGACCCTTCATAATTTCTTTTCTTTTTTATTCTGAGACAAGATTTTGCTCTATTACCCTGGCTGGAGTGCAGTAGTGCAACCACGGCTGACTGCAGTGTCGACCTCCCATGCTCAAGCAATCCTCCTACCTCAGCACCTCCATCTTCAATAGCTGGGACTACAGGTGCATCTCACCACACCTGGCTAATTTTTGTAATTTTGTAGAGACGTGGTTTTGCCATGTTGCCCAGTCGCCCTTCATAATTTCTGGCTTAACACTGTCTCGCATGTATGTACACATGAATATGTGCATGTATGCACACATGAATATGTGAATGAATGTAGTGGAGCAAAAGGAGAAAGGGACACAGAGGTGAATATTAAATGATAATTATACTCTAAAATGTGCTAATTTCTGAAGTACAGCAAAGTGCTATAGGAGTATAGCGGAGGAATTAGAAACTTCAAGGCTAATGAATACTGAATATTTTAAAGTGATTGTTAAAATACTACTCAATCATTTTTAAGATAAGATGTGTGAAGAGTTTTCACTAATTAAATCTGTTCAGTCATCTAGGGAGTTTCCCTTTCCATAATGTGAAATCACAGACTTCTTTGCTGCCCCTCACCCTCTTTGCAGTGAAATATTTCTTCCTACACTCTATCTCCAGGCATTATCTGATTCATTCAGCTTATATCTTTGTGAACAGAAAACACTCTCTTTTGTTTCTCCCTAGTTTTCTCCTCACCTCCTGGAAGACTTGGGACTTTCTGTGACCCCCCCTAATTTGTATAAGAAAACAATAGTATGATACTGTACTTCTCTATAAGAACTATTTCCTTAAACAATAGATTGTCAGAATTAGGAAAACAAATAGAAAGAGTAAATAAAGGCCTTTTCTGCATCTATTGAGATAATCGTGTGGTTTTTATCATTGGTTCTGTTTATATGCTGGATTACATTTATTAATTTGTGTGTGTTGAACCAGCCTTGCATCCCAGGGATGAAGCCCACTTGATCACGGTGGATAAGCTTTTTGATGTGCTGCTGGATTCGGTTTGCCAGTATTTTATTGAGGATTTTTACATCAATGTTCATCAGGGATATTGATCTAAAATTCTCTTTTTTTGTTGTGTCTCTGCAAGGCTTTGGTATCAGGATGATGCTGGCCTCATAAAATGAGTTAGGGAGGATTCCCTCTTTTTCTATTGATTGAAATAGTTTCAGAAGGAATGGTACCAGCTCCTCCTTGTACCTCTAGTAGAATTCAGCTGTGAATCCATCTGGTTCTGGACTTCTTTTGGATGGTAAGCTATTAATTATTGCCTCAATTTCAGAGCCTGTTATTGGTCTATTCAGAGATTCAGCTTCTTCCTGGTTTAGTCTTGGGAGGGTGTATGTGTCGAGGAATTTATCCATTTCTTCTAGATTTTCTAGTTTATTTGCATAGAGGTGTTTGTAGTATTCTCTGATGGTAGTTTGTATTTCTGTGGGATGGGTGGTGATATCCCCTTTATCATTCTTTATTGCATCTATTTGATTCTTCTCTCTTTTCTTCTTTATTAGTCTTGCTAGTGGTCTATCAATTTTGTTGATCTTTTCAAAAAATCAGCTCCTGGATTCATTGATTTTTTGAAGGGTTTTTTGTGTCTCTATTTCCTTCAGTTTTGCTCTGATCTTAGTTATTTTTTGCCTTCTGCTAGCTTTTGAATGTGTTTGCTATTGCTTCTCTAGTTCTTTTAATTGTGATGTTGGGGTGTCAATTTTAGATCTTTCCTACTTTCTCTTGTGGGCATTTAGTGCTACAAATTTCCCTCTAAACACTGCTTTGAATGTGTCCCAGAGATTCTGGTATGTTGTGTCTTTGTTCTCGTTGGTTTCAAAGAACATCTTTATTTCTGCCTTCATTTAGTTATGTACGCAGTAGTCATTCAGGAACAACCCTTCATGCTAAAAACTCAAAATAAATTAGGTATTGATGGGATGTATCTCAAAATAATAAGAGCTATCTATGACAAACCCACAGCCAATATCATACTGAATGGGCAAAAACTGGAAGCATTCCCTTTGAAAACTGGCACAAGACAGGGATGCCCTCTCTCACCACTCCTATTCAACATAATGTTGGAAGTTCTAGCCAGGGCAATCAGGCAGGAGAAGGAGATAAAGGATATTCAATTAGGAAAAGAAGTCAAATTGTCCCTGTTTGCAGATGGCGTGATTGTATATCTAGAAAACCCCATCATCTCAGCCCAAAATCTCCTTAAGCTGATAGGCAACTTCAGCAAAGTCTCAGGATACAAAATCAGTGTGCAAAAATCACAAGCATTCTTATACACCAATAACAGACAAACAGAGAGCCAAATCATGAGTGAACTCCCATTCACAATTGCTTCAAAGAGAATAAAACACCTAGGAATCCAACTTACAAGGGATGTGAAGGACCTCTTCAAGGAGAACTACAAATCACTGCTCAATGAAATAAAAGAGGATACAAACAAATGGAAGAACGTTCCATGCTCATGGGTAGGAAGAATCAATATCATGAAAATGGCCATACTGCCCAAGGTAATTTATAGATTCAGTGCCATCCCCATCAAGCTACCAATGACTTTCTTCACAGAATTGGAAAAAAACTACTTTAAAGTTCATATGGAACCAAAAAAGAGCCCACATTGCCAAGTCAATCCTAAGCCAAAAGAACAAAGCTGGAGGCATAACGCTACCTGACTTCAAACTATACTACAAGGCTACAGTAACCAAAACAGCATGGTACTCATACCAAAACAGAGATATAGACCACAATGGAACAGAGCGGAGCCCTCAGAAATAATGCCGCATATCTACAACCATCTGATCTTTGACAAACCTGACAAAAACAAGAAATGGGGAAATGAATCCCTATTTAATAAATGGTGCAGGGAAAACTGGCTAGCCATATGTAGAAAGCTGAAACTGGATCCCTTCCTTACACCTTATACAAAAATTCATTCAAGATGGATTAAAGAGTTAAATGTTAGACCTAAAACCATAAAAACCCTAGAAGAAAACCTAGGCAATACCATTCAGGACGTAAGCATGGGCAAGGACTTCATGTCTAAAACACCAAAAGCAATGGCAACAAAAGCCAAAATTGACAAATGGGATCTCATTAAACTAAAGAGCTTCTGCACAGCAAAAGAAACTACCATCAGAGTGAACAGGCAACCTACAGAATGGGAGAAAATTTTTGCAATCTACTCATCTGACAAAGGGCTAATATTCAGAATCTACAGTGAACTCAAACAAATTTACAAGAAAAAAACAAACAACCCCATCAAAAAGTGGGCAAAGGATATGAACAGACACTTCTCTAAAGAAGACATTTATGCAGCCAAATGACACATGAAAAAATGCTCATCATCACTGGCCATCAGAGAAATGCAAATCAAAACCACAATGAGATACTATCTCACATCAGTTAGAATGGTGATCATTAAAAAGTCAGGAAACAACAGGTGCTGGAGAGGGTGTGGAGAAATAGCAACACTTTTACATTGTTGGTGCGACTGTAAACTAGTTCAACCATTGTGGAAGTCAATGTGCCGATTCCTCAGGGATCTAGAACTGGAAATACCATTTGACCCAGCCATCCCATTACTGGGTATATACCCAAAGGATTATAAATCATGCTGCTATAAAGACACATGCACACGTATGTTTACTGCAGCACCATTCACAATAGCAAAGACTTGGAACCAAGCCAAATGTCGAACAATGATAGACTGGATTAAGAAAATGTGGCACATATACACCATGGAATACTATGCAGCCATAAAAAGTGATGAGTTCATGTTCTTTGTAAGGACATGGATGAAGCTGGAAACCACCATTCTCAGCAAACTATCGCAAGGACAAAAAACCAAACACCGCATGTTGTCACTCATAGGTGGGAATGGAACAATGAGAACACATGGACACAGGAAGGGGAACATCACACACATGGGCGTGTTGTGGGGTGGGGGAGGGCGGAGGGGTAGCATTGGGAGATATACCTAATGTTAAATGACTAGTTAATGGGTGCAGCACACCAACATGGCACATGTATACATATGTAACTAACCTGCAGGTTGTGCACATGTACCCTAAAACTTAAAGTATAATAAAAAATAAAAAAATAAAAATAAAAATAAAAAAAGAAAGATCAGATAAAAGCTGTATCAACCATGCTCTTGAACGGAAGAGCCTATCTTCATTTTACCAGATTAGTGCCACCGGTACCAGCAGTTAGTACTTTCAGGGGCAGTGAAAAGGAAAACTGTTTTACCCTTCCCTTTAGCAGATCTGGCTACTAGATAACTAGTGTGTTTTGCTTTTTCTTTCCTCTGTCTTTTTTTTAGGTCCTGAGCACACTAGTGAAAAATCAATTTCCCAAACTATGTATGAGACATACTCCTGCCCAGACCCAGCCAGGGTCCGTAGAGCGAGTTCCCCTCCTGACTCCTTCCTATGAGAATAACGGGATGGAGCTGAGGTTGAGGTGTAGCAAAACTGATTTCCTTAGGAGACAAGCGTGAAGCTGAAGATAGTTACTAAAGTATGGGAGGCTCAGTCCTAATAAAGCAAAGCCAGCCTGACGCCCACACTCTCTGCCCATGGTCAACCTTGAGGAACAGGCATTCCTCCCATTCTATAAAATGTTGCAGGAGGAATATAAGAGTGTGAAAAACACCCTGAGAGGCTGGCCTCTTCCTTTAGTGCATGGTCCCAGCCAGACCAATTAGCTTAGACCCAGAGACAAAGTGACCCACACAGATCAGTTCTCACCTGAGTTTGGAGCTGAGATGCAATGGATTAGTAACAACTGAACAGCAAAGAAAATCTCGGAAAGCCTGAACACGCTGGACACACTGACCAGTCTATTCACAGCCATGAATCTTGGTACTCAGGCCGGTGGTCAGGCATAACAGCTGACTATCTCAATACCCTGTAACTGTTCTAGACGCACAGATGGACTTGAATAGAGCATCCCAAAGAGACAATAGATTGCTGACCACCAATCAGTTCCTGACCACCGATTGCTCTCCCGCCTGCACCCTGGGAACCCCTCGCAATCCCATACCAACTTCCTGTTGGGCTTTGAATATTTGGGGAAGTAGAACTGGGGTGGCAAGTTGAGATGACCCTAAGGTCTCTGTGGCCTACCCTCTACCCTATGAAATATATCGTATATTTTACCAAAATACAACTAAGCTTGGTTTTCAAAATGATTGTTACAGCCAATGAACACACAAGCATCTAGTGATAATTCTAATAATAGCTGTCATTGTTGAATACTTATTTTTTAACAAATGCTCTACTAAGCACTTTGTGTGTGTGTGTGTGTGTGTGTGTGTGTATGTATACTTCTTTCATATACATACTTTTTTATGTTTAAAACGACCCCATGAGATAGGTCCTATTATTACCCTATTTAACAGGTGAGAAAACAAAGGCGTGAGAAGTCAGCATCTTACTGAGGGTTACAAAGCCAGTACTTACAAAGCCAGAAAACGACCCTGTGCAGTTGGACTCCAGAGATTCCTTCTTAACTACTATTTCCTATTCCATGTTTGATTTGTAAATGTTGACATTGACAGGTGGGAGGTAGGAGTGATGTTTCCATAAAAATACTCTGTTTCTAAATATTCAATTACTTTTTTTCTTTTAATTAATCTTGTAGCTTCTGTGTAACATTTGACATGTACTATATTGAACCAAAAATAATTCTTAAAAGGACATAATATTATTGGTTGTATCTCAGTCTGTTGTAGAATAGGCTTTTGAAAGAATTTGATTATTCCTTCTGAAATCTAGAAAATCCATAGCACTTTTTTCCTAAAAAACAGAACACCCAGTTGATGATAAAAACTTCCCAAAGAATTAATTGAAGCTGATACTTTCACAGTCAAAGATGAAATCTCACAGACTGAGGGCTGAAATCCATGTGTTAATATACAGATATAATGTAGTAATAGTTGGAGTAAAGAATTAAGTGACAGCAGAAGAATCCTTTGACTGTTCTGGAGGCATTTGTCATCATGACATTTCTGCCCTCTTACTTATTTTGAAAGTATCAAGAGTATCACCAAGAATAAAAATCAGAAAGTTACCTCTATTTGTCACAAGTTACTGACACAACTCCCCAGGTGAAACTGACACGTACAAGTTAAAGAACTTCTGACTCAACCTTTGGCTTTAAAAATACTGAGCTAAATCAAGCCTACTAGAGAAGGGCAATTCATAAAGAAAAAGATATTTTAAAAAACTGTCAGGAATTATTCAGACAGGTAGAAGAACTTTCTAAAGTGTCCTTGGTGTACAACACTGGGATCTGATAGTATCGTCTTAAGTCAGAATGTTTGCAGATGACTTTCCCTGCATTCCCTCTATTATCCTCATCACTTAAGAAAAGGCGGTTCTCAGCCTCGACTGCACATTAAGGTTACTTGGGGAGCTTTAAAATATATACTTTCCTCGGCCAGAGCTTCTGGTTTAATTGGTTTGGGATGTGGCCTGAGCATAGGGATTTGGAAAAGCTCTCCAAGTGATTCTATATACAGCAAAAGTTTAAAACCAGCGCTAGAATTCTGTTATTCTAACTAACCTCCATTCCCAACTCACACTCTCCCTCTTCCCTTCCCACTCCTATGCACATGCCTCTTCCTCTCTTACCCCAGTCCAGAACTATTGAGAGACATACATGCTCCAAGCAGGTTCTCTAACCTAGGAGATATTATATTAATTCACATAACTTACTTGAATACTGTTTAGCTTTTGTTATTACTAGAAACATCGTGTATACCATAGAAGCACATAGTTATTAACATCCATGAAGTACAGATTATGATTATGTGATAACCCAATTTGAATATTTTTTAGTAATATTTTGAGGAGAAAATTCAAGAAAGAATGAAAATTCCTTTTAATGACATACCCTAGAGAAACAAATTTTTATTTTCTGGCATGAAAACAAATGTCTACGAAAATAGAATTTCCTGTTCATATAAATTTTGGCAAATACTTGGTAAAACTAAAGTTAGACAATTTTTCCCTATTGAACTTGTTTAATACTTAATATGCTAACACGTATTGTGGCTCTTCAAAAGTATTATGTTATTCTGTGTTCTCAAACTTGAGCTATTTTTATATTAGGGAAATAATTTTTAGAGCACTAATTATTTTTCATTTTCGTATCCTTCTTCCCCTTCTCTTTGTTCTACTTACAGCTGGTAAACTTTTAAAAATCAAAATATAAGATATTCCTTTATCAAGGAACTATAAGAATGATTGAGTACTGGATGTGCAAGTAGAAAAAGAGGATTTATGCAGTATGTCAAATATCATAAGGACAAATTTAGTACCAGATAATAATTTAATACATTCAGTGTTTTGTACTTAGATGAACTGGATTATAGACATGTGGATGGATATAGTATACAAATGAATTGCTTCATGCATGCTTAGAGTTATTTAATAAAACTCTGTAGATGTCCTTATTAGGTTTAGAACGTGCAGACAGCTGGAGAACTTTCCTATAAAAACCACTAATATAGTTGGAAAACGTTTTAAATCTTTTTTCTTTCTCTAAATCTGAGATTTTTAATGGTATCCTCAAGATCTTCTAAAGTAATAACTGTTAATAAATATGGTACTTGTTTGATTTGTTGCTATAGGGCAAACTACTCTAAAACTTAATGGCCTTATGGGAATAAAAAATGGTGCACCTGCTGTGGAAAACTGTTTGGCAGTTCCTCAAGAAGTTAAACACAGGATTTCCATATGACCCAACAGTTCCACTTCTGGGTATTTACCCCAAAGATTGAAAAACAATGATTCAAACTGATACTTGTACATCGTTATTCACTGCAACATTATTCACAGTAGCCAATAGGTGGAAACAGCTCAAGTATCCATCATCAGATGAACAGATAAACAAAATGTGCTGCATGTCCATATTATGGAATATTATTCGGCCATAAAAAAGAATAAAATTTTGATACCATGCTACAACATGAAGGAAGCTTGAAAACATGCTAAATATGCCAGACACAAAAAACAAATGTTGTATGATTTCACTTATAAGAAATATCTAGAATAGGCAAATGTATAGAGCTGGAAACCAATTTTAGAGGCTACCAGTAGGCTGGGGAGAGATATAGAATTATTGCTTAATGGGTACAGAGTTCCTGTTTTCAATGATGAAAAGTGTTTTGAAATGAATACTGGTAATGGTTGGACAACATTGCAAATATAATTAATACCACTGAATTGTATATTTTAAAACAGTTAAATGGTGAACTTTGTTACATATATTTTACCACGATACTTTTTATTTTTTTTGAGACAGAGTGTTGCACTGTTGCCCAGGCTGGAGTGCAGTGGCCTGATCTCAGCTCACTGCAACCTCCATCTGCTTGGTTCAAGTGATTCTTCTGCCTCAGCCTCCCGAGTAGCTGGGATTACAGGCATGCACGACCAGGCCCGGCTAATTTTTTTTTTGTATTTTTAGTAGAGACAGGGTTTCACCATGTTGGTCAGGCTGATCTTGAACTCCTGACCTCGTGATCCGCCCTCCTCGGCCTCCCAAAGTGCTGGGATTACAGGCATGAGCCACCGCACCCGGCCTACCATGATAAAATTTAAAAAAATAAAATATACCAGTGGCTTAAAATAATAACCATTTTATACCCTCATGATTCTAAGTGTTAGGAATTTAGCCTGCACTTAGTTGGGTAGCTCTATTTCATGCAGTATCAGTTAGTTTCTCATGAGTTGATGGTGGTTGTGACTACAAAATCCAAAATGGTTTCACTTACATACCTGGAAAATGCCAGGAAGGAGCTCAGCTGGGGTGTCAGTAAGGAACTTCTTCCCCATGCAGATCTCTTGACATGGATGCTTCGGCTTCCTCAACAAGTGGATGAATTCCAACAAGGAGGTTTCAAGATTTAAAGGCAGGATTTGCCATTCCCTGAAGGCTCAAGTCAGAAGTTAATAGTTTGCATTCTATTGGTCAAAACAAGTCAAGAGCCAGCCTAAATTCATGGGGAGGAAAAGATATTTCCTCTCTCAATAGTTGAATGGAAAGATTACATTGTTATAATCATGTAGGTTGGGTGCTATTGTTGCAACCATTTTTGGAAACGTAATATACCAAAGTGTTAAACATATTTTAAAAAATGCTATCTTACCCTTGTTGACATTCACTCATGGAAAACCACCTGAGTGTCATAACATGTGATAACAATTTTAAGCCTATTTTACTATCTGAGGGAGAAAAAGATGCAAATGCAAAAGTGGCCCTTACATGAAAGAGAACCAGTGATGAGACTACTCATTAGTGCTTCTACTTCATGGCATTGCCCTAGTGTTCACGTGTCTTCTGAAGGTTTGTTTCATCTAACCTCTGTATCCATACCATGTTTCCACTGACCTATACAAACAAATGCCACTTTGGGTAGTCTAGTGCAGTGCCACATGAAATAAGATATTTATCATAGTCTAAATGACACAAGCAAAATGCAGCAAGAAAAGAATTTAGAACCATGGACTCTTCATGAAACTATCCCACTCAACAAACACAAATGCGCATCACATAAGTCAGGAACACAGTTGTTTATATATTCCTCATAATTAAATATTTTAGATTACAGATAGCCAGTTGTCTCAGTTACTTGAGAAAACTGAAAACTTTAAAATAACTTTAACATCACAATTCCTTGTCAAAATATTTAAACTCACATATGCACATACACACACACACACACACACACACACACACACACACACACACCCATACACACAAAGCTCTGTGCTCTGCAGCTCTTCAGTATTTACAGGTTAAACAGATTGCTCTTACCCTCTATTAATTTTTACTTAAGCTTATAATATTTTCTTAGCCTAAGAATTTGTCACCTCTAAAATTCCTCTCACCCATACACACCAAATTTCATCTCACAATGATCATGCTTGTGCTTGATCATACTGTTATTCATTTGTATCATTTGATAATTTCTCTGGGTGATGGATTATTTACTTTATTACAAAAATCTGTGCAATATTTGAGGTAAGGGACTCGCCGTTTTCATGATTCTGCCCTAGTTCTTGGCTTTTTAGATTAAAAAAAAAAATCAGAAGTCCCCTCCTTTGTTTAGATGCTTAAAAGTAGTTTCAGCTCTGATATCAAGCTTTCATTTATAATAATAATATTAAAAAAACAACCTTAACACAAAAATTATGGTAAACTTTTATTGAACACTTCATAGATGCCAGGCCCTTAAGCATCCTATAAGCATTCTATTACGTAATCTTCAAAACAGCTCTATAAATTAGGCACAACTTTAATTCTCATTTTACAAATAAGGACATTGAGGTTCGTTACCTATCTCACATCATCCAGCTAGTAAGAGCGATGAATTGAAACTGGGTCTGATGGCTCTGGAGTCCAGGCTCTTCACTGCTACTCACAGTCCTCACCACAAAAGTTTTCAATGTTGTCTCTGGCTTTATTCTCCTGCTCTTAATCTGTTAAGATGGGTTACAGAGGCGTCTATTTTAGAGCTAATATTTAGCGAACACGTGTATCAGCTAATCCTTTGTGGCTGAAAACAAAAACATCTCCACCAACTTTTTCAGAGTATATTGAGTTTATTACATTAACCAATAAGTACATAAAGCAGTAACAATAAAATATACATGGCAGGAAGCAGGTCAAGTCTCTCCCTCATTATTTTCTGGCTCTCTTCAAATTTTTGCCAAGTGTTATGAGTAGTAATCCTGGAAGAAGTCATGGCTGATCTTTTTGAACATATTCTATGTGACATTAGCTAAGCCTCCCATTATTGGGCCACAAACACAGGTCTTGAAATGGCTCTGACACCATTCTAATGATCCATTAAAACACAGTAGTATGGACCAGGCGTGGTGGCTCACGACTGTAATCCCAGCACTTTGGGAGGCCGAAGCAGGTGGATTGCCTGAGGTCAGGAGTTCGAGACCAGCCTGACCAACATGGCGAAACCCTGTCTCTACTAAAAATACAAAAAATTAGCAGGGCATGGTGGTGCGCACCTGTAATCCCAGCTACTTGGGAGGCTGAGGCAGGAGAATGGCTTGAACCTGGGAGATGGAGGTTGCAGTGAGCCAAGATCGTGCCATTTCTCCAGCCTGGGCAACAAGAGTGAAACTCTGTCAAAAAAAAAAAAAAAAATGCGTAAAATATAACCAAGCCACAAGTAAAGACCCAAGGTCAGGTACAAACTTGCAAAGTACCCAAGAGACAGAATTTTTTTAAAAAAATATATGTTATTACAAGAATTGGAGAAGAGGCAACTTATATTCCTGCTTTATACAGAAAAGGGAAGATGTGCCTCTACCCAGCTCTGCATGTGCTGTATGTACTTATACAGGGCAAATGAATATGATGATTCTACATAAAGATGCATTTGAATATTCATTTGGTTGGTCTTTCTTGTTCACTTGTAGTTTCAAATAAAGGAATGACATTATTTTATTTGAGAAATGTCAGTGAGCATCAACTGGGGAAGAGATACTGTAGTAAATACTGGGAAATAGACTCACATTAGTTTGGAGAGATGATGAACAGATTGTCACCACATAAAATGATGGGAGATTTAATAGGGAACTTTTAAGTCCATATGTGAAGGTAAATTGAAACGATCTTACGAGTCTTTTTGACAGCTGTTCTCCTATGAAGGACAAATTCAGTTTCACTCTGAACAGATAATGAAATGTATAAATTTAATTATACAGATTATTAAAATAAAGGATGCTGTGTATTTGTAATGATGAAGTTTGATAAAAGTTCTCTCTCTCTCTGTTTTTATAGAGAGAATATGTATTATTATAAGAAATCCTAAGAGGTATTTCAATGAAAGTAAGGACACCTTGCATGAGAGGGAAGGGAAGACCTAATTTTAAGAAAACATCTGTAAAATATCCTTTTATTTTACAGTGAATACAGTTAATGAAGTCAATGGAAATATACATAGGCCTTAATAGGAGAAGCTATGTGAAAATCTGGGCACACAACATTTTTTTCCTCAGGATTTAGAGAAAATATGTGAAGAAATTAGACAGTGTACAATGATTGCAATGAAGCGATAAAAGCAAGGAAACTAAATCTCAGAGGCTTAACCTAACAAGGCTAATTTTTCACTCACAGTACATGTTTATTGTGGGTTTCTGAGAGGTACATTCTAGACCATCCTCACTTTGGGACCTTAGCTGACAGAGCAGCCAGTCTCTGGGACATTATTGCATGTTGTTGTTGTGGAAGTAAAAGAGAAAATAGTGAGCATGTACTGACTCTTAAAGCTTTTGTCCAGAAGTAACACATGTCACTTCACTTGCATTTCACTGGCCAAAGAAAATCACATGGCCACAGCTGATTTCAGAGAGGTGGCTAATTATGTTAAAAAGGTAAACTAAGGTGCAATCAAATTTTAAAGAATTTATGTAAATAAACAGCAATTCATGAATTCAGCAGCTCCAAACCAGAAATGTTCTGAGGGCTCCATTGAGGAAGCATTATGAACAGACTTTTAGAGTGAATGCAAACATAATAAAGAAGAAATTATTTGGTTGGTTACAGTTACAAAGTTGCCTTACTTGGTGTATCCTACTGGAAAGTCGCCAGTTATATAATGATAAGTTTGTTGAGTGTTTGTGATTGTTTGAGCTTGAGTTCTATTTTTAATATAGAGATTTATAAGAAATAGCTCAAGTTAAGTTTGGCTTGTGTTTGCAAATCAAGCAACGTTAAGGTCACTTATGAAGTCTAACTGGCTTTGTCTGTTCAGGAATTCTATAGGTTTCATCTCTATTTTAATTTACTTGGACAATTATAATACTGTCATCTGGCTGAAAGATAAGAGAGAACTAACTGCTTGTCAACTGTTGTAATGGTTATCTCAACATATTTAACATGAAGTTTCTCTTTTACCTAACCTGACTTCACTCTTTGTAATATACTATGCAAAATAGGTCTTATATTCTCAAAAATTAAACAAAAAGAAAGCTGTTATGCAATGATATGTCATTATTACTTATCCAGTCTACCACGATATTCTATGGTATCCAGTCTACCATCATATTGTACACTTCTGCTTTTCCTCCTAATTCAAGAGGAGGAAATGAAGTGTCATTGCTATTCATTCTTGCTGAAAAGGAAGAATCATGCTGGGTGGCCTCCAGTGGAAGCCCGGATGGACCAGATGCTTCCTCATTGGCATGCAGAGCGATGTGCTGCAGGACTCAACTTAGATACTGTACGCAACAAAGATGCTGAGAAGTAATTCTTTAGTGCTTTCAACTAACGAAGGGCTGTATGTGAGAAAAGGGTATAACAAATTATAAATAATCCTAACATTCCACTGAAGAAGAAAGTAATGTGCATTTACCAGTGGGCATGGTGGGAAGAATGGAGGAAACAAGCAGAAAAGCCCACTGAGAATTCTGCAAAAGCATTTACTACTGTCCTCAAACCAGGTACATCACCTGTTTCCCACCAATTAGGAGATCCCTCTTATGTAGAGCAATCACCACGTACAGTCTTGGGATTTAAAAAGAAAGAAAAACGATACATAACATTTTACATTTCCCTGACTTGCATACCAACTATTCCATTTGCTTTGGCAATGTGGGATAATTGGTATGCAAGTCAGGGAAATGTAAAATGTTAATAATTCATAACAAAATATGAATTATGTCTGGATTCAGCTGGGTACAAACTCACTGAAAGGTATGAATATGGAGTGATATTTGAGTGAGAAAAACAAGAGAAATTCCTGGTTTTTTGGGGTTAGCCCTGAAGTCAACACTGACAAAATAGGGCATATTATGCATTCTGCACATCTATAAGTACAAAAATGGAATGCAGAATATGCAGGTTCTTGATCTAAACATTCTAGAGCCAAACTGTGCTGTGAGCAAGGCTCTGGGTGTGCTTGTATGGAGAAGTGTGGTTAGAGGTGAGTGGGGGAGTAAGACATAATAAATAATAATAATAATAAAAATAATATATAATAAATTTTTGATAAGTCAAAGGCAGTGTATGGGCATTTATACTCACCTCCCAATGTAATTTACAGCAAATCAATTCTGATGCAGCCACTCTAGATTTGGTGCTGCTTTCCATTGTAATGTTTTGAATTCATATTTGTCTGTTAAATCCAACCAGATTTCTTAGGGAGCATCATCAACACAATGGTCTCAACCTGAGAAGACTCAGAGGGTATCATTCAGAGGCTGCTGTTTTTTTAATGAGTTTAAAATGTGTCCAATCAGGTCTAATGTTTAAGTCTTTAATCCATCTTGAATTAATTTTTGTATAAGGTATAAGGAAGGGATCCAGTTTCAGCTTTCTACATATGGCTAGCCAGTTTTCCCAGCACCACGTATTAAATAGGGAATCCTTTCCCCATTGCTTGTTTTTCTCAGGTTTGTCAAAGATCAGATAGTTGTAGATATGCGGTGTTATTTCTGAGGGCTCTGTTCTGTTCCATTGATCTATATCTCTGTTTTGGTACCAGTACCATGCTGTTTTGGTTACTGTAGCCTTGTAGTATAGTTTGAAGTCAGGTAGTGTGATGCCTCCAGCTTTGTTCTTTTGGCTTAGGATTGACTTGGCGATGCAGGCTCTTTTTTGGTTCCATATGAACTTTATTTTTTTTATTTTTTTTATTTTTTTGAGACGGAGTCTCACTCTGTCGCCCAGGCTGGAGTGCAGTGGTGGGATCTCGGCTCACTGCAAGCTCCACCTCCCGGGTTCACGCCATTCTCCTGCCTCAGCCTCCCAAGTAGCTGGGACTACAGGCGCCCGCCACTACGCCCGGCTAATTTTTTTGTATTTTTAGTAGAGACGGGGTTTCACCATTTTAGCCGGGATGGTCTCGATCTCCTGACCTCGTGATCCGCCCGCCTCGGTCTCCCAAAGTGCTGGGATTACAGGCGTGAGCCACCGCGCCCAGCCCCATATGAACTTTAAAGTAGTTTTTTCCAATTCTGTGAAGAAAGTCATTGGTAGCTTGATGGGGATGGCATTGAATCTGTAAATTACCTTGGGCAGTATGGCCATTTCCACGATATTGATTCTTCCTATGCATGAAACCATAAAAACCCTAGAAGAAAACCTAGGCAATACCATTCAGGACATAGGCATGGGCAAGGACTTCATGTCTAAAACATCAAAAGCAATGGCAACAAAATCCAAAATTGACAAATGGGATCTAATTAAACCAAAGAGCTTCTGCACAGCAAAAGAAACTACCATCAGAGTGAACAGGCAACCTACAAAATGGGAGAAAATTTTTGCAACCTACTCATCTGACAAAGGGCTAATATCCAGAATCTACAATGAACTCAAACAAATTTACAAGAAAAAACAAACAACCCCATCAAAAAGTGGGCGAAGGACATGAACAGACACTTCTCAAAAGAAGACATTTATGCAGCCAAAAAACACATGAAAAAATGCTCACCATCACTGGCCATCAGAGAAATGCAAATCAAAACCACAATGAGATACCATCTCACACCAGTTAGAATGGCAATCATTAAAAAGTCAGGAAACAACAGATGCTGGAGAGGATGTGGATTAATAGGATCACTTTTACACTGTTGGTGGGACTGTAAACTAGTTCAACCATTATGGAAGTCCGTGTGACGATTCCTCAGGGATCTAGAACTAGAAATACCATTTGACCCAGCCATCCCATTACTGGGTATATACCCAAAGGACTATAAATCATGCTGCTATAAAGACACATGCACACGTATGTTTATAGTGGCACTATTCACAATAGCAAAGACTTGGAACCAACCCAAATGTCCAACAATGATAGACTGGATTAAGAAAATGTGGCACATATACACCATGGAATACTATGCAGCCATAAAAAATGATGAGTTCATGTCCTTTGTAGGGACATGGATGAAATTGGAAATCATCATTCTCAGTAACCTATCACAAGAACAAAAAACGAAACACCGCATGTTCTCACTCATAGGTGGGAACTGAACAATGAGAACACATGGACACAGGAAGGGGAACATCACACTCTGGGGCCTGTTGTGGGGTGGGGGGAGGGTGGAGGGATAGCATTAGGAGATATACCTAATGCTAAAGGATGAGTTAATGGGTGCAGCACACCAGCATGGCACATGTATACATATGTAACTAACCTGCACATTGTGCACATGCACCCTAAAACTTAAAGTGTAATAATAATAAAATAAAATAAAAAAATGTGTCCAATCAGTCATTATGTTGCAGCATATATAGTTTTTCTAAAGAACACTCCCCAGGAGCTAAAACTCAAAGTGGTGAATGAAGAAATAGTTTGGGTAATTCATAAATGCTTTAAGATGCCCCTTGATTTTCATAAAACAAAACAAAGACAAAAACATCTTAACCCTTAAAACCCTTTAAGCATCATAACCGGATTTTCAATATCAAACCACTTAGCAAAGTAGTTGTGACCCAGTTTACGAGATAACATTGGAAAAGCATGTTAAAAATGATAATTGAATTCAAATGTAATGTTTTTCTTTTACTAAGAGATTTTCATTGATCCTTACCACATGCCTATGAGACAGTGGCTTTTCAAGGAGAGCAACTAAGGACTAAACAGTTAAGCCAATTGAGTCAAGGTCAGAGAGCCAGGCCATCATGCCCTCTTGGCAAGAACCAATGGCCCAACCTTGGGCCCAAAATTATTTTCACTAAGAGAAACTTCCATTCTCTCTGATAGCTAATACCAGGTATTTAAGTTGCTTCCTTTTGAATCCCCTCTTCATGCAGTTCATTCAGTGTGTAAAGTCAATCACATTGACCAAGGGGACACTACTCATTGTGCTCTGACCTGGTCTATTTTATTGAACATAGTTCTTATTTAAAAGCCTTAGTGGATCAATATCTTTTTCTCAAGCAAATACATGTCATGAGTACAAACTCTGATTTCATCATACCAAGATGATGAAAGAAGAATAGTAAAAAGTCCTTTGAGTTTGCTAATGATTTAGTCATCTGACAAATCATCCTTGAATGACTGCTGTCAGACACACTCTATTCTAGGGAACAGAGGAATAGAAATACAACTTCTTGGCACAGACAAGACAAAGATTCCCTGGCATGCTAGTAACTGGTAATTGTTTATTCACCCTGCAAATATTGATTGAGTATCATGTGACGGGCAATCGGATACACATGATTTGGGATGCGGTATATTGTGGTATAAAACAATAGATTAGAAGACACTGTCTTTGACAAGCCTTATCAGCTAATTTATTTCTCAGAAATACACAGCAAATTTTGTATGGGAATATCCAAGTTATAGCCTACTTTGTTTAAACAGCTTCATGAACATTATTTTGAGGGAAAATAGCCAGTCACAAAAGATGACTCTATTCATATGGAGTTTAAGACCAGGCAAAACTATTCTACAAAGATGGAAATCAGAAAAGAGGTTATCACTTAAACCCAGGAAAGCATCAGGGATCTTTCTGGGGTGATGGAAAAGTTCTCTATTTTGATCTGAACGATGGGTACATGGGTGTTTATGAAAAAGACATCAAGCTATTCAATTAAGATTTGTGCATTTTACTGTATGTAAAATATATCTCAATAAAAAGCACAATGATCAGTCCAAACCAAACCAAAATCAGGAACAAGAAAGAGTCTTGATTCTCATAGTATTTCTCAGGGTTAGCTATTCAATAATTGTTAAAAAGATTAATTATTGAGACTTTATTATGGTTGTAAAGATATTTTTAAGAATGAATGAACTTACCCTATTAAATAAGAAGTGTAATTACCTTAACAATAGACCTATTTATCAAACTACAAAGTTATGACAACCCATTATTTCTCTTTGAGCCTTTTCAGCCTACATGTTTTTGAAAAGTAGTATCTCTTTCATTTTGGTGAGGACAAAACTATCTTTGGCTGTCAGAATCACTTGCTTATTAAAGTTCAAGCCAAAAACAAACTCTCAGTAGGCAGAAACATGAATAATATGACATTTTCTATGCTAAAAGAAATACTAAAAATTCTACCTGACTTTAGGGTTAACTACTTTTCTGCATGCTTAATGTAAATTATAAGCTGGAATTAGTTGGCAAGATCTAAAATAGTATTACTACAAATAAAATTTTAAAACATGATTCCTCTTACAGAAATGTACATAATATCTTATAGTTACATTGCTCTTTTGAAAATATTTTCATTTTATTTTTTTCCTTAATTTTCACACTAACTCTGATCTACAAAGGTCCCAATCACTTAGTGACATTCTCGCTGAATATTATGAAGGAATTATCAATCTGTGCTATTCCTTTCCTTAGTGCAGTGATTTAAGCTGAAATTCTTAGTAAAAAAATAATTAGAATAGAATGATACCCCTATAAACCTCTTATATTCTACATAAGGATACAAACAATACTAGTGGTTTATGTAATTTTAAAATCCAGAAATCCAATGACCGGAAGTGACATGTATTATAAACGTTACGCAGTTAATGATAATTTCATTGAGAAATCTAGTTTCACTCCATAACATTCAATTGCCTGTGACTAATGCTTTGCAAGTCAAAACTCATCAAAATAAAACTTCACTCCAATATGGCTGAAGTTGTTTCGATCCTTCAAAGTTGTATAAAGCATGCAAAAAATTGTAAAATAATGGAATTTAAAAGAAAATTGGAATTCAAGTGTTCTGGATAACATGTTCTTGAATTTTTCTGGCTATTTGCAGACCTCTGAGATTAAAATGTAAGTTCTAAACAAAGTTTCAGAAAACTGAGGATCTGTGGTAGTGTGAAAAGTTTATTGTAAGCATAGAAAATATGCTCAAATATCTGTTATCACACAAAAATAAAACCAGAAATTATTTTGTAAAGAATAGGACAAGGAAAATACTTTGACTACCAGAAAATCTTTTCATAATTAAAATCTTCTTCCCAATATAATTCTTTGAGAAACAAAGAGAATAATATTGCAACCCATGTTATAATAAGGGTTAAAAAGAAGATAATATCAGATTAAATAAAATCTTTGCTATTGAAGAATTTTATTCATTTTAGTTTTATGATGCTGTAGAATTTCCAGGTTTAAAACACCTGGTTAACAGTCTTTATTTTTCCATTTGCAATCTGATATTTGGCACTAAATGAACATCACATACAACTGGATGTTAGTGCTATGACTTGAAAAGTGCTAAGATTTTCAAAATCAGCCAAACCTTCTAATCTACCTGAAAATTATGAGTGAATGTACTATCTCTTAGAGTTGAGATATGTGTGTTTATATTTCAAAAGAAATTTTCTGGCAAGAAGCTTATTGTATTGCGTTAAATATCTGAATTTATATTTTCTAAATTACACTGAAGTTTGAAAATCTGTGACTTCTTTATTGGTCATTTAAAATAACTCTTCAACTACCGTATCTCTTGCAAAGTCAAACCTTAATTAACATCGACACTTCATAAAAGTGTCAGAAAATCAGAGCATCATTCAATTACTGTCTCATACAATTCCCTATAGTTTCCTCCAAGTTGTTTTTGTCTTCTCAAATAGTTTAAGCTCATGGAGATCAAGTATTGTTATTTCCTTTAGCCACATCTATCATGGTGTTAACTCTATCAACAGTATGCAGAATGTTTACTGAGTAATCATCTATCAGAGAAAGATTGTTGTATTTGTTTTATTGTTGTTGTTGAATTTTATCTTGTTTTAACATTTTCAAGTTGGAGAACCTTCTCTGTACTTAAGTGAACCAGTAAGTCATTTATTCCTTCAATAAATACTTATTAAATCCCTATATTTCATATAATTTAAAATGACTATGATGAATCCAGTGATACCACTTCTGCTTAACATCCTCTTCAGATAAAAGTACAAAAGAAAATCTTAAGTATTTACTTTGCTTACTTACACTCTACAGTCCTAAGATAAGATATAGAAATAAGTAACCAAACCTCCCCCAGCACCTGCTAGCATTTCAGTCATACACATTTGATTTATTTACTGGCTATTTTGATATTAAAGATGACAAAACTGTAACACTGAGAAACACTTTACACATTTTACGTGTTGGCCATAGTCATTGTCTCCAAGACCAACAGCCCAATATGCATTTTGATAGAGAGTGACTTGACAGTGAAAAACGAATCTTTTCAACTTTATCCATTCAGATGAATATTTATTCATTTGATAAAAGTAATGCAATGGATATTGCTTTTAGGGCAAATGTTTAGGAAAAGCAAACATCAAAGTTCACCTTAACATCATTAATAAGCACACTTTTTTTTTTAAATCTAGCAATGTATGGAGACATTCACTGAAATTACGTCTTCCATCATTCTCATTTTTTATTTCCTTATTGTGTTTTATTTTTTCATAGCACTTACTATTCTTAGAATTTTTTTGTTTTTTAATTATCTGTTTCTACCAGAATATGACTTCCTAGAGAACAGACTTTGAATTTTTTTATTGCTAAGGTTTCATTGCCTAGATATTGACTGACTTATATTAAGTGATCAACAAATATTTGCTGAAATGATGTGTTAAATAAATGTAATGATGTGAAAAAATGATTGATAATAAAAGCTTCATTCTTTTTATAACTATGACAAATAAGTCAAAATTAAGAATATTATCAATATTTCTGCAGAGATATAAACATTTTTATAAATATTAAACATATCCCAAGATAACATTTTGAAATGCTTGTGTTTTACATTAACGGTTTAAATTTCTATTGCATATTGAGCTCATGAGAGACAATAGGATTTATCACACACATTACTTAGTTTTCAGAAAGGATACAGGACAGACAGCAAGTTACCATGCTTGTATATACCAGTGCAATGTTTCTGATTACTCAGTCACTTGGGAGATATGTGATCACAAGAGATAAAGCTGAGTGAGGGCACAGCTCTCAGCTCAAGTAAGTCTTCAACTCTAGGATCCCTTGACTTTTAAACCTAGAATAACACATAGCCCTCTTAGATGTACATGATGATCAGCTGGTCATGCAGCCCTCCTAGAGATCTGTGACTAGCTCCTATCTCTGGTACTGCTATATCCCATCAATATCAGTTATTCATTACTTTATAAATAATCTCATCAAGGGATAGGTGTTTGGTCCAGTTGATAGTCCTTATTCAAATTCTCATTTATCTTAGTTCTCGCATAAATGTTTTCATGAGAAAACATTAAATGTAAGAGAATTCAACTAAGATAATGTAAGAGTATTCAACTAAGATTCAAATTTTTAGCATCCCTTGGATTTAGATAAAAGTCATAGAACTATAGAACTAGCTGTTAACCATGTCCTTTTATACTTTTATGTATGTGCAAAATTAGAAAAAAAATTAGGTATTTAGAAAACATTTACATTCAAAATTTTTCTAAGACTTCATATGGAAAGCCATATTTTCAAAATTAGATTTTAAACTAAAAATATTATTTAATGTTTAAAAATTAAATATTTAGAAGAGCTATATAAAATGTCTTCAAAATTAAAGCTAAAGTACAGGTCTAGTGCCCAAGACTTTTTATAAGCAAAAATTAGAAGGAAATGCAAACATATATGAAAACAAAATTGAACAGAAACATTTTTAACAAAAACTTTAAACAAATATTAATAGAAATTAAAATGAAAAATAAAAAAACCAAAACAAGATTAGCCT
Source organism: Homo sapiens (assembly GCF_000001405.40). Classification (NCBI taxonomy): domain Eukaryota; kingdom Metazoa; phylum Chordata; class Mammalia; order Primates; family Hominidae; genus Homo; species Homo sapiens. The sequence continues at coordinate 63,609,021 of NC_000005.10, read as the reverse complement.
GCATTGTTATTAGAAACAAAAAGTAACAAAGCATAAGACAAGACCTAAAATACTAGGAAGAATATTATGTTCCAGACAACTAAAGAGCTGAAAGAAACTATACTTGATAGCTATAGTGAGATTATTAATCACATGGGTATCATTATGTTCGGTTATGTCTGAAGAGAAACTCATATATAATGATGACAATAAATTATGCCAGATGAACTGTCGATTAAAATGCCCTTGATAACAAAAGGGAAATTGGAAGTGAAATGATGATTGGAACGAAAAAAGAATCTGTGAAGGGCTTTATAAAATGAGGTGAACTATTTTAATTGGAATTTTAAAAAGTTTCTATAGTTTTCACAGAAGAAGAATAAAATTCAAGGATCATAACTAGATTTAATGTACAATCTTTCTCTAATGTGCTATTTTCAATAATTCACATTAAGAGTTAGCAGGTTTTGAAATGTGTGATATGCTTAAATTGGAATTCATTTTTTATTACCTTTTTGAATGTCTGTATTTCTCTGAGAACTTTTATTTCATCACTATTTATTAATATCATGAATATAACCTATGACCTCTAAAAAGCCCAACTCTTTTCCTTGTTTTTTAAAATCATATCCATATGTTTTCTGTACGGCCTATTGAGGTGAGGAAAATATTAAATACAAAAAGTCAGAATGACTGCTGTTCTCCATAGTACCTGAGGTATTTCCCACACCTGCCCTTTACTCTCCTGAATTTGTAATTAGAAATACCAGCTTTCACAAGACTTGCTCCTGAGTTGATCTGACCTTGATAGACAATAGGTATGCAAAGAAGGAAAAAACTTTCAGATATCTACAATCTCACCACAGGCTACAGTCAAGTTTTGTTCACCATTAAAGATAACTCCACAGGACATAAAGAAAGCCTTAAGTAATGTAAATAATCTTATAAATTTACCATGGTTCTCTCAATCTTGGATAATTACGTCTCCAAAATTATTTGGAAAATATTTAATCTGAAAAAAATGGTATCTCCTAGAAAGTAAACAGACACTTTTGTTGCTGAAGCAAAGAGAAGGCAAATGCCAGAAATATAGAATTTCTCAGCATAATTTCCGCCTTAAAGAAAGCTAAGGGAACATCTTATTTGACAACATTTAAGAAATGTTCACATGCATGATAAAGTTAAATATAAGAATAGAATGGAATTAATTGAATCTGAGGATGCATAGTGAAGAATCTCAGCTTTGGGAAGAAAAGATGATAACCTATATTGACTTCCATTCATTAAGGATAAAGAGATAATAATCACAACAGCTATTATATTTTACTGAATAGATACTCTTTGCCTCACACAGGGTTAGAAACTTTTTAGACTTCTATTAATTAACTCTTAGGAAATTTCTATGAACTATGAATTAGTATCTAAATATTATAGATGAGAAAATAAAAACATAGCTCAAGTAACATGCTCTGAATCACCTGATTAGAGAGTGATACATGCAGAATTTATTTGACTTCTGTTCCATTCAAAGACTACCCTCTCCACCACTTCATAGGAGCCTCTTACTCCAAAAGAATAAATAGAACTATTTTTTCATAATAGATGTCCATAAAGTTTTGCCTCAGTGTTTCAATGTCGTGTGTGTGTGTGTGTGTGTGTGTGTGTGTGTGTGTGTGTGTTTATAATGTCTAGTCTTAGTAAAAACATAACAAATTATCCTTAGGAGAATATTATTTAGAGATTGCTTAGTGAAGACTACATATGTCAATGTAATTTTCTTCTCTATTGAGACTCTTAAGGGAGAGACAGGCATTCCTCATTTTTGACTTATTTTGATATGAATCAAGTTTCACAAACCTTTGGAAGATGACGTAAGCTGAATTTACCCTTCGACCTAAAAAATAATCTTGTATTAAAAAAAAACCAAACTAATATTGCATCAATTTACTACCTGAAGAAAATTCCAGTCATACAACAGAGAAGGGCAACCCACAGAGAACTCAGAGGTCTCCCTGAATTAATCGGGTGGAGATTCGCGAAGGCCAAGGCAGATCAAATTTACAGGGCAATGTAACAGTGAAGAAAAAGTTTCATAGAGAGAGAATTGTAGAGATCGTAGGTCTCAGAGGGTCCCTCGCAGGTATTCTGCAGAGTTCTGATCAACATATGCATGTGAAGAAACTACCTAAGGCTGAGGAAGAACACCCAAAAGAATTGAAGAAAAAAAATCGCTTAAGCCTAAGAATAGTGTTATGTCCACCAGCAAGAGCAGAAACCCTCACAACACAAAGAACATAAAGTAAAATACTGAGAAGGGTTTTGCCCCCTAAAATAGAGCAAAAATAGCCTGAGGATAAATATTGCTCTCATTTTGCTTAAAATATTTTAAAAGCAAGACCTGAAAGGATGAAACTGTTTCCAGATAACTATATTCCAGATTGAAGCTCAGGAATATTTATACAAACAGAAAATATCCAGGACCCAACTTACTAAAATTAACAACCTCTGTAGCAAATGAAAAAATTAGCTGGAATGCAAAGTAGCAGAAAAAAAAAAACACCACCTGAAATGTCAAAAAAAATCAATTAAAACTGTTACAGAAATGATATAGATAATAAAATTTGTAGGTAAGTCATTGAAAATAATTGAATAAATTTTGTAGACACATTTAAGATATAAGAAAAGACTCAAATTGAAATTCTAGAGATGAAAACTAGTGTCTAGGTTGAGATTAAAAGCAAATTAGACACTGCAGCAGAAAATATTGGCAGACCTAAAGACATAACAATGGAAACTATTCAAAATGAAATCTGGAGAGGAAAAAAGAGAACTAAAATGTTAGCAAAGTTTACATGAACCTTAAGAAAATATATAATGGCCTAATAATTAATGCAATAAAAATTTCCAAGGGAGGAGAGAATAGAAAAAAATTAAGTTCCATGCAACTGACATGATTTCATTCTTTTTAATGGCTGAATAATATTTCATTGTGTACATGTACCACATTTTCTTTATTCATTCATCCATTAGTGAACACTTAGGTTGATTCCACATTTTGGCTATTGTGCATAGTGCTATAATAAACACCAGAGTGCAGATATCTCTCCAATGTACTGATTTCTTTTCTTCTGCATATATAGCCAGCAGTGAGACTGCTGGATCATATGGTAGTTCTATTTTTAGTTTTTTGAGGCACCTCCATACTGTTCTCCATAGTGGCTGTACTAACTAACATTTCCACCAAAAACATCCAAAGGCTCCCCTTTTGCCACACCCTCACCAGCATTTGTTATTGCTTGCCTTTTGGATAGATGGCATTTTTACTGGGGTGAAATAATATCTCACTGTCGTTTTAATTTGCATTTCCCTCACTAGTAATGATGTTGATCATTTTTCATATACCATATTGGCCATTTGTCTGTCTTCTTTTGAGAAATGTCTATTCAGATCTTTCACCCACTTTTAAATCAGATTATTTGTTTTTCTTCCTATTAGTTGTTTTAGCTCCATATATATTCTGGTTGTTAATTCCTTGTCAAATGGATAGTTTGTAAATATGTGCTCCCATGGATGTGACTGGAGGATATTATGCTAAGTGAAATAAGCCAGGCACCAAAAGATAAATATTACATGTTCTCACAAATAGGTGGGAGATAAAAATAATTGAACTCATGGAGATAGACAGTAGAATGGTTGTTATCAGAAGCTGGGAAGGGTGATGGGAAGGCAAGGAATAAAGAGGGGATGGTTAATGGGTACAAAAGTACATTTAGATAGAAGGAATAAGGTCTAGTGTTTGGTAGCACAATAACGTGGCTATAGTTAACCATAATTTATTGTATGTATCAAAATAACTACAGGAGTGGAATTGGAATATTTATAACACAAATAATAAATGCTTGAGGTGATAGATACACCAAACCCTGATTTGATTGTTACACATTGTATGCTTGTATCAAAATATTACACGTACCCCATAAGTATGTAGAACTAGTATGTAGAACTAATATGTATCTATAATAATTAAAATTTTTAAAACTAAAAAAATTAAGAACTGATATAAAAATAGCCAAAAATTTTCTACATTTGATGAAATGTGTAAAGCCAGAGATTCAAAAAGCTCAATGAACCACAAGCAAAATAAACTTATATAAAAAAATACATCAGAACATTAGCAAATTGCTTAACTAGTGGCAAAGAGAAACATAGAGCCACATCATTAAAGTACTGAAAGAAAGAAAAAAAAAAAACCCTGTAATTCTAGAACACTTTTATCTATGGAAATGTCTGTAACAAATAAAGGCAAAGTAGTTTTTCAGATATATGAGAACTCAAGGAATTCAGTATTCAATACCTGAAAGAATTTGTCATAGACATGCACTACAAAAAATTTTAAAGAAGTTTTACAAGCAGAAGGGAAATGACACCAGATGTAAAGCTGGATCTGGAGGCAGAATTCAAAGCTCCACTGATAGTCCCCCCTGCAAGGACACCAAGTTAACAACAATCTATACCGAAAAACAAACAAAAACACCTTCATAAGAACAAAAGTCAGGTGAGCACTCATAGTACTTGGTTTTAACTTTATATCCCTGAAAGAGGCACTGAAGACATAGAAAAAAAAAGTCCTGAATTGCTGACAACACTCCTCCCCCGCCAGCTCACCCCCAGCCCAGCAGCAGCTTCAGGGTGTGGAGAGCATCTCTGAGTACTGGGGGAGGGAGAACAGAGCAATTGGGAGGAATTGAACTCAGTGCTGCCCTGTTAGAGCAGAAAGAAAAATGGGACCAAGCTCAGCTGATGTTGCCCATAGAGGGAGCATTTAAACCAGCCCTAGCCAGAGGGGAATTGCAAATCCCAGAGGATCAGAATTTGAGTTCCTGCAGACCTCCCCACAGAGGGCTACAGTGCTCTGTGTCTCCAAGTAAACTGGAAAGGCAATCTAGGCCATAAGGACTGCAACTCTTAGGCAAGGTCCTAGTGCTGAACTAGGCCCAGTGACAGTGGACTGGGGAGGGGACGTGACCTGCCAATGAAGCACGCCTATAGGAACTAGAAAATAGCCTCAGAAAAGCAAATCTAAAAGTTATTGGCCTTAAAGAGGAAATGGAGAAAGAGATAGGACAGAGATAAGGCTATATACCATTACTGGATATATACCCAAAGGAATATAATTGTTCTACCATAAAGACACATGCACACATATGTTTTTCACAGCACTATTCACAATAAAAAAGACATGGAATTAACCTAAATGCCCATCAGTGGTAGACTGGATAAAGAAAATGTGGTACATATACACCATGAAAGAATGAGATTATGTCTTTTGCAGCAACAGGAATGGAGGTGGAGGCCATTATCCTAAGGAAACTAAACAGGAACACAAAACCAAATACCACATGTTCTCGCTTATAAGTGGGAGGTAAACATTCAGTACATTATGATCACAAAGAAAGGAACAAGAGACACCGGGACCTACTTGAGAGTGGAGGCTGGTAAGAGAGTGAGGATTGAAAAACTGTCTATTGGGTACTATGCCTATTATCTGGGTGACAAAATAATCTGTACATCAAAGCCCCACAACCACAACGCACAATTTACCTGTTTAGCAAACCTGATCATGTACCCTGAACCTAAAATAAAATAAAAAAAAAATACCAATGGGAGCAGAAAAATTATAGCTATACACTCTACCTTCAATGAATGTTCTAACAGCAGAGATAGTGTGCAAAATTCAGCCTTAACTCTCCCTACAGTGACAAGGCAGTGTCCTACTCTCCTGGAGTTTGTGGGTGGAGCTGTGATGTCAACCTCCTACTCCTACCCACAGTAAATCTCCCTCAGTAAAGCCTGTGAGCAAAACTCTGTCATCCTTTCCTTCTCTGAATAATGAGGTGGCATCCCTCCACATCTCAAGATAGCACTGCAGAGACTGTAGGGAAGAATCTTGTCATCTGGGTAACACAAGTGGGGCAGACAGTAATAGCACTGTTGATGCTTTATAAACTAAATTGACATTTTACCCACATATGACCCATAGCCACAAAATTGAGCTAGGACATACATTCTGAAATTGAACAAGCTGACAATCTGCTAAAATAGATTGAAATAGGAACCATAATCTTATAATTCTCAAAATGTTCAGCATGTTGTCTAAAATTAATCATATCAAGAACTAAAAACATTTTAACTCAGTAGAAAAAGAAAATCAACAAGTGCTGACATCTAGATGACTCAGATCTTAGGCTATTGAACAAGGATTTTCAATTAGCTATCATAAAAATGCTCTGAGAAATTAAAAATACTCTTGAAACAAATAACAATAAAATTCTCACAAAGAAAGACAGCACATAAGGAAACAAATGGAAATTTTAGAACTAAAAAAAAATAAAAATGACCCTCCAAAAATTACTGGATGAGTCAACAGCAGAATGGAAATAAGAGAGAAAAAATTAGTGAAATTGAACGTACAGTAATAAAAATTATTCAATCTGAACCACAGAAAGAAAATGAATTGTTTTTAAAAAAGAAGGGAATAAAAGAACTAAACTTCAAGGACCTGTGAGACAATGACAAAATGTGTAAATTATGGTGATTGAAATACTAGAGAGAAAAAAAAATTACAGTGAAAACGTATTTAAAGAAATAATGACTGAAATTTTCCAAACCTAATGAAAGACCAAAAAAAACTAAAATAATAAAAATCATAATAAAATGGCAGGTTTCATTGAAATAGATCAATAATTATATTAGATGCAGAAGGTATAAAATATTTGTTGAAAGCAACTCGTGTAATAAAAAAAAACCATGACTCATTTCTTTCTACAAGAAACTGACTTCAAGTTTAATAATATAGATTTGCTAAAGGTGACCAGGTGGAAAAAATTTGATCATACAAATTGTATTAGTCCGTTTTCATGCTGCTGATAAGGACATACCCGAGACTGAGTAATTTATGAGAAAAAGAGGTTTAATGGACTCATAGTTCCACATAGCTGGGGAGGCCTCACAATCATGGTGGAAGGTGAAAAACATGTCTTACGTGGAGGCAGACAAGAGAAAGACAAGAGAATGAAAGGGGTTTCCCTTAGAAAACCATCAGATCTTATAATACTAATTCACTACCACAAGAACAATATGGGAGAAACTGCCTCCATAATTCAATTATCTCCCACTGGGTCCTTCCTACAGCATGTGGGAATTATGGGAGCTACAATTCACGATAAGATTTGGGTGGGGACACAGACAAACCATATCACAAATATAAATCAAAAGATATCCAAACTAAACAATATACTTCAAAATGACTAATGGGTCAAAGAGGATGTCTCAAAGGAGATAAAAATTCATTCTAAAAACTCTCAATAAATTAGGTATTGATGGGACACATCTCAAAATAATAAGAGCTATCTATGACAAACCCACCGCCAATATCATACTGAATGGGCAAAAACTGGAAGCATTCCCTTGGAAAACTGGCACAAGACAGGGATGCCCTCTCTCACCACTCCTATTCAACATAGTGTTGGAAGTCCTGGCAAGGGCAATTAGGCAGGAGAAGGAAATAAAGGGTATTCAATTAGGAAAAGAGGAAGTCAAATTGTCCCTGTTTGCAGATGACATGATTGTATATCTAGAAAACCCCATTGTCTCAGCCCAAAATCTCCTTAAGCTGATAAGCAACTTCAGCAAAGTCTCAGGATACAAAATCAATGTACAAAAATCGCAAGCATTCTTATACACCAATAACAGACAAACAGAGAGCCAAATCATGAGTGAACTCCCATTCACAATTGCTTCAAAGAGAATAAAATACCTAGAAATCCAACTTACAAGCGACGTGAAGGACCTCTTTAAGGAGAACTACAAACCACTGCTCAATGAAATAAAAGAGGATACAAAGAATGGAAGAACATTCCATGCTCATGGGTAGGAAGAATCAATATTGTGAAAATGGCCATACTGCCCAAGGTAATTTATAGATTCAATGCCATCCCCATCAAGCTACCAATGACTTTCTTCACAGAATTGGAAAATAACTACTTTAAAGTTCATATGGAACCAAAAAAGAACCCACATCACCAAGTCAATCCTAAGCCAAAAGAACAAAGCTGGAGGCATCACACCACCTGACTTCAAACTATACTACAAGGCTGTAGTAACCAAAAGAGCATGGTACTGGTACCAAAACAGAGATATAGATCAATGGAAAAGAACAGAGCCCTCAGAAATAACACCGCATATCTACAACTATCTGATCTTTGACAAACCTGAGAAAAACAAGCAATGGGGAAAGGATTCCCTATTTAATAAATGGTGCTGGGAAAACTGGCTGGCCATATGTAGAAAGCTGAAACTGGATCCCTTCCTTACATCTTATACAAAAATAAATTCAAGATGGATTAAAGACTTAAATGTTAGACCTAAAACCATAAATACCCTAGAAGAAAACCTAGGCATTACCATTCAGGACATAGGCATGGGAAGGACTTCATGTCTAAAACACTAAAAGCAATGGCAACAAAAGCCAAAATTGACAAATGGGATCTAATTAAACTCAAGAGCTTCTGCACAGCAAAAGAAACTACCATCAGAGTGAACAGGCAACCTACAGAGTGGGAGAAAATTTTCGCAACCTACTCATCTGACAAAGGGCTAATATCCAGAATCTACAATGAACTCAAACAAATTTACAAGAAAGAAACCAATAACCCCATCAAAAAGTGGGTGAAGGACATGAACAGACACTTCTCAAAAGAAGACATTTATGCAGCCAAAAAACACATGAAAAAATGCTCACCATCACTGGCTATCAGAGAAATGCAAATCAAAACCACATTGAGATACCATCTCACACCAGTTAGAATGGCAATCATTAAAAAGTCAGGAAACAACAGGTGCTGGAGAGGATGTGGAGAAATAGGAACACTTTTACACTGTTGTTGGGACTGTAAACTAGTTCAACCATTGTGGAAGTCAGTGTGGCAATTCCTCAGGGATCTAGAACTAGAAATACCATTTGACCCACTCATCCCATTACTGGGTATATACCCAAAGGACTATAAATCATGCTGCTACAAAGACACATGCACACAGATGTTAATTGCAGCACTATTCACAATAGCAAAGACTTGGAACCAACCCAAATGTCCAACAATGATAGACTGGATTAAGAAAATGTGGCACATATACACCATGAAATACTATGCAGCCATGAAAAATGATGAGTTCATGTCCTTTGTAGGGACATGGGTGAAATTGGAAATCATCATTCTCAGTAAACTATTGGAAGAACAAAAAAACCAAACACCACATATTCTCACTCATAGGTGGGAATTGAACAATGAGAACACAGGGACACAGGAAGGGGAACATCACACTCTGGGGACAGTTGTGGGGTGGGGGAAGGGTGGAGGGATAGCATTAGGAGATATACCTAATGCTTAATGATGAGTTAATGGGTGCAGCACACCAGCATGGCACATGTATACATATGTAACAAACCTGCACATTGTGTACATGTACCCTAAAACTTAAAGTATAATAATAATAAAATAAAATAAATTATATGTTACAATAAAAATGAAAAATTTCAAAGTCTGTGGAACACAGCTAGAACAATACGTAGAGAGAAATGCATTATACTCAATACCTATGTCGGAAAAGAGAAAAAAAAACATCACATCAATAATTTAAGCTCCCATCTCACAAAACTAGAAAAAGAACAAAATAAATGAAAATTTAGAGAAGTAATAAGAGCTGAAATCAATTTCACTCAAAACAGAAAAAGAGATAAAATCAACCAAACCAGTATCTGTCTTTTAAGAATATCAAAAATTGATAAACCTCCAGCAATCTAACAAAGAAGAGGGAGGGGGAGGGGGAGAGGGAGGGAGGGCAGGAGGGAGAGATGGACAGAGAGATGGACAGAGAGTCAGAGAGAGAACAATGGATGACTAATATCAGACAACATCAGGAATGAAGATATATCACTAGAAATCCCACTGATGTTAAATAGGTAAATGAATATTACACAAACAATTCTATGCCCATAAAAGAAAAACTTAAATAAAATAGATGGTTTCTTGAAAGATACAAACTCCAAAACATACTTAAGAAGAATTGAGCAATTAGACTTATTCTATATTTATTAAATAAATTGATTTCATATTTAAATCCTTTCCACAAAGTGAACTCCAAACACAGATGGTTTTACTGGGGATTTGTATTACTCTGGGTTCTCCAGAGAGAACCAATAGCATATATGTATATATAAAAGGAAGTTTATTAGGGAGAATTGATTCACATGATTACAAGATGAAGTCCCACAACAGACCATTTGCAAACTAAGGAAAGAGAGAAGCTGGTAGCATGGTTCAGGCCAAGTACAAAAGCCTCAAAAACCAGGGAAGCTGATAGTGCAACCCTCAGTCTGAGGATAAAGGCCTGAGAGCCCCCAGGAGGCCAGTGATGCAAGTCCCAGAGTCCAAAGGCCAAAGAACCTGGGGTCTGATATTCAAGGGCAGGAGGAGATGGAGCAAGCATCCAGCACAGAAAGAAACGGAGAGAGCAAAAGGACTTGGAAAACTACCTATCTCCCTTCTTTCACCTGCTTTGCCCTAGCAACTCTGGAGGCCAATCGGATGATGCCTACTAACACTGAGGGTGGATCTTCCTCTCCCAGTCCACTGACTCAAATGTCAATCTCCTCTGGCAACACCCTCACAGATACACCTAGAAGCAATACTTTACCAGTCATCTAGGTATCCCTCAACCTAGTCAAGTTGACACCTAATATCAACCATCATAGGATTTCTATCAAACTTCCAAGTAAGAAATAATGCTAATTCTATAAAAACTCTTCTAGTAAATTTTAAAAAAAGAGAATGCTTTCTTGTTCATTGTATGAGACAAGAATTACACTGATCCCAAGCCCAGGCAAAGGCATTATAAGAAAACAAAACTGCAGTCAAATATTCCTTATCAACATAGGTCCAGAAATTGTTAACAAAATTTTGACATTTCAAATCCAACAGTACATAAAAATAATATAATGACAAAATAGGATTTATAGTATATTGTTTTTTGAATATTAAACAATTTGCTTTACTATAAACCCTATTTATAATAAAGTAAGTGCTATTTATAGTAAAGCAAATTGTTTAATATTGAAAAAAAAACAGTTACCACCATATTAACAGAATGAAAAGAGAAAACTACATATCTATAAAACTGTACATAATCAAATACAGAAAAAATTGTGATAAAATGCACAACTATTCATTAAAAAACAAACCTCTTGATTCTCAGTAAACCAGGAAAGAAAAAAAGCTTGCTAAACCCCATTAAAAATATCTAGAAAATACATGCAGCTAATATAATGTTTGATGATAAAAAACTGAATATTTTCTTCTTAATACCAGAAATAGATTATGTGTGTTGACTCTCACACATTCATTCATATTATACTGAGCTTCCAGCCAGTGCAATAAGACAATAAAAGGAAAGGAATAGCATCCATATTTAAAGGAAGAATTATAAGTAGCTTTATTCACAAATGAATAAAGATTGCATAGAAAATCCAAATGAATCTATAAATATTAAAAGTGATAAATCAGTTTAGCAGGTTTGAATGCTGTAAGGTACTATATAGATGTGATAAAAATAATAAGTATAGTGAAAAGACAATTTAGTGGTAAAGAATCTTTCTTAAAACAGATGGTTTTGAAATAAATGAATATAGAGCAGCAAAAAATGAACATTAACTCACACCTCAGACAATAAACAAAAGTTAAGTCAAAATTAATCATTGATTTAAATATAAAACCTAAGATTATAACTTCTAGTGTAAAACATGAAGAAAACCTGTTTGATCTGAGTTAGTAAAAAGGATTTCTTAGATATAATAATGAAAGCACAATCAATAAAAGAAAAATAAATGCTGAATTGGATCTTATCAGATTCTAGATTGTCTACTCTTCAAAAACAAAACAAAAGAAAACAAAATAACATTGTCAGAAGAATAAAAAGACAAGCCACAATCTTGGAGAATATATTTTGCTTTGAGGGATTTTCCTCAACATTATCCTTCAATATTTAGCTTGAGTTTTTAATTTTCTACCATATCTTTAGTCCCTAATACTTCTGTTTTCCTTCTTTGAATATACTTTAAAAAATATAATATCATTTTCTTATTCCTTTATATACTGTGTACCCATTAATATATTTATAATTATCATTTTATTTATTTGTCTTTTAAATAATATAAAGACAATATATAAAATGACAAACCAAAAATGTAATTATATTGCATTTTACTAGTGTTCTTTTTATTCATATGGCTTTGAGTTACTTTCCAGTGTCCTTTTATTTCTGCCTGAAGGAAGGTAATACAGTAAGCATTTCTTGTAGAGCAGGCCTACTAGCAAAGAACTATCTCAGCTTCTGTTTACCTAAGAATGTCTTAGTTTCTCTTTCATTTCTCTAAGGATACTTTGGCCAGATACAGAATTCTTGGTTGAAAGTTATCTTCTTTCAGCACTTTAAATATGTCATCCCACTGCCTTCTGGCATTCATAGTTTGTGCTGAGAAATCAGCTGCTATTTTACTGAAGAATCATTGTATATGATAAATCACTCCTCTCTTGCTGCTTTCAAGATTCTTTTTTCTTAGCTTCCAACTGCTGGATTAAAAAGTGTCTCTTTGTGGATGATTTCTATCAGTAACTCCTTTTTCTTTATTTCTTTATGATTTTAACAACTGGTTTCTAGCATTTAAGCTTTAGGTATTTAAAGAGAATTCTTAGAATAAAAGGTAGAAATAAATATGATGAAATACTCAGAGGAATTTATCCATCTTTTAATGAATAGCTTTGCTGAAAATCTTGAACATTATCATGGAATTTTACTTGAAAATAATGTTTTAACTCATTAACACCTTAACCCTTTTATTGAAATTATATTGCATATAACTTATTTCAGAAGTAGATTAGTTCAGCCCCTAAGTACAGGAAGAATTGGATACAACACTTAAAAACTTCCAAAGGGAATGCATAATGCCACACAGCTCACCCAATGGAAGTCCAACATTTTTTGTCAACAACATGTTGTCACTTTATTTATTTATTATTTATTTATTTTTATCCCTACATTAAATTTATCATGAGTTGAATCTTTATTTTTCCCTTATTCATGGTTTTGCATAAATTCATCAAGTTAACTTGTAGGGAAAAATGGTTAAAAGCAATGGTCAACTTAATTACTGAGTTAGATTCCAACTATATCATCATATCATTACACTCTTTAATTTATAGAACAAGGTAAAGTCCTCTTCAACTCCATTATCAAAATTACAAGGTTATTTCATTTCACTGTTATTCTTATAGTAATTTTTGAAAATCCTTTTAAAGATGAGTATTCTTTTCATGTTTGTTTTCTGAGTAATTATTTTCTTTTTCCTGTTAAAGTTTAGGTTCTTAAAATAAATGTATTTAAAAGATCAATGAAATGGAAAATTTGGGTGGCTCATTCAAGCAAAAAGTAATTGAATGTTTGAGTTGCTATTGCTCATAACAAATATAAAAACTAATAAAATTTAAAATGTGTCAAAATGAACAAAAAGTAAAACATCAAATACAAAAAGGAAGGCTGGATAAAATAAATAAACAGGCTGTAAAAATGTAGTAAATCAATGAATATTACAATGCCAAGTAGCAACGAGGCTTACATTAAAACGGTAGAGCTACACTATAAGAAAATAGGGAAGGGATGGTTAATAAGGTAATTATTTATGTCTTATAGGAAGCATAAGTCACATTAGGAACTTAGATAAGAGTTTTCAATGTCAATTCTTAGAGTTTCTGAGAATTATTCCCCATGATACCTCCCCTGTGCTAAATTCATGGTTTTCCTTTTTAATTACCCCATTTGTTCAAGATCTTCTCCAATCTGAGTGCTACAGTTTGCTTTCCTTCTCCCCACAACACCCTCTGGTATTTGGTCTTCAGCTTTGTTTTAATTTTTTAACTTCCCACTTTGGCAGAATGCCTAGACAGAATCTACTTCTCACCTTAGTGTCTGGCAGGACTATAGCTGGTTCCTCATCAGTCTTGTCAGGCAAGTACTAGTGTACTGGGCTTTGATACTAGAAAAGTATAGCAAAGTCTTTAAGAATGGTATGCGTTTTAAGAGGTCAGGCTCTTCGAACATGAAAAGAGTCTGGGAGTGGAAACCCGATAAGGGAAGGTAGAATATCTGAAGATGAATAATTTATAAATAAAAGGAAATTATTTCTTATAGTTATAAAACCTGTTAAGTCCAAGGTTGAGAGGCAGCATCTGGTGAGAGCCTTCTTGCTGGTGGGAACTCTCTGAGAGTTGTGAGGCAGTGAAGGGCATCACATGGTGAGGCCTTAGTGCACTAGCTTGGACTCTCTCCCTCTTCTTATAAAGCTACCAGTCCCATTCCCATGATAATCCCTAAATCCAGTAGTCTTTTAATCCATTAATCCACAAATGAATTAATCTATTTATAAGGGCAGAGCCTTCATGATCCAATCACCTCTGAAAGGCCCCACCTCTCCATACTGCTTTGTTGGGGATTAAGTTTCAACATGAATTTTGAAGGGCACAAAATATAGCAGTAGATTTCTCTTCCCAACCTAACTCCTAGTCTGAATTGAAAAGCTCATTTGAGGAGCTTGGGAACCATCCTGATCAAGTTGGGAGTGGGTAGGTAAAGAGAGGTTTGGGTAAGAGGACACTGACAGTGGTAAATTGTGGGTATTTTAAAAGATATCATAATCAGGATTTATATAAGGTCCATCCAGATTGGTGTAAGGAACAGCCGGCAGCTGGGGAGATATAAGTAAAAGGTACCAGCTTCTATACACTGTGCTGTCTTCCTTCTTCACTCTTTCTTGAATACTAATAGATAGCTATTAGTTCCTAGTTGGCCCACCCCCACCTGGTACTTCAGCCATGGTCTATAGGCTTGGAAATATACTGAGATCCAAAAGTAGAATGATGCCTCTGCCTGGTGTCTGGGATGCCTTGGAGTGATGGAGAAACCTGGGCCCTTGATCACCTCCATATGCATCAAGTTGAAGCTGCCTTTGCATCCCTCAGTGTGTGTGGCAAGCTGCTATTCGCATATGAGAAGTAAAATTATGTATGCAAAAGGAGAGAGATAGGTAAACTGTTGTATTATAGAAATAACATTTCATGGGGAATGCTATATCCTTTGTGCCACTGGCCAATTATATAGCTTCAAAGAAGCATTTCAACTTTGAGTTTGGAAACGGTAAGTTGGACTAGATAACCCAACTTCATATATATATAAAAGGGAAAGTTAGTCTAGGTAACCTCTGAAATTCCTCTGGTTCCAAGTGTGTCATGATTCCAAACATCAGTAAAATTAACAATAAAAAAAATTGAGGACTATTGTTTCTCTATAATTCCACTGTTTGCTACCTATTCCTCATGACCTTTTTTTTTTTTTTTTTTTTTTTTTTTGAGACAGAGTCTTCCTCTGTCGCCTAGGCTGGAGTGCAGTGGCACGATCTCGGCTCCTCATGACCTTTTGATTGCATAGTGCAAATTTCAGAGAGCTTGAGTAAGTGCCTGCTTGGCTGGGCGTGGCTGGCTGGGCGTGGTAGCTCACGCCTGTAATCTCAGTACTTCGGGAGGCTGAGGCGGGAGGATCACGAGGTCGGGAGTTAGAGACCAGCCTGGCCAACGTGGTGAAACCCCGTGTTTACTAAAAATACAAAAATTAGCCAGGCATGGTGGTGTGTGCCTGTAGTCCCAGCGACTCAGGAGGCTGAGACAGGAGAATCGCTTGAACCCGGGAGGTGGAGGTTGCAATGAGCCGAGATTGCACCACTGCACTCCAGCCTGGGTGACAGAGCAAGACAGTGCCTGCCTTGCCAGCCTCCTGATGAATAGCATGAGCACTTTTCTCTAAACGTATGAGCCGAAAGCCTAGTTCTTATGAATTTGTAATAACAGAATACTTTCTTTACCTAAATTGTAATAGAATAAGGACATGAATCTCTATCAGTTTGAGTGCCAGAAAGTAGCCCCTATTAATTTATCTTTTAGTTATTTGTGGTAGTTCTAAAGGAAGTGTATTGCAGTGTGCCCCCAAAGCAGCCATAACATGCCAAGAATGTAAGTGTGACTCAGATAGCAGTATTTAACAGCCTATAGTGGCAAAATGTGAGAATTAAAATGGCAGGAGTGGTGTTAGCTCTTCTCTCTAAAACATTCTTTCATTAATAAACAACATAAACATGCTGTGTGTTATCTTTCAGAATGTGAACATATTATTCCATCATTATCAAAGAACAGCTTGTAAATTTTTAGGGATATTTCTCAAATGTGTGACTTACGGGACAAATTATTTCAGTAATTTCTCTCAACTGAGCAATTGGCAGCAGTACTATAAAATACTTTTAAGAGTAGAATCATTGCCTATTTAATGTCAGGAATTTGATTGCTCTAAAGCACATATGAAATCAGGCCATTATTTTCTAAATGTAATACACCATCAGAGGGTTCTCAGAATTGAGTGTAGATATGGTGGCCAAATGAGTGTTGACACACAAAAATTACTGCTTCTGATGCTTCTTATTATCTCTATATTATTGATTTCTACTATTTTTATTCTTAAAACTGTGTCCAATACCGATGTTACCAAAACACAGTTAAAATTACCCTTTCTTATTACTTTCAAGACACCTATACATCAGGAATGGCTTCATCTGTGTATGTGACTTGAACAGAGCTCGAAATGCACATCTATGTGCATGGGAGACAGTTGCAGACAGAGCCTGTAGGCTCTGGAGTCAGACATCTAGGACTTATTAGTTGTATGGCCTTACCCAAGTTAATAATCTCCATATTTCTAATTTCTGATTTGACAAATGAGTCTAAACATATTACCTACTTTAAAAGTTTCAGTGTGGTGATAAACTATAAAATGACATCTTTTTGGTCAATACGTGTGAACATTTTTTCAATGTGACATACCCTTATACATCATTAAGCTCTTCCTGACATTAATACAGGAAAGTTCATAATATCATTTATCATATTAACAATTTTACATGACTATTATTTTATCATAAAGAGTAAAACATGAGATACCTCATTAAGAATTCACATTCGCCGGGCGCGGTGGCTCACGCCTGTAATCCCAGCACTTTGGGAGGCCGAGGCGGGTGGATCATGAGGTCAGGAGATCGAGACCATCCTGGCTAACAAGGTGAAACCCCGTCTCTACTAAAAATACAAAAAATTAGCCGGGCGCGGTGGCGGGCGCCTGTAGTCCCAGCTACTGGGGAGGCTGAGGCAGGAGAATGGCGTGAACCCGGGAAGCGGAGCTTGCAGTGAGCCGAGATTGCGCCACTGCAGTCCGCAGTCCGGCCTGGGCGACAGAGCGAGACTCCGTCTCAAACAAACAAAAAAAAAAAAAAAAAAAAAAAAAAAAAGAATTCACATTCACTGTATCCATTCCAAATTTGACAACTCAGCATAAGTCTTTTGAAAATTTACTGAAGAGAAAAATTGTAGCTATAATTATACATAAATACCTACTAAAATCCCTTTACCTATTCACATGTCAAAGTCCTTATGACTCCCCAGAAGTCTCTCTTCTCTCACTCCTTGTTCCAGAACACTTTTCAAAATCCTCATCTATTTTTTTACTCTTGTATTCCTGTGTTTTTTTCCCCTTCCAACAACTGCTTCAGTGATATTTTGTTTAGGATTTTTGCGTTTATATTTATGAAAGCAAGTGATCTATGATTTTTCTTTCTTTAATAGCCTTGTAAATTATTAACATGAAGCTTATTCTGTCTCCATAAAATGAGTTGTTAATTGTTTCCACTTTATTCCCTGAAAGAGTTTGTTTGAACTGATTTCTTTCTTCAATATTTGAAAGTTTTCACTGGAAGCCTTCCAAGCCACTCGTCTATTATGTGAAGAGTCTTTGATTACATAGTCAGCATTTTAATTTAGAATAATAATAATTTTAATTTCATTCCATTTTAAAAATTTATTCTTTTGTATCTCTTGGTAAATTGTGTATGTATTTGCAGGGATTTGTCCATTTCATCAAATTTTTCAAATTTTGTCATAAAATTATTCATTATCTTTGATTGTCTAGTGGAACCTCTTTTTATTTCCTGTGTGTGCAATTATTAAACCTCTTTTGTATGTCATGTAGTTTTTTTTTTGGTTTTTGTTTTGTTTTGTTTTAATCCATATCACAATCTCAGTTTCTTAAAGAGATTGTTTAGTTCATTTATATTCAGTTATTAATACATAGAACATATTTTAGAGAGATTAGAATGGTGGTATATTGGATTAGCAAATACTAAAAGAAAAGCATGCATTTTGGAAAAAACATAATTCCTTTTGGAAAATGTCAACTACCCAAATTAAAATTGCTCTAATATATTAGTGTAAAAAAGAGGCAATCTTTAAAGAAAACTTATTAGAAAAATATATCAATATGTTCTCAAATATTTCTTTCAGATTCTCTAGAACAAAGAAGTATAAGACAGTTAAGTTCCAAGACTATCAGGTATGACATGTCTCCTCAGTTTGAAATATTTTTTTTCTTTTTCTCAGAAGCTCATTGTAGTCTTCAAGGTAGCTTTTGCCTTTGGAACCCTATTGGTCAAATTATTTTAAACTAAGATGTCTTCCTTATCATAAATAGTGCTATCTAGTTATGTTAGTACTATAGAGCTTTGATGCATGGTAATATTAACTAATGAATACCAAAACCCTTTCCCTAGTCAAAACCTTGGCAAT
Organism: Homo sapiens; assembly: GCF_000001405.40. NCBI lineage: Eukaryota > Metazoa > Chordata > Mammalia > Primates > Hominidae > Homo > Homo sapiens. The sequence continues at coordinate 63,590,221 of NC_000005.10, read as the reverse complement.
AAACTTCACAAATTCTCTCAGTAAGAATCCTGTATTATCCTTTTTTTAACCTCCTCCCATCACTCAACCTACCAACCAACAGACACACACACATATGCACACAGACACATTATGGCTTTTTTTCCCCATCTTTGAGTAAAAATATTCTTTCAAATTCTAAGGAACAATCTGTGGCTATGATTGACCACTTGCTGTTGCTTTGCTGTGTTAAAACCTTATGGTTGAACCTCTTTGTTCTCTTCAGTGCTTTAGTGGTGTTAACAATCTCATTTATAGAAAACTCCTAGTATGTTTTGTTATTTTCTTTTAAATTCAAAATTATTATTTTGTGATGTGTTTTTCATACTCTCAAAACATTTGCTGTTGAGCCGTGAGTAAACTTACTATTGGCTCAAGACAATCTTCTAGAATGCATAGTAATTACATTTATGTAATATAAGATTATTTATTCTAAATCTATACTTTTTTTTATTACATTGCATATGCTGTTTTGGCCTTGATGGTCTTCTTGTTAAAGAGTGAAACAAACCACTGAATATGCTGTATGCCTGAAAGCTGTATTTTGTAAAAGCTTTTCTTTGTGTGTGTGAGCAAACTGTTTCTTGTTCATCTTGGAAACAGAATGCTAGTGGGGTTTCCATAGGCTTTCAGTGTTGTTCACCCTCAAATATATTATGTTATTTTATCTGAGTCAATAGGTACCATTTTAGTGCCTTATAATAAGCTATAGCTATATCAAACTGCTGACTGGAAATTACAACAGAAGTAGAGTAAGCTTTGTGTGCCTCTTTTCCTCTACAATGAGCAACTACATTTTGGTATCTGCTGCTATCTCCCTAACATATATCACAAGTACTAAGCATTATCTGATGCTTCCAAAATTGCTTCAATACCATATATATTTCAATATTTATCATATAGTATTTTAGACAGTGCACAAATTTAATTAAAATGATTGTGGATTTTTGTTCCAGTGTAAAATTAGCTACAATGTGATTGAGCTTTATTAAATGAAAACAGAAATGATAGTCGATGCCACAACTTAGTTTATATTTACAAATTCCGAAGTCTTAGGAAAAATATAACCAATTTTTATTTTATATACAATAAAAACATACTTTTATTGAGTTAACGGCATTTCTTTATAACCTTTTCTTTTTACTGCTCTTGCCTATATTAATTGTCAAGGCTTAGCAAGAGTCCCATGATTGTCAGCCTTGAACCTGAGTCAAAGAAGGTGTGGAACTCTTACAGGAGAAGATTTTGATAAAAAGGAAACTGTAGAGTTGGAGTACTATCTCCACCACCTTAAGTGGATGCTGAGGCGAGCATCATTAATCAGCTTTCTACTAGCCATTTCCCCAATGTTTACCTTGCCTACAGACCCTTGATTTTTAGAGAAATGCAATGTGTTTAACCATAGAAGAAGAGTCATAATTTGATCTATTGAGTTTTCCAGATAATCTCATTTTTTTTATTTATTTATTTATTTTAGACGGAATCTTGCTCTGTTGCCCAGGCTGGAGAGCAGTGGCGCAATCTAAGCTCACTGCAACCTCTGCCTCCCGGGTTTAAGCAGTTCTCTGCCTCAGCCTCCCTAGTAGCTGGGATTACAGGTGCCCGCCACCATGCCTGGCTACTTTTTGTAGTTTTAGTAGAGACGGGGTTTCACCATCTTGGCCAGAGAGGTCTTGAACTCTTGTCCTCTTGATCCACCCGTCTCGGTCTCCCAAAGTGCTGGGATTACAGGCGTGAGCCACTGTGCTTGGCCTGATAATCTCATTTTAATTTCTACATTCTGCGGTCTCCTTTGCAGTAAGTGCTCTAAATGTCAGTTACTCACATGGATGCATTTGCTTTTTTTTTTTGTTTTTCCCACTGCAGTGCTGCAGCCTGTATTGTAGTGGTCAAAGCAGTCTTGGTTCTCTGATCCTGGCTTCCTAATCACTGGGTCACACCTCAGGTGTGACTTCCTAAACTCAGTAGTTAGTGTAGTATTCTCATGTAGCCCAAGTTTCCTGATTCTGGCCACATCATGCCCTGGGTACATACATTCAGCTAAGTACTTCTAGAAATCATTGAGGGTCTAGGTTGGAATTCACTCCAGCAGTTGTTTCCAGGACTTTGTAAGCATCTAATTCCTGTATTAAATATTTCTGCTTAAAGTAACTAGAGAGGCTTCTGTTTCTTACACTGAACTTGGACACAGCTACATACTTGTGTTTGAAGGTAGGCTTGGCTATGTGACACAGGAGTTGCCAAGGTTATTGGAAGTTTGTACAAATTGTTTTTATTATTATTATTATACTTTAAGTTTTAGGGTACATGTGCACAATGTGCAGCTTAGTTACATATGTATACATGTGCCATGCTGGTGCGCTGCCCCACTAACTCGTCATCTAGCATTAGGTATATCTCCCAATGCTATCCCTCCCCCCACCCCACACCCCACAACAGTCCCCTTCCTGTGATGTTCCCCTTCCTGTGTCCATGTGTTCTCATTGTTCAATTCCCACCTATGAGTGAGAATATGCAGTGTTTGGTTTTTTGTTCTTGCGATAGTTTACTGAGAATGATGATTTCCAATTTCATCCATGTCCCTACAAAGGACGTGAACTCATCATTTTTTATGGCTGCATAGTATTCCATGGTGTATATGGGCCACATTTTCTTAATCCAGTCTATCACTGTTGGACATTTGGGTTGGTTCCAAGTCTTTGCTATTGTGAATAATTCCACAATAAACATACGTGTGCATGTGTCTTTATACCAGCATGATTTGTAGTCCTTTGGGTATATACCCAGTAATGGGATGGCTGGGTCAAGTGGTATTTCTAGTTCTAGATCCCTGAGGAATCGCCACACTGACTTCCACAATGGTTGAACTAGTTTACAGTCCCACCAACAGTGTAAAAGTGTTCCTATTTCTCCACATCCTCTCCAGCACCTGTTGTTTCCTGACTTTTTAATGATAGCCATTCACACTGGTGTGAGATGGTATCTCATTGTGGTTTTGATTTGCATTTCTCTGATGGCCAGTGATGGTGAGCATTTTTTCATGTGTTTTTTTGGCTGCATAAATGTCTTCCTTTGAGAAGTGTCTGTTCATGTCCTTTGCTCACTTTTTGATGGGGTTGTTTGTTTTTTTCTTGTAAATTTGTTTGAGTTCATTGTAGATTCTGGATATTAGCCTTTTATCAGATGAGTAGGTTGTGAAAATTTTCTATTTTGTAGGTTGCCTGTTCACTCTGATGGTAGTTTCTTTTGCTGTGCAGAAGCTCTTGAGTTTAATTAGATCCCATTTGTCAACTCTGGCTTTGTTGCCATTGCTTTTGGTGTTTTAGACATGAAGTCCTTGCCCATGCCTATGTCCTGAATGGTAATGCCTATGTTTTCTTCTAGGGTTTTTATGGTTTTAGGTCTAATGTTTAAGTCTTTAATCCATCTAGAATTGATTTTTGTATAAGGTGCAAGGAAGGGATCCAGTTTCAGCTTTCTACATATGGCTAGCCAGTTTTCCCATCACCATTTATTAAATACGGAATCCTTTCCCCATTTCTTGTTTTTCTCAGGTTTGTCAAAGATCAGATAGTTGTAGATATACGACATTATTTCTGAGGTCTCTGTTCTTTTCCATTGATCTATATCTCTGTTTTGGTACCAGTACCGTGCTGTTTTGGTTACTGTAGCCTTGTAATATAGTTTGAAGTCAGGTAGTGTGATGCCTCCAGCCTTGTTCTTTTGGCTTAGGATTGACTTGGCGATGTGGCTCTTTTTTGGTTCCATATGAACTTTAAAGTAGTTTTTTCAAATTCTGTGAAGAAAGTCATTGGTAGCTTGATGGGGATGGCATTGAATCTGTAAATTACCTTGGGCAGTATGGCCATTTTCACGATATTGATTCTTCCTACCCATGAGCATGGAATGTTCTTCCATTTGTTTGTATCCTCTTTTATTTCATTCAGCAGTGGTTTGTAGTTCTCCTTGAAGAGGTCCTTCACATCCCTTGTAAGTTGGATTCCTAGGTATTTTATTCTCTTTGAAGCAATTGTGAATGGGAGTTCACTCATGATTTGGCTCTCTGTTTGTCTGTTATTGGTGTATAAGAATGCCTGTGATTTTTGTACATTGATTTTGTATCCTGAGACTTTGCTGAAGTTGCTTATCAGCTTACGGAGATTTTGGGCTGAGACAATGGGGTTTTCTAGATATACGATCATGTCATCTGCAAACAGGGACAATTTGACTTCCTCTTTTCCTAATTGAATACACTTTATTTCCTTCTCCTGCCTAATTGCCCTGGCCAGAACTTCCAACACTATGTTGAATAGGAGTGGTGAGAGAGGGCATCCCTGTCTTGTGCCAGTTTTCCAAGGGAATGCTTCCAGTTATTGCCCATTCAGTATGATATTGGCTGTGGGTTTGTCATAGGTAGCTCTTATTATTTTGAAGTATGTCCCATTAATACCTAATTTATTGAGAGTTTTTAGCATGAAGGGTTGTTGAATTTTGTCAAAGGCCTTTTCTGCATCTATTGAGATAATCATGTGGTTTTTGTCTTTGGTTCTGTTTATATGCTGGATTACATTTATTGATTTGCATATATTGAACCAGCCTTGTATTCCAGGGGTGAAGCCCACTTGATCATGGTGGATAAGCTTTTTGATGTGCTGCTGGATTCGGTTTGCCAGTATTTTATTGAGGATTTTTGCATCAATGTTCATCAAGGATATTGGTCTAAAATTCTCTTTTTTGGTTGTGTCTCTGCCTGGCTTTGGTATCAGGATGATGCTGGCCTCATAAAATGAGTTAGGGCGGATTCCCTCTTTTTCTATTGATTGGAATAGTTTCAGAAGGAATGGTACCAGTTCCTCCTTGTACCTCTGGTAGAATTCAGCTGTGAATCCACATGGTCCTGGACTCTTTTTGGTTGGTAAGCTATTGATTATTGCCACAATTTCAGAGCCTGTTATTGGTCTATTCAGAGATTCAACTTCTTCCTGGTTTAGTCTTGGGAGAGTGTGTGTGTCGAGGAATTTATCCATTTCTTCTAGATTTTCTAGTTTATTTGTGTAGAGGTGTTTGTAGTATTCTCTGATGGTAGTTTGTATTTCTGTGGGATTGGTGGTGATACCCCCTTTATCATTTTTTATTGCGTCTATTTGATTCTTCTCTCTTTTTTTCTTTATTAGTCTTGCTAGCGGTCTATCAATTTTGTTGATCCTTTCAAAAAACCAGCTCCTGGATTCATTAATTTTTTGAAGGGTTTTTTGTGTCTCTATTTCCTTCAGTTCTGCTCTGATTTTAGTTATTTCTTGCCTTCTGCTAGCTTTTGAAGGTGTTTGCTCTTGCGTTTCTAGTTCTTTTAATTGTGATGTTAAGGTGTCAATTTTGGATCTTTCCTGCTTTCTCTTGTGGGCACTTAGTGCTATAAATTTCCCTCTACACACTGCTTTGAATATGTCCCAGAGATTCTGGTGTGTTGTGTATTTGTTCTTGTTGGTTTCAAAGAACATCTTTATTTCTGCCTTCATTTTGTTATGTACCCAGTAGTCATTCAGGAGCAGGTTGTTCAGTTTCCATGTAGTTGAGCAGTTTTGAGTGAGATACTTAATCCTGAGTTCTAGTTTGATTGCACTGTGGTCTGAGAGATAGTTTGTTATAATTTCTGTTCTTTTACATTTGCTGAGGAGAGTTTTACTTCCAACTATGTGGTCAATTTTGGAATAGGTGTGGTGTGGTGCTGAAAAGAATGTATATTCTGTTGATTTGGGGTGGAGAGTTCTGTAGATGTCTAGTAGGTCCGCTTGGTGCATAGCTGAGTTCAGTTCCTGGGTGTCCTTGTTGACTTTCTGTGTCGTTGATTTGTCTAATGTTGACAGTGGGGTGTTAAAGTCTCCCATTATTATTGTGTGGGAATCTAAGTCTCTTTGTAGGTCACTCAGGACTCACTTTATGAATCTGGGTGATCCTGTATTGGGTGCATATATATTTAGGATAGTTAGCTCTTCTTGTTGAATTGATCCCTTTACCATTATGTAATGTCCTTGTCTCTTTTGATGTTTGTTGGCTTGAAGTCTGTTTTATCAGAGACTAGGATTGCAACCCCTGCCTTTTTTTGTTTTCCATTTGCTTGGTAGATCTTCCTCCATCCTTTTATTTTGAGCCTATGTGCGTCTCTGCACGTGAGATGGGTTTCCTGAATACAGCACACTGATGGGTCTTGACTCTTTATCCAATTTGCCAGTCCGTGTCTTTTAATTGGAGCATTTAGTGCATTTACATTTAAGGTTAATATTGTTATGTGTGAATTTGATCCTGTCATTATGATGTTAGCTGTTTATTTTGCGCGTTAGTTGATGCAGTTTCTTCCTAGTCTCGATGGTCTTTTCATTTTGGCATGATTTTGCAGTGGCTGGTACCGGTTGTTCCTTTCCATGTTTAACGCTTCCTTCAGGAGCTCTTTCAGGGCAGGCCTGGTGGTGACAAAATCTCTCAGCATTTGCTTGACTGTAAAGTATTTTATTTCTCCTTCGCTTATTAAGCTTAGTTTGGCTGGATATGAAATTCTGGGTTGAAAATTCTTTTCTTTAAGAATGTTGAATATCGGCCCCCAGTCTCTTCTGGCTTGTAGAGTCTCTGCCGAGAGATCTGCTGTTACTCTGTTGGGCTTCCCTTTGAGAGTAACCCGACCTTTCTCTCTGGCTGCCCTTAACATTTTTTCCTTCATTTCAACTTTGGTGAATCTGACAATTATGTGTCTTGGAGTTGCTCTTCTCGAGGAGTATCTTTGTGGCATTCCCTGTATTTCCTGAATCTGAATTTTGGCCTGCCTTGCAAGATTGGGGAAGTTCTCCTAGATAATATCCTGCAGAGTGTTTTCCAACTTGGTTCCATTCTCCCTGTCACTTTCAGGTATACCAATCAGACGTAGATTTGGTCTTTTCACATAGTCCCATATTTCTTGGAGACGTTGTTTGTTTCTTTTTATTCTTTTTTCTCTAAACTTCCCTTCTCACTTCATTTCATCTTCCATCGCTGATACCCTTTCTTCCAGTTGATCGCATCGGCTCCTGAGGCTTCTGCATTGTTCACGTAGTTCTTGAGCCTTGGCTTTCAGCTCCATCAGCTCCTTTAAGCACTTTTCTGTATTGGTTATTCTGGTTATACATTCTTCTAAATTTTTTTCAAAGTTTCAACTTCTTTGCCTTTGGTTTGAATTTCCTCCTGTAGCTCGGAGTAGTTTGATCATCTGAAGCCTTCTTCTCTCAGCTCGTCAAAATCATTCTCCGTCCAGCTTTGTTCTGTTGCTGGTGAGAAACTGCATTCCTTTGGAGGAGGAGAGGTGCTCTGCTTTTAGAGTTTCCAGTTTTCCTGCTCTGTTTTTTCCCCATCTTTGTGGTTTTATGTACTTTTGGTCTTTGATGATGGTGATGTACAGATGGGTTTTTGGTGTGGATGTCCTTTCTGCTTGTTAGTTTTCCTTCTAACAGAGAGGACCCTCAGCTGCAGGTCTGTTGGAGTTTGCTAGAGGTCCACTCCAGACCCTGTTTGCCTGGGTATCAGTAGCAGTGGCTGTAGAACAGTGGTTTTTCATGAACCGTGAATGCTGCTGTCTGATCTTTCCTTTGGAAGTTTTGTCTCAGAGGAGTACCTGGCTGTGTGAAGTGTCAGTCTGCCCCTGCTGGGGGGTGCCTCCCAGTTAGGCTGCTCAGGGGTCAGGGGTCAGGGACCCACTTGAGGAGGCAGTCTGCCCATTCTCAGATCTCCAGCTGCCTGCTGGGAGAACCACTGCTCTCTTCAAAGCTGTCAGACAGGGACATTTAAGTCTGCAGAGGTTACTGCTGTCTTTTTGCTTGTCTGTGCCCTGCCCCCAGAGGTGGAGCCTACAGAGGCAGGCAGGCCTCCTTGAGATGTGGTGGGCTCCACCCAGTTCGAGCTTCCCAGCTGCTTTGTTTACCTAAGCAAGCCTGGGTAATGGCAGGCGCCCCTCCCCGAGCCTCACTGCGGCCTTGCAGTTTGATCTCAGACTGCTGTGCTAGCAATCAGTGAGACTCCGTGGGTGTAGGATCCTCGAAGTCATGTGCGGGATATAATCTCCTGGTGTGCCATTTTTAAGGCCGTCGGAAAAGCGCAGTATTTGGGTGGGAGTGACCCGATTTTCCAGGTGCTGTCTGTCGCTCCTTTCTTTGACTAGGAAAGGGAACTCCCTGACCCCTTGCAGTTCCCGAGTAAGGCAATGCCTCGCCCTGCTTCTGCTTGCGTACGGTGCGCACACCCACTGACCTGCGCCCACTGTCTGGCACTCCCTAGTGAGATGAACCCGGTACCTCAGATGGAAATGCAGAAATCACCGTCTTCTGCGTTGCTCATGCTGGGAGCTGTAGACTAGAGCTCTTCCTATTCGGCCATCTTGGCTCCTCCCTTCACACAAATTGTTTTCTTATTAAGAATATGGAGGTATGAAAAATAGTAGCTTAAACTGCCCTGCTCCTTCCTTCTCCTCTTCTTTCCTCCCTTTGATCTTTGTTAGAAGTTTTAGAGTTATAACAGCCATCCTGCAACCATGAGATGACTGGATGAATAAGAACCAAAGACCTCAGTTTGCTGTGGTTCCAGCAGTGTTGGTGTGCTTTACTATGTTAGGGATAGTAGAGAAGGATGAAAAAAGCCTGGATCGTTGATGATGTTAATGTTAGTAGGCTGCTAACGAAGCTCTGGACTGCCATTGTTAGTGAGGTTCCTTGTCACTTGCTGGAAAAATAATTTGTAATTAATAAAATAGAACTGCCTACTCTATGATGGTGATAGATCAAAAGTAAAGGCAGTCTGAACTTTTGTAATGGAGTAGATGCTTTCAATGCCCTGCCATATCTCTCAGACTTACATTCCAGTATATTCCACCAACCTCCCGTGTGCAGTATTAGGATATCTGTGTGCTTGAGGGCTTTTCTTGGAATTTTACAAAGCTTCCGTCTAACTCTTATAAGTGGCAAGAAATTGATACTCCCTGAGAGTATCTCCCTACCAGTGACTCTCAGACATTGCTGTATAAGTACATCAACTTTCTGGTTCCTTTGGCAGAACGTTTTGAAGCATGTATTTTACACAGTTCCCAGGCTTTCCCACTGTATTAGCCAATTTAATATCTGATCTTTTATAGGTTGTCTCCTTTCTCTGCAACTCCTAAATTAAATAATTGCACTTAATTTTTTGTCTTAGCATTTGCTTTTGAGGAGGATCCAAGCTGAGATACCTAACTTGAAATCACATGGTATATCAGGCAAAATCAGGTATAAAAGACCAAATTAACAAGGGTCTTCTACTTCAGCCAAAAGTCAGTGCACAGAATGCTATGTACGCCACTGTGATTTCATCTGACTATAGCTTTACAAAGACACAGGCCCTTTAATTTTGTTATATTATTCCACTTGTGACTATATATTGACTATACCCATCATATAAGTTCTGCTGGCAACTCTATTAGTCAGTACTCTCCAAAGAAAGAAAATGCATATATATATATATATATATATACACACACACACACATGCACACACACACACATATATAATCATAGATTATATACATGAATAATTTATATATATATAAATTACCAACACATATTATCTATACCAACGCATATTATGTATCGGCCATGACCTATTTTAAATATTTGATAAAATCCCAGTTTACCAAATAATGAAAAAAACTTGAACAAAAGATTTACTTGAGGCAAACATGACAGTATTCCATTTTATTCTCTCTCTCTCTCTCTCTCTCTCTCTATATATATATATATATATATAAAGAGAAATTTATTTTTAAGGAATCGGCTCAATGGATTGTGACAGCTTCGTAAGTTTAAAATCTGATGAGGTAAGCTAGCAGGCTAGACACCCAGGGAAGAGCTGCAGTTAAAATCCAAAGGCCATCTTTTGGAACAATCCCTTCTTGCTCAGGGAAGGTCAGTCTTTGTTCTATTAAGACCAACTGATTAGATGAGGCCCATCTGCATTAAGATGGGCAATTGGCTTTACTCAGAGCCTACCAATTTATATGTTACTCTCATCCATAAAACAACCAAACAGAAACATCTTGAAAAATGATAGGCTAAATATTTTGGTATAGTGGCCCAGCCAAGTTGACACATAAAATTAACTATCACAGATACTTTTTTACTAGTTTTATCTCTAGATGTCAACATTACAATCTATTTTTAGTCCACTGGTCTGACTCTACCACTGCTTCTAAAGGCAGCTTAATTTTAATTCAATTAGACTATTTTCCCATGTGTTAAATGTCTTTTTTTTTAATTTTATTATTATTATACTTTAAGTTTTAGGGTACATGTGCACAATGTGCAGGTTTGTTACATATGTATACATGTGCCATGCTGGTGTGCTGCACCCATTAACTCGTCATTTAGCATTAGGTATATCTCCTAATGCTATCCCTCCCCCCTCCCCCCACCCCACAACAGTCCCTAGTGTGTGATGTTCCCCTTCTTGTGTCCATGAGTTCTCATTATTCAATTCCCACCTATGAGTGAGAACATGCAGTGTTTGGTTTTTTGTCCTTGCGATAGTTTGCTGAGAATGATGGTTTCCAGTTTCATCCATGTCCCTACAAAGGACATGAACTCATCATTTTTTATGGCTGCATAGTATTCCATGGTGTATATGGGCCACATTTTCTTAATCCAGTCTATCATTGTTGGACATTTGGGTTGGTTCCAAGTCTTCGCTATTGTGAATAGTGCCTCAATAAACATACGTGTGCATGTGTCTCTATAGCAGCATGATTTGTAGTCCTTTGGGTATATACCCAGCAATGGGATGGCTGGGTCAAATGGTATTTCTAGTTCTAGATCCCTGAGGAATCGCCACACTGACTTCCACAATGGTTGAACTAGTTTACAGTCCCAACAACAGTGTAAAAGTATTCCTATTTCTCCCCTTCCTCTCCAGCACCTGTTGTTTCCTGACTTTTTAATGATCGCCATTCTAACTGGTGTGAGATGGTATCTCATTGTGGTTTTGATTTGCATTTCTCTGATGGCCAGTGATGATGAGCATTTTTTCATGTGTTTTTTGGCTGCATAAATGTCTTCTTTTGAGAAGTGTCTGTTCATATCCTTCACCCACTTTTTGATGGGGTTGTTTGTTTTTTTCTTGTAAATTTGTTTGAGTTGATTGTAGATTCTGGATATTAGCCCTTTGTCAGATGAGTAGGTTGCAAAAATTTTCTCCCATTCTGTAGGTTGCCTGTTCACTCTGATGGTAGTTTCTTTTGCTGTGCAGAAGCTCTTTAGTTTAATTAGATCCTATTTGTCAATTTTGTCTTTTGTTGCCATTGCTTTTGGTGTTTTAGACATGATGTCTTTGCCCATGCCTATGTCCTGAATAATATTGCCTATGTTTTCTTCTAGGGTTTTTATGGTCTTAGGTCTAACATTTGAGGTACCTTCCATTTCCATGAGCTCAAACCACATAGCTTTTTACATCCGTATGTGCAGACAGAATGAGCAAATTTCACTGTGGCATTTTTTAAAATTAAACTTTGGCATTTACCTCCATTTCCTCTTTAAAGAACTCATGAATTATGGGATAAGCATAAAACAATTTGCTCTTGCAAGAAAAGTTACTTTTTTTGACGGAAAGGACCAAGGTGGAAAGTAAATTTAAAATCCCAATTTAGAGAGAGAAAATGCTGTGAACTCTGTGATTTTTTATGGGTGGAAACTGTTTCACATACAACTAAGCAGATTTCAATGCATGAATCTTTCATCAAAACAAAGCCAATGGAACTAATTACCTTATTGCAGAGCAGTTTTTCACAAAGAGCAATTTCATTTCAGTGAGTTTTACTTCATGACAAATGTCTGGTTTTCTACTAGTAAAATTTGCAAGGAACTCCCCTTCAATTAGAGAAAAAAGAGACTATAAGTTTTGGGGAAATATTTTTCCTGGAGGAAATTATCTTTTAAACAACTATTCATTAACTACTGCCAACAATGTGTTCTATACAACTTAGATTGCAAGAAGAATTATCAAGAAAAAATAGTTGATATTTGATTATCAACAAAAAATAGTTGATCACCAAATCAAAAGCTTATTGAGAATAAAACACGTTATTTAGTCATCTGAGGATCCCCACTTACCATAATGATACCTTGCAGGCATTAGGTTTTTAATAACTAAATATTTATTGTAAAACATAAATGCTCAATAATTTTTTGTTTCTGTACTCACAGAATTTATAATCCAGCTGAATTAGGGAGGCATACTGCTGTAAATTAGCTGAAACCACTATGCCTATGCATGACCAGAGGGTCCTCATGGGCAGCTATTGATAGCTGTCAACAGTTTAAAATAAGTAAAAGTTAAAATAAAATTATGCCTCAGGACAAATTTGGCCACAGATACCAACACATATTATCTATCAACCATATCACCTATTTAAAAAATTTGATAAAATCACAGTTTACCAAAAAAAAAAAGGAAAAAAAGAATGAAAGATTTAGTTGAGCCAAATGTAACAATATTCCATTATTAGATCTGGCTAAACCTACTAAGTCAAGTCATTAGGAAAATTCTGAATCAATGTTGGAAAAGAAATGCACACAAATCAGCCTTAATGAGTCATGCTCAAAGGTGTAAGTGAAAGATACAGTGTTTGCTATATTCTTACTACTGTTTAGGGAACAACTGGAATTATCTCTAAAATATTTTAGCCAATCTATACATCTTGAAAACCACTAGTGAGAATCCATCACTAGTGAACACTTTACAGATGCTAGTTTTTCCAACAAAATCCTATTTCTAACATATTATGCTGATGAGTGAACTACTCTGATAGTCTCCAGTAAAAGTGATAACTGAAGAATCTATATATAGAGCTGCCTTGGGAATGTGTCTAGCTCATCTTCTGCTGAATTCCTGATAAGGGCAACTGAATGCTCCAACTGTGGCTTCCACCTACATAGTTAATAACACATTATCTACAATTAAGTATTTCAAATAATTTCAGGTATCATATATATTACATGAGTGCAGATAAATACAATTAGCTAACACACACAGAATGCTTCTTGTGTGCTGAGATGATTCTAAATAGTTCACGTGAGTTGTCTCAAATAACTCCAAAGCAACACTCGATTATTTCATTTCTAAAAAAGGAAATTGAGGCTCCAGTAAGTAAGATTACTTACTAAGGTAAGGAACCTGTAGTGTGGGGTTAGAACACAGGAAGTTAGTCCTACCTCTGTACCCTCAGCTACTATAAAATACTGACTCTCAAATGACTGAATACAGAATAGTAACATTAAGGGCTAAATTATGGATGCTACTAGGTCTAGATAAGAAGGCCCGGGTGGAAGGACTGGGTAGGAGTGCTCTTCCTCCTGGATTCAAGTTCTGCTCAATAAAGACACACAGTCAGGGCCGGGCGTGGTGGCTCACGCATGTTATCCCAGCACTTTGGGAGGCCGAGGCAGGAAGATCACGAGATCAGGAGATTGAGACCATCCTGGCTAACACGGTGAAACCCCGTCTCTACTAAAAACAGAAAAAATTAGCCAGACATGGTGGCGGGCGCCTGTAGTCCCAGCTACTCCGGAGGCTGAGGCGGGAGAATGGCGTGAACCCGGGAGGCGGCACTTGCAGTGAGCGGAGATTGTGCCACTGCACTCCAGCCTGGATGACAGAGCGAGACTCCGTATACAAAAAAAAAATACACAGTCATTTACAAGTAAACTGAGATTACATATACAGTAGGTCCTTTCACATATACCTATACTCCTACCTACACTATTTATTCAAAACTTCCAAAAGGAGAGCAATTCTCTTCATTACATAGTCAGGCTTGACTTATAAAGCCAGCCTCCCTATGTAGTTTATAAAATATCTGGTCAAGTACCATGATCTAAGCAACTTGAACCACTAGATTAATATTACAAATGGCAAATTGCAAGAGGCATGAATGGTTTTAATGACAGTTGAATATGACTGGGTAGTAGAGAAAGCTCAGTAGATTATATGAGGAAAGAGTAAGCTAATTACTTTCATGAAACAGCAAATTTAGCTTTGAATAGCTTTGGAGCTAAGGCAAAAATAGAAATTCTATAAGATTATTAATAAGAATCATTCAAGCATGTAGAGAAAATTACATTTTCTCGAATACCAATCTCTAAGAGAGATTTGTTAACTGAATTCTTCTAAAAGAGACACTAAACAGAATAATCAACAATAAATTCAAAATTATTTTACAAAAAAAATGGAAATAATCCCAGATCTATTTTCTTTACATTCTCCCATCTCTTTATTTAATTAGAGAGCGTGAATTCTTGATTAAGACACAGACTGCTCCTAGAATGTGGCTTAAATTAACCATAGTGTCTGTTTCCATGGCCTCTAGTATATTACTTACATAACACCACAGCAGACCCTGGTAATCACTTGTTTATTGTCTTAGTAAAACAAGAATATGAGCTCCTAAAGGCAGTACCCAGCTCTGCCTTGTTTACCTGTATATCTTCAGCACCAGGAGTTCAACAAATTATGAAGAATTAGAAGAAAATAATTTGTTTTACATAAAAGTATAATTTAAAACTCAATGATTTTGGTTTATCTTATAGAACCTTAGAGACCAGAAGTAGTGGAAGTGAACTTTTCAAAATCTAGAACAAGACCTTCATATGCAGATGTGAGAACTGTATTAGCCAGAGTCCTCCAGCAGAACACAACCAATAGTATATATGTACATATAAAAGGCAGTTTATTAGGTAGAATTGGTTCACACAATTACAAGGCAAAGTCCCACAACAGTCTGTCTGCAAGCTGGGGAAGAAAGAAGCCATTAGTGGCTCAGTCTAAGTTTGGAAACCTCAAAACAAAGAAAGCCAACAGTTCAGCCCTCAGTCTAAGCCTAAAGGCCTCACGAGGCCTCTGGTACAAGTTCCAGAGTTCAAAAGCCAAAGATCCTGGAGTCTGATGTCCAAGAGCAGGAGGAGAGGAAGCAAGCATCTGGCACAGGAAGACAGAGCGAGCAAGAAGACTCAACAAGCAAACAGCATATCCCCCTTCTTCCACCTGCTTGGTTCTAACCTCGCTGGTGGCCAATTGGATGGTGCCCACCCAAATTGAGGGTGGATTTTCCTCTCCCAGTCCACAGACTCAAATGTCAGTCTACTCTGGCAACACCCTCACAAACACACCCAGAAACAATGTTCTACCAGACATCTGGACATCCTTGAATCCAGTCAGGTTGTCACCTAATATTAACCATCACAGGAACCAATGGCTACAGAGATCAACTGACTTGTGGAATGTGAATGTCTCCAGAAGATATCAAAAGCTCTTGAATGGTCTTATAATCTACCCTGATAAGAAATGAACTTGATAAAAATATTTAACTACTGGAGGAGAAAAAATAAGAGATTTAAATTTCTTTGTTAAAATATATCATATTGGGATCTGATGGGGGTGGGGTGGGGGGAAGGAGAGCATTAAGAAAAATAGTTAATGCATGCTGGGCTTAATACCTATGTGATGGGTTTATAGGTGCAGCAAACCACCATGGCACATGTTTACCTATGTAACAAACCTGCACATCCTGCACATGTACCCTGGAACTTTAAAATTAATATATATATGTAGAAAATATTGGAAAGTTTTATGGTTTCAGTATTGGTGTAAAAGTGGAGGGGAAAACACTTTTGTTTTCCAACATTAAAAAAATTAGATCTCATTCCTCCTGATACTTTAAATGTGTGTCACTGCCTTTGAAGTAAAACAGTTTATTACAGTAAAAGGCAGGTTACCACGATGCTAGCAATCTTTTTAAAGCCTTCATTGATACTGATATTAGTACTCACTCAGTATTGGTTAATTGAGGGCAGTAAGAAATTACCTCCCTTTACTCTTTATCCCCTGGAAGACAAATGTAAACAGACAATATTGCATATATGATGGAAACTTTCCCACCTCTGGGGAACAAACTGGATTTTGATTAATTATATTACACTATTAAAAACATATGTGTGTGTGTTCACTAAAAACACATCTAGTTAATATCATATTTGTGTCTCTCTGTTCTTTATTGTGTATGTATAGCCAATGTGAGTATAGTATCTTAGAGTCGTCAAGAAATTTGTTTTAATTTTATTAAAATTATATTTTGCCTGTGCTTTAACTAACAAGATAATTTAATTACAAGGTAATAGAATCTTAACTAGAGGTGGAAAGAGAGGATATTTACTAGATACATTGCAGGGAAGTTATTAACATTCTTAATAAATAAACTATACTTGTATATTTACTAAAAATTAAGAATCCAAATAGATAAATAGTTGAAAGCATAAACTCATGATTCAAAAACTAGAAATACACATTAAATTAATGACAAAATAAAATGAAAATAAGATGTCAATCCTGGTCATCAAATTAATAATGAATTAAAAGTGATTTAAAATATAGTTTTTGTAAGGTAGGTGGAGAAGTTGGGCTGTTGGAGATGGGCATTACCAATTCACTCTTGATGACAGCTGTAATTCAATCTTTAGAAAGTCCTGTTTGCTGGAGACAAAGGGGAAATGGGAGGAGTTGCTGTTCAGTGGGTGTAAAGTTTCAGTTTTGTCAGATGAATAAGTTCTAGAGGTCTGCTATGCAACATTGTGCCCATCCTTAACAGTACTGTATTGTGTACTTAAAATTTAATGAAGAGGGTAGGTCTCAAGTTAGGTGTTCTTACCACAATTTTAAAAATTATGTATACATATTCTTTGACTCACTTGCTATTTATGGGAGCATATTCAAAGGAAATAATCCAAACTATGAGGAAAGACATGTGTTTATTCATTCAGTAAATTGAATATCAAATCCTTGTTGTTTAGCAGATGTCTTTTGCTTGAGATAAAAGCTTCTCTGATACTACGGACTTTGAATAGTGGGAAGGAAAAAAAACCTAGCAGCAAAATATAATATAACTAATTAAGCCATTAGTGTCCTTAACCCAGACCCAAAAGGAAGATAAATTTTTTAAGATAAAGTAACTAATTAAATAAAATGAAAAGGTTTAGATTATGTGCTGGTTCTCAAACTTTGATAGTGCATTAGAATTAACTGGAGAGTATTTTTTAAAAGTCATAACTACATACTGTATTATTCCATTTATATAAGATTCCTGAAATAACAAAATTATAAAGATGGACAGCAGATTGACTGCCAGTTGTTAGGAGTAAGGGGAAGGAATGGGTGTGGCTACATGGAGTAGCACAATGGATCATTGTGGTAAGGGAACAGTTCTGTATCTTGATTGTGGTGGTGTCTACATGAATATAAATAGTTCATAAAATTGCATAGAACTAAACACAGACAGGCACATACAAATGAATGCATGTTAAACAGATGAAATTTATATAAGCTTTGTGGATTGCACCAATGTCAATTCCCGGGTTTTGATAAAACACTATAGTGATGTAAGATGTTACCATTGGGGAAAACTGCATGAAAAGTGCATAGGACCTCCCTGTAATTTTTTTGCATCTTACTATGAATATATAATTATTTCAAAAGAAAAAATTAAAAATAAAGCCCTTGTTCCAACTGCAGCTTAAAATTTCCAGATAGAGTATCAGACATGTGATTTTTACTTGTATTTTTTAATTGAGAATTACTTACATACAACAGAATTTACCCTTTATAGTGTATGATTCTGCAAGCTGTGCCAGGCATATACAGACATGTAACTGCCACTACAATCAATATATAAAACACTTCCGTCACTTCAAGATGTTGCATCTTACCCCAGCTTCTCACCAACTCCAGTCCCTGAAAACCACTTATTCATTCTTCATCACTTTTGTTCTGTCTTTTTGAGAATATAAATGGAGTCATACAATGTATAAATGTAGGAGACTGGGCTCCTTTCCAGTCTGGTTTGTGTCTTTTTATTGCTGAGTAGTACTACCTCATTGTACAGAGGTATCATTGCAGGACATATGCAACTACCTACAATAAAGCAATTGTACTCCCAGGCATTTATCCTAAAGAAATGAAAGCATATGTGTACATTAATGTTCATGGCAGTTTTATTTGCAATAAATGAAAACTAAAATCAGCCCAGATATCCTTTAATAAGTGAACAATGAACCAAACTGGTATATACATACCATAGACTATTATTCAGCAATGAAAATAAATAAACTATTGATACACACAGTAACTTGGATGAATACCTAGGGAATTATACTGAATGGAAAAAAAACTGTTTCCAAAATATTACATATTCTATGATTCTGTTTGTGTATCTTGACTGTAGTGATGGTCACATGATATACACACAAGATAAAACTGTATTGACAAATACACAAAGGAGTCCATGTAAGTGGTGAAATCTGAATAAAGTTTAAGGGCTGTATCAACATTAATTTTATGGTTGTGATACAGTACTATGGTAATACAGAATGTTATCATTTGGGCTAATTGAGTGAAAAATATGATGGGTTCTCTATCTGTTATTTCTTACAATTGCATGTTAATCTAAAATTATATTAAAATAAAAGTTAAAAGAAGTTAATGAAAAAATGTACAACAATGGTTATGATTAATTAAAATGAAGGCAAAAAAGAAAGGGAAAGGTGGCATAAATCACAAGGTCCAAATAAAATCAAATAGTAAGATAATAAGTGTAAATCATCTATATTAATAATTATATAAGGTATACATAAAATAAATACTACAAATAAAATACTAACGTTTTCCCTCTAGATTAAAAATAAAAACAGTCTAGCAAATGCTTTTTCCATGGAATATGCTTTAAATATAAAGCTACCTAAAGGTTGAAAATAAAAGCAAGGACAAAGAGACGCCATGCAAACCTTATTCAAAAGAATTCTGGTAAAACTACAGTAATATAAGATAAAGTAGACTTTAGCAGATAAAGCATTTATAGAATTAAAGACGGAAAATTCATAGCGACAAAAGGGCCAATGCAAAAAGATATCACCACTGATATGGTTATGTTGCAGCTTTTGTTGTTCAGTGAGTGGGAGGGAATAGTGCCCAGCGACGTTTTTTCTCCCATTGGTCGGTGAACAGGAGGGAGGGTAACCATGTTCCAGTATTCCTTTGATGCTGCTTTGCCAGCCTGAAGTCTCCGTGGCCTCTGTGCCCTCTGCCTGGGGCTTAATTCAGGCTTGCTGGGCTTGCTCTGCCCACTCAGTCCAGCAGGTTGCGCTTGGCTTGGGCTACTGGCCTGGATCCCATACCGCCGTGGCTTCGTGTTCAGCCTGCAGCTGGACCCAGCATGCTGAAAGTGGCTTCCGCATTGGGCACCAGCATCTAGATGAGGGGAACGCGGTGGCGCCTGAAAACTCAGAAATGCGAGCAACTGTGAAGCCCCAAGGGAAGCTGCAGCTCTTGCTTGAGGAGTCCCTAAGTCTGAGCTCCCAATAAATGTGGCAGCTCTTTAATCCTGTGGCTTGATGAGCAGGAGCAAGTTACAAGCCCTTTTATTCCCACTACTTACAGCTCAGTGAGCAGAAGTGTGTGGCACTCAGCAGCTTTTTTACCCCCACCATTCGGTGAGCAGGAGCATGCTATGGCTCTTTTATTCCCATTGCCCACAGCTGGGTGGACAGAAGGGAGAGTTACAGTTTGTTCGTTCCCCCCACCCCCAGCTCACCTGAGTTCTTGTCCCATGATCAAGAGGATTGAGGTACACAGACACCAAAGAGTGAGTAGGGCAAAGAACAATTCTATTGAGTGACAGAAGGAAAGCTGTCGGTGGAGTGGGACCTAAGAGAGGTAGTTGTCTCTGTGTCTGAGTCTGGGGTTTTTGTGGGCCCAGAATGGAGGAGTGTGTGCTTATTGGTCCATGGGTGGTCTTGGAAAAACCATAACTTGATTGGTTAAAAAGCATCAAGGAAGTTCTTACTCTGATGTGGACTCTATCCAGAACCAACAGCTCACAATTCAGGCTTCTAGCTGTCTTTGGCTTGAAGGCTGGGTTTCATCAGGCACTTGTCCTTGTCTTCCTAGGAATTCGTCTGTCTCCTGTCACTTTCTATCCCTGCTCTGAAGAGGTATATCTAACTGCTGTTTGGATAGGGGCTATGACTGCTCTTAACTGCTTCATGCTGACAGGGGGCATTGTTTTGGGAAAATGGCAGTCAGATCTCTCTCAGAGGCCAATCTAAGGGTCCACAGTAAAAGGGAGCCATTGTCCTAGGATCCATTTGCATGAACATTTGGAATTTGATGGCCTCTAGATGAGAAGAAACAAGTTTCACAAGGTGGTTAAATATGCATGGGCCAAATATGAGTATTATACAAAAAGGAGCTAAAAGAGAAAAATCTAGTACCAGAGATAACAAAAATAGTAAGTAAAATAGACTAATAATTCTGAAAACAATGTTGTGGCCAGAGCTGTTTCACCCTGGTGGAAGGAATTAAGTCTTGTATGGGGGAGGGCAGTTAAACTTTAGAAAATAGATAGCTGTTTAGGGGAGTAGATAATCCCATGGGCATTCAGGATTAAGGGGTCCTTGGCAAAGGTGTCTTATGGTGAAGAACAGAATGAAGGTGATAACAGCAAGCATAGGTGAGATTATAAAGAGGATATCCATGGAAGGCTAATTGATACTTACATTTTGTGATTTTTAGCTTACGGTCTCCGATTTCTTCACACTGGTGCTTTGGGTGCTCTTCTGGATCGACAGAGGTAATTCTGTCAGTTTCCCAGGCCTTTACTCGAGTGTAATGAATCCAATAATCTATTCCAGTGATCTTTACTGGAGTACAAAGAAGTACAGTGTAAGGTCCTTCCCAATCCAGGCCTAGAACAGGAGAAGGGGAAGGGTGTGCCTTTACCAGTAATAAGCCCCCTGGGTTGAATAGAGTTTACCCTAGTTCATTGGGCTGAGCCTCCAACAGTTGTTTCAGTTCCTGTTGAAAATGGGCCAAAGAAATTACATGTTTAATCAAATCAGAGATTTCTTTGTCTAGCAAGAAATAATTGGGGTGAAAAAGCCATCCACACATCATTTCAAAGGGTCTTAAACCCAGCTTAGGAGGAGTGTTTCTAACACGTAGTAGGGCTATGTGAAGAAGAGTAATCCAGGGGAGACAAGTCTCTTGAGACAGTTTTCTGAGATGCCTTTTGATAATATCATTTGCCTTTTCTACCTTTCCTGAGGATCATGGTCTCCAAGCACAATGAAGATGACATTGAATGCCTAGTGCCTTTGAGAACCCCTGATGACAGCCACACTGAACTCAGAACTGTTATCTCTCTAGAGGTACTGAGGGAGTCCAAAGCAAGGAGTTATCTCATTAATTAGTACTTTTATCACCTGAGAAGCCTTCTCTGTTTGATATGGAAACTCGGGCCAGTTAGTGAAGATATCTACCCATACTAGGAGGTACTGGATGCCCCTTATCTTTGACATATGGGTTAAATCCAGTCTGAATGCCAGACTTCCCCAGACAGACTCCCATTCTTTGGGTTCCAGAGGGGAGAAGCCATCTATTAAGGGGATTATTTTTAAGGCAAGTCTCACAAGCATTAATGACATGTTGGACCATTTTTAGCAGATTTGATAGCTTTTATCCTTGCCTTGGTAAAAGGCTTGGTGAAGGGTTTTAAGAACTTTCCATTGGCTGAAAGCTGGTAGAAGAAGTTTTCTGTCCTCCAATTGTAGCTATCCTGAGGACTGACAGGTATATCCCTGAAAGGTGGCCCGTTCTACTTCTGCAGGAAAATATTGAGGTTTTATTTCTCTTATGGAGCCATCCCAGATCAGAAAGCCCTCAAGTGTATCAGAAATCTGAGGCCCTCTCCCTTCTGATTTAGCTGCTTGGTCTGCTAACTTACTTCCTGCAGCTATTTCATTCATCTCCTTTTGGTGGCCTTTACAGTGTATTACTGCCACTTCCCATGGAAGAGAGTCTTTCTCTTTATAGATAATGACATGAGCATGGAGGACTAGGAAAGAATAGTTAGAATCAGTATAAATATTAACTGCTTTCCCCTGGCTTAATTTAAGCACTCTTGTGAGGGCAATTAGCTCAGCTAGTTGAGCACTTCTACCCGAGGAGAAAGGCATGCTCTCAATAGTGTCATTCAGGGTGCATATTGCATACCCTGCTTTACGGATCTCTTGTTCTGCAAAAGAACTTTCATTCATAAACAGAATACAATCTGGGTTGTCTAAGGGGGTTTCTTTGAGGTCCACTCGGGCCTCATAGGTTTGCACTACTATCTGTTTTCAGCCATTTTCAAGCTCCACAGCTTCCTCTGGGAAGAAGGTAGCTGCGTGTAGGGAGGGACAGATTCTCAATTGGACTGCAGATCCCTCTAATAGCAGAGCTTGATATTTGAAGAGGTGGCTTTCCATTAGCCAGAGACTCCCCTTAGAAGGCAGTTGTCCTGCCACATTACGTAGGGGTATAAACAGTCAAGTTATTCCCCATGGTTAACTTAGTAGCCTCTGGTACCAGCAAGACTACTGCTGCAACTGCTCAGAGGCAGGGTGGCCATCCTTTAGCTACCAAATCAAGTTCCTTGCTTAGGTACCCTACAGGTTGCTGGGTGGGACCCCGGTCCTTGTTTAGAACTCCCAGGGCCATTTCCTTCTTTTCTGATACATAAAGATTGGAAGTCTTCCCTATGGGAAGGGCTGATGCCTCAAGCAAGGCTTGTTTCAACTGGCCAAAAGCTCTTTTAGCCTCTGGTTCCCAAATTAGGGAGTGAGTCTTAGCTGCCTGAATCTCCTTTATTAGGTGATATAAGGGATGCGCTATCTCATCGTACCCAGGTATCCATAATCTACAGAATCCTGTAATGCCTAAGAATCCCCTCAGTTGCTTGAGCATTTTGGGTAGAGGGAAGGAGGAGATGGGCTTAATCCTTTCTTTGCCCAATGCCCTGGTCCCTTCTGATAAGAGCAGACCTAGGTACTTTACTGAAGCCTGACAGAGCTGAGCCTTAGATTTTGAGACCTTACATCCTCTGTTAGTCAGAAAATTAAGAAAAGCCTTACTGCCCTCCTGAGAGATTTCCTCAATTAGGGCACAAAGGAGAATGTCATCTACATATTGTAAAACTTTAACATGAGGATAAAGGAACTCAGAGAGATATTTTGAGAATGCTTGCCCAAACAGGTGGGGGCTGTCTTGGAATCCCTGAGGTAACACCATCCAGGTTATCTGGGTGGTCTGGTTAGAGGGATCCTTGAATGCAAACAAATATTGGGAGTCAGGCAATAGTGGCATGTAGAAAAAGGCATCCTTTAGGTCCAGGACTGTGAACCATTTAGATACCTCAGGTATTCAAGTAACAGCAGCGTATATGGATTGGGAACCACTAGGTGAATTGGAACCACAGCCCCATTAATGATGCAGAGGTCCTGGACCAGTTTCAATTGCCCATTGGGTTTTTGCACCCCCGATATTAGGGTATAACAAGGGCTGTTTCAGGGTTTGAGGAGGCCCTGCATCCTCAAGTTCTCAATGGTGGGCTTCTAGCCCTTTTATAACTTCTGGTTTTAGGTGATATTGTTTCTGGTTAGGGAAGGAAGTGTGATCTTTAAGGTGGATCCAGACCAGTATGACAGTTGTGGCTTGGCCGGTTTTCCCTAGAGTTAGTTACCCAAACTTCTGGATTCAGATTGGTCTCCATCTGGGGAGACAGAATGTGTCCTGGAGCCATAAAGATGGTGGTTCCCATACGAGCTAAGATATCCGTGCCCAGCAGAGGTGCTGGGCTTTCAGGCATGATTAAAAAGTCATGGGTAAACAAGAGGTCTCCCCAACTACAAGTAAGGGGGAAAAATATTGGGTTAGAAGCTTTCCTGAGACACCCCTCACAGTCATGATAAGGGAGGAGGGGAGGCCCAGACTGGAGAGGAGAACAGAAATGGACACTCTGGTATTGAGGCAGATGTCCACTTTCCTCCCTGCAACCTCCAGAATCAGCCAGGCTCCTGGATGGTAATGGCATTCTGAACCATCAGAGCCAGGGAGAGGAGCTGCAGGACCCGTCCATCCTGCTGGATCATTTGGGAGACTGGCTCTGGACCTGGTGACCTGCATCTCTGGGGACTGTCTACCCTCTAGTGGTCCCCATCACAGACTGGACAGGATCAAGGTGGCTTCCACAGGCTGCCTGGGCTGTCCTAAAGTGACCTGGCTTGCCACATTTATAGCAGTTAACAAGTACCTCTCAGGGATTCTGGGGTTCATGAGCCTACAAGGCAGCTATTAGAGCCTCTGCCTTTTTCTTGTGTCTCCTCTGTCTCTTGGGCTTCCTCCCCATCCCTATTGTAAAGGACCAAGGTGGTCACTTTCAGGATGTTCTCTAAAGTACTATCTGGTTCCACGGCCAGTTTATGTAGCTTCCTCCTGCTATTAGTGGCCACCTGAGTAATACACTTATTATTTAGGATTAGTTGTCCCTCGACTGAATCAGCAGATACAGAGGTGTGCTTTATCAAGGCCTCTCTTAGCCTTTCCAGGAAGGCATTGGGATTCTCATCTGATCCATGGCCTATCATGGATAGTCTGGAGTAATTGAGAGGCTTAGTTCCAGTCCCTTGTAAGCCCTCCAATATGCACACCTAAAAGAATTTCCTCTTCCATTCTCCTATTTCATCATCGGGGTCCCATTTAGGGTCCTCCAATGGTACTGCTATTCTTCCAATTGGATAAGGCTCATCTCATTCCTTGGCACTATATGACATACAAAGCTCATCCCCAAAATTCTCTGTCACTTTTAGGGATGCCTGCTTTTCAGTGGTAGTCAGGGTTTGATTCCATAGTAACATAGAATCCTTCCACGAAACTTCAAATACGTGGGTTAAATTCCGGAAAGCCTCTATATACCTGTAAGGGTCGTCTGAAAACTTACCAAGGCTTTCCTTAATTTGCCTTAAGTCCCATAGAGAAAATGGAACCTGGATCTTAATGGGGCAATATTCAAAGTCATCTCTTGTAGGGGAAGAAGTGAGACTGGGACCTGCCTAAAATGAGGATTTCTAGGATGGCGCAAGCTTGAGAAAAAACCTGGATATGGAAGACTGGATGGACCAGGAGAAGCAGGACTGGAGGGAGCCAACTCCCCCACTAGAGACACATCTGGGATTTGCCTCCCTTATCCCTTGGGATTATCCTTTGCAGCCACTCCTGACATGGCCACCAGGAGGACTGAAACAATCCTACAATGTTGGTAAAGGTCCAGTTTATCTTTCAAGGAAAAGAAAGCCTGCACATGTGAGACCTTGGATCTTTGCCCTCACATTTACAGAAAAGGTCCAGCTGCAGGATAGTATTAAAACTAACGTTTCCTTCTGGACGCCTTCCTTCCTGTAGTACATAATCCATCCAAACCCTTGTGCAAAGGAATATGAGGTGGTTTCTGTTTTTCCAGAGTCTGAGGGTCAAAGGAGTCCCAGTGATTCAGGATGCTCTCAAGAGGAGTGCAGGCTGAAGGTAGTTTGTTATTCATCTGAAAGAGAGGGGAAAAGGCATCCCTTAGTTCCTGGCTTCCAGCAAAAACCTGGGGTATGTGAGGGAAAGAAAAAAAAAAGTCGTCTTTTTCTTTCTTCCCTCCTTTCCTTCCCTGAGTCCTGGTGGCTACTAAAGGCACCACCCATGGATGTGAGTGTGATGTCTACCCATGAAATGGGAAGGACTTGTCAGTAGGGATAGTTGCACTTAACCTATGCCATGCCCTAGCCTTCCACTGTCCTTAATCTGTGTGTTCCTAAGCTTCATCTATGCCATGGATGAGAGCAAATTCTCCACCCATGAAGCAGGAAGGCCTAGTTGGCAGGGGTAGTCCTGCTTACCTGTGCTGCACCCTAGCCTTCTGCTGTTGACTGTCTCTAGGTCACTCAGATCTAGCTTTTTTTTTTTTAGGGCTCCAATCCAAAGCTTGGAAAACACACTGGAGTAATACTAAAGTGAAGCTGTGGAGCCAGATTCTCCTCAAACAAGGAAAATGAAGGGAGTCCTAGAAATTGGGGACCTGTGCTAATAAGATGCCTCCCAAGAGGAAAAAATCCCTTGCATGGAAAACTCCCTGTATTCACAGGACTATGTTAACTCTTGACATGGTGGAAAAACAAAACAACAGACTTAAATGCATGGAGGGGAAGGTGCCCAGAGAAAGTAGCCTCTTGCTCTATGCTAATGGATTTCTTCAATAGGAGAAAGAAAACTCTCAATAGTTACATCCTCCTTGGTTCTTAGACAGAAACCAGATTATTCTAAATTATATTCTTGATGACTGAGCCAAGAGCTCATTCTAACCAGTTATATCATCTCTGCGGTTTGAAACAACACCCTTAACAGTGTATATAAAGAAGAGATAGGAGCCACGACGGCTGCAAAGGAAAGAAAGAAAATGTGTTAGGAAAGTCTGGAGGTCCTAGGGCTGACACGCTAACGGGCTATCAGAGACTGGAGTCAGTCTAGCGGCCTTTGGGTAACACTGGGGTGTAGCCTCCGCCATACACCCTAAATTGCTGCAGGAACTCCTTCCAGTCCCACACGATGGTTAGACCTCTGTGAAGGGAAACTGCTTTGGAACAAAACCAGCATTCCCAGCATCTGAGGGCAATGGGGATTGACAAAGTCCTCCCCAGCAAGCCTGTCCTCTGAATCTTGTAGAACTGGCAGATGCGCTATTTGCTCTTAACCGGCTGACAGAAGCCCAGTGCTTCATCTGTTTTCAGAAAAAAATCTGAGGACGAGAAACCTCAAAAATGAAAATGAAAGCGGTACGCTCTTACCAACCCTTCTGACTATCCTGACGAGTCCCCAGAAACGTTGCAGCTTTTGTAGTTCAGCGGGCAGGAAGGAATGGCACCCAGCGGCTTTTTCTCCTCTGTTGCTTGGCAGGTGGGAGGGAGGGTTACAGTGTTACAGGATTCCTTTGGTGCCACTACATCAGCTGTAAATTTCTGTGACTGACATGACCTATGCCTGGGGCTTCGCTAGGGCTTGCCAGGTTCACTCTGCCCACTCAGCCAAGCAGTCTGTGCTTGGCTCATGCTACTGGCCTGAATCCCACATTTGTTGTGGCTCTGTGTCCAGCCTGTGGCTGGACTGGGCATGCCAAAAGTGGCTTCTGCATTGGGTGCCAGCATCTAGACAAAGAGAACGTGGTAGAATCCAAAAACTCAGAGATGCAAGCAGCCCGGGTCCCAAGGGATGTTGCAGCTCTTACTTGGGGAGTCTTGAGGTCTGAACTCCCAAGAAATGTTGCAGCTCTTCACTCCTGTAACTTGGCAAGTTGGAGCATGTTGCAAGCCCTTTTATTCCCACTGCTTGCAGCTCGGTGAACAGAAGGGTGTGGCACTCAGTGGCTTTTTCTCCCCCACAATTCAGTGAGTGGGAGTGTGCTACAGCTCTTTTATTCCCATCACCTGCACCTTGGTGGGCAGAAAGGAGAGTTGCAGCTCATTCATTCCCACCACCCTCATCTCAACGAATGGGAGGGTTACAGCTTGTTTGTTCCTGCTGCCCGCAGCTCAGCAAGCTCCAGGTTCTTGTCCCAGGACCAAGAAGAATAAGGCACATGGACACTGGAGACTGAGTAGGTCAGAGAAGAATTTTATTGAGCAACAGAAGGAAAGCTCCCAGTGGAGAGAAGACCCAAGAGCAGCTAGCCATGTTTTTGTGGGCATAGAATGGCGGAGTGTATGCTGATTGGTAAATGGGTGGTCTTGGAAAAAGTACCATTCGATTGGTTAAAATACATTGAAGAAGTTCTCACTCTGATAGTGGACTCTATCCAAAACTGGAAGCTTTGTTTTCAGGCTTCACGTTGTCTTTGGCTTGAAGGTTGGGTTTCACTGGACACCTGTCCCTATCTGCCTATGAATCTTTCTGTCTCCTGTCACTATCAGTTAGGCTTTGTGTCCCGACTCAAATCTTATCTTGAATTGTAATCCCCTTAATCCCCATGTGTCAAAGGAGAGAATAGGCGGAGGTAATTGAATCATGGGAGTGGTTTTACCCATGCTGCACTCGTGATAATGGATTGAGTTCTCATGAGATCTCATGGTTTTCTTTTATTTATTTATTTATTTATATTTATTTTTATTATACTTTAAGTTTTAGGGTACATGTGCACAATGTGCAGGTTTGTTACATATGCATACATGTGCCATGTTGGTGTGCTGCACCCATTAACTCATCATTTAACATTAGGTATATCTCCTAATGCTATCCCTCCCCTCTACCCCCACCCCACAACAGGCCCCTGTGTGTGATGTTCCCCTTCCTGTGTCCATGTGTTCTCATTGTTCAATTCCCACCTATGAGTGAGAACATGTGGTGTTTGGTTTTTTGTCCTCGAGATAGTTTGCTGTCCTTGAGTCTTTGCTATTGTGAATAGTGCCACAATAAACATACATGTGCATGTGTCTTTATAGCAGCATGATTTATAATCCTTTGGGTATATACCCAGTAATGGGATTGCTGGGTCAAATGGTATTTCTAGTTATAGATCCCTGAGGAATCTCCACACTGACTTCCGCAATGGTTGAACTAGTTTACACTCCCACCAACAGTGTAAAAGTGTTGCTATTTCTCCACATCCTCTCCAGCACCTGTTGTTTCCTGACATTTTAATGATTGCCATTCAGACTGGTGTGAGATGGTATCTCATTGTGGTTTTGATTTGCATTTCTCTGATGGCCAGTGATCATGAGCATTTTTTCATGTGTCTTTTGGCTGCATAAATGTCTTCTTTTGAGAAATGTCTGTTCATATCCTTTGCCCACTTGTTGATGGGGTTGTTTGTTTTTTTCTTGTAAATTTGTTTGAGTTCATTGTAGATTCTGGATATTAGCTCTTTGTCAGATGAGTAGATTGCAAAAATGTTCCCCCATTCTGTAGGTTGCCTGTTCACTCTGATGGTAGTTTATTTTGCTGTGCAGAAGCTCTTTAGTTTAATTAGGTCCCATTTGTCAATTTTGGCTTTTCTTGCCATTGCTTTTGGTGTTTTAGATATGAAGTCCTTGCCCATGCCTATGTCCTGAATGGTATTGCCTATGTTTTCTTCTAGGGTTTTTATGGTTTTAGGTCTAACATTTAACTCTTTAATCCGTCTTGAATTAATTTTTGTATAAGGTGTAAGGAAGGGATCTAGTTTCAGCTTTCTACATATGGTTAACCAGTTTTCCCAGCACCATTTATTAAATAGGGAATCCTTTCCCCATTTCCTGTATTTGTCAGGTTTGTCAAAGATCAGATAGTTGTAGATATGTGGCATTATTTCTGAGGGCTCTGTTCTGTTCCATTGGTTTATATCTCTGTTTGGGTACCAGTACCATGCTGTTTTGGTTACAGTAGCCTTGGAGTATAGTTTGAAGTGAGATAGCGTGATGCCTCCAGCTTTGTTCTTTTGGCTTAGGATTGACTTGGCAATGCAGGCTCTTTTTTGGTTCCATATGAACTTTAAAGTAGTTTTTTCCAATTCTGTGAAGAAAGTCATTGTTAGCTTGATGGGGATGGCATTGAATCTATAAATTACCTTGGGCAGTATGGCCATTTTCACAATATTGATTCTTCCTACCCATGAGCATGGAATGTTCTTCCATTTGTTTGTATCCTCTTTTATTTCATTGAGCAGTGGTTTGTGGTTCTCCTTGAAGAGGTCCTTCATGTCCCTTGTAAGTTGGATTCCTAGGTATTTTATTCTCTTTGAAGCAATTGTGAATGGGAGTTCACTCTTGGCTCTATGTTTGTCTGTTATTGGTGTATAAGAATGCTTGTGATTTTTGCACAATGATTGAGATCTCATGGTTTTATAAGGTGCTCTTCCCCCTTTGCTCAGCTCTTCTCCTTTCTGCCACCTTTTGAAGAAGGTGCCTTGCTTCCCCTTTGCCTTGCACCATGATTGTAAGTTTCCTGAGGCCTCCCCAGTCATGCTGCACTGTGAGTCAATTAAACCTCTTTCTTTTTGAAATTACCCAGTCTCAGGCAGTTCTTTATATCAGTATGAAATTGGACTAACAGAACCACCTTAAATATAACTGGATGTGCTCAATATATAGCTTAGCAGTGTACAAGGTCAAAGAGAGAAAGAAAGAGAGAGAGAGACTGATTTTAAAAAAGGAGAAATAATGTTCCCCAGGTGATTTCAAAATGCAGCCAAAATTCAGAAACATTGGTCTAGGTTTAGTCTGGAAATGCCTGATAAGTGAGAAGGAAAACAGGTAAAGATGGAGACATAGTATCTTCTGGTGGAATGGAATATAATATTTAAAAATCTGGACAGAAGTAAAGTTGCTAGAAATTTACCAGGAGATATATGCTAAGACAGTGACAATGTTCTACGGGGAGTAAATTGTTTTTCACAAATTTTCCCAAATTGAGGTAAGGATAATGGCTTTACAACCATGATTCATCCATCATTGGCTAACCAAGGGAAGTTTTCTGAAGACATTAGATGCAGGTCATTGGAAATGAAAGCACACCAAAGTTGAAGGAGGTATGCACAGAAATGGGAAAAAAATATTTAAGGAAATCTGGACAAGTCCTGTCTATATCAGTTACAGCATGATATTTATTTGTTTAAGACTAGTCCAGTGAAGTAGTGAGCATGGAAAAAGAGTAGAAAAGAGTTCAATCTGTAACTGACTGAACAATCAATTGAGATAACTCACTACCATGGATTATCTTATTCAAAAAAAGAAAAATAATTGTAGGTGTCCACAGACCTCATTATTGTAATGAAATAAGTGGAGTCCCAATTTGGCATACAGGTAGCTCTACCAAGTGTTGCTACTAAATTATGCCAAATGCTACTAAACTCTGCTTCTCATTTTTATTGCTTATAAGTTATTGATAACACAGATTCACAATAAAAGTGACACATCTAAAATAAATGAATTCATTTTAAAACCTTATATTTAAGACCAAATGGAAATGGTTTCAATGACTTCATTTAAGGCAGAGGTAATACCTACCAATATCTTCCCTTCAAAAAAAATGGATAAATAAGTTTCTCAAAAGTGCAGTATTAAACGTCCCACATATGAAAACAGAGAGGCATAAATATACTTGACTTTGGAAAAAATAAAGCTTCTATTTTGCAAGCTCTAATTTTTGTATGTTTCTTTGAGGACTCCATAGGGAGGTTGTTTATATACATTATGCCTAAACTAAATATCTACTCTCCATGAAGTGCAGTTCGCATGGAAGAACAAACAAGCCTCTATATCACTGTATCATTCCTGTTTTCTAATTTACATACTTAAAGACCCTTAAGAGCCTCTATTTTCAGCATAATGTCCTATAACTGTGCCCCCTACATTAGCATTTATGAGAGCAGCCCAGTTAACTCTTCACTTAGCACAGTGACTTGTGGCTCTATTCTGGGAAATGGCTCTAACTAATAAATTGGACTAAACTGCAAGTTGTACAGCTGACAGTAGGTAGCCCATCCAGAAATCACCAGGCCTAAATGATTTTTCTGAAGAATTATACTGTATATTTAACAATTGCTGTGGATACAGCTTTCTTGTATCTTCAAAACTGCCTGATAAGAGAATAAAAAATGAATGGCAAACAACCTCTTTAGCTAATTTAAGTCATGCTAGATAGAGTATTTAAAAATAAGTAGAATGTTTAAAATAAACTTCCTTATGCCTGAGGGCATAAGGAAGTGCATGTCCAAGGCTTGGAGTTCAAAGAATGTCCATCTGTTGTTTGATGGGTAGTGTATATGGAAATCCTCGTCTGATGGGATAAATCTTCTAATGAACTTGTCTTTATTTCCAGTGAAAAAGACTGTTTGCTAACATGACAAACAAGCAGGAAAGTTTCAAGTGTACTTTCTTCAGTCTATGAGGACTATGTATACACAACTGTTGCATTAGTATGTTTGTGTTTAAATTAATATCTGATACATACGTTATCTAAAAAGATCATTATTCTGAAAATAGAATGGATTTTAAAAGACCTGAATCCCTAAGTTCCTCATCTGTGACACAGCATGACAGAATGCTTCCATTTATGAGAGAAAAGGCAGGATTTCATAGAATCAATGTCTCGGTAGACGTTGATATTATAATAATAGATATGATAATATAAGGAATTGCCCAAGGGAGGAGTGTTTCCCTGCCAATGGGCAAAAACACAAATGATTTTAGAATTTTAGATGTGATGGTACTCAGATTTATAAAAATTAGCTAGGTTCTTGGAATCGCCCATTCAGAGTAGTGAAAATTTGATTCCTCTTTCTGAGTAGTCCCTCTTGCTTGATAGTGATGGTGATTTTTATTTTCCAGTTTATTGTGAGATTGCCTCAGAGCCAGATGATTTCAAGACTATAATTAAGTCAGATTTCCTCCTATTAATAAGAAAATATTTCTTGCCCCATCCTTTGTCTTTTGTCCTCTTCATTTTGCTTGTGCTTCTCAAGAAACATCTGAAGGAACAGTGAATGGGAGGTAAACTTTGAGTCCTTTCATGTCTGAAATACATTTTATCCTCACATTTGAATACTAGTTTTGCGTGGTATAAAATCTCAGATAGAAAATAATTTTCTCTCAAAAATTTGAGGATACTTTCAATTGTCTTCTAATATCCAGTTTATTGTTGATAAATATGATGCTTTTCTTATTGTAATTCTTTTAGGGTGTGCTGTTTTTGTTTTCTGGAAGCTTTTAGGATCTTCTCTTTATTCTTGGGGTTATAAAATACGATGAAAGTGTATTTGAGATAGATCTTTTTTTAATCATTTCATTTTTAACTTACTAGGTCATTTTATCTGAAGACTCATGTTTTTACTAGCCACAAGAAAGTATTAAACTATTTCTATGAAACTTTTTTCCTTGAACTTCTTGCCACATAATGTAGAGTTCTAGTGAATACTCGTTGCCCATTCATTTAACTACTTCTGTAAATACCAAGCACTGGCAGATAAATATAATTAAAATATGCTAAAATATGTGGCAAATAAGTAGCAGAATTAAGTGCTAACATATCAATCATTACCTTGAATGTAATGGGTCTAAATATGACCT
The DNA here is from genome assembly GCF_000001405.40 of Homo sapiens. Classification (NCBI taxonomy): domain Eukaryota; kingdom Metazoa; phylum Chordata; class Mammalia; order Primates; family Hominidae; genus Homo; species Homo sapiens. The sequence goes on along the minus strand of NC_000005.10, from coordinate 63,557,178 downwards.
AAAACAGAGATTTCTAGAGCTGAATTTAAAAAGTGACTCAATTGTATTCTGCTTAAAAAGAAACTCACTTCAAATGTAAACATATAGGTATGTTGAAAGTAAAATCATGGAAGAAGATAAGATTATTTAAATCATTAATTAAAAAGGCAGTTTTATGTAAGTAGACTTAAAAATAAATTAAATCAATAATAGGAATTTTATATAAAGATTAACCTACCAGAAGACTTAATACTCCTAAGTATTATACATACCAACTATCAAAGGCTACAAATACATGAAGCAAAATTGATAAATTCACCATCATATAGTTGAAGACCTCAACAACCTCTTATCTGTATTTTCTGTAAGTATTGATAAAAGTAATGCTGGATTATATTTCTTTAAACTTATTTGTCAGTATTTGCAGTGACTCTTCTTAAGAATCTGATGATTTGGGGGGTTGCAAATAGAGAAGGATCAGTTTAGAATTGTAGAAGGCCATGCCTATTTGTTAAAGTATATATTAATATGTTATTTGTACTAAATTGTTATAATGGAAAATGAGGCAAAAATAAATTATTCTCAATATTATTTTTAATATTCTCACTGTCAGAATAAATTTATCTTAAAAATATTTGAGTGCAGATTAGATAGCAACTATTCAACAACTCATCATTGCTTTAAAATTATCTTAAATTTTCATGTGTATCAGAAAAGAGTACTAGTCCAAAGAAACTTTATTATAGAATTTATATTTTAACTAAATTGAATGTTTTTAATGCCAAATAACTTTTGAAAAGTGACTTTTAGAAAGTTTCTAAAGAATGTAACTTTTGGAATGAGTGTGATTAAACTCTTTTTTGTTGTTATCTAGACATTTGAAATTTGTTCAATGTAATAGAGTAGGGAATTTTTGGAGAAAGAACTTGCTTGTTACCCAGGCTGGAGTACGGGGGCACAATCATAGCTCACTGCAGCCTGGAACTGCTGGGCTGCAGTGATCCTCCCACCTCAGCCTCCCAAGTAGTTGGGACTACAGGTGTACGCCAGCATGCCTGACTAATTATTTTTATTTTGTGGAGACGGGAGTCTGCTTTGTTGCAGGAGCTTGTCTCAAACTGTTGACCTCAAGCCAGCCACCGTCCTCTTGCCTCAGCCTCCCAGAGTGCTGGGATTATAGCTATGAGTCACCACTTTTGGCAGAGTAGGATTTTTTAAAGCTTTTTACAAGCATATTTCCCAGTGACTCCTAAAGCTATGGAGTCTTAGTGGTGAAAAAGCCAGAACAATCACATTATTTGCAGTAACTGTATCTTTGTTTTTAGGCATCCAGTTTTAGTAACAATTTTGCCTCAGTTATTTATTTGAAAATTAGAACCTAATACTAAACTACTATCTAGAGGACTATTTCTTGCTTATGTTTTTCCTTTCCTTCTTATCCACTTTAAACTTTTAAGAGTGTACATTTTAGCCATGTCTTCAGTTAAGTAAACATTTCTCTCGCTTTTGAATTTTATTACACTTTTAAAAACAAGAAACTTGTAGAACACAGGGAAATATGAATATTATAAATGAAAAAGTATGAATGTATGCACATGTACATACAAATTACTAATAAAAGTAGATTATATTTCTTTTTCAGATATGAATTGATTTGGTTATGTATACTGGAGTCCAATTTAAATGATAGACTACTGCTATCTTTAGGATTTAGAAAGCTGCTTCTTCTACCAATGTAAGTGAATATGCAAATGAAAAAAGTCATTTATTTTGTGTGACATCCTTTATCATTGAAAATAGTAGGTCAGCTCATTATACCATTTTCATTTATACAAATGCAAGAGGATATTCCCAAATCAAACATGATTGAAGATAAAACGTGGTCTATGTAGTGAACAAAACAAAAACTTCATTATAAAATGCAAAAGGAAGGAAGGGTAAGAAGAAGAAAAAGCAAGACTTCTAGGTTTCATTAAAGATTTTCTTTTCATAAACCTGCTTTTGGAAAATCATGTAATTTCATTTTCTTTTCCAATCATATGGCAATTTCCAGAGATTATGAACTTATTTCTTTATTTAAAACATCAACAATGCCAAAGCAGGAAATGAGTTAAAACCAGAACAAAAAAAAAAAATCTTCCTTGTAGAGTGAAAACGCAGGTGGTAGTTTAAATTTATTGGCTGCTTTATCGGCTTTGTCAAGTCCCTTAATATTTAGTACTTTCTAAGGCTCAGATCTATATGTCTCTATTCTCTGCTCTTATTCTTAATGCTAGCTCATTTGCTCACATTTGTAGCAACCCGCTATATCAACAGTGGCAGCTCTGATAATATTCTCCCCTCCACCTACAACTCAAATGCCTCACACTGTTAGTACTTCCCATACTCTTTGATGTGCAACCCTGGAAGATTAATATTTTAAAATCAAAGCTCATCAAATGTTCCTCCTGACTGCTACCTTTCCTTAATTTCCTTATGACTGTACTATATTATATATATATATGTGTATATATATAATATATATATAAAATATAGTCTGTCTTCTTATTGACTTTGGAAATGTTATTCTACCATATAGCTAACTACCAGATAGGGGAACAGTTAGTGACAGTGAATCTGTATGGGTCTGCAGCAACCTCAATTCTTGCCTCTTCAAAAGAAAGAATTCAACTGGAGGGGCATAAGGCAGAAGGAGAGATAGCAGCAAGTTTTAGAGCAGAAGTGAAAGTTTATTAAAAAGCTTTTGAGCAGGAATGAAAGGAAGTTAAGTACACTTGGAAGAGGGCCAAGCAGGTGACTTGAGATATCAAGTGTATGCTTTGACCTCTGACTTGGAGTTTTATACACTGGCATACTTCCAGGGTTTTGCGTCCCTTCTCCCCTGATTCTCCCCTTGGGAATATGCTGTCCGCATAGCAGTGGCCTGATAACACTTGGGAGGGGCTGCATGTGCAGTGTGTTTACTGGAGTTGTACCCATGCTCATTTTAGGTGTTCTTCCCTTACCGGTCTAGTATTTCAAGAAAAAGTTTAAACTCCACCATTTTTCCTCTTTGTGAGCATGCTTGAGCCCACCGGCTCAACTCATGAGATCTTATTGAGAAGCTATGGATCACCAGTTTCAGGTTTTTTCTATCTATTTGGAGACTGCCGTTCCCTGGTGCCAGCTGTGATTAATTATTATTTTAGAGACAAAGTTAATAACCACCTGGCCATCACCTGAGGGGTGTGTTTGTGTGTGTGTGTGTGTGTGTGTGCCCTCTCCTGCTCAGCTCATGTCTAACTACTACTGTAACAGAACTACTGACATGGATTCTGTTAACACTTCTTATAGTAGCTTATGTATGCCAGACACTTGGTTAGTTTGGTTCATAATAAAAGAAATGTGATAAATCTAGGCACTACTTCTCTTAGAATGTATAGTCTAGGGGATAGATAAATATATACATACATAATTACAACTTTGATCATGCTATGAATAAAATGTGTAGGATGTTAGAACATATTCCATAGTAGTACAAGTTAGAGTTGTATGTTAGTAGATAATCTTGTCTCCAATTCCTGTGGTTCTAGAGAGAGAATAGATATATATATAAAATTATATAATACACAACAGTTTATATTAATATGTAATTATTTTATATAATAATATATTATATAATTAATAATTATATAATATATTATATATCTGTACTTCTGATTTGCTTGTCAATTTCCTGAGACTGCTATTTTCCCAGTATGCCAAAAAATTCTTGGCTTTCTGTAATTGCAAACAAATAAAGACAAGTTGAATGGTTCCTTAGTAAAGAGCTTACTTCTTCAGAAAGCAATTTGACTGCAGGGCTTTGTCAGCATAATTGCAAATTAGGAGCTGAGTATGTACTGAAGGAAGGTCAGTACATACTTTACTATTTGACTCATATTACATTCATTCTAAAATTATTTCCACCTATCACTATTGAAACCATTTCTCCAGGCCACTAAATAATAGTGTACAACACCTTCTTTCCTTACTGATAATAGATTTTCTTCTGGCTGCCTAAGGCTGGGCTGAGAATAGCATCTGGAATTTTATGAGGTATGGATTTTGTGGGAAGTACTAAATCACTTACGTAATATAATGAGGACATTTTGGAACTCAAGAGAAGATGGACTTGGGTTTGATTAATATACGAAGGATTTTAATAAAGTAGACAACATGCAAGAACAGATGGGAAATATAGGCAGAGATAAAAATTCTATGAAACAATCAAAAAGAAATGCTAGGTATAAAAAGTACTATTACAGAATTGCAGAATGCCTTTGATAAGGCATTTGTAGATGAGTTACCTTCACGGAAAGAATTGGCTAAAAAGACATTAGCTATCAAGCCATGAAAGAACATGGAGGAATTTAAAATGTACATTAATAAGTGAAAGAAACAAATCTGAAAAGGATATATGCTTCCTGATTCCAACCCCATGACATTCTGGGAAAGGCAAAACTATGGAGACAGTAAAAAGATCAGTGGTTACCAGGAGTTAGGGAAGGGTGAGGGATGAGTAGTTTGATCAACGAGAACTTTTAAGATGGCAAAACTATTCTGTATAAAACTATAATAGTAAATACTTGTCATTATATATTTGTTCAAACCCAGAGTGTGCAACATTAAGAGTGAACCTAATGTAAACTATGGACTTTAGTGATGATGATACATCAATGTATGTTCATTGATTGTAACAAATGAATCATGTTTTGTGGGGGTGTGGTAATGGGAGAGGCTATGCATGTGTGGAGGCAGGGAATACAAGGGAATTCTCTCTATTTCTGCTCAATTTTGTCACAAACCTAAAACTGCTCTAAAAAATATGAAGTCGGCTGGGTGCAGTGGCTCACGCCTGTAATCCCAGCACTTTGGGAGGCTGAGGCGAGCAGATTACCTGAGGTCAGGAGTTTGAGACCAGCCTGGGCAACATGGTGAAACCCCGTCTCTACTAAAAATACAAAAATTAACCGGGCATGGTGGCATATGCCTATAATCCCAGCTACTCGGGAGGCTGAGGCAGAATTGCTTGAGCCCAGGAGGCGGAGGTTGCTGTGAGCCGAGATCGTACCACTGCACTCCAGCCTGGCCAACAGAAAGTGACTCTGTCTCAAAAAAAAAAAAAGTACATTAATTAAAAAAAAAAAAAAGCTGGAGCCAACGTGATATATTTTGATAAAAGACTGATTTCTTTTTTCTCCCTGTTACAAGAGGAAAACAAATATGTCTGCTTTTACTACATTAACAAAACATTGTATTGTAGATCCTTGAAACTGCAATAAGGGAAAAAAATAAAATGAATGAAGATCAAAATACAGAAGTAAGACAGTCTCTATTTGAAGATGATATGATTATGCAGAAAATCATAATCTATAAATCTACTAGAATTAAACCAAAATTGTAGCAAGGTTGTAAAACACACAATTTACATATAAAAATTGCTTGTAAACATGCATAAGAAACAAACAATTTGAAAATGAAAGTTAACTGTTCCATTTACAATACCACCAACAAATTTAAACTACTTACAAATAAGCCAAACAAATACCATCCAAAACCTCCACACTGAAAATTATAAAACATTGCAAAGAAAAATTGAAGCAATGCTAAATAAATATAAGCATGTACTGCATTTATGGAATGGAAGACTCAATATTATTAAATGACCTCATTTTGTTTTTTAGATTTAACTTGATCCCAATAAATTATCTAAAAGGTTTTATGTAGTAATTTTCAAGATGATTTTAAAATTTGCATGGAAATTAGGAGGATCTAGAATAGCCAAAGCAATTTTTAAAATGAGGTTGGAGAAATAAAGCTGAAGGGCTTAACCTACCAGATTTCAACCTATTGAAAAGCTATAGACCTGAAGACTATGTGGCAAAATATAGATGTAAAGATTATCTAAAATGAATATAATCTATAAAACAATACATAGGTGAAAGAAGATGTTTTTCTTAGGCAGATGAAAGCGGATGGCTTTCTGTTAGAAATTGCACTATTTTAAACAGAGTAAAATTATTTATTACAGCAAATTTTAAAGTTCAGGGCTGTGATATATTAATGAAGTAAATAGGTTTTTATTATCAATTTATTTATATAATTATCAGATATATTTCTCATTAAAGATAAGAACTATCAATCCTCAAACTTCAAGTTATAAAGTAGCCTTTGTTTGAATTCATTTAAGAGCTAACAGATCAGCAAAGTATGTTCTCATCAAAAGATAACATACAGGAATTATTTGAGATTTAAAATGCATTATGTGAATGTGAGCCTGAATATTTTGTTATATGAGCTATATTATCATAGGGAAAATTCTTTGTACTATAAACATTTTTATCCTTAGAATTTAGGATAGTTGCTATTTAAAAAGAATATTCATAGTGTCATGTAATTTTATACATGCAAAACAAGAAAATATTTTATTCATTTTTATTGAATTTATGAAAATTCTGAAATAAGACAAACTTTTAAGGATAATTTATGTTAAAGTTTGCAAATGTTTATATATGTTTACTATATAATACTGAATCATATTTCTCTCAAGATCTTATTTTAAAATGTGTTTATATTTTTATTTTATATATTTTTCTAAAAACAAAATCAGTATAATTATTTCCCTCTCTCTATTTTGTGCAAGTGAGTGTGTGTGTGAGAGGAGGTGGGAGAGAAAGCTGAAGTTCTCAATTTTCATTTCTTATTTCTCTACATCAGGCAGATGTTCACATACATAGCCCATGAATTTAGCATGTCTATGACAAGTTAAACTGAAAACCTCAAGCAAAGCTTATTTTTCCCACTTCAAATCACATTAAAAAATAGAGCCACCTAAACTGTCACTGTGCAGCTTCCTTTTCTTTGGATGGATTTTGGACCCACTAACCTTCAAGCTTTAAGGTGCAGTCTATAGGTTTTGTATAGTATCATCCAACTCTTGAATAAGATATATTCTTATTCTATATTTATTTTACATATTTTCTAATTAAACTGGAATGGATCATGGGCATGAAATTCGATTCTGAAAATGAAAATCAAATATGTGAGATTACATATAAGAGAGGAAGACCAAGGCGCATAAACTCATTTTCTCCACTCTTACTGTTTCTCTCCTTAATACCTGTAGCAATTATCATGGGGTTGAACTTTGATTCTTCTTCCTGTGACTCTCACATTCAACTGATCCTCTTCATAACTAATAACTTAAACACATACAGGAACACATGCATCATATGCACACACACACACACACACACATACAATTTTTAGAAGGCACTGGAAAAAAGTTATTTTTGTTCCTTTGAGTCTTTCTTTTTGCTTTGTGTGTAATCTAATTAATATTAACAGGTCTTTTGATTTGGTTTTCCAAGGGGAACTCGATGGATCTCTATCCATACTTTCTTTAGTCTCCCTTGTTCCCTTAAGGCAAATTTTATACAAACTTTCTAGATCTGTTCACTGCTGCTTGCCTCTGCTAACAACGACTATTTCAAATGGCTACTTTTTTATATATAGTTTTCACATTAACAAACTTTGTTAAGGAGATTTAAAAGCAGAAAACATCATTTGTTTTGTCAACAGATTATTTTAGTACACTTGTAATTGCTGCTTGATAAGATATTTAACTGGAAGTTATCTTTATATAGCATCTTCAAGTTTTATTCTGGACTGCACTATGAATTGCCTGGAAACGGCAGATAAAATTAAGGAATTAAGGACCGTTGGTGGACTTATAAAACTTAATTCACGTTCAACCAATTTGTTCTTTGCTTTAATTTAATTTTAGAGTCCTCTTAAATGTTAGTTTTGTTTTCAAATTCTATTAAGGGGAAAATGGGAAGGAACTTGGTAAAGTCATTTACCTTTTCTCAACATTGGAAATGATAAATTTTTTGTTTGTCAAACTTTTGTCATTCAACTTACAAAAGTGATATCTATCAGAGCTTAGAAACCTTGAGGACAGGAAGCAGCCTATTTACCAACAATATAAACAAGCTTAAATTCTTACCAGGGTCAATTAAGTTTTTCTGGGAGCTATATAGAAACCATTTTGCAATTCCATTTTAGTTTCGGAATGAAGTGAAATGTATTGCTTATTTAATGAGCACTCCAGGCAGTAACAGTAATTAATGAAACAAGATTAGGGAGGCATTAAGAAAAGGCAGCACAGTGGACTTTATATTGGAGTATTGTCCTGTATTGTTAAATCATTCAATAAGAGCATTTTTCAAATTGGACATAGAAGGATACCAAATATTTATGGTTTTCTTCCAACAACTGTGTCCAAGAAACAATCATGTTAAATGATTACACACAGAACACGGGATATTGTCCAGTGAAGATATGTTGGCCTGTAGGTCTAACCTGTATCTATATGGACTATTCTCAAACTCTCCTAATAATTAATTACCCCAACTTCTTGGAATGACCCAATTGAGCATCTCAACAGTCCTTCTAGGCATGTAGTTTTTCTTATATTACCATTATGAATGGTAACAAAAATGCTAAGTTGCATTTTAGAGCAATTAAAGTTTAAAAACGCTTTCACAAACATATAATTTAATTCTTACAAAAATCTCTTAAGAAAACTAATTTAGGCATTAAATACTATTATCCCTAGCCAAAGGATCAAGCATTTAAATTTTTTGGCAATTTTTATGGGCTTAAGTTCTTTAAACTGCTTACTAGGTATGTGTGAGCATATCTATAAATCTATCATCTTCGTTCAATAATTACTAATATGCAGCCAATGTTTCAATGGAGGGAAATTTCCAAGGAGAGACACTAAGAAGGCTGAGAATTCCTGGAAACTGTGCACAGAATGCTATCCATAGATACAGGGAGAAATCATGATTTTCATAAGGGTGTTCAGATCTAAATATGCTCCCAATCCATAAATTTAACAGGTTTTTGTTTTGTTATGTTTTGTTTTCTTACATGGTTTGGAGATCATCCTGATAGTAGACTCCTATACATAATTAATTTTATGTTACATTAACTCATGTTGGGAATATACAAAAATATAAGAACAATTATATTTGATCTATTGTTACTCATTATCCAGGTATAAGTGCCACAGGGATTTGATTAACTCATTATTCTAGCAAAACAACCTGGTTTATTGTGAGGCTATAATCTCTAGTCATACTGACAGACTTAGAGCATTTAAATTGAAAATAAATCCGTTACCAAATCCTGTTGATTTTCCTCTTATATATCATTCTTGGCTACTAATCTTTCACTTCTTGTCATCACTGTTCTAGCTCAGATTCTACCATCTCTCACCTGGATTATAACAGTTTCCTAAGTAATATTTTTGTCTTACTTTCTTCATTTTTTACACTGGAACCAAAGTGATCTTTTCAAATGTGTGGTGTCAGATTACTGCTTTAAACCTTCAATGTTTTCTCATCGATCTTAGTACAAATTCTAGATTTTTAAATCCTGCTCATAATAGCTTGCAAGTCTTGACCCTTTCTTTATTCTGCAACCATTGTGTTATTATTTATTTACACTTTGACTTCTCCATTTAAATAATACCAAGTCTCTTTTCCTGAAAGAACCCATGAACTTTATAGCTTCCAGGTTTTATTTTTATTTTTTTCCATAGGCCAGTCTTCACTCTAGAACAGTAGTTCTCTAAGTGTGGTCCCCAAACCAGCAGCATTAGCATATTCTGGGAACTTGTTAGAAATGCAAACTCTAGTTTACATCCAAGACCTACTAAATTCATGATCTGTTTTTCTGTTTCTTTTTTTTTTTAAACAAGCTCTTTATGTGTTTCTCGTGCACTCGAGTTGAAGAACCACTGTTAATATAGCATTTTTCTCTCATCTTTGTCTTTTGCCCTGCTAAATCCTCCCTAGTCAGCTTACATCTTCTCTGAGAAATTTCTATTAATTTCTCATTTCCCAGAGAACCTCCTAATTCCCACGGAGTTAATATTATCCATATACTATATATACCTGTAGATTTCTAGACCCATGAAAAATTCTGATTCAGTTATTTAGGTGGAAATGTGAACCTTAAAATGTCCACACATAATATTTCTGGGAGAATCTGATAATTCAAATTTGTAACCACTTACATAAATGGTTTTGTTCAGAAGACTAGCTCTGAAGAGGATCAGAGAAAGAGGCCTCAGTGGTACTGTGAGGATGACTGGACTATGGGAGGAAAGGTTTCTGTTATTGGTTTATTTGTTTTACAATGAGAGAGACCTGACTATGTTTATATTCTGAGGTGTTAGAATTATCAGAGGTGGAGAGATTTAAGTGAAAGAAGAAAGAGAGTTGGATAGATTTCAGAAAAATCTGTGATGAAATAGTAACGGCTACAGAACACTGATGAAGTATAAAGCAGTAGAGCTATGTACCACTTTTCAGGGCTGGGAGGGTAGCAGGTTGAATGGAAAATATAATGTTTTACTGTCAGAATTAAGTCCAGAGATTCTTAGCTGTTTTTATACCTGGATTACAGCCTTCTCAGCATTAATATAGCATTCCTACCTATCTTGGAGTGGAAAAAAATGTGTAAAGATACAAATATTTTTAAAACAGCGTCTAATAGTTTCACAAATATATTCCTAGAAGAAAGAAAAAAGGAAAGAAAGGAAGGAAGTGAAAGAAAAAAAATGACAAAGTTGTAAAGGGTTGACTCAATTTTTCTAAAAGATTATAAGTTCTTCTATGAGTGACATACTCTCGAAGGAAGAGTGAACATGATATTCGGCCAGAGAAAAGATCAATAGATTAGGCTGGAAAACGATTTTCAAAAATTGTACATCAGAAATATCTCATTTAATTTAAAAGGCAAGCTATGAATTAGAAAAAAGCTATTTTCTACTTAAGTGGCTGGTATGGAGTTGTTATTCTAAATATATGGTGTGCTTTAAAAAAGAACATCAATAATGAACAGATCAACATCCTTTATGGATGTTGGAGTCCTTCTAACAGATGTGGAATAGTGTATTTAATATACATATTAAATGATCCCAGGGTTCGTGAGACTTTTATCTACTTCAAGACTTTCTATTTGATTCTTCTGCTTTGCCAGTCTATTCCTGTGTCAGTATCACTGAGCATTGCTTACGTTTGCAATTTAATATTTGGAAGGGAATTACCTCCTTCATTTCTTCCCTTTTCAAAAATGTTTAGGGGATTTTTTCTGTTTATTTTTTCACATTAACTTAGGAATATTTTTGTGGATTAAAAATCTATTGGAATTTTAATTGATGAAATTTAAATGGAATAAGGATGAAAATCAACTTAATGTTTATAAATAATTGACATATTTGCATTATTTAGCCATTTTACTCAGGAGCATACACTATCTTATTCAACTTTGTATTCCTAAATAAGATTTTATGCCTTTCCTCATTCAGGTATTGTATTTAGTTTCCTAGGTATTTAATTTTATTTTCCTATTTATTGCTTTTTAAAATTACAGTGATTGATCTATAAGAAATATACCTATTCCAATATAAAGTCCTATTAGTAACAGCATATCTCATTAAATTGTTTTAATAGTTCTCATGGTAATAGGTCTTATAGTAATGTAATAGTTCTCAGTTATTCTGTTGATTTTAAGTTCTGCAATTATAGTATATATAATACTAATTTATTTTCTTTTCTTATGTAACTAAACTGTGTGAATCTTATAACTAAAAGAAAAAGGCAGAATCGACAAGGAGACACTTAGCAGTATCTAGAACACATCCGTAGTATTTCATCATTAAATATTTTTTTCTTGGTTTCACATAAGGTATATTTTCTAATACTATTAAAAGAATATATTTCTATTCTTAGTTTTTTAATAATCTGGAATATTCAAATTTATGTGGTAGTTTCTGAGCATCTATTAAGATGATAATTTCAAAAACTCTTACCAATAAAGTGCTGAAGAAATTTTATAGATTTTCTGCAAATTCTCATAGCACAGACTGAATACATCAGTATTATCTAGCCATGATGCATTGCCTTTAATATGCAACTGCATATGGTTCTAACATTTTATTTGGGATTGTTATATGGTATGGAGATTTTTAAGGAACTTAATACCTAGTGTCATTGTGTTTTGTTTTCATTTTACAAAAACTAAAAATTGTACTAATTTAAACTCCCACCTGGCCTACATAAGAATTTTCAGGTTCAATGCGCTTTTATGATCATTACATATTTTACTAATGTATTTTAAAGATTTATGAAAAATTAAAATATCATTAAATTTATTAAAAATTAATAAAGCTTTAAAAGATATTAGTAAAATATGATATGAGTAAAATATTTAATAGGTTTATATCTTTTAATTTGCATTTAAAATTTCTGGTGAGGTGAACCTTTTTCCTTACATTTCTTAAAAAGTTACATTTCTATTCAAATTCACTTCATTTAAAAATTATTTTGCTTGAATATTAAATATGTCATTCACTATGTGGTTCAAGTGACTGGGTCCTTGCTTATTTATTTTACTGAGTTGCAGTAGTACCACTGTCACCAATAGAAAATTATTGAACAGGTAATTTCATTATTAGCAAGGCATTAGTGTATTTTAACCTGAATTTACTCATTCACCTCTTTGTAGTGAGAAATGCAATTTTATTTTTTCTTAGAATATATTTGAAATATACACAGATATGTAAATATTTCATCAGTATACCGCTTGATAAATTTTCATAAACTGAACATAGGCATGGAACCAGGAATCAGATTAAGAGCCTGAACATAACCAGCTCTGCAGAAGCCCCCTTGTGCTTCCAGTGAATGATCATTATTCTGCCTTCTAACAGGTTAGATTAGTTTTTCCCATTTTTGTACTTATATTAAATCAAGCACTATTTTACTTTGTTGACATAAAAATCAAAGAAAAAGCAACATAAAACAATAAACTCTTTGAGTCGCTCAAGAAGACATTATGTTAAATTATAGTCAGGCAGTTTTGTCTTCAGCCAGGCACATCACTTTGCCACTGAGCCAGGTGAAGTCACAGCTATCAGAGCAAATGCTTAGTTTTAAACAGGACTTCATACCATGTCTGTGCTCCTGAACTCAGTGTTCTCATTAGTGACTTATAGGTGTAATTAGCTGCGTACCTGCTCTGCTGCTGTAAGTGGCCTCCTTGTGCATGCAGTAAAGCTCACTGGCAAATGGAGACAATCAAGGTTTATGAGGCTTGAATATTTGTCCCACCAAATTACAATTTGAGAATATTATTAAGCATGTAGAATCACTGGGTTTGGACCAAATATATCTGGGGGAGTGTTAGTGCTTATTGCTTAATCCATTCTTATACCTTGAAATGTGACATTTTGATATGTAGTGGAAACTGTTTCTCTCTATAGTTTCTTACCTTTCTCCCTAGTTGAAGGAGTTGCATAATGGTAGTTTTCAGGGATATCTGGAGATAAACCTCTTATTTCTACATCCTTCACAGAAGCAGCACTTCTACTCCTACTTCACACCCTGAAACTGAGGTGAAGTCTCTTCCCTTTATGGCGGGTCGAATATACTTACGGCAAAAATGGCAGACTGGGAAGAAAATGGCATAAAAATCATTTGATGATTTTCAAAATGGATGAATGCCTTGAAGTATCAGTTTAGGAGATACTTGAAAAGAAGGAGAAAAAACCTGAATAATTAACAGATATTAAAGATACTTAATCTGTTACTTAAAAATCTAAACTAAATCTTAAAGAAGAAAATGGCAAAGATATACATTGTTTGGCTAGTGAATACATCCAAACATTGAAGGTAGCTTTTGAGCAAACTGATGCAGAATTAGAAAGAGAGGGAACATTTTCTAAATATCTTACAAAGTTAATTCTAAATATATATATATATATATATATATATATTTCTCATATATATGTAATATGTATTTCTCACATATATGTCGTATGTATTTCTCATATATATATTTTATATATATATATGAGAAAGAAAAATTAGGGATCGTCTCTTATGAATATAGAGAACACATATTAGAAATTACATCTAGTGTGCTACTCTAGCAAGGCAAGATTATGGAGTGGTTAAGCACAGAGACTCTGGAGCTGGAGGGCCTGAGTTCAAATTCCACAGGTGCTTAAACCTCTATATATCTCAATTGCTCTATCTTTAAAATCATAATAAAGTGATATTTTACTCACAAAACTTTCATTAAGTTTAAATAGTTCAGAAGTATACATTTCTTAGAACAGTGCCCAGCAAGTCATAAACATAATACAAATGTTTGCTATTAGTATTTTTTGTTCAAATCCCTTGTTACACGACTCTGGACAAGTCAGTGAAACAATCCCAGAGACTCTGTCGCTGCCTCAACCAGGAGCATTTTTCTGCAGACCATAAGTAGTTCTGGAAGAACCTCTGTTTCAGGATGATCACATATGCTCTCATAAGTTACACATTGCACAGATCCAGATGGATAAACTACTATGTGAGTGGCAATGCTGAGCCAGGCAATGCTGAAGCCCTTCTCTACTCTAAATCCTGACCACTCTCTCTATCCCAATACATCTTCGTCTTACTTCCTGGAGTCTGTACTGCACCCACCAGCTTAGAAAAACAGATTGGAAAACAGACTGCTTCCCCTGCCTGAATCGACCTTTTGGTCAGCTCTGTCCCATTGCAAGGATACCCTCCATTTCACTGAATGAAAATAAAAACTTTCAGCATAGACTATTTCTCTAGGCTCTGTCATGTACAGAAACCTTCATAAGTCAGGAGATCCCATGTCTGTCCCATGATAGACAAGGCTCTATTCCCTAAGTGAGGGAAAATAACTTTGATGATGATGTGATGTGGAGAAGTAGAATGCAGAAAGTCATAAAACAAGAGACTGGGGTTGAATCCCAGTTTGGCTAACTTACTTTCTAATTTTGGCCTAGTCACTTAACTCATCTCTAAATAGGGATGGTGAAAGCTACTTCTTGAGTTGTTATTATAACAAAAGAAAATGAAATTTTAAAGTTCTACATGAAAAGTGTCCATTTAAATTATAAGAATAAATTATGTACAAGGTGGATTTTATAAAGATTTAGTGATAATATAGAATTAAAGCCTTTGATACAATATCTGGCTTAGAGAAAATTCTCTCTCAATTACCAATACCAAAGTTTTATTATAATAGGGCAGAATATGTGGCCCAAATCGTAATAAGTAGCTCAAAAGTTTTGGAGGGTTCAATTTCCTTAATGTAGTTGTATTTATATTTATTTTTGTGTTTATATCCATAATAGGATGCAGTTATTTATATCAAACTGAATTTAAATGGATAGCTTTATATTAAAATGAGGTAAAAACTGAAATATTAAAGCTCTGGGGGATATTGTAGATATTTCTGATTCCTATTCATACTCTTTTTTCCTATCCAGTAATAATTTTGATAAACTACATTATGAGAGCCTAATATTTGTAACAGATTCTCTTCTAAGTATCTAAGTGCATGTGTGTATATATGTGTGTTTGTGTGTGTATTCAGTTCATTTTCACAATAATCCTTATTTATTAACATTTTGCCAATGAGAAAATTGAGGCACAGAGAGACTAATCTGCCCAAGGTCACACAGCTCGAAGTTCTTAACAAATTCCAAGTCCATATGTTCAACCATTTTAGTTCACTAAAGCATTGCTTTCAACCTTATCTGTAAACTTCCAGCCATGGTTAATGCTCTACCTACCTCAGGACCCAGGCAAAACTCATCTAATTGATTCACAATCAGTGTCTTGCATTGAGGGTAAAACAGTGACTGCCTGTGAGGAGGATTTTAGCATTTTGATGAAAGATGCCGATGCCAATCATAGCAAGGATTTTATTGGACTGGGGCAGCTTCTAACAGAACTTTAAAAATAAATTAATCCTGTTTTTGCATTGCATATATAAGTCATACAGTATATTTCTTTTTGTCTGGCTTCTTTCACTTAACATTATTTTTGTGAGATTTATTCACATTGTAGCTGAGATTCATTTGCTTTCATTGCTATGTAATATTCAGTTGTATGAATATACCACATTTTTATTTCTTTCTTTTTTTTTTGCTATCACGAATAGGGGAGCTATAAATATTCTTGTATATGTCTTTTGGTACATCTGTGTGGACATTCTTTCCTATACTTTTTTCTTCCCCTAGTTGTACCTGGGAAATCCCATACTTAAAAAAATAATATTTAGCACATTCAGGTGCTTCTGAGATTCCTGAGGAAGTAGTTGACCATGAAGAGTTTGACTGGGAAATTGAGCAGACACCCCTATGAAGCGGTATCAGAAAGTGCTTTGAATCTGCAGTGCCACTGTGGATTTGGAAACTTACGATCAGGGGTATTTCAGCAGTTACAGGTATGCTGTCTTTCTGAAAGATCTTGGTCTGTAGGGTTTTTCCATTTGTATATTTTAATTTCAGTTGTGCTTACACTTGGTGATTTTTAAAAGTAATATCACTGGAAGTGATGTATTTAAAGCACTTAGCACAGCTAACGTACATAGATTTTCATTCCCTTCCATTTCATTGGTCGTTCTGCCCAACTGTGCTGCTCTTACAGATGTCCCCTGGCTTTCTGTTTTCTTCCCTTTATTCAGTATTCTAGACATGAAGTTTCCAAAATACAAAACGGAACTCATCTCTCATACTTCCTGCAACGCTTTGTGTTTTATATTTCTGAAAAGTGAGATCATGTACTTATGGCATGATGTCTCTTCTTTTCTGTATATGAATGAAATAGAATGCCCCTGGTGAGAATGAGATTGTGTGTTTTGATCAAATTGTTTAATTCTTGCTGTACAGTAGGCACCATTATAGTGGCTACCTTGGAGAGAGGGCAAATTAATGGAAGAATACAGGATGGGGTTCCAGTGTGTTGGAAATGCTCCATTTCTTGACAGAGGTGGTGTTCACTTTACATTGGTTGTCCCCAAACTTTTTGGCACCAGGGACCAGATTTGTGGAAGACAACTTTGCCACAGATCAAAGGAGTGAAGAGATGGTTTTGGGGGATGCAACTGTTCCACCTCAGATCAAAGGAGTGAAGAGATGGTTTTGGGGGATGCAACTGTTCCACCTCAGATCATCAGGCTTTAGATTCTCATAAGGAGCACACAGTTTAGATCCTTCGCAGGTGCAGTTCACAATGAGCTTGCGCTCCTATGAGAATCTAATCTGATCTAACAGGAGGCAGAGCTCAGACAGTAATACTCCTGGCCCTCCGCTCACATCCTGCTGTGTGGCCAGGCTCCTAACAGGTCATGGATCAGTACTGGTCTGCAACATGAGGGTTGGGGAACCCTGTTTTACGTAACTTACTGAACTATACACTACTGGTCTTAGCTCAAGATGCTAATATTTTGCCAGTCACAAAATTCTGTTTCAATTGGTCCAAAAATGTGACTGATCTAGTTCAATAGGATTTTTATGTCTTAATTATATCACCAAAGAAGCTATTTTCATATGGCTTCACATGAACACCTTATACCTGAAGTATTTTCTTCAATTTCCAATTCACTACATCCCATTTCCCCCTAGAAACACACAGCATTCCAAATATTTCTATTTATCTTAATTTCCTCCCAACTGCAATAAACATACCTATTTCTTCCGAAAAATAAAAAAAAAAATAAGTTAATCCCCACCGTACTTTAGAAAACTGGAGTAAGGATTCATTTTGGCCTCCTTAGATGAAAGAGTCTCCTGACCCCCTGATCTGCCCACCTTGGCCTCCCAAAGTGCTGGGATTACAGGCGTGAGCCACCGCGCCTGGCCTGCTTTTTTAATTTTTAAGAACGTTAAAACACAACTGTAGTAAAGGAACTCTGTTTAGACAGATTACTTTTCTTTCAGCCTTCATTTACTGTACCTCCATGTTTTCCTGTTCTCTTCCCTTGATCTAGCCAAATAAGGACCCATATTTCATGACTTTCTACCTTTCCAGTGGATTTCTGTGGCTATCCAAGTAGATGAGGCCATAACCCTAGGTACTGTGAGGATTCTTCAATTTTGTGAGCTCTTTAAAAGTGTGCTGCTATCTTATTTGTATCTGATTCAAAATTGATATTATAAAATCTTTTGCTGCTTAAATAAAGGTCAAATTTTCTTCTTTTTTTTCTACACTTTATTTCCCACATTACCCTTTAATTCCACCTGGTATATATCTTTGTATGTTGAATATGTGACAGTTTTAATTGACACCCCACCAACAAAAGCTGATTAATTTTTCCATCATAACACTATGTATTGAATCAATCAATCTTTTCTAAAAGACTTATAATGCCTCCTTTATTACATATTAAGATTTTATATATACTATGATCTCTTATAAGGCTATGCTTTATATCAATCTTTATTTTTGCACTAATACCACATCATATTAATTATTGAAAATATATTTAAATATTTGGTAGGGCAAATGGCTTTCTAGTTCTTCATTTTATGCTGGTAATATTTATAGGAAGAAACACAAACTTGCAAACAACCAATTTTTCCTAATTAAACATCTAACTCAATAGGCATTGCTCTTGCCCACAACTTTAGACTCCAGTTATTCTGTTGATAAAAATTTTCTTTAAATTATAGGTAATAGAAGCAGACAATGCATTCAGTATATTTATAGTGTTTAGTAATGAGCACGATGAATTCCAGATTCACTCCTATATATGCAATTGGAAAAAAAATTAAACACATGAAAATGCTGAAATCAGGATATTAATTGGTCAAGGTTCAGAGAGAGAAAATAGAGAGGATTATCTAGCCTAAAGCGGGAAAGCTTCGATTGAGCAGAAGCCAGGTTTTTGTACTCTGGGGATAATTTTGGATCCAGAATAGACAGGAAAATACTTTTGTCAGCAAGAGATGGTTTCAGAACAGGCACACAATGGCAAAGAAATAAAACCTAAAGGAAAAAAAGGCTTTAGTTAAACACCAATTGTATAGTTCAGGCAGGGACAAATAACACTCTTGCTGAATTGGTGATGACTTACTAGACCAGAGAATTAACATACAGTTAAGATTCACATGGCAAGGCCCTATAGTAGAAGAGAAAGAAGAGAAGTAAAGCAGAGAGAAGAAACGAAAACAACAACAACAACAACAAAACAGCAGAGATGTGTTGTCACAGTGGTTTCTTGAATATAGAGTTGTTCAATAGTGGAACAGATGATAGTGGGTGACAAAGAACAAAGACTGAACATTTCTGATTTCAGGGTAATTTGAAGTCAATCTTAACTTCTAAGAGTCTAAATTGAAACTACACAGTAAAACCAAGTAAATCCCTCAGCTCCAATACTTTATTTGGGACTACAAAAATATCACCTTAAAAAAAATTCTATTTGTGTGTTATCATTTTCCACGTAAAGTTCCTGTACATATTTTGTTGCATTTATACCTAATTACTTTATTTTGTTGGATGCCATGGTAAATAATATGTATGTGATTTTTCCAAGTGTCCATTGCTGGTATATAGGAAAGCAATTGACTTTTTAAATATTGATATGTGACCCTGTTAAACTCGGTTATTAATTCCAATACAGTCTTCTAGATTCTTTTGGATTATGTACATATATAATAATGTTTTCTTCTAATAGAGTCAGTTTCATTTTTATTCTTCTAATCTTTATGCCTCTTACTTCTTCTGTTTCTTTTTTCTTTCCTTATTTCAGTGACGATGGCATCCAGTACAACAGTAAGTAGGTGTGTTAAGAACTGACATCCTTGCCTTATTCCTGATGTTAGAAGGAAAACATTTACTCTTTCAATATCATTCCACAATGTTTACATGTATGAAAACATCACATTTACCTCCAAATATATAGAATTATTATTTTCAAGCAAAAACGTTTTAAAACTTTAATGCTAGCAATAGCTTTTTGTAGATGCATTTATCCAATAAAGGAAGTTCTTTCTAGTCTTAGTTTGCTGAAGTTTTATCAGCAGTAATGTTAAACTTTGATAAAGGCTTTTTCTGCCTCTATTATGATGATCATATGAAATTTCTTATTTTGTCCATCGATACAGTAAATTGCATTGACTGAGTGTTGAATGTTGAATGAACCTCGTACTTCTGACACAAACCCCACTTTTACATGATATATCAGTTGTTCTATATATTGCTTGATTTTAACTGCTAATATTTTTGAGAATTTTGCTGTTTAAGTTCACACATCATATTGGTCTGTGGTTTTCTTACAATATCTTTGTCTCTTTTTGGTATTAGGGTACTTCTGACCTAGTAAGATGGGTTTTATGGTGCTTCCTCTTTTGTATATTCTGGAGAAGGATGAACAGAGTTTGCATGATTTTATTAACAGTTTTTGATAATATGCCAGTGAAAACTTCTGGGTGCAGAGTTTTCTCTGTAGAAGGTGTTTAACTATAAGTGAGTTTCTTTAAGGGACATGAGGGTATTCAGATTACATATTTTTTCTTAAATGAGCTCTATTTTTTGTGACTTTCAACAATTTGGGCTATTTTATGTAAGTTAAATTTATGGTCTTAGTGTTGTTCATAATGCCCCCTTATTTTCCTATTAACATCTGTGAAAGCTGTAGTGATACCTGCTCTTTCATTGCTCATATTGATTAATTGTGTCTTATGTCTTTTATTCTTCATCCATTTAGATAGAAGTTTATCAGTTAACCTTGACAAATAAGTTTTTAGTTTCATTAGTTTTGATTTTCTTTATTGTTTTTACTGTTTTCAACTTCATTGATTTCTGCATTCACTTTGCTTTTTTTCCTAAGTTATTAAGATTGAAATTTAGAGTATTGATTTGGGAAGCTTTTGTTTTTGCTACCATCAGCATTTAATCCTAAAAATTTCCCATTAAGCCCTATTTTTGTTGTATCCCACACATTTGGTGTACTTTATAATCCTCCTTATGCATTTCAAAATGTGCTTTCATTTCTTTTTAAATGAATGGGTTATTTAGAAGTGTGTTACTTGATTTTCAAATATTTAGGAATTTCTCACATATTTTTCTATGGTGGATTTCCAGTTTATTTCACTATTATCAGAGAAAATACTTCTTATCATTTCTGTTCCTCTACTTCCATTCTGTACCATGTGAGAGACTTTCCTGTTATTCTGCCAAATTTCCTATGAACATCCAGTGGGGTTGGTGGAGAAAAAGCCTGTTGGAGGGCATGAAGTCCATCTCTATTTGCTTTTCCAAGGGATTTATTAACCTTTACCCTTGTACACTCAATTTCCACCAATTCACCAATCACCCAGCTGAACTTTTCTTACCAATCTGGTTGTTTCTTGACCCAACAAACCAGTAATCATTAATCCCAGTAGATTCCTGTCTCTTATATTTTGAACAAGTTGATTGCTTTAAATCCTCAGCACTTTGATGGAGGTCAATGAAATTTATGAATTTGCCATTTGTCTGGCTTTGGTAGTTCTTATACATCATTTGGAGTTAGGTTTACTGTCTCCTAGTTTCTTTGAGAATTCAGGTTTTAATTTTCATTCTCATATCACGTGTGATTTCCAGAAGAATCAGAGAAGATTCAGAATTAAGTTTCCTCCATATTTCTGTAAGCTTAATATTTCCATGAGTTTTTTTAATGGCATATCATTACACAAACTATTTTCCCATAATCTCTTAAACATTATTTTTATAGCTTTAGTCATTTCTTTATTACATTGGCATTTATTTTCTTCAGGATTTTTAAATCACTTGGCTTTTTTTTTCTTCATTATCCTCAAAAACTTAGTCTGTTTGCTTTTACCAAAGAGCAATAACTTAAATAAAGTAGACAATCCTTGTGTTAATGAATGGGAAATGTATTAAAACATTTTGCACCACGTGTTAATTATGACTACAGTAATTTCAAATAAATATTTGAAATGGATTTCAGGCAGTGTATTTAAAAAGTGTTCTGTGTCTGAAATATCAGTTTCTTTCTTTTCTAGACCAGGAAATGTTATTAGTAGAAGACATTTTAAAGTCATAATATTTCAAAACTATCTCTTCGTACATTTCTTTCTCTCTGATCAAAATATTTCCTGATTTCCAGGCCATGATGGAAGCTCCATTGTTAAGTTAAATATAATTTTGCTGGCTGAATTTTTTTTCTTCCTTTGAAATAAAGAGTTCCTTTAAAACTCTTAATGGCGAATGCATCCTGGTAATTCTTAGTGGGGAATGTATCCTGGTAATCATAAGATTTTCTTTCTATTTTTAAAAAAATCATTGGTTTTATTTTGTTCACTTCATCTTTTATTTGTTGGGAAGAAAATGTGTCATTACATCATCATTACTTTTTACTTTTCCTTTTAAGACAGTTAAAATATTATTTTCTGTTATGCTTTATAATTTAATGTTTTAATTAAAAATTTTCTTAGTTTTAGGGAAAGCTGGTTATGATAAAGGTTGCCACTTCTTTATCCTAAAAATATTTTTACCTTACATTTTTGAACACTTTGGTAATAAAACAGCTATTTACTGAGGTTTAAAGTTATGGTGACTTGCCATCTTAATAGCATTTTCACCTTGATATTTCACTCCTGGAATTTGTATAGTCCAACATATATATAAATATATTTGTGAAAAATCTGTACTTTCTTATTGCCATTATCTATATACAATCCCACACTTCACTAAATGCTGAATTAAAGACTGAACTATGAAAGAAAACCAGAGAGTTTGGAAAATTATCACCTGCCCTATGTAATGGTTGCTGCTGGGTCACACCTGGACTCATAAGTAGCAATTTATTTCATTGATCATTATGAAATAAAATTGTAGAAAAGGAGATGATAGTAGGATGGCAATGGCTATATATCAAAGAAAAGTAGAAACTGGAGGATAATTTAGAGATAGATTTCACTGAATATGTGAAATGAGATTTAAATAAAGATAGTAATTTTGGTTTTATCCCTCTCTATACTTTTACTTATTTTTCTTGCCATATTGTAGTGGTTAGGACAGTGAGTATAATGATGAGTAGCAGTGTTTAGAACTGACATCCTTGCCTTGTTCCAGTTTTAGGAAGAAAGCATTCAGCTTTTCAATAATAAGTTTGATGCTAGCAAAAGGTTTTTTGTAGAAGCACTTTATTCAGTAAAGGAAATTCCTTTCATTTCTTAGTTTGCTGAGGTTTTATCAACATTAATGCTGAATTTTAATAATTTTTTTCTGTATCTATTATTATGATCATGTGTTTCTTTTCTCATTTTGTTGATTAATATAGTAAATTATGTTGGTTAATTTTCAAATGTTGAATGAAACTTATATTCCTGGCACAAATGTTGCTTGATCATAATGTATTATACTTTTCATAGGATAATAGGTGCTATAGGAGTAATATAGGGTAATAGGTATAGGAGTTATATAGGCCTTTAGGGTGAGGATTTATGCTAATTTGGCTAGAAGCTGGGATCTGTTTAATATTTGCTGCAGGTGTAAGACCCAAAGGCTGCAAGTTCCTCCAGTGGGCTTGTTTTATCCTCCAGCCTTGGCTTTTGGAGCTACCTTGTATTCTTGTTTTTGTCTTCCCTGCTGTCTTTGAGTTTCCCTAGAGGACTATTCTCCAATAAGGTCTGAGATGTGCAGCTCTTTCAGTTGTATTCTTCTGTTATTATACAGGAACTCTGTCGATGTGATGGTGTATTAGTCCGTTTTCATGCTGCTATAAAGATACTACCCGAGACTGGGTAATTTATAAAGGAAAGAGGTTTGTTTAATTGATTCACAGTACTGCATGGCTGGGGAGGTCTCAGGAAACTTACAATCATGGCAGAAGGGGAAGCAGGAATGTCTTACATGTGGCAGGTGAGAGAGAGCACATGAAGGAGGAACTGTCAAACACATAAAACCATTAGAGCTCATGAGAACTCACTCACTATCATGAGAACAGCATAAGAGAAACTGCCGCCATGATCCAATTACTCCCCTCGCTTGACACATGGATTACAATTTGAGATGAGATTTGGGTGGGGACACAAAGCCAAACCGTATCAGATGGTAATGTGAGAGATGGGGTGGAGGGGAAGCATTCTACAATCCTATGATTAGATATCAGTCTTTTAGTGAGCCATTGACCCTAGGCTGTGACTTTCACAAGTCTTTCTCAGTCAACTCTCCTCAATAGATGATTAACAGAAAGGCTAGTGATGGCTTTCCCACAGGGAAAACTAGAGGAGGCTGGAATTGGGCATTTTCCTTCCCCAAATGGGTTTTGATATGGTAAAACCCCAGTTAGTTAGGCTCTCATAAAATAGTTTCTTTTAAAGGGAGGCCTTAAGAACAAATTTTTCTAACAGTATTTCAGATGGCTGTTTTCCCCCACTTTCTTGCCAAAATCACAGTGCTACTTTTATTCTGATCCTTGATGTGAGAACCTGATGTGGCTCCCAGAGGTAAAACAAAAGTGTGGCACCAAGACTGGCCACCCCTGGCATTCTTAAAATTTGAGCTTGCTCACACTGTGCCTCCAGCACACTATCAATTATAGTTAAAGTTTCCCTAACCTGGTACTAACTTCCACAGGGGTTTCTGCTCCTGGGCCTCTGCCACCATAACCCTGTTATTCTCTCTATATTCCTCTATATCTCCCCATTTTGGGGAGTAGTAGTTTGCCCTGCCACCTTACCTCTCTGGCAAATATTAGAAGAATTGCTAATTTTCAGTTTGTTTAGCCTTTTTATTGTTGTGACGACTGGAGTGACTACTTCAAAGATCTTTACATGCCTAACCAGAAAATGAAATTCTATTTATTGCAATGTTGATGTTTCACTACTTTCCCAAGCATTAAGAATTTTAATTTAGGTTTTAAAAGCAGGTTATAGGTTTAATAAACTTTAGTCATTGTGTTGAAATTTCTACTTCTCTTTCATTTACCACAGAAAGATTCTTATCCAGAATGTATGGTAATGTCTCTGAGTTTATTCCCATGTCTTTTTTGTCTTTTGCCAAAGGGACTATTCAAGATCACATAAAAGAGATTTAATTTCTGATTTGAGTCAAGATTAATTTCCAATGCTTTGAGTCTTTGATATAAATCTTATAAACATCAAATAGTCTGGTATTTGGTTGAAGTATCAAATGATTGCTGACATTCCATTTTACCAAGTTTAAGAGGCAAAGGGAAATAATTCTTCCAAGTTATTAGTGAATTATCCATACCCCATCATATAATGTTAAAGAGATTCTGAAAAGCCAGTTTCACTAGACATCATTGGTAGGGTACCCCTGGGGCTTGAAAACAATATCAAGAAAAGAAGCTCAGAATATATGAATAAATCCAATGAGAGTGTTAGGGGGTTACATATTTCATCATATAAGACAGTTATGAAAGAATAGTCAGGTTGAGGCAAAAATAAAAATAAGAACAACAAAATTAAAGGGAAAGAGAGAAAAAAATGGTGGAATATGTACACATTCACTAGATGTTCAGAATAAGTTGTCAGTTTTCCAGGTTTTTTTCCCCTGGCAGAGACTGTTTTAATCAATCTAACAATGATTAATCTAAAGTAAATGGCATAACAAGGAAAAAAATTAGCAATTATTTTTAGAATTGATATCAACTATTTCAATGTAAGTGCTGATTCACCTTCACCACCACTTCTAACCCCATCATAAATATTCGGGTTTTAGCACTAATTTCTGCCTTCTATGCCTACCATGATTTGGAGTGGTGGTGGCTATGCAATGAGAATTTAGAGTCTCAACATATGCCTGCTATTAATATCAACATCTAAGTTCATAAATTCCTCAAATATCTTACATAGCATTTAAAAGTGTTAAGACTTTGAAAAAGATATTGTATTAGTCTGTTCTCACATTACTATAAATAACTGCCTGAGACTGGGCAATTTATAAAGAAAAGAGATTTAATTGGCTCACGGTTCTGCAGGCTGTACAGGAAGCATGGCTGGGGAGGCCTCAGGAAACTTACAATCATGGCAGAAGGGGAAGCCAGCACACCCTACTTGACAGGAGCAGGAGGAAGAGAGTGAAGGGGGAGGTGTACACATTTTTAAACACACAGGTCTTGTGAGAACTCTATCATGAGGCAGCACTAGGGGGATGGTGCTAAACCATTAGAAGCCACCCCCATGATCCAATCACCTCCCACCAGGCCCCACTCTGGATCACAATTCAACATGAGATTTGGGTGGGGACACAGAGGCAAACCATATCAGATATGTTTAGCTTTACTGAAAAAATAAGCACCAGAAACAATGCTGTGTGCTCAGCAAGCCATTTTCATTTTTGTTCTGGAAACACAGGAAGACTGTATTTACCAGCCTCCCTTCCAGGTAGCTTGGACCCATAGACTATTCTCTGGCAAAGGGAGGTGATACAGAACAAATGAGTATACCACTTCTAGGCCTATGAAATCCATGGGCTATCCTCTCTTTCCTATTCTTGTGATTCGAATCAAAGGTCCCCAGTATGGCACCCTTGTTGAAGTGCCACTAAGCAACATTGGACTGTGATATGAGTGAAAAATAAACTTACATTGTACTAAGCCACTAGGACTTGTTTGTAGAATAGCTGGTTAGCACGACTCCAACTAAAACAGAATTCTCAACTTTCTATCTTACAGAAAGCTGGGAATTTTAGACTGTTTTATTCTCAAAGCAATAGTTCACCAATTTATAGCCATGTAGAACTGGGAGGCGATTTTGTCCATTGTAATCCATGCTTACTAGCAAATTGCCCTGACCTTGGTGAAATGAGTATTTGTGGTGCTATTTTAACACCAGAAAATACAGGCTCCAGCAGCTCTCAGTTACTTTGCAAATCAGGAAGTAGATTAACCATGACAATGACTAATTTTGAACATTTTCTCTGCCTCATCTTTGGTTTCTGCGCACTTTGTGTCCTTAGAATTCATCTTCTGCCTTCAGAAAGGCTCAGTTTTTGTTGTTTCATATGAGCACAGCACTTAGTCCTCACTTACGCATCCAAAACTCAGTCAAATAGTGCTGTTGCCAAATGCACCTGCAAGTAAGACAATGATTTTGAGGCTCTGAAATGTTTTCAGTCTTGTTTTTTTCCTGAGAATACAACACTAATTTGAATAGTTTGCATAAAACAGTTTGCTTTAAATACCTCTGTTTATCTATTTTACAATTCTACAGTTTATTTTCAGATGCAACTCTGAAGTAACTAGAATGCCATTATTCAGTATTATTTAGTGATATATCTGACTATGCAGTAACAATAATTGTGGTAATAATGCATTCTATCAGCATTATTTGAACCACAGCAGTAAAACTTTAATCAGCATATTTTTTTGGCATACTGCTCAGCTTCAGTGTTTATAATTCATCCATTTTCCCCTCTTGGCTGATTTGCAAAAAGCACAAAATAATTCCTTGAGAACACCTTCTTTTTTTCTTTTTCTTTCTTAAGTAAGTCTTATGTTTATTTAATTGCTTTTAAAATCCTGTGTCTGAAACATTACAGTTAAATTATGTTAACGTAAAATGAAATCACAAAGGTTCTATTACTTTTCAATAAATTTTGCCTATCATTTTTCTCATGCTTATATTAGACTGTGCATTTCACATAACAACCTAACTATTGCTCTATCATTGAAAATTTCTTTGGAAATAAGTGAACAGATTTGGATAGAATAAAAAAAAAACAAATACTACAGTGTGAAGTTTGCTTTTACTAACCTGTAAAAAGAAACACTAATTTGCATTTCCTTCCAATTCAAGCTGTATCCCAACAAACCATTTTGTTCGATCTGACCACTTTTTTCATGAATGTGAGTTTCTAGACACATTATTTTGATGAACGTTAGTTCAAATGGGATTCTCACATGAATCTAACAATAAAAGCATTTTATTTTGCCTCTTTCACTTAGAGATAGGAAAGAATATGTGGAAAAATAGGAAAAGTCAAGAGATTATTTAAAAGAAAAAAAGAAGACATTTAGGGGAAGGGAAGGATGTAGGAAACATCTTCAAGCGCAGGAATCATTAACCCCACATAACTAATGTAGATTACAACCTATTCTTGTGTCAATGCTTTTGATTTTAAAAGTATCTGTCTGAACACAGATTATATTATTTTGTGTCAAGGGGAATGGGGTGGGGTTGAATCTCAACTGCTTATTATCTCTCTTTTAAGATATTGCTTGCTCTTTCTCTGAATCTTTCCTATTGCATACTCTTAAACTTCATAACTTCTATCAAACCTTTGAAAAAAATTACCTTTAGGTCCTTTAGCTCCCATTTTTTTCCTTCTGGTTTGTTTGTTTGTTCATTTTTTTTCCATTTAGTTGAGAATCAAGCTCTTGGTCATTATTTAACAAGACTGATGTTTTAATGTGACTGCATTTTCATTGCTTAATCATTACCGTTGTAGAAAATCCTGTTAGCCCTCTAAATGTGGATATTCACCCAGGACAGAACATAACCACTATAAAGTTGGTGAAATGCGTTAGCCTAGTGTACGAGCTTAGGCTAATCCTCTCTCTGTTTTGAACTTCACCTCTCCTCCCTACTATCGAGTTGATTGTCCTCCTTTTTAAATCAGAAAATCATTTCCAGGAACAGCATTATATTGATAGTAGGGATTGCATTTCCTAACCTCTTGTCCTTGATTTTTAACAGCTTGCTGGACCTGGATGCCTATGTTTAGGTTTCAAAGACAGCATGTTTAAAATTAATCTAGTCCATTTGCTTAGTGTGTGGGGCTCTTTGTCTTTGCTTGAAGACTTTCAGTGGTGTGGAACTCTGAACTTCTCAAGCAATTCATTTTTAAAATGATAGTATACTCTACATACAATGATATGCACATTTCTTCTGTCTTCTGTGTTTCAGTTTGGACAGTCATGTACACCCATGTAATTATCACTGAAAGAAGATTCAAAGTATTTCCATCACCCCAGAAAATATACTCACACCATACCACTTTCCATGCAATATTCCACACCTGGAGCAGCCCCTTTACATCTTCTATCATCTAATGACAATTTTACCTGCTCTAGAATTTCATATAAATGGAATAAAAGGTATGTACTGTCTTATATACAGCTTCTGTCACTCAGTTAAATAAGATTCAGGCATGCTGTTGGGTATACAAGTAATTCATTCATCCATTTTTCTTACTGGGTACCATTCCCTTGTATGAATATACCAAAATTTCTTTGTTTGTTCACTGTTGATGGACATTAGATCTGTTCCCATTCTTTTATTATGAATAAAACTGCTAAAACATTTCCATAAAAATCTTTTGGTAGATATACATTTTCATTTATTTTGGGAAATTATTTAGGAATAGAATTGCTTGGTGACATGATATATTTGCGCTGAACTTCATAAGAAACTACAAACAGTTTTCCAAAGTGATTGTACTATTTTATACACTCACCAATGATTTATGACGGTTTCCACTGCTCCTCTCCAACATTTGGGGTTACCAATTTTTTTGGTTTTAATCAGTCTAATGGGTAAGAAATGGTATCTCACTTATGTTTTCATTTGAATTGTCATGATTCTGATAAATTTTAGTAACTTTTCATATAGTTATATCTGAGTGTGTATGTGTGTGCATGTGTGCCTGTGTGTGTGTTTTGAAATGTTTATTCATGTATTTTGCCCATTTTTAAAATTTTACTTTAAGTTCTAGGATACATGTGTAGAATGTACAGGTTTGTTACACAGGTATACATGTGCCATGGTGGTTTGCTGCACCTATCAACCCATCATCTAGGTTTTAAGCCCTACATGCATTAGATATTTTTCCTAATGCTCTCTCTCCCCTGGCCTCCCACCCCTCAACAGACCCTGATGTGTGATGATCCCCTCCCTGTGTCCATGTGTTCTCATTGCCCAACTCCCACTTATGAGTGAGAACATGCAGTGTTTGGTTTTTTGTTACTGTGTTAGTTTGCTGAGAATGATGGCTGCCAGCTTCATCCATCTCCCTGCAAAGGACATGATCTCATTCTTTTATGGCTGCATTGTATTCCATGGTGTATATGTGCCACATTTTCTTTATCCAGTCTATCATTGATGGACATTTGGGTTGGATCCAAATCTTCACCATTGTAAATAGTGCTGCAATAAACATATGTGTGCATATGTCTTTATAGTAAAATGATTTATAATCCTTTGGGTATATACCCAGTAATGGGATTACTGGGTCAAATGGTATTTCTCATTCTAGATCCTTGAGGAATCACCACAGTGTCTTCCACAATGTTTGAACTAATTTACACTCCTACCAATAATGTAAGAGTGTTCCTATTTCTCCACAGCCTTGTCAGCATCTGTTGTTTACTGACTTTTTAATGATCGCCATTCTAACTGGTGTGAGATGGTATGTCATTGTGGTTTTGATTTGCATTTTTCTAATGATCAATAATGATGAGCTTTTTCATATGTTTGTTGGCTGCACATAAATGTCTTCTTTTGAGAAGTGTCTGTTCATATCCTTTGCCCACTTTTTGATGGGGTTCTTTGTTTTTTTCTTGTCAATTTGTTTAAATTCCTTGTAGATTCTGGATATTAGACCTTTGTCAAAAGGGTAGACTGCAAAAATTTTCTCCCATTCTGTAGGTTGCCTGTTCACTCTGATGGTAGTTTCTTTTGCTGTGCAGAAGATCTTTTAGTAGATCTAATTAGTTTAATTAGATCCCATTTGTTAATTTTGGCTTTGTTGCCATTGCTTTTGGTGTTTTAGTCATGAAGTCTTTGCCCTTGTTTATGTCCTGAATGGTATTGCCTAGACTTAATTCTAGGGTTTTTATGGTTTTGGGTTTTACAATTAAGTCTTTGATTTATCTTGAGTTAATTTTTGTATAAGGTGTATGGAAGGGGTCCAGTTTCAGTTTCTGCATATGGCTTGCCAGTTTTCCCAACACCATTTATTAAATAGGGAATCCTTTTCCCATTGCTTGTTTTTGTCAGGTTTGTCGAAGATCAGTTGGTTGTAGATGTGTGGTGCTATTTCTGAGGCCTCTGTTCTGTTCCATTGGTCTATATACCTGTTTTGGTACCAGTAGCATGCTGCTTTGGTTACTGCAGCCTTGTAGTATAGTTTGAAGTCAGGTACCAGGATGCCTCCAGCCTTTTTCTTTTTGCTTAGGATTGTCTTGCCTATATGGGCTCTTTTTTGGTTCCATAGGAAATTTAAAGTAGGTTTTTCTAATTCTGTGAAGAAAGCCAATGGTAGCTTAATGGGAATAGCAATGAATCTATAAAATACTTTGGGCAGTACAGCCATTTTTATGATATTTATTCTTCCTATCCATGAGCATGGAATGTTTTTCCCATTTGTTTGTGTCCTCTCTTATTTCCTTGAGCAGTGGTTTGTAGTTCTTGAAGAGGTCCTTCACATCCCTTGTAAGTTTATTCCTAGGTACTTTATTCTCTTTGTAGCAATTGTGAATCGGAGTTCACACATGATTTGGCTCTCTGCTTGTCCATTATTGGTGTATAGGAATGCTTGTGACTTTTGAACATTGATTTTGTATTCTGAGACTTTGCTGAAGTTGCTTTTCAGCTTAAGGAGCTTTGAGGCTGAGATGATGGGGTTTTCTATATATACAATTATGTTGTCTGCAAACAGAGACAATTTGACTTCCTCTCTTCTTATTTGAATACCCTTTATTTCTTCCTTTTGCCTGATTGCCCTGGCCAGAACTTCCAATACGATGTTGAATAGGAGTGGTGAGAGAGGGCATCCTTGTCTCGTGCCGGTTTTCAAAGGGAATGCTTCCAGCTTTTGCCCATTCAGTATGATATTGGTTATGAGCTTGTCATAAATAGCTCTTATTATTTTGAGATATGTTCCATCAATGCTTAGTTTATTGAGAGTTTTTAACATGAAGGGATGTTAATTTTATTCAAGGCCTTTTCTGCATCTAGTGAGATAATCATGTGATTTTTATCATTGGTTCTGTTTTTATAATGGATTACATTTATTGATTTTTGTATGTTGAACCAGCCTTGCATGCCAGGTATGAAGCTGACTTGATTGTGGAAGATAAGCTTTCTGATGTGCTGCTGGATTTGGTTTGCCCGTATTTTATTGAGGATTTTCGCATTGATGTTCATCAGGGATATTGGCCTGAAATTTTCTTTTTTTGTTCTGTCTCTGCCAAGTTTTGGTATCAGGATAATGCTGGCCTCATAAAATGAGCTAGTGAGGAGTCCCTCTTTTTCTATTGTTTGAAATAGTTTCAGAAGGAATGGTACCAGCTCCTCTTTTTACCTCTGGTAAAATTTGGTGGTGAATCTATTTTTCCCATTTTTAAGTAGATTGTTGGTCTGAGTTTTGAGAGGCATGGATGTAGTACATTAGTAATATATGGCACTTTTATATTTTATAAAATTGTTTTGTTGATTTTGTTGTATTTATTCTTCATCTTATTATGTAATGAAAATATACATTTAATATTACATTCATGGATAAGGAAATTGAAGCAAAACATTCTATAAATATTTTTCAAGGCACAAGGGGAAAATCAATGTAATGAAATCAAAACTGGATACATTAAAATCTGCTTGAAGACCACTTATAATTTACTGCCTCAAAAGAAGACATATGTTCCCATCTCTATGCAAAGAATAACAATTTTATAAAATTCCAATCAGGAATATTTGTATAGTATTGACTGAATTTGACCAAATTGGTTTGCCTCTTTGCAAAATATCCTTGGGAGATTTAAACCAAGTTACTTCTTTGTTTCAAAAAGCTAGAAGAGCAGTTCTGGAGAGTCTCTATTTTTAGGTGGTGGAGGTGGGGGCGTGATTCTGAGTGACAGTGTTTGTTCAGTGGATCTCTTCTGTACTGATTTTTCAGAGTCCCTTTCTTGTAACTTCCCTAATGTATAGTGGGGAATCATGCTTTGTAGTCAACCTGATTGATATAAAACTTGGCAGTCTTTGTTGCTTGAAATAAATAACTTACAGTATAAAAATCCAATTGGCTGATTTTGGGCATCACACCAAAATTGTCATGATTTTCATCTTCTAAATGTGGAATTCCCAAGGCAACTGTTCCCAGTATACACTCAGTTAATAATTTGAGCTTACTTAAAGGCACCAAAATGTACTTAACCCTGGCCTCTAGCATTTAATTTACTGTTCTCATTGATCTTTAGCAAAGATTTTTCAATGTGCATTTATTGAAGATCTATTTTGTACACAGTACTTTAGGAAGTATTAATTTCCCTGTGGCCATCCTGGTATAACATCTAGCACAATGCATATTAATCTTGCCAAATAACAGATATTGTGGACATGTTTAAATTGGGACTCATTGACTTCCAGTTCTGAAAATATGGCAGCCTATGTACCCTGGAAATTCCTCAGTACAGCTTCTTAGAAATATTGGCTAAAGAAAATAACTGTTTTAAATTATTTTCAGTCCACTACTGGCCTCATTAGAAAAAAGGAAAATCACCAGATGTCAGAAACTAGAAGGAAGTCATAAACATAGCAGCCAATTTGAAAGTGACACAGAATCTTCTGCCACAAAGGTGGCGATAGCTGTGGTTGGTCTTGGTGATCAGAGTCTTAGCAAATGGGAATATTAACCCAGAGATAGAAAAGGAAGCCAGGCATCCACAGATTATAAGGATTAAAAACTGAGACTCGACATGAGGTCTAGGTCTTTAAAGGACGGCTCACTTGGTGAAGCGTGGACTAGGTAAATTTCATTCCACAAATATAGGAATCATTAAGAAGCTTGATTCTCCCTCACAGTAGGTATAGGAGTTCTAAAACAAAACAAAACAAAACAAAAAGATTCACTAAATGCAATAAAGTGCTAGGTATTAAAAACATGAGGCCAAAATCAACTAGAGACAAGTATATTATAGTATTCAGGGGCATTGTTAAGCATTAAGAGCATTGCCTAGTATGTTGACTTATGTAACTTTATGGAAAAAAAAGATATAGGGGCAGAGGTAGTGTGGAGTGCAAAGGTGTTCTATGGTCAACATGGTCGACAGGACCCGTGGTCTTAAGGACAGCTGGGTTTGGATCAGGGAAGAGTAAAGACAAATCAAAACGTGTCTATATTCTGTCTGTTTCTTTCAGTAACTAAACAGTGACAACTTCAGTATGGTGGCTGATGCTTCATTTCTGCCTCCCAAATTTTGCCCAACTTCACTTGTGGCCATGTAAAACCCTGAACCATACAGAGAAAGAGATTATAAGAAATTTAGTTTTCAATATATCCAAGTTTACAATAAAACAGCTAAAAAACTTTATATGTTCTAGAATTTTTTATTATAACAACATGTCTATATTTATAAAAAGAAGTGTCGTAGAAAGAAAATTGACAGAAAAACAATATATCCAAAACTCTTTTATTATAGCACAAGAGAAAGATAAACAAAAATTCTGATGGTAGAAGTATTGAAGATAAGGAAGAGTTACAATTGCTAAGTAAATATAAATAATAAAATGACAATAGGAGAAATAAAGAAGATTTTTAAAAATGTGAACATTCCCAACCAGGACCACAAAAATGGCTCTGGTTTGATGGACTATTGATGGAAGAGAAAATAAATGATGGAAAATAAATAATAAAGAAATACACCATTTGTACAGATGAGAGCAGCATTGTTCTAATGAGTTATTTGATTTCTTTTAGTTCTCAAAACTTTCATAATGTCTTGTTAAGAGGAGCAATAATTTTATTATTAATAAACATTCAATAAGAGGCAGATTTTTTATAATATTAAACTTAATAATAGGGCCCTTAAATAGGATATTGAGATTAAAATTGGGTTAATAAACATTATTTATTGAAAATGTATTTAGAACTAGTTATTACACAAGAAAATGTTAAATATCCTAGGACCTCATATCTGATATACGAAAGAAAGTGATACAGATTTCCCTAAATTCTACAACAATCTTAACATCAAATGTCATCCCAGTTACATATTGTAAAGCTGAAATAAATTATTCTATATCTCAATAGTTTTTAAAAAGTGTAACTCTGCCAGAAAAAATATTACTTTAATACTACTTTAATTTTTTTCTATAATATTTACAACATTGTTAGATGTAGTTGATTAAAAAGTTAACAGCCAAAGGGAATAGAATGAAAGCATTGTAGATGTGTGTTAGGCAGCTAAGTGGTAAAATATATTTTTATTTTTGTATCTTGTGATATGTAATTTTCTATAATTTCCCATGCCTAGAAAATATTACTTTTCATAGCTAATTTTGTATTTGTAATTGTTTTAATCCATTTTCTTAAATAAGTACCTCTAGAACCACAAATTAAAGCATGAAGGAAAGCAAAAATAAACACGTTTGAAATTATTACATTCATACTATCTGAGAAAAAGGGTTTGATAGGTCTTCAGTTTCTATTTTCCTTATGTAAGTAATTCTACTTCTCAATAGTGTTTGCCTATGGAAGCAACGTTTATCCCCAACCCACAAGGTTTCATAATATTTGGACCCAGTTACTCTTTCTTTCAAAGATCTATGCAAGAGATATGGAGATCTGTTTTGCTCAGATCTGAGCTCTGTTAATCATAATAATGTGTATTTAGAGATGCAGGTCATGTTCTAATAGCTCTAAATGCCAAATATTGAATAGCGTTAGTGCCCGTAGATTCTTTCATGAGCCCCTAAAGGTACAGGTCAAGTCTTCTTTATTTAGGTGTGTATCAGTTTTCTAGCGCTGTTGAAACAAAATCCCACAAACTAGGTGGCTGAAACAACAGAAATTTTTTGTCTCACAATTCTGGAGGATGGAAATCCAAGATCAAAGTATCAACAGGTTTGGTTCCTTCCGAAGACTGTGAGGGTAAAGTCTGGATTATTTGTCTGTCCTGTGTGTGATTTTCCAGCAATCTTTGGAGTTCATTGGCTTATAGAAGCATGACCTTGCTCTCTGCCTCCATCTATATATCGTGTTCTCTCTGCCTGCTTGACTGTGTATAAATTTTAATAAGGACATCAGTCATATTGGATTAAGAAGCTATCCTACTCTAGTATGACCTCATCTTAACTAATTATATGTGCAACAAACCTTTCATTTAATAAGGTCACACTCTGAGGTTCTGGGTGTGGTAAGGAGCACAATTCAACCCATTGCAGGGTGTCTAAGGGCAGCACTATGTAGCAGCAGTAATCAGAGAGGAAAAAAATCACACAATTTCACAGAAAGAACTTTCCTGCATGAAATCTGAGAATGGGGGATGTTCTTTTTGGACTTCTTATATTCAGTCCTTGGATGAGTCAATGCAGGAGAAGAACCACAAGAAACTGACACTTGACTCAGTCAATCTTGGTGGAACAATGTTGGAGATACCAACTTAATTAGATTTAGATAATTTAAGAATTGAGACTTCTACTTTAAGTATCATGAAATTAAACATATAGGAAATAGTAGCTTTGCAAATGAATATAAAGAGGAAATGAAAATGTATATAGTGGTTCAGTCAGAGTATAACCAGAGAAGCAAAATAACATGGCAGTGGGTAAACCATTCTATAAATTCATAGGTGGTAGTTTTCAAAGAAGCATTCCAGGCATGGAAAGCAAATCTATATCTGGAGTAAATGTTTATTTCAGTTAAGAACAAAGTGCTCTTCCTTCTATCATGGAAGACGATCAATGTAATCAACTTACCAGGCTGATCACCTTGAGAAATGGTGCCATATCAGGGGTTCAGTGGTGGACTCTGCTGCTGGAAGGTTTGGCACTCAGCAGTGGCTGTGGTCAGGTTGGCCTAGGTGAGAGCAAGTCCCTGTTGTGGAGCCCATGCATGATTTTTTCTCTTCTGTATGACCCCTTTGGGCATGAGAAATGATGTATGCATGTTACAAAATATCATCTGCTCTCTTTCATCTTCCAACTCTCTTCAAAGAGACTATCCTCTGTACCCCACTCTAAATGGAAGCATAGTAAAACAAAGGGAATTCTGAGGACTGTCATTTAGCCTGACAAATTTGGCACATCAAAAGCCATCACTTATAATAGTATTATATTATTCTTGGGCAAAAATATTATAATTTTTTGTGCTTATCTAAATTATCAAGTTTTGAAATATGTATACAAATATAAACGCCAAAAGTTGGAAGCTACTCTTAAAACCAGTGTTAATATTTAATAAGAAATTCCTCACAGAATTGGAAAAAACTACTTTAAAGTTCATATGGAACCAAAAAAGAGCCTGCATCACCAAGTCAATCCTAACCCTAAAGAACAAAGCCGGAGGCATCACGCTACCTGACTTCAAACTATACTACAAGCCTGCAGTAACCAAAACAGCATGGTACTGATACCAAAACAGAGATATAGATCAATGGAACAGAACAGAGCCCTCTGAAATAACGCCGCGTATCTACAACTATCTGATTTTTGACAAACCTGAGAAAAACAAGCAATGGGGAAAGGATTCCCTATTTAATAAATGGTGCTGGGAAAACTGGCTAGCCCTATGTAGAAAGCTGAAACTGGATCCCTTCCTTACACCTTATACAAAAATTAATTCAAGATGGATTAAAGACTTAAACGTTAGACCTAAAACCATAAAAACCCTAGAAGAAAACCTAGGCATTACCATTCAGGACATAGGCATGGGCAAGGACTTCATGTCTAAAACACCAAAAGCAATGGCAACAAAAGCCAAAATTGACAAATGGGATCTAATTAAACTGAAGAGCTTCTGCACAGCAGAAGAAACTACCATTAGAGTGAACAGGCAACCTACAAAATGGGAGAAAATTTTCGCAACCTACTCATCTGACAAAGGGCTAATATCCAGAATCTACAATGAACTCAAACAAATTTACAGGAAAAAAACAAACAACCCCATCAAAAAGTGGGCAAAGGATTTGAACAGACACTTCTCAAAAGAAGACTTTTATGCAGCCAAAAGACACATGAAAAAATGCTCATCATCACTTGTCATCAGAGAAATGCAAATCAAAACCACAATGAAATACCATCTCACACCAGTTAGAATGGCAATCATTAAAAAGTCAGGAAACAACAGGTGCTGGAGAGGATGTGGAGAAATAGGAACACTTTTACACTGTTAGTGGGACTGTAAACTAGTTCAACCATTGTGGAAGTCAGTGTGGCGATTCCTCAGGGATCTAGAACTAGAAATACCATTTGAACCAGCCATTCCATTACTGGGTATATACCCAAAGGACTATAAATCATGCTGCTATAAAGATACATGCACATGTATGTTTATTGCGGCACTATTCACAATAGCAAAGACTTGGAACCAACCCAAATGTCCAACAATGATAGACTGGATTAAGAAAATGTGGCACATATACACAATGGAATACTATGCAGCCATAAAAAATGATGAGTTCATGTCCTTTGTAGGGACATGGATGAAATTGGAAATCATCATTCTCAGTAAACTATCGCAAGGACAAAAAACCAAACACTGCATGTTCTCACTCATAGATGGGAATTGAACAATGAGAACACATGGACACAGGAAGGGTAACATCACACTCTGGGGACTGTTGTGGGGTGGGGGGAGGGGGGAGGGATAGCATTAGGAGATATACCTAATGCTAAATGACGAGTTAATGGGTGCAGCACACCAGCATGGCACATGTATACATATGTAACTAACCTGCACAATGTGCACATGTACCCTAAAACTTAAAGTATAATAATAATAATTAAAAAAAAAGAAATTCCGCAAACACAACATGTACGGAAATAGCTAAAAGACACTAAAAATAATTATTCAATCTTACTATTAATCACAGAAATACAAAAAATATAGATGAAACTATAAATGAAGTGCTATTTTTATTTTTCAAAAAAGTAAAGTTCAATATCCATTGTTGGAATTAATGAGAAAATAATCACTTATTCCTTTTATCATAGACTCCTGAAAAGAGTATAAACTGTACAATATTTATTAAAACTTGTATGTGCATGTATGTGTGTGTGTAAATCAACACTCAGAAATAATAATGTTGTTACTCTAATAAGTGAAGTAAAAAAATTTTCACTGTTATCTGAATGGAAACAATGGACACATCCATCAAATGGTAGATAATTGCCTTTGAAAATGTTAGGTTATTATTTGTATTTAAAATGCCAAAAAATGATGTCCTTAGAGTTGAGCTCCCATGTAGTACTACATTTTCCAGAGGTGATATCTAGGAAATAGTTCTACCATTAGCATAGGCTCAAAAAGAATTCATGAAATAGAGACGATTGCAAAGAACATCATAATTTTTAAAATAGTAATATAAATGATGGCCTTCCAAATCCCATCTCACTCCAAAAGAGCTGTCTGAAAATATATTCTTTCACATTTGTTGTTTAAAATACTATGATGTGAAATAAAAGAATAAATAGTATCTGAGAGATGAATCTGTATTAGAAAGATCAGCAAAAATTAATGTCTTCAGAATATAGGAATGACAACTAGAATATTGAAAATAAGTTATTTAGGTGCTGTTAAGATGAAGGCAGCCAGTGCAGTGGCTTATGCCTGTAATTCCAGCACTCTGAGAGGCTGAGGTGGGCAGATCACCTGAGGTCAGGAGTTCGAGACTAGCCTGGCCAACATGGTGAACCCCCATCTCTACTAAAAATAGAAAAATTAGCCAGGCATGATGGTGTGCATCTGTAATCCCAGCTACTGGGGAGGCTGGGGCATGAGAATCGCTTGAATCCGGAAGGTGGGGGCTTTGCAGTGATCACACCATTGCACTCCAGCCTGGGTGACAGAGCAAGACTCTGTCTTAAAACAAAACAAAACAAAAAAGCAACATCACCATAGGGCAAATGGGATTTAATGAATAGAGAAAATAAGAGAAAACATGATCAATTCCCTGACCATATATTTTGGTTACTGCTCGACTATTGCTACATAAAAATCCACCCCGAAATTTAATAGCCTGAAACAATACTTTATTATATCCCATGGTTCTTTGTGTTGACTAGGGTCACTGTGTGACTCTTGTTTGCGGTTTCTCATGTAGTTTTAGTGAGATAATGTTTTGGCCACAGTCATGTGATGGTTTCCAAAGGTTGGATGTCCATAATGGTGCATTCACAAGGCAGGCAAATGATGCTGTCAGGTTGGAGTTAAGCTACAGCTGTCCATTGACATACCTAATAAGTCCATGTGGCTTGTGCTATTTACCTCAAGAGAGTCGAGATCTGATATAGTGTCATAAGGAAAGATGTCTTAAAAATCCAGAACATTACTTCCACTTCAATCTATTGTTCATCCAAGTCACTGAGGCAGCCCAAGCTGAAGGGGAGAAAATTAGATTTTATATCCTGATTGGGGGATGGCAAGGTCACAATTCAGAAGGGCTTGAAGTTGCAGTAGTGAGCTCCTGTAGTCCCAGCTAGTCGGGAGGCTAAAGCAGGAGGATCACTTGAGCCCAGAAATTTGAGTGTAGCCTGGGCAACATAGTGAGACCCTATCTTCTAAAAGAAGAAGAAACCAGAAGGGCTTGGGTGATAGGAGGTATTGTTTTGACCATCTTTGTAAAATAGAATCTGCAGGATAACTCTTTTTCTTGAAATCAAGTAATCTGAAGAGACTTTGTGTGACATGATTTATATATGTTGTGTTCATCTTTTAAATTCACTTGATATTAATCTAGGGACACATAGTGTGTACCCATATCATCAATAACAGACACTTGGGCTGCTAATGCATTAGGAGCTAAGTCTAGGGCTGTACTTCTAGTTCAGACTATTTGAATTTTTTTCTTCATTTTCTTTTCACTTTATTTCACATTCTAGTTGATTACAATGTTATAAAATTTTACTTTCTAGTTGATTACAACAAAGAATTAAAGTAGAGTAATTCATTTCCTTGCTAAGTTAGCTCATATTTCACTGACCTTTTGATTAAGAGAATTTTTGACAAGGGTTTCAAATCTAGTGATAAAAGTTTAACTCAGATGTTTAATCTATATTATCACTGAAATTCTACAAATCTCAGCAGTTGAAAGCTTCCTTTTGTCAAATACCTTCTTAACAAATATCTCCAGTAATTATGCTGCTGTGCCCCATGAGATGTCATTACTACTTAATTACCCTGTGCTGAGGGATATGCAGAATGCCAGAGGCTGAAGCAGAGGTAGAGTTGCAAAGTGGAACAACTCCAATTTTCTAGAAAGCTTAGTGACAAGACAGAGAATACTAAGTGATAATCAGTGATAATTTTTTTATCTGTATCAGAAAAATAAAATGAAATGCAATTGTTGGGAGTAAAATGGAGGTATTTGCATTACTATTCTTGGGACTATCATGTTACACAATTCTGTCTTGCATGTAATGAAATATCCAGGTTTGTTAACAAGCAGATAACCTGTGAAAATATAGGGATAGTAATTATTCAAGGATTCTGGTTGTGAACATATCCTAAATTTGTAAAAAATATAATTCATTGAAGCCTCAGAAAAGTAGAGCAATTAAGTGGAGCACTGATGGGTTCTTTCACATCTCTAATGCTAAAAGATGTCACTCAAGAGTCTTGAACCCTTTGAGTTTAAGTAATTAGCTCAGGAGACATTTAACAACCACTGAAGTTCAATCTTTCTGTGCAAGTATGTCAGTCACTGAAGATTTATTACCCTTTTATGTTTTTATGTTTATGTTAAGGAGATGGTTTGTCATCATACTAGTAGTTTCAAGCCTGAAGAATTACCAAGTATGTAGAAAGTAAAGTAGAACGGAGATGGAATAACAGTTGGAGATAGTTGTAATGAGCTCAGAAAGGTAACGAAGTAGAATGGCTTTTAATTTGTTTTTAGATTTGCTGTTTTTTGTTTGTTTTATTCTTTTTTTTTTTTTTACTTCTTGCTCATCAAATCTTATTTCTTCATTTACTTTTCATCAATTTCTGGTGCTACATGTGCTCTTTAGCAGCTGTGTAGACATTCTGAGTAGGTACAAAGTGTTGCATCCAGCTCGAGCGTTCCAATGGGTTTTTGTAGGGTTTTTGGTTTATTGTTTTATTTTGTTTCATTTAGCATGGAAGGGGTGAAGGAAGAGAACACCAGTATTTAGAAGGAATCTCTGAATCTCACAAATATGCCTCATAAAAGAAAAAGTCGGCTTTGAACATCTCCCAGACCCAGGCAGTATCAGTGCCAGATAACAGTTGTATTAGTTAAATAAAATCTTTTAATTTCATTCCTTCAAGCTCCCAAAACATTATTTTATATTGTTTTATTTTTAGGTTTTGAGGCTTTAAGTAAAACAGAGCAAGAGTGCCAATTTGGCCTCCTGTTATATAGGTATTATTGTATACTTTAATGATGATTAATCAACATTGAAGTGACTTTCGCAAGGTCTCATAGCTATGAAAGGGAGGAATTGGGTTTCAAAACCATGTCTGTTTGATACTAGAACATATATTTTAAAAATTTACAACACATTGATTCTGAGAAAAGGGGATTGAGCTTTAAAAGAAGCTTTCTTCTCATTTCCTTCTGTGCTGTCTATTCTCCATTTTGCATTTATAAATCTGTTCTCTGCCAGTCTTTATCTTGATTTGTGCTTAAGTAGGCTGACCGCATGGGAAAGCATCAGTCAGCTTCTTTACTTCTAGGTTCTGGTTCACCTCAGCTTCCTTACTTTTAGATTCTGGTTCACCTTGGCCAATAGGAGGCATCAGCAGGAGATGGGGAGGACAGAGGGACAATGAGTTAGGGGAATTCATTCCTTTGGCTTCCTCCCAGTCAGGGCTATGGCTTGGCAGTAGTCACAGTCTTTTAAAAGCCATCCTGCCTTGTCGACCCTTGCCTATGCTAAAGCCCTTTTTGTAATTTCAAGAACTGTGTCTTCTCGTTGCATAGTCAGATCTAACGATGGTAATGGCCATTGTTGGTCTCTGAGTAAGTGAGCATCCCTTTTTGTTTTCTCTGAATACTTTCAACAGCTACGTAAATAGTACTTTCATTAAACTCTTCGGAAGCATCTATTTGAGGGTGCCGTCTGTTTCCTTTTGGGACCTTGACAAATACATCTACAAATTGGTGATTCCAAGTCTAGTTTATAC
Organism: Homo sapiens; assembly: GCF_000001405.40. Classification (NCBI taxonomy): domain Eukaryota; kingdom Metazoa; phylum Chordata; class Mammalia; order Primates; family Hominidae; genus Homo; species Homo sapiens. The sequence goes on along the minus strand of NC_000005.10, from coordinate 63,514,231 downwards.
ATGTTATATTTTTACAAAGAAAAACTGTACTTTTCCAATTCTTTGTTTAATTGTTAGAACTGAGAAAGTGGGATGAGGACGAAGGTGAAGAGTTGTGCAAATAAATAAAATTGCATGAAAATGGAATATAGAAATTGTGGCATTAAATCTTACCACCCTTAAAGTACTACTATATAGGAGGCTGAAAATGCACTTAGATACATGGAAAAATGTAGTTCTTATAGTCTAAAAATTCTCACATCCTTCTTATATACAACTGAACTTACTAACTGAAAGTATTTCACGCTTTTCCAGATAAAACGGTCTCTGTTAAGTTTAAACATTCACTTAATTTAACTTTGTCCAGATTCATTTATGCAGCCTCATTTGGATCACTCAGTCTATTAGCTAAATTGTCTACTTGTCTGATTTTTATCTCCCCACCTAGTAGGTTGTCTAGCAGGGCTCACTGGGTCCTCATGCTAGCCAGGAAATAAAAAGCCCTGGATTCTATAAAAATGCAAACATAATAACTTGATCAACTCCTTCAAGCTGAGAAGCAATTGTGGAGAAAAGAAAATCAGTAATCTAATAGCAAAGTCCTCTTCTGGAGGAGACAGATAAAGACATTTGCCAATACATTCATTCACATTCTACCATAACTATATAACTATTTGGATAAACCTCTTTACTCTTATGAACTCTATAACTGTGATGATATACAGATAAAAATAAATCATTTGTATTTCAATAAAACAACAAAAATTAAACAATGACTATGTATCTATTATTTTATAGCACATTGCATTTATTTATTTATTTTATTATACTTTTAAGTTCTGGGGTACATGTGCAGAACACGCAGGTTTGTTACATAGGCATACACGTGCCATGGTGGTTTGCTGCACCCATCAAACCGTCATCTACATTAGGTATTTCTCCTAATGCTATCCCTCCCCAAGCCCCCCAGCCCTCGACAGGCCCCTGTGTGTGATGTTCCCCTCCCTGTGTCCATGTGTTCACATTGTCCAACTCCCACTTATGAGTGAGAACATGTGGGGTTTGTTTTTCTGTTCTGGTGTTAGTTTGCTGAGAATGATGGTTTCCAGCTTCATCCATGTCCCTGCAAAGGACATGAACTCATCCTTTTTATGGCTGCATAGTATTCCATGGTGTATATGTGCCACATTTTCTTCATCCAGTCTATCATTGATGGGCATTTGGGTTGGTTCCAAGTCTTTGCTATTGAGAACAGTGCCACAACAAACACACGTGTGCATCTGTTTTTATAGTAGAATGATTTATAATCTTTTGGGTATGTACTTAGTAATGGGATTGCTGGGTCAAATGGTATTTCTTATTCTAGATCCTTGAGGAATCGCCACACTGTCTTCCACAATGGTTGAACTAATTTACATTCCCACCAACAGTGTAAAAGCATTCCTATTTCTCCACACCCTCTCCAGCATCTGTTTTTTCCTGACTTTTTAATGATCGCCTTCTAACTGGTGTGAGATGTTATCTCATTGTGGTTTTGATTTGCAGTTTTCTAATGATCAGTAATGATGAGTTTTTCACGTGTTTGTTGGCTGCAAATAAATGTCTTCTTTTGAGAAGTGTCTGTTCATATCCTTTGCCCACTTTTTGATGAGGTTGTTTGTTTTATTCTTGTAAAATTTTTAAGTCCTTTGTAGATTCTGGATATTAGCCCTTTGTCAGATGGATAGATTGCAAAAATTTTCTCCCATTCTGTAGGTTGCCTGTTCACTCTGACAGTAGTTTCTTTTGCTGTGCAGAAGCTCTTTAGGTTAATTAGATCCCGTTTCTCAATTTTGGCTTTTGTTGCAATTGCTCTTGTTGTTTTAGTTATGAAGTCTTTGCCCATGCTTATGTCCTGAATGGTATTGCCTAGGTTTTCTTCTAGGGTTTTTATGGTTTTAGGTCTTATGTTTAAGTCTTTAATCCACCTTGAGTTAATTTTTGTATAAGGTGTAAGAAAGGAATCCAATTTCAGCTTTCTGCACATGGCTAGCCTGTTTTCCCAACACCACTTATTAAATAGGGAATCCTTGCCCCATTGCTTATTTTTGTAAGGTTTGTCAAAGATCAGATGGTTGTAGATGTGTGGCATTATTTCTGAAGCCTCTTTTCTGTTCCATTGGTCTATATCTCTGTTTTGGTACCAGTACCATTCTGTTTTGGTTACTGTAGCCTTGTAGTATTATTTGAGGTCAGGTAGTGTGGTACCTCCAGCTTTGTTCTTTTTGCTTAGGATTGTCTTGACTATGTGGGCTCTTTTTCGGTTCCATATGAAATTTAAAGTAATTTTTTCCAATTCTGTGAAGTAAGTCAACGGTAGCTTGATGGGGATAGAATTGCATCTATAAATTACTTTGGGCAGTATGGCCATTTTCATGATATTGATTCTTCCTATCCATTAGCAGGGAATGTTTTTCCATTTGTTTGTGTCCTCTCTTATTTTCTTGAGCAGTAGTTTATAGTTCTCCTTGAAGAGGTCCTTCACACCCCTTGTAAGTTGTGTTTCTAGATATTTTATTCTCTCTGTAGCAATTGTAAATGGGAGTCCACTCACAATTGGCTCTCCATTTGTTATCGGTATATAGGAATGCTCGTGATTCTTGCACATTGATTTTGTATCCTGAGACTTTGCTGAAGTTGCTTATCAGCTTAAGGAGATTTTGGGCTGAGATGATGGGGTTTTCTGAATATAAAATCATGTCATCTGCAAAAAGAGACAATTTGACTTCCTCTTTTCCTAGTTGAATACGCTTTATTTCTTCCTCTTGCCTGATTGCCCTGGCCAGAACTTCCAATACGATGTTGAATAGGAGTAGTGATAGAGGGCATCCTTGTCTTGTGCCAGTTTCCAAAGGGAATGCTTCCAGTTTTTGCCCATTTAGTATGGTATTGGCTATGGGTTTGTCATAAACAGCTCTTATTATTTTGAGATATGTTCTGTCAATACCTAGTTTATTGAGAGTTTTTAGCATGAAGGGCTGTTGAATATTGTCGAAGGCCTTTTCTGCATCTATTGAGATAATCTTGTGGTTTTTGTCATTGATTCTGTTTACTGATTTGTGTATGTTGAACCAGCCTTGCATCCCCGGGATGAAGCCCACTTGATCGCGGTGGATAAACTTTGATGTGCTGATGGATTCGGTTTGCCAGCATTTTATTGAGGGTTTTCACATGCATGTTCATCAGGGATATTGGCCTGAAATTTTCTTTTTTTTGTTGTGTTTCTGCCAGGTATTGGTATTAGGATGATGCTTTCCTCATAAAATGAGTTAGGAAGGATTCTGTTGTTTGGAATAGTTTCAGAAGTAATGGTACCAGCTCCTCTTTGTATCTCTGGTGGAATTTTGCTGTGAATCTCTCTGCTCCTGGACTGTTTTTGGTTGGTAGGCTATTAATTGCTGCCTCATTTTAGAACTTACTATTGGTCTATTCAGGGATTCAATTTCTTCCTGGTTTAGTCTTGGGAGGGTGTATGTGTCCAGGAACTTATCCATTTCTTCTAGATTTTCTAGTTTATTTGCATAGAGGTGTTTACAGTATTCTCTCATGTTAGTTTGTATTTCTGTGGGATCGTTGGTTATATCCCCTTTATCATTTTTATTGCATCTATTTTGTTCTTCTCTCTTTTCTATTAGTCTTGCTAGCAGTCTATCTATTTTGTTGATCTTTTCAAAAAACCAGCTCCTACATTCATTGATTTTTTGATGGGTTTTTCATGTCTCTTTCTCCTTCAGTTCTGCTCTGATCTTAGTTATTTCTTGCCTTCTGCTAGCTTTTGAATTTGTTTGCTCTTCCTTCTCTAGTTCTTTTAATTGTGATGTTAGGTTGTCAATTTTAGATCTTTCCTGCTTTCTCTTATGAGCATTTAGTGCTGTAAATTTCCCTCTACACACTGCTTTCAATGTGTCCCAGAGATTCTGGTACGTTGTGTCTTTGTTCTCATTTGTTTCAAAGGACATCTTTATTTCTGCCTTCATTTCGTTACTTACCCAGTAGTCATTCAGGAGCAGGTTCATCAGTTGCCATGTAGTTGTGTGGTTTTGAGTGAGTTTCTTAATCCTGAGTTCTAATTTGATTACACTGTGTTCTGAGAGACTGTTTGTTATGATTTCATTTCCTTTGCATTAGCTGAGGAGTGTTTTATTTCCAATTATGTGGTCAATTTTAGAATAAGTGTGATGTGGTGCTGAGAAGAATGTATATTCTGTTGATTTGGGGTAGAGAGTTCTGTAGATGTCTATTTGTTCTGCTTGGTCTAGAGCTGTGTTCAAGTCCTGGATACCCTTGTTAATTTTCTGTCTTGTTGATCTGTCTAATATTGACAGTAGGGTGTTAAAGTCTCCCACTATTATTGTGTGGGAGTCTAAGTCTCTTTGCAGGTCTCTAAGAACTTGCTTTATGAATCTTGGTATTCCTGTATTAGGTGCATATACATTTAGGATAGTTAACTCTTCTGTTTGCATTGATGCCTTTACCATTATGTAATGCCCTTCTTTGTCTCTTTTGATCTTTTTTGGTTTAAAGTCTGTTTTATCAGAGACTAGTATTGCTACCCCTGCTCTTTTCTTTTTTTTTTTTTTTTTTTTTTTGCTTTTCCATTTGCTTGGTAAATATTCCTCCATCTCTTTATTTTGAGCCTACATGTGTCTTTGAACGTGAGATGGGTCTCCTGAATACAGCACACTGATGGGTCTTGACTCTTTATCCAATTTGCCAGTCTGTGTCTTTTAATTGGAGCATTTAGCCCATTTACATTTAAGGTTAATATTGTTATGTGTAAATATGACCCTGCCATTATGATGCTAGCTGGTTATTTTACCTGTTAGTTGATGCAGTTTCTCCATAGCATCGATGGACTTTACAATTTGGTTTGTTTTTGCAGTGGCTGGTACGGGTTGTTCCTTTCCATGTTTAGGGCTTCCTTCAGGAACTCTTGTAGGGAAGGCCTGGTGGTGACAAAATCTCTCAGCATTTGCTTGTCTGTAAAGGATTTTATTTCTCCTTCGCTTATGAAGCTTAGTTTGGCTGGATATGAAATTCTGGGTTGAAAATTATTTTCTTTAAGAATGCTGAATATTGGCCCCCACTCCCTTCTGGCTTGTAGGGTTTCTGCCAAGAGATCCGCTGTTCATCTAATGGGGTTCCCTTTGTGGGCAAACTGACCTTTCTCTCTGGCTGCTCTTAATATTTTTTCCTTCATTTCAACCTTGGCGAATCTGACAATTTTGTGTCGTCGGTTTGCTCTTCTCGAGGAGTATCTTTGTGGTGTTCTGTATTTCCTGAATTTGAATGATGGCCTGCCTTGCTAGGTTGGGGAAGTTCTCCTGGATAATATACTGAAGAGTGTTTTCCAACTTTCTTCCATTCTTCCCATCAGTTTCAGGTACACCAGTCAAATGTGGATTTGGTCTTTTCATATGGTCCTATATTTCTTAGAGGCTTTGTCCATTTCTTTTCACTCTTTTTTCTCTAATCTTGTCTTCTCAGTTTATTTCATTGAGTTCATCTTCAATGTCTGATATCCTTTCTTCCATTAGATCAATTTTGCTATTGATACTTGTGTATGCTTCATGAAGTTCTAGTGCTGTGTTTTTCAGCTCCATCTGGTCATTTATGTTCTTCTCTAAACTGGTTATTCTAGTTAGCAAATCCTCTAACCTTTTTTCAAGGTTCTTAGCCTCCTTGCACTTGGTTAGAATGTGCTCCTTTAGCTTGGAGGAGTTTGTTATTACCCACCTCCTGACGCCTACTTCTGTCAGTTTGTCAATACCCACCTCCTGACGCCTACTTCTGTCAGTTTGTCAAACTCATTCTTTGTCCAGTTTTGTTCCCTTGCTGGTGAGGAGTTGTGATCCTTTGGAGGAGAAGAGGCATTCTTGTTTTTGGAATTTTCAGCCTTGTTGTGCTGGTTTCTCCCTATCTTTGTGGATTTAGCTACCTTTGGTCTTTGAAGTTGGTGACCTTTGGCTGGGGTCTCTGAGTGGACGTCCTTTTTGTTGATATTGATACTATTCCTTTCTGTTTGTTAGTTTTCCTTCTAACAGTCAGGCTGCTCTGTTGCAGGTCTGCTTGAGTTTACTGGAGGTCCACTCCAGACTCTGTTTGCCTGGGTATCACTGGCAGAGGCAAAGATTGTTGCCTGTTCTTCCTTTGGAAGCTTCATCCCAGAGGGGCACCCACCAGATGCCAGCCAGAGCTCTCCTGTTTGAGGTGTCTGTTGGCTTCTACTGGGAGATGTGTCCCAGTCAGGATACACAGGGGTCAGGGACCCACTTGAGGAGGTTTTCTGTCCCTTATCAGAGCTCAAACACTGTGCTGGGATATCCACTGCTCGCTTCAGAGCTGCCAGGCAGGGATGTTTAAGTCTGCTGAATCTGCACCCACAACCACCCCTTTCCCCAGGTGCTCTGTCCCAGGGGTGGGGGGGTTTTATCTATACGTCCCTGACTGGGGCTGCTGTCTTTTTTTTTCAGAGATGCCCTGTCCAGAGAGGAGGGAATCTAGAGAGAGGCAGTCTGGCTGCAGTGGCCTTGCTGAGGTGAGGTGGGCTCCACCTAGTTCGAAGTTCCCAGCGACTTTGTTTACATTGTGAGGGTTAAACCACCTACTCAAGACTCAGCAATGGTGGACGCCCCTCCCCCTACCAAACTCAAGCATCCCAGGTGGAGCTCAGACTGCTGTGGTAGCAGCAAGAATTTCAAGCCAGTAGATCTTAGCTTGCTGGGCTCTGTGGGATGGGACCTGCTGAGCCAGACTACTTGGCTCCCTGGCTTCAGCCCCTCTTTCCAGGGAAGTGAACGGTTCTGTCTCACTGGCATTCCAGGAGCCACTGGGGCATGAAGAAAAAACTCCTGCGGCTAGCTCTGTGTCTGCCCAAATGGCCGCCCAGTTTTGTGCTGGAAACCTAGGGCCCTGGTGTCATCTGCACCAGAGGGAATCTCCTGGTCTGCGGGTTGTGAAGACTGTGAGAAAAGCACAGTATCTAGGCCAGAGTGCACGGTACAGTCCCAGTTGGCTTCCTTTGGCTAGGACACGGAGTTCTTTGACCCCTTGCACTTCCTGGGTGAGATGATGACCCACCTTGCTTCACCTTGCCCTCCTTGGGCCGTATCCACTGTCCAGCCTGTCCCAATGAGATGAACCAGGTACCTCAGTTAGAAATGCAGAAATCACCCGCCTTCTGTGTCAATCTCGCTGGGAGCTGCAGACTGGAACTGTTCCTATCCAGCCATCTTGCCAGCAGTACCCCCTGCATTTATTTTTATAACAGGTTCTTTCCTTGACAAATTACATGTCTGAATTCCTGAGGAAAATATTTTACATGAACTCAAGGAAACTTTTGTTAAGACTATCCCATTATTAATGACTTTTTCACTCTTTATTAACTTGAAGGGAAGTTTTGTAGGAAAAATAGAAGACTGTTCTGAGTACTTATTGATTTTGTTTTCCCTATCCTTTGTGGAAAGGAGCACATTATGAATTAAGCTGCTTGAGTTCAATATAAAGTTCCAGTAAATAATGCTTGGATCTTGAATCTTGTCACTAATCTAAAAGTCCAAGTTCCACAAAAATTGCCTGCTTACCAACCAGATAATTCAAATTATTAAAATATAGGGTGGTGTACTTGCTTTCTCTACCCACAATTTACTTTTATTCTTTTAGTTTAATGAACTTAAAATGATTTCAAGTGATCTATATGCTTGTTTCTATTCTTTAAGTACTAGAAAATCATGTTTCCTGCATTAAAAAAGGTGATATTTTATTCTCAGAGAACAGAAATTGCCTCAGTTGACTGTTTTTGAGACCAATTTATTATCAAATAGGTCTAAGTAACAATGTTTCTAGAAGTCATTACTTTTGATAATAGACCTTTAAATTTTAATTGGTTGTTAGCTGAGAAAATAGCAGCTGCACAACTCTGAATCTATCCACATAAACTTCAAATATCATGCCTTGAGTATATATAGAAGACAGAAACAAAATAAACATCAAATTACCTCTATATAGAAAAGTAAACTCCAATTTCCAGAAGAGCTGTTTCCAGAAGAGCTATTTCCAGAGGTCTTGCTCCAAGACTTACAAAGGATTAGCTGGGTCCATGGAAGGAGTATGAGTAAAAAAAGAGCTAAAATCACCCCCAGAAAGAGAAAACCCATGCTACGTGCAAAAATAATGAAGAAGAATCTTGTAGATCATATAACATTTACAGGGAAGGGACCTGCAAGTGAATGGGATTCAAAGTATTAATCTTAGAAACAGTGCTTCTGAGAGAAGTAAGAGTGAAAAGAAAGTGAGTGGTGGTATCGTTTAGAGACTGAGTGGTAAAAGAAAAAAAGGAGCAAGAGAGGAAATTTAAGATCCTGAAAGACATGCGCACAAAGGTAAATACATAGATGAATATTTTAAAAGGTCAATCTTAAGTAAAATGATGAAGAGAAAAAAGAAGCATGATAGGAGAATTTAGAATCCTGAAAAACACAAAATATAAGACACAAGATACAAAAATATATTAACATTTATACTCTGATAACAGAGAATATACATTTTCTTAAGAGGCACATGGAAGATTCATAAAACTTGATCAAATGTCAGATTATGTTGAAACTATAAATAAGCTTTAGAAAGTAGAAATATTGGCAACAATCAAAATGCCCATAGATAAGAGAGTGATTGAATAAACGTTCCTATATACACACAATGAATAACCGTGCACCTATAAAAATAACAATGTTAATCTCTATAAACTAATATATAGTGATTTTTAAGTGAGAAGAAAAAGCAAAAAGTAAAATATTGTACATAAAATGGTACTTTTGTGAAAAAGGGGAGTAGAAATAAGAAAGTATATCTAGGCATGCTTATTTTTGCAAAAAGAAACATGGAAGGATAAACTAAGAAACAATGTAAGTCATTCCCTTTTAAAGGAGGGCAGGGATGAGGTAGAAGTCTTCCAGTATGCTATTTCTACTTCTCTGACTCTAGTTTTTGTGTACAAGTTTGATTTATTGACTCATGTTAAGTTTTGCATATTTAATAAAATAAAATAGAATGGGAGAAATTCTAAAATAAAATTAAAAAAAACAGAAACAAACAAACTCCTAAGGGCATCAAAGCAGATAAAGGCAAACAAACAAACAAACTGATCCAAAAGATAGCAACTTTAAAAATTAAAAGAACATCAGCCCACACAGATGAGAAACAGTCAGTGCAAGAACTCTGGCAACTCAAAAAGCCAGAGTGTTTTCTCACCTCCACACAATTGCACTTCTTCCCCAGCAATAGTTTTTAACCAGGCTGAAGTGGCTGAAATGACAGAAATAGAACTCAGGATATGGATATGAATGGATATCATTTGGATTCAGAAAGTTGAAACCCAGTCCCAGGAGTCTAAGGAATACAGTAAAACATACAGGAGACAAAAGACAAAATGGTGATTTTAAGAACAAACCAAACTGATCTGACAAACATACCTCAAAAATCTTATAATACAATTACAAGTATTAATAGAAGAATAGACCAAGCTGAGGAAAGAATCTCAGAACCTGAAGTGTGGTTCTCCAAAATCACTGAGTTAGGAAAAATATACAGAAAAAAGAATAGAGCAGAATAAACGTAGCCTCCAAGAAATATGGTATTGTGTAAAGAGAGCAAATCTACAACTTATTGGCATCTCTGAAAGATAGGAAGAGAAAGCAAGTAACTTGGAAAATATATTTGAGGATATCATCCATAAAAATTTCCCCAACCTTGCTATAGAGGCCAACATTCAAATTCAGAAATGCAGAGAATCCCTGCAAGACACTATACAAGATGATCATATCCAAGACACATAGCCATCAGATTCTCCAAGTTCAAAATGAAAGAAAAAGTGTTAAAAGCAGCTAGAGAGAAGGGGCAGGTCACTTACAAAGGGAACCCCATCAGGACGACAGCGGACCTTTCTGTAGGAACCCTACAAGCCAGTTGAGATTGAGGGCCTATATTCAGCATTTTTAAAGAGAAGAAATTTCAGACAAGTATTTCATATCTAGACAAGTTAAGCTGCATAAATGAAGGAGAAATAAGATCCCTTTCAGACAAGCAACTGCTAAGTGAATTCATTATCACAATACCTGACTTACAAGAGGCCCTTAAGGTAGTGCTAAATATGGAAAGGAAAGATTGTTCCTTTCCTTATATAGCACCATAAAACCACACTTAAGTACATAGACCATTGCCACTGTAAAGCAATGATACAATCAAGTCTACATAATAACCAGCTACCAACACAATGACCAGATCAAATCTGCAAATATCAATATTAACCTTGAATGTAAGTAAACAGGCTAAATGCTCCAATTAAAAGGCACACAGTGGCAAGTTGGATAAAGAATAAAGACTCAACTATATGTTGTCTTCAAGAGACCCAACTCATATGCAATGACACTCATAGGCTCAAAGTAAAGGGATGGAGAAAAATCTACCAAGCAAATGGAAACAGAAAAATGCAGGGATTGCTATTCTAATTACAGACAAACCAGACTTTAAGCCAAAAAAGATCAAAAAAGACAAAGAATGGTATTACATAATGTTAAAGGGTTCAACTCAACAAGAATACTTAACTATTGTAAATATATTTTGCACCCAGCACAGAAACACCCAGATTCGTAAAGCAAGTTCTTAGGAGACCTATGACAAGACTTAGATAACCACACAATAACAGTGGGAGAGTTCAACACCCCTCTGACAGTATTAGACAGATCATAGAGGAAGAAAACTAACAAAGATATTCAAGACCTGAACTTGACACTTGACTAAAGAAACCTAACAGACACCTTCAGAACACTCCATGTGAAAACAACAGAATAGAGATTCTTCTCATCTGAATATACTCTAGAACTGACCACACAATTTCCCATAAAACAATCCTTAGCAAATTCAAAAAACCCAAAATCATACCAACCACAATCTTGAAATACAGTGCAATAAAAATAGAAGTCAATACTAAGAAAATCACTTAAAAGCATACAATTACATGAAAATTAAAGAACCTGCTCCTGAATGATTTTGGGGAAAATAATAAAATTTAGGCAGAAATCAAGAAATTATTTGAAAATAATGAGAGCAAATATACAACATACCATAATCTCTGGGACACAGATAAAGCAGTGTTAAGAGGAATGTTTATAGTGCTAAATGCCCACATCAAAAAGTTAGAAACATCTCAAATTAACAATTTCACATGACACATAAACCAGAGAAACAAGAGCAAACCAGCCCTAAAGATGGCAGAAGACAGGAAATAATCAAAATCAGAGCTGAACTAAAGGAAGTTGAGGTGCAAAAAAACTATACAAAAGATTAACAAATCCAGGAGATGGTTCTTTCAAAGAATAAGTAAGATTGATAAATACTAGCTAGACTAATAAAGAATAAAAGAAGATTCAAATACACATAATCAGAAATGACTAAGGGGACGTTACCAGTGAACTGACAAAAACACAAAAACCTTCAGAGACTACTGTGAACACCTCTATGCACAAGTGAGAAAATCTATAAGAAATAGAAAAATTCCTGGAAACATCCCACCTCCCAAGACTGAACTAGGAAGCAATTGAATCCTTGAAAAGAATAACAAGTTCTGAAATTGAATTGGTAATAAAATATCTACCAACCACTAAAAGCCCAGGACCAGAAAGATTCACAACCAAATTCTACCACATGTATACAGAAGAGCTGGTACCATTCCTACTAAAACTATGCTAAGAAATTGAGGAGGAAGGACTTCTCCCTGTCTCATTCTACCAGACCAGCGTCATCCTGATATCAAAACCTGACAGAAACAATACCAAAAAAAAGAAAAAGAAAGGAATAGAAGACTTTAGGCCAATACCTTTGATGCACATATATGTAAAAATCCTCAACAAAATGCCAGCAAATTAAAATCAGCAGTGTATCAAAAAAGATATCCAATATTATCAAATAGGCTTTATCCCTGGGATGCAAGGTTGGTTCAACATATACAAATCAATAAATGTGATGCATTACATAAACAGAAAAAACAAAAATCTCATGATCATCTTAATAGATATAGAAAATACTTTCAATAATATTCAATAATAAATTTCAGTAATATTCAACATCTCTTTATAATAAAAAATTTCAATGAACTAGGTCTGAAGGAACATACCTCAAAATAGTAAGAGTCATCTATGACAAACCGACAGCTGACATCACACTAAATGAGCAAAAGCTAGAAGAATTCTCCTTGAGCACAAAAAGAAGACAAGGATGCCCATTCTTACCACTCCTATTCAACATAGTTTGGGAAATACTAGCCAGAGCAATCAGGCAAAAGAAACAAATGAAAAGCATCCAAATAGAAAGAGAGGAAATCAAATTATCTATTTCTGTTTGCAGATGATACGATTCTATAGCTTAAAAACACCATAGTCTCTGCCCAAAAGTTCCAAGATGTGATAAACAACTTCAGCAAAGTTTCAGGACACAAAGTCAATGTACAAAATTCAATAGCTTTCCTATACAGCAACAACATCCAAACTGAGAGCCAAATCAAGAATACAATCCCATTCATAATAGCCACAGAAGAATAAAATACCTAGGAATACAGCTAACTAGGGTGGTGAAAGATCTCTACGATGAGAATTACAAAATACTTCTTAAAGAAATTAGAGATGACACAAAAAAGGAAACAGCATTTCATGCTCATAGATAGGAAGAATCTAATATTTTTAAACTGGCTATACTTCCAAAGCAATTTACAGATTTAATTCTATTCCTATTAAACTACCAGTGACATTCTTCACGGAATTAGAAAAAAAATACTATTCTATAATTCAACAGGCAATCCTAAGTGAAAAGAATAAACCTGGAGGCATTGTATTACCCAAATTCAAACTATGCTACCAGGCTCCAGTAACCAAAACAGCATGATACTGGCACAAAAACAGACACACTGACCAATGGAACAGACAAGAAAGCCCAGAAATAAGGCTGCATATCTTCAACCATCTGACTTTTGGTGGGTGAAGATAGAAAAACTACCAGGTACTATGCTTGTTACCTGGGTGACAAAATAATATGTACACCAAATGCCCATGACACACAATTTATCTATATGATGAACTTGCACACGTACTCCTGAACTTAAAAGTAAAAAAAAAAAAAAAAAATTGGTAGCAGTTCTGTACACCAAGCTGAGAATAAAATCAAGAACACAATCTTCTTTACAATAGTCAACAAAAATTAAATACTAAGGACTACATTAACCAAGGGGGTGAAAGAACTCAAGAAAAACTACAAAAGATCTCATAATTTCACCTTGTGAAACTTTCCTTGTGCTTTGAAGGAAAACTTGTAGTTTTACCTCCTTGCTGTAAGATCTCTACAAGGAGAACTACAAAACACTAATGAAAGAGATTGTAGATGACACAAACAAATGAAAAAATAACCTATGCTCAGGGATTTGAAGAATCAATATCATTAAAATAGCTTACTTCCCAAAGCAATCTACAGTTTCAATACCATCCTATCAAATCGCCAGTGTCAGTTTCACAGAATTAGAAAAAGACTGTTCTAAAAGTCATATGGACAAAAAAAAAAAAAAAAAAAAAAAAAAAAAGAATACAAATAGCTAAAGCAATCAAGCAAAAAGAACAAAGCTAGAGGCATCATCATACCACCTGACTTCAAATTGCACTACAGGGCTATCTATAGTAACCAAAACAACATGGTACTGGTATAAAAATAGACATGTAAATCAATGTAACAGAATAGAGACTGTATAAATAAAGCCACGTACCTACACCCAACTGATCTTTGACCAAGTCCACAAAAGTAAACGATGGGGAAAGGACATTCTATTCGATAAATGGTGCTGGGAAAATTGGATAGCCATATGCAGAAGAATGAAACTGAACCTCTGTTTCTCAGAACATAAAAAAATTAACTCAACATGGATTAAAGAGTTAAATGTAAGACCAAAATTACAAAAATCCTAGAGGAAAACCTGGGAAAAACTTTTCTGACCTTGGTCTAGGCAACAAATGTATGACTAAGACATCAAAAGCAAATCCTACAAAATGAAAAATGAATAAATGGGAGTTAAACTGAAAATCTTCGTGTGTGTGTGTGTGTGTGTGTGTGTGTGTGTGTGTGTGTGTCAGAGTCTCATTCTGTCACCCGGGCTGGAATGCAGCGGCGTGATCTAGGGTCACTGCAACCTTCACCTCTCAAGTTAAAGCGATTCTCCTGCCTCAGCCTCATGAGTAGCTGGGATTATAGGCTCACACCACCACGCCTGGCTAATTTTTGGTATTTTTAGTAGAGACAGGGTTTCACCATGTTGGCCAGGCCAGTCTCAAACTCCTGGCCTCAAGTGATCCGCTTGCCTAGGCTTCCCAGTGCTGGGATTACAGGCATGAACCACTGCACCCAGCCTAAAAATCTTCTGAACAGCGAAAGAAATAATCAACAGAGTAAACAACCTATATAATGGGAAAAATATTTGCAAACAATGTCTCTGACAAAGGACTAATATCCAGAAAATGACAATTTAGACGTGGACTGTACATGACATAATTCCAAGTGTCAGTGTTAAATTTTCTGATTTTGATAATTTCACTGTGTTATAAAAAAGAATGTTCTTGTTATTAGTAAATACCCCTGATGAATTTACGGGTAAATGAGAACAATGTTAGTAATTTATATTTAAATAATTCAGAAAAATACTTCCTTCTCTCTCTTTTTCTTTTTCTTTCTCTTGTATGTTCGTATATTTTAGGGAGAGAGATAATAATAAAGCCAATGGGGTAAAATAAATATTCTAAATCTGGGTAAGTGGTATTCAGTTGTTCTTTAAACTATTCTTGCAAAATTTCTGTAACCTTGGAATTATATTAAAATTTAAAATTAATAAAACATTAATTTGTATTCCCCAAATTAAAGAGCTCATTCTACTAAAATAATAAATAGTATATTGTCAATTAGTTTTTTTCTGATGAGATGATTTAGGATGTACAGTTCCTCAAAACATGCATTTTTATTTCCATGTAGTAGTATAGCTTGCTTTTTCAGGGCTAATTTCTACTTTGATTGATTAATTGAAGCCTCTAAATTGTGATTGGTTGGTGTCCTTGATGTTTTGTAAATATGTTAAATAACATACTTCTATTTCTATGACCACAGTTACAAAGAGTAACTCTTGCATTAAAACTTTCCAGCCAAAATTATTTAGGACAAATTTCATGAAATAGAAACTTAAGGTTTTATTTGTCTTTGTTGAGTTCTTAATATTTTAAGCACAAATCTGTACTTTATTTAATTTTCTGGTGCTGTTTCTAATACATCAAGAAGATTATTTGACAATTAGATTGCTGATATCAATTTCTTTTTCATTTTCTAAACCTTGTATTTATGAATTTTTAGGCTACTATCATTTGGTTCAAACAGATTGATAGTATAATTTGTAACATATTATGCCTTTTATCATAACTGTCTCTCTTTTTCTTTGTACATTTTTTTGCTTTAATATAATCTTATCAGGTATATTTTCACGTTTTTAATTTAAGCCATCATAAGTCACTTTGTTTTGGGTATGTTTTTTGTAAATGTCATACAAATTGGGTTGTAATTATTTATACCATTTGAAAAATGGTCCTTTCCTCCATCGATATTAGTTTCTTAATGTTTCCTTATTGTTCACTTTCCTTTCTATCATTTGCTCTACAGTTTTCATTTTTCTTTCTTTTTTAATATTTCTGATTGTTTGAAAATAAGCAGTGTATTCCTCATTCTTCTAATGGATACCTTATAAAATTAATAACTAAAGCAGTATGTCTTGTTTTCTCTGTCTTAGACATGAAAAAATCTATAAATTTGCTGATATAAAACATGAAGAAAAATGTGTTTCTTTAAAACTGTCCTCTTTAATTACATCTTCCAGAAGTGTTCTTCCTCTAAAAGAAGACTTCTAATTTCTGTTGGTAAGCTTAGGAAGGTTTTCCTATAATTACATAGTTTTTCTTTCAGTAGATATAACATTCACATTCCCTAATTTAAACTTCTCATCCTTGTTTAGCCTTAAATATATATTTAAATAGATTAATTGCTTGCCATTAACATTTATAAAGCAGGCTTTTCACTTTTTAGTCTATTATTTTGATTCTTTTCTAGTTGGCTGTTTTAAACAAGATTTTTAATTTTTTTAATTATGTTTTTTGGTAGGTTGCATAGGTACTAAATTACCAGAGTTCTTGCATGCTGTGAATCTGCCACCTTTGTACATGAATGACAATTTGGTGGCATTAAGTTTGTTTGGCCACACTTTTTTTCTTCAAAACTTTTAGACATTATTCCATTTCTTTCTGATAATGAGCATTGCCATGAAGATGTTTTAGACAAGACTTAGGTTATTTGTGTGTGTTTGTGCTTGTGTGTGTATGTGAGCATGTGTGTGTAAGCATCTAAAACTTTCTTGTTTTATACCTTCTTGTACATATTTCTTGGTTGTTCATGGTGTATTACATCCAAGAATTTATGCATTTTAATAAAGCGAGTTTATTGTAGAATGCAAGGATAGTTCAGAATTTTAAACAATCGGTGTAATTTATCACATTAACATATTAAAGAATAGCAAAGAATTAGACATAAAAGCTGAAAATAATTTCACAAAATGAACATTCGTTTATGATTTTTTAAAATCTCATAAAATTTTGAGTAAATATAAATCAAAAGCCTATAGTAATATTATAATTAATGGTAAGACTTTTAAAGATCCCCACTAATTTTTTTTAAAATGCAAGGTTTTCTATCAATCCATTTCAACAATAAATATTATTCTGGAAAGCCTGAAATATAATAAAACAAACTGAAGGAATAAAAATACAGACTACCAAGAAAAAGCCCAAGCTGTTTTGCTAAGATTTATACATAGCACAATTTTGCAGCAGATATCTATAGGTAAAATTATTTAACTCTCTAATAATGATGTTCAGATAGATAAATGGTGATGCCATTGTGTGAGTTAAGGAAACACTAGACAAGTTATGGATTTAGGAATGGGGATAGAATTTGCTCTATTTTGATATAGTGACTTTGAAATGCCTGTTCAACTTTCAAGTAAGTTTGTTGGGATTTGTTGAGAGAGCAGTTGCGTTTCTACACATGAAACTCAGAGGATAACTCTTAGCTAGAGTAATATTCAATACACCTAGGATATAGTAGCATGCAGATAGTAATTAAAATCATGGGATTTCTTTGAATGAAAACATGGAAGAATACTTCTCAAAAGTTTGGTGCCAAGACCATACATTAGAAAATCATGGTAAACTTATTAAAATTTATATTCCAAAGCTGCTTCTTAACTTATTGAACAGTACAGAACACTGATAATTTGGGGGTGTAAACTATTGATGAAAGAATAATACATAAATAATACATAAACAATACTTCTGATTACTGTTTGATTTTCATTGATTTTTGCTAGTTTTTAATACCACAGTTTCCTACTTCCTGAGTTATTCATTTCTGATGTATTTTGTATATCTTTTGATGTATGCATTTCTTAGCTGAAATATTCTAAATCATGTGTTGAGGAATGTAAAACTGGTGACTTTCCTAAATATTAGTATATCTAAGAAAATTGGCTTCTTTATCTTACATATCACTTTTTTTTTAACTACAAAACTCTACAATCATTGCTCCTCTGCTCCTGAAACATAAGGTAACTGAGAATCTAAAGCAAACCATGCTTTCCTTCATACGTAGAAAGTCTAATTTTTTTTCTTCATTGAGGGTATGATGTTTCTTTATGCTAAAATGTTACTTGAAAACCTGGATATGTTTTCTTATTAAGTTTTTATTATTGTAACCAGGTTCTTTATGGGTACTTTCAATCAGAAGATACAAAAGAAAATATCCAGAGCTAGAAAGAATAAAATTATTTTATTGATTTTGTCTTACACCTTCTATGTTTGTTTGTTTGTTTGTTTTGCCTTTTATGAGAGTCTATTATTGTACTTTAGGACTCCTAAATTTGTTTTCAAAATACCTCATAATGTTCTTCTCTTTGTTCTTTCTTAAATTTATCTTCTTGCTAAGGAAGTATATATACTTTCTCTATTGTAGGTTATATTTCAGCATTTTCAATTTTGTTTTTGTCTGTTACAGAAAAATTCCTTCTCTCAAGATTTTCCTTTGTGTCATGAATTTTTTATCCACTTTAAAAATTAAAACATTTATTCAGTTTTATTGGGTTCAAGTCAAATAAAGTTTACTATATTTTTCCATTTCTTGCTGTAAATGTATTCAGTGAGAAGTGCTTATTTTTATTCTTCAAGATTGACCTTATTTTTTATCTGATTTTTATAGCAATTTACATCTGTACATCTTTACAGATGACAAACAAGAAAAACAAATGGCAAAATATGAAAATATCTCATCTCAGTAGCAAATATATGTAAAGAATAGCAGCAAATTAATATTTTGCCCATCAAATTGACATGTATTAAAAAGTAAAATTATATGTTCGTGAAAATGTAAATTGATAAAACTGTAAAGAAAAGTTATTTATCATACTTCTTAGTTCTGCTTTAACAGATAAAGAATTTAGAGGTCAAGACTACAATTCTTACAACAATAAAGAAGCTGAAAAAACTAAAAATTAACCAGAGAATTGAAGTCACAACTGGACTGAATACAGAGGATCAGAGCTTACAAGGAGCAGGGACCCTCCACTCAAATTAGCAACTGGTAGAAACAATTAAATGACAATTGACTAATCACTAGAGCCTAAGCCATGGGCTAGCTTGGGAGTTAAAAATTCTAGAGGAATGCACCTTAGGATGACCCTACATTTTTGTGAGATTTGCCTCCAGGTACTCCATTAGGTTCTTAAGTAAAGATTGAAGAAAAATCACCTCATGCTTCCAGCAGGGAAAAAGAAAGAGTAATCATTCTGAAATCTGCCCATAGAGTCCTATTCTCCCTGGAAAGGGCCAGCTTTGGGGGAAACTACTTTGCTTGATTTTTGTCTGACTGAGAAGGGCAAATGGAACAACTGAAGTCCCTTCCAGTCTTCCTGTCTCACATGCAGTGAGAACAAAAGGTAGAAAACTGTTCTGAAGGTCATAGTCCAGAGAATGAGGTCCACTAAAAAAAATGGAGATATAAGCATGAGATTATAGAATACTTCTCTTCAAAACTTTACCACCATATCCTCAGAGCTCCAGTATAATATCAGTGGATCACAACTGGAAGAGCTGAAAGACATAGACTCTATTTAAGAAGGAGTTTCAAAAAAAAAAAAAAAAAAAAAACTAAGAAAAACAGAGAAGATGGAAACAAACACATTAGAGAAAATTTTAGCCATTAATGCCTAAAGCTAAGTCAAACAGTAAATGCAGCCATACTTCTAACAAGATAAATATAAAAATTCATAGTAAAGGCCTATTTACTTCTGTTTCTTTTATCCAATACATCATATCCATCTTTCAACAAAAGTTACAAAGCATGCTAAAAGAAAGGAAGAAAATATAGTTTGAAAATATAAAGAAAGCATCAGAATTAGGCTTGGATATAGCAGATTTTGCAATTATCAGATTGAAAATTTAAAATTACTACAATTAATATGCTAAGAACTCAAATAGACAAAGTAGATTGCCTGTAAGAACAAATAGAAGATAATGTAATCAGAGACTAGATATTCTGAGAAAGAATCAAGAGGAAATGCTAGATATTAAAAACACCGTAATGAAATAAAGAATATCTTTGCTGGGCTTATCAATAGACTGGACATCACTGTGGAAAAAAAAATGGTGAGCTTAAAGATATGTCAGTAGAAACTACCAAAACTAAAAGAAAAATAATTTAAAGAGAAAAAAGAATATAAAAGAATTGTGGGTGAATTTCAAAAAGTATAATGTACATATAATGGGAATAAAGGAAGAAAAAGTCAGAAGCAAAAATATATGTGAGGTAATAATGGCAAGAGGTTTCTAAAATTAATGGCAGACATCAAACGACTGACTCAGGAAGCTCAGAGACAACAAAGCAGGATATATATAAAAAGATCTCACATATCATATTCAAACTTCAGCAAACCAAAGACAAGGAGTAAATATGGAAAGAATTCAGAAAAAAAAACTTACCTGTAGAAGAAAAAGGATAAGGATTACATTGGACTTCCCTTCAGAAATCATTTAAGCAAGAATAAATTGGAAGTTGTGTTGAAATAAGAAAACATCAATTTAGAATTCTGCATACAGAGATATCACTCTTTAAAAGTAAAAGAGTAAAAGATTTTCTCAAACAGAAACTGAAAGAATTTGCTACCAGTAGACCTACCTTGCAATAAATATTAAAATAGGAAAATGTTATAGGTTGGGAACTTGAAGCTACAAAAAGAAAGAGTAAGCATAAGGGAAAGAATAAATCAAGATAAATAAAATCTTTTATTTTTCTTATTTTTAATTTATCTATTTAATATAACATTTAATAGCAACAACATATTGAGTGCAATTACAGTTGTGAATAAGTGAAATTAATGATAGCAATATTATAAAGGACAAGAGGAAAGAATTGGGAACACTTTGTTATAAGATACCAGCACTACCCATGAAGTGGTATAGTGTTATTTGAAAGTAGACTTGATTTCAAAATAAATGTATGTTAATACTTGAGGGTAAACCACTAAAATAATTTTTAAGGAACATAGTTCACATGGTAACAAAAGAGAGAAATGTAATTATAAAATGCTCAGTTAAAACCAGAGAAGGCAGAGAAAGATGGTAATCGGAAAAAGAAATAAACAACAAATGCAATGAATAGAAAAGACTTACAAACATGATAGATATTAACCCAATTTACTTTAAACACCAGTAGTCTAAAGACATCAATTAAAACATAGAGACTGACAGAGCAGACTTAAAAAAAAAGACAATTATATGTTGTCTACAAGAAACCCACTTTAAATATAAAAACACAGATATTTCAAAATTAATGGAATAAAAACCATAGACTATACTAACACTAATCAAAAGAAAGCTGGAGCAATTTTAATTTCGGTAGAAGCAGAATTCAGAAAAAAGAAAATTATCAGGGATAAGGAGTTAATTTAAGGTAGTACAATGCATTACCTCAGTGGTCCTCAATCTTTTTGGCACCAGTAATTGGTTTTATGGAGAACAATTTTTCCATGGACAGTGGAGAAAGGGGCATGGTTATGGTTTCGGGATGAAACTGTTTCACCTCATGTCATCAGGTATTAGTTAGATTCTCATAAGGAGCGCACAACCTAGATCCCTCACATGCACAGTTTGCAATACAGTTCACACTACTTTGAGAATCTAATGCCACTGCTGATCTGATAGGAGGCAGAGCTCAGGCAGTAATGCTTGCCCTTGGGCTGCTCACCTCCTGCTGTGCAGCCCATTTCCTAACAGGCCACAGACCCTTTAATGGCCTGGGGTTGGGGACCCCTGCATTACATGATGATAAAGAGATAATTTTCCAAGAAGTTGTAAGAATCCTTAATCTGTCTGTGCCCAACAACAGGGCACCAAAAAAAAATTAGGAAAATACTGATAAAATTCCAAGGAGAAACAGATAATTCACTGTTGTATTGGAGATCTCAACATAATTCTCTCAGTAATAGGTAGATCCAGCAGGCAATATATAAATGAGGTATAATTGAACAGAATAAATCAACTGGATTTAATTGACTTTTATCAAATATTTCCTTCAACAACAGTAGACTCAATATTCTTCCCAAAGTTGCATGAATCATTCAACAAGGTAGACCATATACTGGGCCATAAAACACACCTCAAAAAAATGTAAAAGAATAGAAATTATACTTGTAGAGAATGTATATTCTAAGACCACAATGTGACAAAACTAGAAATCAATAAGAAAAAGCTAGGTGGAAACCCCTAAGATACATGGAGATTAAGCAGCACACTTCATTTATTATTATTATTATTATAACACTTTAAGTTTTAGGGTACATGTGAACAACATGAAGGTTTGTTACATATGTATATATGTGCCATGTTGGTGTGCTGCACCAATTAACTCATCCTTTAGCATTAGGTATATCTCCTAATGCTATCCCTCCACCCTCCCCCCACCCCACAACAGGCCCCAGAGTGTGATGTTCCCCTTCCTGTGTCCATGTGTTCTCATTGTTCAATTCCCACCTATGAGTGAGAACATGCGGTGTTTGATTTTTTGTTCTTGCGAGAGTTTGCTGAGAATGATGGTTTCCAGCTTCATCCATGTCCCTACAAAGGACATGAACTCATCATTTTTATGGCTGCATAATATTCCATGGTGTATATGTGCCACATTTTCTTAATCCAGTCTATCATTGTTGGACATTTCGGTTGGTTCCAAGTCTTTGTTATTGTGAATAGTGCCGCAATAAACATACGTGTGCATGTGTCTTTTAGCAGCATGATTTATAATCCTTTGGGTATATACCCAGTAATGGGATGGCTGGGTCAAATGGTATTTCTAGTTCTAGATCCCTGAGGAATCGCCACACGGACTTCCACAATGGTTGAACTAGTTTACAGTCCCACCAACAGTGTAAAGTGTTCCTATTTCTCCACATCCTCTCCAGCACCCCTTGTTTCCTGACTTTTTAATGATCGCCATTCTAACTGGTGTGAGATGGTATCTCATTGTGGTTTTGATTTGCATTTCTCTGATGGCCAGTGATGATGAGCATTTTTTCATGTGTTTTTTGGCTGCATAAATGTCTTCTTTTGAGAAGTGTTTGTTCATATCCTTCACCCACTTTTTGATGGGGTTGTTTGTTTTTTTCTTGTAAATTTGTTTGAGTTCATTGTAGATTCTGGATATTAGCCCTTTGTCAGATGAGTAGGTTGCAAAAATTTTCTCCCATTCTGTAGGTTGCCTGTTCACTCTGATGGTGGTTTCTTTTGCTGTGCAGAAGCTCTTTAGTTTAATTAGATCCCATTTGTCAATCTTGGCTTTTGTTGCCATTGCTTTTGGTGTTTCAGACATGAAATCCTTGCCCATGCCTATGTCCTTAATGGTATTGCCTAGGTTTTCTTCTAGGGTTTTCATGGTTTTAGGTCTAACATGTAAGTCTTTAATCCATCTTGAATTAATTTCTGTATAAGGTGTAAGGAAGGGATCCAGTTCCAGCTTTCTACATATGGCTAGCCAGTTTTCCCAGCACTATTTATTCGGTAGGGAATCTTTCCCCATTTCTTGTTTTTGTCAGGTTTGTCAAAGATCAGATAGTTGTAGATATGCAGCATTATTTCTGAGGGCTCTGTTCTGTTCCATTGGTTTATATCTCTGTTTTGGTACCAGTACCATGCTGTTTTGGTTACTGTAGCCTTGTAGTATAGTTTGAAGTCAGGTAGCATGATGCCTCCAGCTTTGTTCTTTTGGCTTAGGATTCACTTGGCGATGCGGGCTCTTTTTTGGTTCCATATGAACTTTAAAGTAGTTTTTTCCAATTCTGTGAAGAAAGTCATTGGTAGCTTGATGGGGATGGCACTGAATCTATAAATTACCTTGGGCAGTATGGCCATTTTCATGATATTGATTCTTCCTACCCATGAGCATGGAACGTTCTTCCATTTGTTTGTATCCTCTTTTATTTCATTGAGCAGTGGTTTGTAGTTCTCCTTGAAGAGGTCCTTCACGTCCCTTGTAAGTTGGATTCCTAGGTATTTTATTCTCTTTGAAGCAATTGTGAATGGGAGTTTACTCATGATTTGGCTCTCTGTTTGTCTGTTACTGGTGCATAAGAATCCTTGTGATTTTTGCACATTGATTTTGTATCCGGAGACTTTGCTGAAGTTGCTTATCAGTGTAAGGAGATTTTGGGCTGAGACAATGGGGTTTTCTAGATATACAATCATATCATCTGCAAACAGGGACAATTTGACTTCCTCTTTTCCTGACTGAATGCCCTTTATTTCCTTCTCCTGCCTGATTGCCCTGGCCAGAACTTCCAACACTATGTTGAATAGGAGTGGTGAGAGAGGGCATCCCTGTCTTGTGGCAGTTTTCAAAGGGAATGCTTCCAGTTTTTGTCCATTCAGTATGATATTGGCTGTGGGGTGTCATAGATAGCTCTTATTATTTTGAGATACGTCCCATCAATACCTAATTTATTGAGAGATTTTAGCATGATGGGTTGTTGAATTTTGTCAAAGGCCTTTTCTGCATCTATTGAGATAATCACGTGGTTTTTGTCTTTGGTTCTGTTTATATGCTGGATTACATTTATTGATTTTCATATGTTGAACCAGCCTTGCATCCCAGGGATGAAGCCCACTTGATCATGGTGTATAAGCTTTTTGATGTGTTGCTGGATTCGGTTTGCCAGTATTTTATTGAGGATTTTTGCATCAATGTTCATCAAGGATATTGGTCTAAAATTCTCTTTTTTTGTTGTGTCTCTGCCTGGCTTTGGTATCAGGATGATGTTGGCCTCATAAAATGAATTAGGGGGGATTCCCTGTTTTTCTATTGATTGGAATGGTTTCAGAAGGAATGGTACCAGCTCCTCCTTGTACCTCTGGTAGAATTTAGCTGTGAATCCATCTGGTCCTGGACTTTTTTTGGTTGGTAAGCTATTAATTATTGCCTCAATTTCAGAGCCTGTTATTGGTCTATTCAGAGATTCAACTTCTTCCTGGTTTAGTCTTGGGAGAGTGTATGTGTCAGGGAATTTAACCATTTCTTCTAGATTTTCTAGTTTATTTGCGTAGAGGTGTTTATAGTATTCTCTGATGGTAGTTTGTATTTCTGTGGGATTGGTGGTGATATCCCCTTTGTCATTTTTTATTGTGTCTATTTGATTCTTCTCTTTTCTTCTTTATTAGTCATGCTAGCGGTCTATCAATTTTCTTGATCTTTTCAAAAAACCAGCTCCTGGATTCATTGATTTTTTGAAGGGTTTTTTGTGTCTCTATTTCCTTCAGTTCTGCTCTGATCTTACTTATTTCTTGCCTTCTGCTAGCTTTTGAATGTGTTTGCTCTTGCTTTTCTATTTCTTTTAATTGTGATGTTAGGGTGTCAATTTTGGATCTTTCCTGCTTTCTCTTGTGGGCATTTAGTGCTATAAATTTCCCCCTACACACTGCTTTGAATGTGTCCCAGAGATTCTGGTATGTTGTGTCTTTGTTCTCATTGGTTTCAAAGAACATCTTTATTTCTGCCTTCATTTCGTTATGTACCTAGTAGTCATTCAGGAGCAGGTTGTTCAGTTTCCATGTATTTGAGCAGTTTTGAGTGAGTTTCTTAATCCTGAGTTCTAGTTTGATTGCACTGTGGTCTGAGAGACAGTTTGTTATAATTTCTGTTCTTTTACATTTGCTGAGGAGTGCTTTACTTCCAACTATGTGGTCAATTTTGGAATAGGTGTGGTGTGGTGCTGAAAAGAATGTATATTCTGTTGATTTGGGGTGGAGAGTTCTGTAGATGTCTATTAGGTCTGCTTGGTGCAGAGCTGAGTTCAATTCCTTGATATCCTTGTTAACTTTCTGTCTCATTGATCTGTCTAATGTTGACAGTGGGGTGTTAAAGTCTCCCATTATTATTGTGTGGGAGTCTAAGTCTCTTTGTAGGTCACTCAGGACTTGCTTTATGAATCTGGGTGCTCCTGTATTGGGTGCATATATATTTATCTCTTGGCAGAAACTCTACAAGCCAGAAGAGTGGAGGCCAATATTCAACATTCTTAAAGAAAAGATTTTTCAACCCAGAATTTCATATCCAGCCAAACTAAGCTTCATAAGTGAAGGAGAAATAAAATACTTTACAGACAAGCAAATGCTGAGAGATTTTGTCACCACCAGGCCTGCCCTAAAACAGCTCCTGAAGGAAGCACTAAACATGGAAAGGAACAACCGGTACCAGCCGCTGCAAAAACATGCCAAATTGTAAAGACCATCAAGGCTAGGAAGAAACTGCATCAACTAACGAGCAAAATAACCAGCTAATATCATAATGACAGGATCAAATTCACACATAACAATACTAACCTTAAATGTAAATGGACTAAATGCTCCAATTAAATGGCACAGACTGGCAAACTGGATAAAGAGTCAAGACTCATCAGTGTGCTGTATTCAGGAAACCCATCTCACGTGTAGAGACACACATAGGCTCAAAATAAAGGGATGGAGGAAGATCTACCAAGCAAAGGGAAAACAAAAAAAGGCAGAGGTTTCAATCCTAGTGTCAGATAAAACAGACTTTAGACCAACAAAGATAAAAAGAGACAAAGAAGGCCATTACATAATGGTAAAGTGATCAATTCAACAAGAAGAACTAACTATCCTAAATATAAGCAGCGCACTTCTAAACAACACAAGTGTTAGAGACATCTCAACACAAAGCAAAGTCATTTTGGACTCAATGAAAATCACACTTATCAAAATATATCAGATACAGAGAAAGCAATGCTTAGATGGAGATTTACAGCATTGAAAGCACATATTGGAAAAGAAGAAAGATGTAAGATAAATAATCTAAGCTTCTACATTAAGAATCTAGAGAAAGAAGAGCAATAAAAACTTAAATCTAAAGAAAGAAATAATAAAAAATAATATAGAAATGTACACAATTTAATACAAGGAAACAATAGAGAAAAATAATAAAACCAAAACTTCAGTATAATTGATAAAACTCTAGCAGGCTAACCAGGAAAAAAGGGAGAAGGCACCCATTATAAAAATCATAAATGAAATTGAAACCATGTCTAGTGATCCTATAAACATTAAAAAGATAATAAAGAAACATTATAAACAACTCTGTTTATGAATTTGGTAACTTAAATAAAATGGACAAATTCCTTGAAAACCAGAAGTTACTAAAACTCACACAAGAATAAATAATTTGAATAAGACTATAAATATACATTATAACTAAAAGAACTATATGTAACTATAAGAAATACCTGAGGTTGGGTAATTTATAAAGAAAATATATTTATTTGGCTCGTAGTTCTACAGACTATTCATGAGGGGTCCACCCCGATGACCCAAGCACCTCTCACCAGACCCCACCTCCAACTTTGGGGATCAAATTTCAAAATGAGATTTGGAGGGGATGAAAAATCCAAACTATATGACTCTTCCAGAAAATAGAGTCAGAAATATTATAGATCTTCTAAAAAAAAGCTATTTTTATTCAAATATATGTTATAACAAATCATTGTTCTTTAATTTCTTTAATGTGATGCTACATGATCAACAGATTTTTAAATATCTTCTGTGTGTTTTTTACTGTTTGGAGTTTACAGATAAAGTTTAGGAACTTAGAAAAGAGAGTTCACCCAAAACTGGTAAAAGTTTGAAAAGTTTTAATGTGAACTGTCAAAATGGAAATAATTCAAAACTGGACTAAAATGAAATTTTTTATTTGAGTATAGGCCAATCATGTTTGTGACTTTGTAAAGTTACTAAATCTCTTTCAAACTCTCCTAGATAAGTAAAAATATGAATGCTTATATGGTATAATAGTGAAAACTATAGATAATATATGAAATATTTAGTCCAATGTCTGACATTTAATATGGGTATTGTAAGTAGTTACTACACTTGGTTAAGTAAATAATAAACTGTGAATAAAACAAGTTCAGATCACAGCTTGAACATAAATATTATTAACTTTTATTTTGTCATATATAACAATACTTAGAATTTACCCCTTTCGTGATTTTTAGAAAAAATGATTAATGAAATGCTAACATTTTTGTGTAATTTTGTAAAAGACAAAAGTGGTCACATTATAAGAAATTATTCAATTCACTTTTTCTATTTGTCAAGAGCTTCTTTATTAGTTCCCTAACATCACTTTTATAAACTTAATGAAATATTTTTCTATAAAATTTTTCTATAAAACTTATTTTCATTTTTTTAAAGAGATTTTCCTTGTATTTTCTGAGTAACAGACAGAAAATTTTTAACACTGGGGTATGGGATTGATCTTATGCAAATATAATGTATTCAGGAGGGTACCAATTTGATAAGTGACTGTTTTATTTTGAGTATTTCTATATTATAATTTTATTTTTTATTTCATCAGTATAGGATTCAGATAAAAGGAGCTCACCTTATTATTAACAAAATGGTATGCTCTATTGGGCAACGTCTGGTGAAGGTATTTGTTTCAAATGTATTACTAGGAATGAAGTAAAGAAACCCTTGCCATCACCATAAAGTCAATTTGTTAAAAATTCTCCAATCATATCAGTTACAGATTATACTGAAGAACAAGCAATAGTAATGTAAATATAGTAATTTAATCAAACATGAAGTTATTTTTCTCATTAGGAAATCTAGAAGGCTGTCACGACTAGTGCAGCAGATGTCATGAAACTCATACAATTTTTCCATTCTGCCACTCTTAGATGTGACTGATTTCATCTTTGTTGTTAGTCACAAGATATATACTACCTTTCAGCCCCCAGCCTATGTTCCAGGCAGGAGAACAAATGGAGTGACAAGGAGGAGAAAATGTGACAGGAATAAATCTTCCATAATGTCTCATTGACTATCACTATCTGCCCTATCCATAGGGTAGGCTGGGAAATTTTCAGCTGGGTAATTTTTTTCTATCAAACAAAAATGGGACTCTTTTAAGGGAATGGATTTTGAGCTAACAGCTAGCAGTATCTGCTATATCAGGAAATTCAGGCTTGGTTATTTCCACCACTATGGGCTGGCTGCTCCAGTAGTCTATACAATACTTGATGGTGAAGTTCTCAGAGAGACCCTATTAATTCACTAAAGGCCATCTGGACTTGAAAATATTTAAGTATTACTTTCATCTTAGAGTTATAAGAATATTTTGACCAATGTATGAATCACTGCCTTTCTACTGGTCTACTGCTCTACCAGCTGTTCTATTAGTCTACCAACTGATCTTGTCTACAAACTAACACTGTCAACATCTCACTACAATAACAGTCTATAAAAATGCTATTATAGCTACTGTTTACTGCATTATGTAAGTCATCAAATCAGCCTAAGTAATTTAATTAAATGATCTTACCTTTTTGCTGCTAAAGAAACATGTAATTGTAAAATATTTCCAAACAAAATGGGAACCTACTTATTGTTTGAACTCGGATTGGTTATTCTCAAACATAATGTGTATGAGAATTACCTGGGGATTTTGGTAAAAATGATGAGTGCAAACATTCACTTCCAGAAATATAGATTCAGTGGCTGTAAAACAGGGCTCTGAAATAATTTAAATAAGTTTTATAAGTGCTACAGGTGAATTCTGATACTGAAAGCCCACACATTTTGTTTTGTGAAACATTACATCAGGCAATTTGACCATAAAGTTAAGGTTCTTAAAACTGTGTATTATCACCTCCTCCCGTAAGGGTGTCAAGAATATGCCCTTACTGGAAATATTTAATGATTAAAAATTAATTATTTGTAAGGCAATTGCCTCTTCTAGTTAAGATGAAAAATAAATATCCAATTCATTTTTCTAAATTTTTATTATAATAAAATTATTAAAGTACATGGATATTTATCTTTTATTTTGGATTCTGCCCTACAGCTCTATCCCTGATACCATGACACATAGCTCAAGCCCTCATTAGATTTTAGCTAGATTTTTTGCAGGAGCTAATTAAATGCCTCTCTCACTGCATTATCATTAATAAATGTAGGTGTCATAGATTCAACTAGTTGGAGTAGACCTTAGAAGGCATAAATGTCAGTCTTCTCACTTTATAAAAATTAAAACTGCAGAAACAGCAAATACAGAACTTTCCCAAAGTGAGAGCTTTAGTAAATAATAAAACTATAATTTGTAACATTGAAATAAAAATATCTTATTGATTCCACTCAATTTTAAATATTTAGTCTTGTGAATTGTTTCAAATTTACAGTATGTTTGTAGTAACAGGCAAAAGATTTATATGATCTAGAGAGAAACCAGAGCATAGTATAAAATAGGGAAGAAAAAGTATGTGGTGATTGGAAAAGAAGAAAAGGGAGGTAAAGTGGAGGTTTAGTCAGAGAGGCATGGTAGAAAGATTTTTTTTTTTGGCTGAGTGGAGATGGAATCTCACTCTGTTGCCCAGGCTGGAGTGCAGTGGTGCAATCTTGGCTCACTGCAACCTCTGTTTCCTGGTTGAAGCAATTCTCCTGCCTCAGCCTCCAGAGTAGCTGGGATTACAAGTGTGCACCACCATGCCCAGCTAATTTTTGTATTTTCAGTAGATATGGGGTTTCACCATGTTGGCCAGGCTGGTCTTGAACTCCTGACCTCAAATTATCCACCTGCCTCAGCCTCCCAAAATGCTGGGATCACAGGTGTGAGCCACCGCACCCGGCCAGTAGAAAGATTACGTTAATGAAACACCAGGGTTTCCATCTAGGTCCTGCCGCTTACTGCACAGAAAGAAAATCACTGAAACTATGAGCACTGCCAGGGAAGAAGACTTCAATCAGGTTCTTCAGCCAAGGAGAAGAGAAATTAGTCTCAAATTTATCTGCCTGACCAACTGAAATGAAGGGATTATATAGCAGGGAAAAAATGTAATGGTGTGTGGAAAAACATAAATTAGGGAGGTGTGAGGAAGAGAGAGGGTTCAACAGGAAGCAGGCCATTGGTTAGGCAACTATGATGGTTGCAGGAACTGGCATTTCATGTCCAGATGCAGTGATCCAGTAAGTTTCAGTTCCTCATACTATCTGGGAGACCTGGTGCTTGGTTCTTGAGAACGGAACTCAGATAAGACAAATGCATCTTTCTTAAGTTTTAAGATTGGGAGGGTCAATTTCTATGTTTGTTCAAGAGAAACCATAAACATCAGTTCTATGGGACAATTGGGCTGGCTTCAAATAAAGCCTTTAGGATAAAACTCATCCTAGTCAAGTGTGTTTTGATTGAAAGTGAAAGAATCCTAATCAAAATACCTTAAGCACAAATGAGAGAATTTTCAGGAATGGTGCAAAGATATCTCAGAAATCCCAGGTTAGGAAACATAGGTTATCTCACAAATGTCTTCGTTCTAGGAACTAGAAAGGTGTCTACAGCCAAAATCCAGTTTGGATTGCAAGGATTTGTAGAGAAAGATAGAAGTTCAGAAGAAAGAGAAGAACCTATGTTACTGGCTTTGAATATGGAGGTAGGAAATAAAGCCAATTAATACAGGCGGACTCAGGAAACTGGAAAAAGGCAAGGAGACAGATTATTTCTCAGATCTCCCAGCAGGGATGCAGGCCTTCTAACACAATGATTTTAGAGTTCTGACCTCCAGAAATGTAAGAAAATAAATTTGTGTTGTTTGAAGCCATGAAGTTTGTGGTAATTTGTTGCAGCAGCAATAAAATATTTATTTATTTATAAATAAATAAAATAAAAATAAAATAAAATAAAAAAATAAAAATAAATAAAATTTTTATTTCAGTTTATGTACATTAGAGCTTATGCTTTTAGCTATTATGCATAATGCTTCTGTAAACATTCATCTGTAAGTTTTTATGTGGAAATGTAGTTTTAATTATTCTGGGTATATACCTAGAAGTAAAATTGCTAGGTCATGTGCTAACTTTATGTTAGCATTTCAGAAATTGCCAAAATGTTTTCCAGAGTTGTTTCCCTTCTTCATTATCCCACCAGCTATGCATAAGGGCTCCTAATTATCCACATTTCTGTCAATACTTGTTATTCTCTGTCTTTTATTTTAGCAAGTCTAATGGGTATAAAATAGTACCATATTGTGGTTTTGAATTGCATTTACTTGCTAATGATGATGAGCATCTTTTCCTGTGTATGTTTACCTTTTGTATATCTTCTTTGGAGAAATATCCACTAAATACCTTTATATACATTTTAATTGTGTTATTTATTTTTTATTGTGGGGTTCTAAGAGTTTATATTTTGGGTACAGGAATTATCAGATAGATAAATTGTCAGCCTTTCCTCCTATTCTGTGGCTTGACTTCACTTCTTGACTTCACTTTCTTGATGGCAACCTCTGTAGAAGAAACTTTTTTGTTTGTTTGTTTTGATAAATTCCAATGTATCTACTTTTCTCCTGTGTCTCTCTTGCTTTTGGTGCCATACATTGAAAATATTGCCTAATCTAAATCACAAAGACTTATTTTTCTATGTGAGTTTTCTATTTTTGCTATTGCATATAAGTCTGTGGAACACTTTGAGGGTTTTGTTGTTGTCGTTTTTATAATAGTATGGGGTAAAAGTCCAACTTCATTTCTTTTGCATGTGTCTAACCAGTTGCCCAGCATCATTTGTTAAAAAGACTCTTTTTTCCTCCATTGAATTGTCTTGACACCCTTGTTGAAAAGCAGCTGACCATAAATATAAGGGTTTATTTTAGTTTCCTCAATTCTATCTTATTGATGTATGTCTAGTCTTATGCCAGTACCACACTCTCTTCATCACTGCAGCTTCATTACAAGCTTTGGAATAGGGAAGAGTCCTCCAGCTTTGTTCTTTATCAAGATTGGCATATTTTGGGTGCCTTGTTTTTCATATTAATTAGCTTGCCAACTTCTGCACAGCAACACAACAACAAAAACAACAACAACAACAACAAACCCCTGGGATTTTGACAGGATGACCAAATAATCTGTAGGTTAATTTGGGAAGAAATCATCTTCACAATATTTAGTCTTCTGACACACTGATATGAGATGTGTTGCCATTTATTTAAGTCTTCATTAAATTCTTTAAATATTTTGTAGTCATCAATGTGTTTGTCTTGCACTCTTTTGGTTAAATGTATACTACATGATGTAGAATTGTTTTATAAATTTTGTTTTTGGATTTTTCATTGCTAATGTATAGAAATACAGTTGTTATTTATATATTGATGTTGTATCCTATTACCTTGTTTAATTAGTTTATGAGTTCCAAAGTTCTTTTGTCTATTTCTTAGAATTGTCTGTATGCAAGATTATGTCATCTGCTAACAGAGGTATCTTTCCTTATAAATGGGTACCATTTATTTATTTATTTATTTTATTTCTTTGCTTAATTGGCCTGGCTAGAATCTACAATATAATGCTGAATGTAAGTAGTGAGAGAAGATATCCGTTTCAGTTCCTGAATTTAGAGAAAAAAAACATTCAGTCACGGTTATCTGTGAGATTTTATAGATATTTTTAATCAGGTTGAGAAAGTTTCTTCATTTTCTTAGTTTGTTGAGTGTTTTAATCATAAATTAGTGTTAAATTTTCTTATGTGTTTTTTAATGTACCTAGTGAGTTGAATCTGTATAGTGGAGTGAGTTTTTTTTTCCCTGTTTTTCTCTTAATGTGATATATCACATTGATTGAATTGTGTAAGTTAAACCAACCTTACCATCTGGGATATTTCCTACTTGGTGATGGTAAATAATACTTTTTATAGGAAATTTTTTTTTTTTTGAGACGGAGTCTCGCTCTGTCGCCAGGCTGGAGTGCAGTGGCGTGATCTCAGCTCACTGCAAGCTCTGCCTCCCAGGTTCAAGTGATTCTCCTGCCTCAGCCTCCTGAGTAGCTGGAACTACAGATGTGCACCAACCACGCCCAGGTAATTTATGTATTTTTAGTAGAGACAGTGTTTCACCATGTTGGCCAGGATGGTCTCAATCTCTTGACCCTGTGATCTGCCTGCCTTGGCCTCCCAGTAGTATTTTTTAAATTATCATGTATATATTTATAAGATATATTGGTTTCCAGCATTGTTTTTTTTTCCATGTCTTTATCTGATTTAGGTGTCATGGTCGTAATGGCCCCATTGCATAAGTTGGGAAGTGTTCCCTCCTCTTTTATTTTTGGAAGATGTTATGAAGAATTAAGGTTCATTCTTTATACTTGGTAGAAATTAACAGTGAAATCATCCGGGCCTGGACTGTTCTTTGTGAGGTTTTCATTGTTACTTATTCTATCTCTTCAAATGTTATAGGACTGTTCAGTTTTTCTAATCTTTCTTGAATCAATTTTGCAATATATGTCTTTATAAAAAATTGTTCATTCTAAGTTACTAAATTTTTGTGGTAATGCCACCACTTTCATTCCCAATTTTGTAATCTGAATTGTCTTACTATCTTATTTTTCAAAAAATCTGGTTTGGATTACTACCAATTTAATTTCATTAGCATACATAAATTTTGCTCCAATATAATTCCATTCCCTTTACCCTCCTTTGTCCTACCATTTGTAATACAAATGGGATCTTTATATGTCATAAGCCCATTCACAAAGTTTTATAATGATTGCTTTATTCAATTGTCTTTGCATCAAAAATTTTTGCAATTAAAAAATCTATTATCTTATCTTTGATATATATTCACGTAGCTACCTTTACTGGTGCTCTTCACTTCTTTGTGTGAATTTGAGTTACTGCCTAGGGTTCTTTCATTGCAGCCTGAAGGATTCACTTTATTATTTACTGTAAGGCAAGTCTATAAACATCAAATAATTTTAGCATTATTTTTTGTTTTTTATCTATATATGTCCTAATCTCTTTTTCATTTTTAAAAACAGTTTTGCTGGATTTAAAATTCTTGTTGATCGTCTTTTTGTTTCAACATTTATTATGTTGTTCCAATCTGTTTTAGCCTCCATGGTTTCTGATAAGGAGTCAGCTGTTAATTACATTGAGAATCTTTTGTATGAAGAAATTATTTTTCTCTTATTGCTTTCAAGATTATTATGTTTTCCCTTTGGCTTTTTATCTTTTACTACTTTATGTATAAGTTTATATATCTTTAAATTTGTACTATTTAGAGTTCCTTGAGCAAATAAGACGTGTAGATTAATGTTTTTATCCATTTTAGGAAGTTTATGGCCATTAATTCTTGATTCTTTCTGTCCCCCTTTCCCTTCTTCTTGGACTCACATTATTTATGATATGACACATTTGATATTGTTCTATAGATTCTGATGTTCTGTTCATTTTTCATTGGATTACTTAGAGTACATACTCTCACTTGACCTATTTTCAAGTTTACTGATGTTTTTCTTTTCTAGTTCAAATATGCTGTTGAGTTTCCCTAGGGATGAGCAAAAGAAAAAAATTAGTAAAGTTGTTCCATTTTATTTACTGTACTTTTCTATTTCAAAATTTCTATTTTCTAAAAAAATAATTTTTATGTATTTACTCACATTTTCTATTGGTGATTCATTATTCTCAAATATTATTTTAATTCTTTAGACATGGTTTCCTTTAGTTTAAGAAATGTGTTTATAATTGGTGATTTAAAGTCTTTGTCTAGTAAGTCCATCATCTGGGCTTGTAAGGAACAGTTAGTATTGACTCATTTTATTCCTGTATTAGAGTTATAATTTCCCTTTTTTTTTTTTTTAGCCTGTCTTGTAAATTTTAATTAAATACTATCC
The DNA here is from genome assembly GCF_000001405.40 of Homo sapiens. Taxonomy (NCBI): domain Eukaryota; kingdom Metazoa; phylum Chordata; class Mammalia; order Primates; family Hominidae; genus Homo; species Homo sapiens. Next base: position 63,478,844 of record NC_000005.10, on the reverse strand, counting down.
ATGTTTTTAAAATGTGGAATAGCAACTCTAGGGATTAGATTACTCCCCACCACCCCACCTCCTGGCATTTGTTTCGTTTCTATTTTTTTGTTTAGTGACTTTCATGGAAAAATTCCGTAAAAGTTTGTATTCTTCATGGTGTATGGCAGATGCTAAAGTCTCAGCTCTATAGCTTAGTGAACAGCTAATATTTGGGAAGAGATTTCCTTAAATACCTTAAGCTAGTAATTGTTTCAGTTTTTACTCTGTGTGTTTTGGGATGATTCCTTCAGTGTTCCGTGGGTTTAAAATTATTACTTAATTTTTACCTTCTATTCACACAAAGCCTCAAGGTCAGCCAGTATTGATAAATGAGGATCTTCTTCGATCTTTTCTAGGATGTACACAGCCGTGGGTGTGTGTGTGTCTGATTTTAAAGTTTCAAGAATACATCCAAGCTTGTAAAGTCTCCCGTGGATATCTTAATTCTTATATTTTCCTTTCCTTCCTTCTTTCTTTCTTTCTTCTTCTTTTTTTTTTTTTTTTTTTTTTTTTTTCTGAGACAGAGTTTCACTCTTGTTGCCCATGCTGGAGTGCAATGGCATGATCTCGGCTCACCGCAACCTCCACCTCCCGGGTTCAAGCGATTCTCCTGCCTTGGCCTCCTGAGTAGCTGGGATTACAGGTGCCCTCCACCACACCTGGCTAAGTTTGTATTTTTAGCAGAGATGGGGTTTCTCCATGTTGGTCAGGCTGGTCTCAAACTCCCGACCTCAGGTGATCCACCCACCTTGGCCTCCCAAAGTGCTGGGATTACAGGCGTGAGCCACTGCACCCAGCCTATTTTCCTTTTAAATATATTTTGGTCATCCTCTTGTTTGGGCCAACTGGCATCACCACCTCAGGCAAGTATGATGTTAAACAATTGCTTTTAATTCTTTTTGACAAATGCACTGAACATAGCCTTCTTCATATTATGAACTTTAAGTCAAGCCAAATAAAGACAAGTTTTCTGATGGGATTTTCAATGGAGTTTTCAAACAAGAATGACAATTCTCAGAAATGTGACATTTTGGGGCACTCCAAACTCATTCTGTCCCTCCAGTGATTACTAGTTTGCTGATCTTAACAGTTCTTAACAGTGTTCATTTGCAAAGCTACAATGGAGCTAGAGAGAAGGAACAGGAACAGGGCATTTTAACATGCCATAAAATTCAATGTTTTACCAAAAGCCACACTTTTTTTTCCCTTAAATAAATGCTTCTTAGAAAGCTTTTGGTAATTTCTAAAGTTCTGAAAAAGTTGATTTTAACAATTTTGCCAGCATTCTTATTGCTTTTATGAAGGAGTACATTTTTAAAGGCCAACACCCCATCACTCTGGAAATACTTCCTATGGCTTTTGTTTTTAAGATGTACATGAGCTTTTCTTTAAAAAGCTTATTCTGGCTGGGTGCGATGGTTCACTCCTGTAATCCTAGCACTTTGGGAGGCCAAGGTGGGCAAAACATGAGGTTAGGAGATCAAGACCATCCTGGCCAACATGGCCTTTACTAAAAATACAAAAATTAGCTGTGCATGGTCTCGCGTGCCTGTAATCCCAGCTACTCAAGAGGCTGAGGCAAGAGAATCGCTTGAACCAGGGATTTGGAGGTTGCAGTGAGCCAAGATCGTGCCACTGCACTCCAGCCTGGTGATAGAGCGAGACTCCGTCAAAAAAAAAAAAAAAAAAAAAAAAAAGGCTTATTCTTTGCTCAGTCTTCTTCCTTGATCTTCTTCCTTGATCTTCTTCAAGTGCTTCTCCTTCATAACCCTCTTCTTTCTTGCATAAGGGCATGGAGGAGTTCTACATTTTTAAAGTAAAATAGAATTGTCCATGATTGCATTTATGTTTTTCAACTATCCAAATATATTTATTACTGAGATGTGCACTTCTTAACTAAGTTGAATGCAGGGCCATTTTTTTCCTGGTGATACACTGGATGATGAAGTCTTTGTAACAGCCAGTCATTGATGAGATTAAATTATAACGCATTATGAAACTCTACCCTCTATCAGTTGTATTATTGTTTATATGTGCACATACATACTTTTGTCATTTCAGTCCACTTCCTACATTATCATAAGTATTTTATTGCTATAGTGAGACCAAGTCAAACTTAAAATGGCATGGAAACGAAACTCCACATTTAACTGAGGCAATAACAATTCTAGAAGACAGAAGAGTTTTTAAACGTCATTTCTAGTGGTTTCCAATTATTTTTAGTAGAAGAATCTGATTTTCATATCAATAAAAATACAGAAATATTTGAAATAAATATTACTCTACTAATGACTATGGTTGTAATACACATTTGAAATACAGATGACCACTTATGCATGAGATATTATTTATCCTGCTTATGAAATATAAACGTGGTGGGCATATGGTTTGATAAAAATATTTACTGTAAATCTGCTTTATTCCAAGTTTTTTTTTCACACAGATTGGAAACTGATATAGTTAATTGACAAGTCAGGAAAGAATACTACAGCCAGAGGATTTGACACAGGCATTTTTAGATTTGGAGAAGGACATTAGAAATCATTCACTCAAGTGTGTCTTAGTTTGGGATGCATGCAATGGTTGGTGCACATAAGGTCAGATAGAGGCTTTTGTAAGCATTAAGCACTGATATGTTGTACCCAAAAACATAATTTATAATAAAATAAGATTTACTTATTAAAAACATGAAAATAAGCCTAAATATATTTCCCCATGTTGGCTACTTGAAAGATATTTGAATTTTTTCCATAATGACTATTTAAAAGTAAAATATATAGAAATGAGTCCTATTTTCCCATGACCATTTGAAAGGTTTTTCTATAATAATATGTCTTAAATTCAGTATAATTATTTTTGTGCCTCTGAAATATCTAAGCTACCCATTGTCATATTCAGCATTGTATACAATTACTGTTTCTGTCATCAACTATTATGACTCTTTATTTTAAACTATATGTAAGTAAAACTGAGTATACTTTTTAAAATTCAAATCTACTTTAAAAATTAGTACTGAATATTAGAGTACTGGAATTAGGGAAAAGCTTAAATAATATTTTATTTTATATAAATCAGGGGTTTGACAAACTTTCTTATAAAAAGAGAGTAAATATTTTAGGTTTCACAAACTCTGCAATCTTTGTGGCAACTAGTCTACTCTACATTGACATGAGAAAGCAGCCATGAACAATTTGTAAATGGGTGTCATTTTTTTTCCAATAAAACTTTATTTTTGGTATTTTATTCCAAAATTCAGGCTAAATTTTGTTCTTTAGTTTGCTGCTCCCTGTTATAAATGAGGGAATGGAGGATCAGAGAAGATGTGTTACCTTTTAAGTGAAACAAATGGTTAGTGGCAGAAATGGCCTCATATTCCCAAAAAAAGCATTTTATTTTATAATACACTACACCAGAAAACATCTCCTAGGATTTCTTAAGTTTAAGAAGTTTTACCAAAGGAGTAATCACTATTCTTTTTTGTTTTCCTTTCTCTCTCTTTTTTTTTTTTTTTTTTGTGAGAAGTGGGTGAGGGGGTAGATTTTTGGCTTGCATGTTGCTATTATTCATATCATACTTTTCGTACACACACTTACGTATATATCATATTCTTATATATGTTATTCTAAGTTTGCTGACAATCATCTCATCACATATTAATATTAATATAGAAATGGAAACTGAAATTACTTGAATCAGGCATTTACCAAAGACTATATAGATAGGTAGTTTAAATAGATTAATATAATAAAATGTAACCAAAACATAAGGCACTTAAAATACTCATGTCTCTGGAAATGCTACACTAGGAAACTTTTCTAATATCCTAACTCTGGAAGAGTAATTTAGGTTTTTTGTTTGTTTGTTTGTTTGTTAGTTTTTGCAGAAATTGTTGTTAGTCATTCATTAAGGCCATAGGAAATAGATTAACAGCATATTAAGTTTGGTTAGTAATTTCTATTCAAATTCCCCAATGACTTGACTTCAAATTGAAGGTTGAAAATATTATTTTTCATCTATTTGTTGCTGAAGTTGGTATCATTTATAAGACGCAAACAAGCTCAGTTTAATTACTGTTTTTCTCAACCAAAATTTTTCTACATACTTAGCAGCTGGCTAATAACAAAGCCTTTCATTTCCACCTCTGCGGAGTACTTACTTATTGACTCTTAATTTAAAAGCAAGTATATTATATATTTTTTATTTTTTATCAATTCTTAGCTTTTAGGCTAAGAACAAGTACAGTATTATCTTTCTTCTTAAGAAAAAGTTCCAGTGATTCCCATAGAGTATGAATTGAGGTTCTCAGCTCTCTTTACAAACATTAAGGAAATGTGTTTAACATATTTAAGAAGAGAAAGCCTACATTTTATTAATAAATACTTGGTCTTTGAGCTCTGTGTTACCACAGCCTCATTTAATGTACACTTTTGTTGGTTTGATGAAAGTGTGTAATTCACTTTTAAAATTCTAAATTAATACACTCACTCTGTGGTTTGTCTATAAATGGATATTGATCAAAAATGACTCATCCCTCTTGCAGTGAAGTTTTAGTAGCTTGTTTGGAATAATGATGTGTAAATTTAGATTTCCTCTGTATTCAAGTCCAAGAAAACTCCTGAGATTTTTGCATATCACTGGGAACTTTATCAAATACATCGCAGATAATGAAGGCAGTTTCAAACTTATGATAATTTTTTTTTAATATTTATTTATAAGTTTATGATTTGTAATATATATTCCCATAGAAAAGTGTTATGATATATTACAATATAAATGTACAAGGCTAATCCAAAAGTTAATTGTTTAATCAATAACATTGCTTACTCATAGTATAATAGTACTATAAAAACTAACAACTCTATGCCATATATTTCCCTTTAAGAAGTTCTACCAAAGGAATGATTTAGTAAAATCACTGGGGGGAAAATGTGCTCCAGTTTTCAATTATGCATTATGTGAAGTCATGTGCCTAAAAGCACAGTCTCAGCCACATACAATGAAGAGTAGTCAAAATCCCATCACCTCCCTGTAGCAACAGCAGGACCTGCTCCTCTTCAGAGGGAGGCAGAATAACACACTCTCTAAGAAGATGTATTTCATAGTCTAATACATTCTAGTTTCATGCTGACTCTTCTATTTGCTAATTATATTACTTTGGCTGTATTTCTTTATCTCGCCAAACCTTTCCTAGTTTGTGAAGTGGAAATAATATCTAATTTATGGTATTGTTGGAAAGAGGAGTTAGGCTGTTTAAAGCATGAGACAACTGCTCATTATATGATAGATTCTTTAATTATTATAAAGAGATGGGAGGGCTTAGGGAGTTCAATAGTGTAGATGCCATAAAATTTATTGTCAAGCCTGTGTCATTTTTGGCTGTGAATGGGGGTGTGATGAATAATTACAGTGAAAAATAAGCATAAATAGAGACTGCCCTGAGCATATAATCACATATCATCACAATACTTACTATTATCCCCTGCTGGAGAAGAGGTGATTGCAGTGGTATAGAGGAAATAGCACAGATTCCGCCAGAATTAGGGTTTACAAAGGACTTAGGAAGGAAGCAATATCGAAGATATGGACTCCCCCCAGGGAATCAGCTACTCAAATTCCCTGGTAATAGAGAAATAGTGCTTTGTTGAGAGAAGCAGCGTATATATATGCTCCCTCTATATATAATATATATGTGCTCTCTCTATATACATATATATGTATATATATAATGAATATGGAGTCAATGTATGCAAAAGGCACTTTTATAAGTGTTCATGAGTAAAGTATATTTTGTCCTGCTAAACTTCAGGTGGTTTTCTACATATGAGCATTTAATATACTAACATCAAAAATGTACTCTCAAATTGTTATAAGTATAAATTATAATTTATTGCCATCGTAGACATTTAATAATTTGGCTTATCAGTTTTTTAACTAAACATCTCTGGAAAAAAGAGTTCAAGGAGGGTTATTTTTATCCAGAAATTCCTTCTCATTTTCTTCCCTGCTATCTCCCATTCCTGTTCCTGTTCTTTCTCTTCCTTCTTATGCAAGAAGTGTGTGTGTGTGTGTGTGTGTGTGTGTGTGTCTGTGTGTGTCTATGTGTGTGTGTGTGTGTGTATTATATAATCTGAAAAAATTTGTAGCTACCCTTTTATCAGATGTACTTTACAATTACATAGTATATAGGTACTTAAGCTTCCGGAAAAAAAAAAAAAACTAAGGTCCATATTACTAAAGTCAAATAAACATTGTACAAGATAATCTTTACCTTAAGTTTTATTTCTGAGCAACCCAACTTAGGCAATAATTAAATTAACATCATAAAAACCAAGAATATCTGCGCTTCATATATATATATGTATATATATGTGTACATATATAGTGTGTGTGTGTGTGTGTGTATATATATATATATATATATATATATATATATATATATATATACTTCCAAATAGATATTTTCATGTGTTTGGATTCAAATTGTTGTTGTTTTTAAACTGTGGATTATGACCCATTAGTGGGTTACAAAATCAATCAAAAGCTATGAAATGGACTTCCACCATTTTCAAAAAATGAAATGAAGAATAGGATAGGATAAAATATATTAGTGTATCACATAAAATAAGGAAATGCAAAAGTTTTGTTTCAATTATATGCATAAAGAAATATGTTTATGTGTGTGCTAAAAATATAAAACAAGTTTCTTCATGTGGATTACAAAAAAAAATGAAAACACTGAAGTATTCCAGATGATTGATTGGATTTTTCACTTTCTTTCCAGATGCAGTTTGCTATTGAAAGACATGAACAATGTGCATGTGAATCTTTTCAAGACCCTGAATAAATAGTAATAAAGGGATTCAGGTCTTAGTAGATGTTTATCAAATTAATGCATGGGCTGTTAGACTGAAATATACAGGTGATGCCAATTTATCTATTCATTTAGTTGGAAACTATTTTAAGAAATACAGTTTGGTACTCTGAATTGTCCATATTGAGAATCTTCTTTGAAGAAATCCACTGAAGAATTATTGAGTGGGTGGGAAAGTTTGGGATGGATTGAGATACCTCTGAGATGCTTGTGAAGGTGATGAATTTTACTACAGCTTTTGTAGGTCTCTGTTAACCTTGATGTGTCATATGAGTACATTCATGCATTCAACAAACATTAATTTTGTTCCTATCATGTTTCAGTGCTATCCTTGGTTCAGGAGATGGCATATTGAGCAAGACAAAGGAAGTTCTGATCTTCATAGAACTTATTTTGCAATGGACAAATACAAACAGATAATATGCTTAAAGAAATAAGTTTTAGGAAGAAATTTAAAAGAATATTGCAATAGAGAGATCCTGGGAAGTGGGATAATAACTGTTTTAGATACCTCTGTTAAGAATGAGATCTTTGTGGACACAAAATTGACTTGAGTTCTGAATAATTAAGGACCACTATTGCAAAGATCTGGGGCAGGTCAAGCAAGTGTAAGAGCCCTGAAGGGGAATGAATTTGGCAGGTTCCAAGATGAAGGGCAAGTTACTCAGAGTCAATTGTGTGAAGAGGAGAGTGATAAAAGATGAGAACATCAGGCTCCAGATCAATCAGTCAGGGTATTGTAGTGAGTTTGGATTTTACTTTTATTCATTGGGAAGCTATCGAAGCATTACAATAAGGGAAATAATATAAGCACTTTTTCATTTTGAAAAGCTTACTGTGTCTAATGTGTAGAAATTGGACTGTTAAGAAATAGAGGAAGAATCCAGGGTAACATTTAGATGGTGTTATAGTACTTTTTGTCATAATGGTGGATGAATTGTAGCACCATTAGGTAAGTGTGAGATAATATTAATAAACATTATCATGAAAATATTGATAAAACAATTACTCTATACCTGATGATACACTAAATATTTTATATATAATATCTCAATCAATCCTTAGAACGACTCTGTGAGCAAGACACTGAAATTAATTCCAAATTACAAGTAAGCAAACTAGTGTAAAGAGAATGTAAGTAGTTGCCCAAAGTCCTTACAGACATATAATGTAGAATAGTTGAAGAAAGGTCACCTTAACATTTATTCCTTTGGACATGAAAAAAACGAGCACATGCCACAAAGATGAAGATAAAGATGTGTGTGGCTCTCAAGACAAGAACATGATTGTGTGGCTATCAAGAAAAGAACATGAATGACATGAGTTAATCAATATAGAGAATTTAAAAAATAATTCCAGATTATCTTAATTATTTCTGTATTTACATATTTATTTATATGAGATAGGGTCTCACTCTGTCGCCCAGGCTGGAGTGCTGTGGAGCAATCACAGCTCACTACGCCCTCAAACTCCTGGGCTCAATTAATCCTCCCACATGATCCTCCCAAGTAGGTGGGAACTACAAGCATGCACCACCATGCCCAGCTAAGTTTTGTTTGTTTGTTTGTAAAGACAGGGTCTCGCTATATTGCCCAGGCTGGTCTCCAACTCCTGGCCTCAAGCAATCCTCCTGCCTTGGCCTCCCAACCTGCTGGGATTACTGGCGTGGGCCATCATGCCTAGCCTCCCAGATTACTTTATATTTAGGGCAACATGTTAACAACAACAACAAGAAGAAGAAAAAAACCATATAACTTTTCTGCTCATAACCTTCAGTGGTTTTCCAAGCTTACAGAATAAAGATTTGCATAAACTGCCCCTTCACTCCTTTCAGATCTTACTTCCTAACACTTTATCCTGTGCCTGTGTCATTCCAGCTATGCTGGTTTCCTTTCCCTTTTGTTAGTCCTGCAGACAATTCCCATCCAGGGCTTTTGCATTTACTATTCTCTTTCTGGAAAGTTCTTTCCCTAGACATCTGTCTGACCCCTCATTTTACTCTGTTCTGCGCTGCTTAGAAAGACCATATCTGACATCTCTCCTCCCCAGCCAGCTTAAGAATTCCCTTTTTAAATCTCTCTCTATTCCCTTATCCTGCTTTGTTTTCCTTCGGTGTTGTACATACATTTATGTGTTTATGCACTGTAGCTTACCACAAGAAAGTAAGCTTGATGAAAACAGAGGCCTTCTGTTTCAGTCATTGTTGTATCTCCATTGCCTAGACCAGTACTAGGCATATAGTAGGCAGTCCATAAATGTCTTTGAATAAATGAATGAATTAATGAACAGATAGATGCTGCAAAATGAATCATTTGATGGACAAACAGTCTTTCTGGAACAGGGAAGAATGACTGAATGGTGGCTTCCCAATTTGACCCCTTGGAGAGGTGAGAAGGTCAATCTAGTTGTAAGATGTTCGTGTACACCCCACTCCTGTCTCCTCCTTATGGCTGGACATCTAGAGGACATCACTGCCTCATTCTCCCCAGAGAATGTCTTGACTAAGAATGTCTTGACCTTAGTTCCTCATCCTGGTATTACCACTCCTATTTTTATTTTCTTGTCCTTCCTTGATGGAAATTAAATAGATTTCTCTATTTTTCAAACCCTGCCAAATGCTAAAATTTGAAATTATGGCACATATAGGCAGTCAGTTGTTGTTTGAGATTTCATAATGCCACTTAAACTTAATAAAGGAGCCTCTAAATCTGTTCTTAGGTTCCCCCATATGCACTGTAAAAATCTTTTCTGAAACCAATTCCCCATCCCCATAAGAATGATACATTCTATACTATGATGAACTGTAACTGAACTATAATATATTGAATGTAATATATTTTTATTTTGCCTAGAAGTTAATGCTGATGACCTATGTTTACTTTTGTAATAAATACAAGGGGAAAAAAGCAAAAATAAACTGCTTAAAGACAGGTAGGGAAAGAGTTTGGAACATCTGCCCTATGTACAGAAAGCTTTGTTACAGAACAGAGAAGACCCTAGGCAAAAGAGGTTTTCAAAGCATGCTTGGGTTTAATGACCTCAAAGATTTTATAACAAAAATCATATATAAAAAGACTTTATTTCTACATTCTGGAGGAGAAGACTATAGAAATATTTTGAAAGCTCTCATTACAGGTTTATACACGGTGAACATTTTTTAAGCTGAATAAATTGTAAGTAATAATATGTCACAGAAATAAAATGTCCACTAATATTGAAATGTTTGGACTTTGCCCAGATGACCTCACAATATTTTTCATTTATTCAACACATATCTAGTGACTATATATTAAGAATATATGTATTTTGTATTGACTTAACCATATTCCATTATATTTTTCTTAAGATAGAATAAAAACAAAAACTATATTGCTCACTGTGTTAGCCTGTTCAGGCTGCCATAATAAAATGTCAAGACTGATATTAAAACTGGGTGGTTGAAACAACAGACATTTATTTTCCCACAGTTCTGGAGGCTTGAAGTTTGAGACCTGAGTGTCAGCATGGTCAGTTCTGTTGAGGCCCCTCTCTCTAGCTTGTAGGCAGCTGCCAGCTCACTGGGTGCTCACATGACATCATTTGTGTGCCTGCTTAATCAAAATAGGAAGGCAACTTGCATGCTAAAGGAGAGTTAGCATTTTCCGTAAAGCTTGTAGCATTTTAGTAGCTCAATTAATCCATCCTAGGGACAAACATCATTTTCTCCTTCAAACTGAATCCTCTAGGGAAGTAGGTTATTTATTTATCAGTTTTCATAAAGAAGTAGTATGATTGATAATGGGAAATTAAACCCATTAACCATTAATGTGTTCAGAGCTTCAGGCCCACCCCTGTCATATTCTCTCATCTAACAAATACACATGTATAAAATATCTATCAAGCAAACCAAATGTTCTTCCACAGAAACTTCAAAATAATTATGAGGAGCCATGAACACCTGTCCTCAATACGTTGATGTCAGAGTTTCAAGGCCTAAAATTGTGTTGAATCCAATGCAAATGCAAAAGCATTAAGGATTTTTAAGCAAAATTTGGTAAAAGGTGCCTTCATCCTCTGCCTTAAGATTGGCAAATGGCAAACAAGGGAGGTATTTAAAAGGATCCAAACTCAAAAATAAAAGATTTTTCAACTCAGCCATCTTTAATAAACTACTTCCTCTTTAAGCCAGTCGCAATATTCGATTTGCTTTTCCCATTTCTCAAAGATCTGCATTTTTAAAGCTTCTATAATTTCTGAGAAATAAGTAAATAAGAAAAAAGCATTACCACCCGCATATGCAACAATGAAACAGAAGAGTTATGGGGCATAGATAGAGCCCATGAAACCATGACACTGCTGGCTGGATCGCTCATGGTGATCCCTGTGGTACATATAAGACTTGAAGAATAGGGAGGATTATATGTGTGGAGGAAAGAAAAAAGGCAGGCAACATGGTGCCACCAGAATGAGATCATGTATTAAGAATCTTTTTATAGAAAATAAAATCGTGGATGACTATCTTAATTGTACTAATATTTTCAAAAATAACATTTATATAATTTACTATTTTGTGCATCCATACATACAACTGTCCTATTAGATACACATCTATATGGCTTTGTGGGGACCTGGGGAATGGAAGTGGGTTTGGGATATTACAGAAGAAATTCAAAGAGAAATAAAGATTTTCGATGTTAAATGGAGCACTTTGCTGAAGACTGTCTGGCTTGAAAATGAGGCAACTTTTAAAGAGAAGATATTTTCTATTTCCTCTCCCTCATTTAATACATTAAAACCAGAATAAACAGGGTTTTGAGTCAGGGAAATCCTGGGTAGACAGAGACAGTAAGTAAAAGGAAAGCCTACCTCTGTGGGCTCTGGAAGCTTGTGGAGAGAGAAGGCTGACAGAAGTTAAGCATTAGCTCAAAAGTGATAGACTGTCAACCATGTGCCCTGATGTATTAGTCCGTTTTCATTCCACTATAAAGAACAGCCCAATACTGGGTAATTTATAAAGAAAAGAGATTTAATTGACTCACAGTTCCGCATGGCTGGTGAGGCCTCAGGAAACTTACAATCATGGCGGAAGGGGAACCCAGTATGTCTTACATGGCGGCAGGTGAGAGGAGAGAGTGAGGAAACCACCACTTATAAAACCATCAGATCTCGTGAGAACCCACTCACTGTCACAAGAGCAGCGTAGGGGAAACTGCCTCCATAATCCAATCACTTTCCTGCCTTGACACGTCAGGATTACAGTTCCCTCTCTGGACTCGTGGGAATTACAATTTGAGATGAGATTTGGGTGGGGACAAAGAGCCAAACCATATCACCTTATGTGCACTGTTCTGAGGAATAAGTGGACAGAGATCCGAAGGATAGAGGAAGTTTCTCTTTCCTGGAAAACTGACCTCTGCTTGCTACTGAAGGCTCTAATTCAATGTCTTATATTTTGAATTCTTATATGCTTTTGCCTCAATACCTCCTTCCATCTGATTTCTTCTAAACACACACTGCGATTTAGCATATCTTATTTATATTTAGGTGCCAGTCAAGGAATTGCATTAAGGTCTGAACAAGCCAGTAACTGATCAGCAAGTTACAGGTAATATTTTATAACTCAATTGCTCATCTCATTTTTATGATGCCATAGAACCTGTGGAAAGTTCTAGCATCTGTTCCCAAAGTGCCACATCATTATTGAAGTTTCATGGGATTGTGGAAACATTATGAAATTTAAATAAAACCTGTTAAACAGAACTAGGTTCCTATTGTGCCTCAGCTTCTTACTAAATGGTTAGAAAGAATAAGTAACACCTAAATCTCCATTTCTTCTACAGTAGTAAGAGGATATTATTAACTTTGTATGATTAATAAGATTAAAGGTAATATATGCAAAGAACTTGAACATGGTCATCATTCAATAAATAGAAAAAATATTTTACATTTGCAGCAGCCTTAATATTATGTTAGCAGCCTTAACTTATAGTCATTTCATTTCATTTACATCCACAGACTGGGAAAAGGAAGTTATCAGTAGAATTTTAAAAATTCAATAGTTAGGAAGCATAAATACTTTATGCCATGATTTTATTAAAATCACAGAAAAAAACACTTATAGCCCACTTATTCTAATAGCTAACATATTTAATGACACTCTCATTAACAATATGTCACTAAGTTACAATAATTAAACTGAACTGGGTCTCACACATGAAGCTGGATTTTAAAAGCAGTATTTTATAACAAAAAAGCTGACACAATATCTTACTAATTCCTTTATATTAAGACTTCTTACTGTGAATTAATTGCTACCCTAGAGGATTAAAATAGTTGAGAGCTTTTCCCTGCACTAAGTTAAGCCACATCACTTAGAACCAAGTTATGCAGTAACAGTAATATTCAAAGGAATGGAAAAGGCCTTGACTTTTAGTGTAATAGTATTTTAATGGCAGATATTCTTCAGTATGATACTAATTTTATTACTGCTGATATTTGGGTTACTAAAAGATGATTCACTTTTTAACTTTTAATTTAGGTTCGGGATACCTGTGAAGGTTTGCTACATAGGTAAACTCATGTCAGGGGGGTTGTTGTACAGATTATTTCATGCCCTAGGATTTAAGCCCGGTACCCCATTACCTTTTCTGCTCCTTTCTCTTCTCCCAGCCTACACCCTAAAGTAGCCTAAATGATCTGTTGTTTCCTTCTTTGTGTTACTAAGTTCTTATCATTTAGCTCTGACTTACAAGTGAGAACATGAGGTATTTGGTTTTCTGCTCTTGTGTTATTTTGCTAAGGATAATAGCCTTCAGCTCCATCCATATACCGGCAAAATACATGATAGTGTTACTTTTTAATGGCTGCATAGTATACCATGGTGTATCTGCACCACATTTTCTTTATCCAATCTGTCATTGATGGGTATTTAGGTTGATTTCATGTCTTTGTTATTGTAAATAGTGTTGCAACGAACATTCACATGCATATATCTTTATGGCAGAATGATTTCAATTCCTCTGGATATATACCAAGTAATGGTATTGCTGGATCGAATGGTAGTTCTGCTTTTAGCTGTTTGAGGAATAGCCATACTGCTTTCCACAATGGTTGAACTAATTTACACCACCACCAACAGTGTATAAGTTTTCCCCTTACTCCACAACCTCACCAGCATCTGTTATTTTTTGACTTTTTAATAATAGCAATTCTCACGGTGTGAGATGTATTGGCAGTTGCTTAAAATATTAAGGATAGAATTATATGACCCAACAATACCCTTTAAGTGTATATACCCAAAAGAACTGAGAGCAGGGACTCAAACACACTTGTGTTTTTGATTTGCATTTTTCTAATGATCAGTGATAATGACCTTTTTTTCATATGCTTTTTGGCTCCATGTATGTCTTCTTTTGAAAAGTATCTGTTCATGTCTGTTGGCCACTTTTTAATGAGGTTATTTGTTTTCTTCTTGTAAATGTGTTTAAGTTCCTTATAGATGCTGGATATTAGACCTTTATCTAATGTATAGTTTGCAAGTATTTTCTCTTATTCCGTGGGTTATCTGTTTACTCTGTTGGTAGTTTCTTTGGCAGCGCAGAAGCTCTTAAGTTTAATTGGATCCCAACTGTCAATTTTTGCTTTTGTTGCTATTGCTTTTCATGTGTTTGTCATAAAATTTTTGCCTGTTCCTATGTCCAGGATGGTTGATTAGATTGTCTTCCGGGGTTTTTATAGTTTTGGGTTTTACATTTAAGCCTTTAATCCATCTTGAGTTGATTTTTATGCATGGTGTAAGGAAGGGTTCCAGCTTTATTCTTCTGATATGGTTAGCCAGTTATCCTAGCACTGTTTATTGAATCTGGAGACTTTTTTCCATTGCTTGTTTTTGTCAGCTTTTTTGACGATCAAGTGGGTGTAGGTATGTGGCCTTATTTCTGGGCTCTCTGTTCTGTTCCATTGGTCTATGTGTCTGTTTTTGTACCAGTACCATGTTTTTTGGTTACTGTAGCCCTGTGGTATAGTTTGAAGTCAGGTAATGTGATACCTCCAACTTCGTTATTTTTGCTTAGTCTTTCCTCTGCTATTCAGTCTCTTTTTGGGTTCCATATTAATTTTTAAATAGTTTTTTCTAGTTCTGTGAAGAAAGTCATTGGTAGTTTGACAGGAATAGCATTGAATCTGTAAATTTCTTTTGGCAGTATGGTGATTTTAATGATATTGATTCTTTCTATCCATGAGCATGGAATGTTTTTCAATGTGTTTGTGTCTTCTCTGATTTATTTGAGCAGTGTTTTGTAATTCTCACTGTAGAGTTCTTCCACCTCCCTTGTTAGCTGTATTCCTAGGTATTTTGTTCTTTTTATGGCAATTGGAAATGAAATTGCCTTTCTGATTTGGCTCTCAGTTTGGGCGTTGTTGGTGTATAGGAATTATAGTGATTTTTGTACATTGATTTTGTATTCTGAAACTTTGCTGAAGTTGTTTATCAGCTGAAGGACCTTTTGGGCTGCAACTATGGGGTTTTCTATATATAGAATAATATCATCTGCAAACAGAGATGGCTTGACTCCCTCTCTTCCTATTTGGATGCCTGTATTTCTCTCTCTTGCCTGATTGCTCTGGTTAGGACTTCCAATGCTGCGTTGAATAGGAATGGTGAGAGACCACATCCTTGTCTTGTGCCAGTTTACAGGGGAACGCTTCCAGCTTTTGCCCATTTTATATAATGTTGGCTACAGGTTTGTCATAGATGACTCATTATTTCACAGTATGTTACTTCAATACCTTGTTTATTGAGAGTTTTTAACATGAAGTGGTGTAAAATTTTATCAAAAGCCTTTTCTGCATCTATTGAGAAAATCGTGTGGATTTTATTGTTAGTTCTGTTTATGTGATGAATTAAATTTATTGATTTGGTTATGTTGAACCAACCTTACATCCCACGGATGAAGCCTACTTGACTGTGGTGGATTAGCTTTTTCTTGTGCTGCTGGATTCGGTTTGCCAGTATTTTGTTGAGGATTTTTGCATTGAGGTTTATGAAGGATATTGGCATGAAGTTTCCTTTTTTTGTTTTGTCTGATAGGTTATGGTATCAGGATGATGCTGGTCTCATACAATGAATTGGGGAGGAGTCCCTCTTCCTCAGTGTTTTGGAATAGTTTCTGTAGGGATGGTACCAGCTCTTCTTTGTATATCTGGTAGAATTTGGCTGTGAATCCATCAGGTCCTGGGCTTTTTTGGTTGGTAAGCTATGTATTACTGATTCAATTTTGGAGTTCATTATTAGTCTGTTTGGGGTACCAATTTCTTCCTTGCTCAGTCTTGGGAGCATGTATGTGTCCAGGAATGTATCCATCTCTTCTAGGATTTCTACTTTGTGTGCATAGAGGTGTTTGTAGTTGTTTCTGGTGATTATTTTTATTTCTGTGGGGTTGGTAGTTACATTTGCATTGTCATTTCTAATTTTGTTTATTTGGATCATGTCTTCTTTATTAGTCTAGCTATGGCCTATCTATCTTATTAGTTTTTTTTCAAAACAACAACAACAACAACAACTCAGATTCATTGGTCTTTTGAATGGTTTCTCATGTCTTGATTTCCTTCTCTTCATGTATGATTTTGGTTATTTCTTGTCTTCTGCTAGCTTTGGGGTTGATTTGTTTTTGCTTCTCTAATTTTTTCCATTGTCATGTTAAGTTGTTAGATGACATCTTTCTAACTTGTTGATGTGAACATTTAGTGCTATGAATTCACTTATTAACACTGCCTTAACTTTTAACAACTATGTTTGTTCTCATTAGTTTCAAATAACTTCTTGATTTCTGCCTTAACTTAATTATTTACCCAAAAGTAATTCAGGAGCATGTTGTTTAATGTCCATGTGATTGCATGGTTTTGAGTGATTTTCTTAGTCTTGACTTCTATTTTTATTGCACTTTGGTCCAAGAGTGTGTTTAGTATGATTTTGGTTCTTTTGCATTTGCTGAGGTTTGTTTTATGTCCAATTATGTGGTCAGTTTCATAGTATGTGTCATGTGGTGATGAGAATAATATATACTCTATTGTTTGGGGGTGAGGAGTTCTGTAGAGGTCTATTAGATCCATTTGGTCCAATGTTGAGTTTAGGTCCTGAATATCTTTGTTAATTTTCTGCCTCGATGATCTGTCTTAACTGTCAGTGGAGTGTTAAAGTCTCCTTGTATTATTGTGTGGAGTTCTCTTCGTAGGACCCTAAGAACTTGCTTTATAAATCTGGCTACTCCCATGTTGGGTACATATATATTTAGAAGTTAGGTCTTCTTGCTGAATTGAACCCTTTATCATTATGTAATGCCCTTCTTTTTTTTTTCATCTTTGTTGGTTTGAGGTCTGTTTTGTCTGAAATTGGGATAGCAACCCCTACTTGTTTCTGCTTTCCATTTGCTTTGTAGACTTTCCTCCATCCCTTTATTTTGATCCTATTGATGTCATTACATGTGAGATGGGTCTGTTGAAGACAGCATACCATCGGATCTTGCTTTTTTATCCAGCTTGCCACTCTTCATTTTTAGTGGGGCATTTAGCCCATTTACATTAAAGGTTAATATTGATATGTGTGGATTTGATCCTGTCATTGTGTTGTTAGCTGTTACTATGTTGGCTTGTATGGATGCTTTATATTACTGGTATATGTGTTTAAGTGTGCTTTTGTATTGGCTGGTAGCAGTCTCTCCTGTCTCATTCTGTTGCCCAAGCTGGAGTGCAGTAATGTGATCTCAGCTCACTGCAACCTCTGCCTCCCAGGTTCATGTGATTCTCACGCCTCAGCCTCCCGAGTAGTTGGGACGACAGGCACACACCACTATGCTCAGCTATTTTTTGTATTTTTAATAGAGACAGGGTTTTGCCATGTTGGCAAGGCTGGTCTCAAACTCCTGACCTCAAGTGATCCACCCACCTCAGCTTCCCAAAGTCCTGAGAGTATTACAGGAGCCATGGCACCTAGCCTAGTGCTCCTTTCCAGATCTCTTGTAAGGCACGTCTGGTGGTAACAAACTACCTCAACATTTGCTTATATGAAAAGGATCTTATTTCCCCTTTGCTTAGGAAGCTTAGTTTGGCTGGATATGAAATACTTTGTTGAAGATTTTTTTCTTTAACAATGTTGAATATAGGCCCCCAGTCTCTACTGGCCTGTATGGTTTCAGCTGAGAGCTCAGCTGTTAACCTGATGTTGTTCCCTTTGTAGGTGATGTGCCCTTTCTCTCCAGCTGCCTCTAACATTCTTTCTTTCACTTTGACCTTGG
Source organism: Homo sapiens (assembly GCF_000001405.40). Classification (NCBI taxonomy): domain Eukaryota; kingdom Metazoa; phylum Chordata; class Mammalia; order Primates; family Hominidae; genus Homo; species Homo sapiens. Next base: position 63,460,682 of record NC_000005.10, on the reverse strand, counting down.
AAAATCTGATGATTATGTGTCTTGGTGATGCTCTTCTTCTGTGGAATCTTGCAGGCATTCTCTGTATTTTCTGAATTTGGCTGTTGGCCTCTCTAGCAAGGTTAGGGGAGATATTTGTGGATGATATCCTGAAATACATTTTCCAAGTTGTTTGCTTTCTCTTCCTCCCTTTCAGGGATGCCAATGATTGGCTTCTTTATATAATCGCATAATTCTCAAAGGTTTCATTCATTCCTTTTTAAAATTATTTTTCTTTATTTTTGTCTGTCTTATTTCATAGAACCAGTCTTCAAGTTCAAGTTCTAAGATTATTTCCTTAGCTTGATTCATTTTGGTATTAATACTTGTGATTGCACTGTGAAATTCTTGTATTTTGTTATTTAGCTCTATCAGACCCATTAAGTTCTTTTTTATGCCAGCAATTTCATACTCAGTGTATCACTCTATTGCGATTCTTTTCACTTGGCTTGGGTTTTGCTATCCTGCTGAATCTTGATGATCTTCATTCTCATCCATATTCTGAATTGTATTTCTGTCATTCTAGCCAGTTCAGCCTAGCGAGAGTTAAGAACTCTTGTTGGAGAATTGGTGCAGTCATTTGGAGGACATATGACACTGGCCATTTGGGTTACTGGAGTTCTTTCATTGCTTCCTTCTCATCTCTGTATGTGGGTATTCCTTTAACTGCAGTGTAGATTGAGTACAGTCAATAAACTTATTTTCTGGATGTTTTCACTGGGCTGAGGCTTTGTGCAGGAACTTTATTTGAAGCTGACTTATTGTCTCTGGTTTCAGAGACGGGTATGTTAGAGAGGTATTTTTGGTGTTGAAGCTTTGGGCTGTGATCCAGTAGGTGGCACTTAGGCTTATTGGGCAGTGGGTAAAATGGCTCAGTTGTGTGGCTCCCCTGTGTTTCCTTACGCTTGCAGCTGTGTTCCCTCTCAATGCCCTGAAAGTGTGGGTTCCTCTCCCCGTTGAGTGCTGGCTGTAGATCACAGCTTGGCACTCCTGGGCTGCCCACTGTAGCTCTGTAGCAATCTCAGTATTTATGCTCCTTCCCCAACTTGGAGGCAGCAAAGGAAGGGACCTTAGTAGTCACTGCGGCCAAGGGTCTTTTGCTTATCTCCTCAGTGCTCCACCCAAGAGAAATTCAGGTCAGCAATCGCTCAGTGCAATTAGCCCAGGATGAAGGGTCTGTGCTGTGGGCCCAAGCCAGGGATTTCTTGTCTGTTGACAAACAGTGGGGGTGAGGGGGTGGGACCCATGGGAGATGGACTGTCCTCCTCTCCTTGGGTCGATTGCAGCTTGTTGGAGGTGTGGATAAAGCAATTAGAGTCTTTGTTCCTTCATTATTCTGAGGGTAGCAAGACCAGTTCCACTGAAGAAGCAGTGGCAAAGAAGCTTTCAATTTTCCCCAGAGACTCCACCCAGGCAGTTGCCAAGTTGCTACTGACTTAATAGCTCCAGCGGCAAGTGGCTGGAGGCCCAGGCCTGAAGGACCTGTCCAGTGAGGAGTTATGGGAACAGGCACCCATGTAACAGTCTGGCCACCTTCCCAAAGGGCTGCTGCAGTATGCTGGGGGCTTGCTCCATTCCCTAGTCACCTCAAATTTTCTAGTACCTGGAGGTATCAACCAGTGAAGGTGGCAAAAAAGCAAAGACAGCAGCCTGGCCCTCCCTCTGGGAGCTCCACCCCAGGGAGGTATGGACCTACTGCCAGCCCCAATGCAACTGTAGGACATGGCTGGAAATCACAGTTTGGAGGTCCTGCTCAATGAGGAGGAATGGGATTGGGGACCCAATTTAAAAAGCAGTCCGGCCACATTTTTGTAGAGCAACTGTGCTGTGCTGGGGGTCCGCTTCAGCACCTGGTTACCTCAAAGACTCCAAACCCCAATGCCCAGGATAGTTAAATCACTCAAACAGCAAAGATGGCAGCCAGCCCCTCCCCTGGGAGCTCTGTACCAGGGAAGTTTTCAGTCTCTATGGTTGGAGTGCACTGGCATGGGTGGCTGAAGACCCCATTTGGGAGGTCCTGCCCAGTGAGGTGGAATGGGATTGGTGACTCACTTTACAAAGCTGTCTGGCTACATCTTCCCACAGCAGCTGTGCTGTGCTCAGGGACTGCCTCCACCCAAGTAAGCTCAGATTCTCCAAACCCGAAGACTGGAAAGGCTAAGTTGCCCAAACAGCAAAGATGGTGGCCTGCCCCTCACTCCAGGAGCTCCATCCAGTGGGGTGCAACATTGCTACCAGTGGCTGGCTGAAATTCCAAGCTAGTGGGTCTTATTCTGTGAGGTGTTGTGGAAGTGAGGCCTACAGATTATCACTGCTCAGCCCCCTAGATTCAGCCTCTTTCCTAGGGGTATGTATAATGGTCTAACCTCCCACTTTGCCAGAGTTGCAGCTACTTTTGCTGAGAAACCCAGAGAACTTGAGTATCTAAGGCTCCTGGGTTTCTGTGCACACCTGACCAGCTGCTCTGACGAGACTCTAAGTAATTTTGTTTGTCAGACCGGTGGAGTGGGTTCATGAGGAGGCCTCCTGACCTGAGGGTTGCAAAGATCCGAGGGAGAGGCATGGGTTCCTGGGGTTAAACATTCACTCACCACTTCCCTGGGTGGGGGAAGTTCCCTTGGCGACATGTCATTCCCAGGTGGGTCATCATCCTACCTTGCTTTTCTCCATTCTCCATGGGTTGTTTCCTTTATTAGGCTCAATGTGAGTAGCTGGATGTTTCAGTTGAAGGTGCTATATTTACTCACCCCTTCCATTCCTCTTCATGAGAGCCATGCACACTAGCTGCTTCTAGTCCTGATTAATTTTTAGAAGGTTCAAGACTGGAGCATACTTTTACGGTATTGTATAGGGCTTACTTTTGTATCTTTGCTTAGCACATAGCATTAGATATATTCTAGGTGTCTGAAAAAGCTTTGTTAAGTTCAATCACTACAGGAGCCTAAACTGGACATTTAGAGGAACTGTCTAGCAAAATTAAGTAACTTGGTGAAAATACAGTTAATGATAAATGGATTTCCCTAAAGCATCACCCTATTTGAAGATGATAATTTACAACAAAACAAGGCTAATGATGACAGGTATGTTACATGTAGTATCTTAAATTCTTACCACAAGCCTAACAAGTTTGATATCACTACCATATACAAGAGTAAAGAAAAAATGCTTAGTCATAAAAAAAACAAAAGTAGGAAGTGGGCAAATTGGGAAGTGGGGTTTTATCCCAAACTTGCCTGTCTCCAGATTCTGTATTCTTTTACTCTGTGTTTTTATAGTCTTATTAATTGGGAGCCTAAGTAAATCTGAAGAGACTTAAAACTAATATATATTGGATATATTTGTTATTTGCCTTCAGCTGTATATTTTATTTCTGTGGAAAACAGACAATAACAACACAGGCTAGATAGTTATTTAATTACTTGATCTATTCAGTAGGCCTAAAAGGATCTTCAAAATTATAATTCATTTCCTCATTTGACTGGTGAGAAAACCAAGGTAGTCTTATAGAAGTGAATTAAAATTCCCGTGCTTAATAAATGATAGAGCTAATGTCTTTGCCCAGTCTTCTGGCTCCAAGTCCAATATTTTTTCTAGATGCTAGATGGTTTGGAAATAGAATATTTAAAAATTATCCTCATATGAATAAAATTAATTTTTGTCACTTTGGGTATTCATATTGAAGTACCCTCTATTTGCATGTTCAGTAATTGTTATTATACATAAATTGGCTTCTGATGATTTAAAGGATTTTATCTTAAACAGGACTACATTTTTCTTTTGCTTGAATTTGCAATTTTATCTATGAAATATAGCAAATATACAGAAAGTTATAGAAAAATTATAAGCAATTTCTGTGTGCTTACCACAGATAATAAATAAATACTAACCTATCTGTGTTGATTCTTTCTGGTAAAACTGAGTAAACTGTTACAGAATTAAAACCACACCTTAACCCTTTAACTTTCTTTCCTAATCCAAATGGGATCACTATCCAAAAGCTGATACACAATTTAAATTCATACCACATCATGGAATTCATAGCAATGTTTAGGTCAATGAGAGACTGCATTTATGATGGTGGTCCCATAAGATTATAATGTAGCTGAAAATTTCCTATCACCTAGTGATATTTTAGCCGTAGTCATTGCAATGGCTTAGCACAACTCATTACTCATACTTTTGTGGTCATGCTAGTATAAACAAACCTGCTGTGCTGCCAATTGTATGAAAGTGTAACACATAGTATTATACATAATACTTAATATAATACATAATACTTGATAATGATAACATATGACTATGTTACTGGTTTATGTATTTACTCTACTGTATATTCTATCATTATTTTAAAGTGTACTCCTTCTACTTTTTAAAAAAATGTTAACTATAAAATAGCCTCAGGCAGGCCCTATAGGAGGTATTCCAGAAGAAGGCATTGTTATCAAAGATGATGACAGCCCCATGAGTGTTATTTTCCCTGATGACCTTCCAGTAATACAAGAAGTGGGGTGGAAGACAGGATATTGATAATCTTGACCCTGTGTAGGCCTGGGCTAATTTATGTACTTGTATCTTAGTTTTATTATTATTATTATTATTATTATTATTATTATTATTATACTTTAAGTTTTAGGGTACATGTGCACAACGTGCAGGTTAGTTACATATGTATACATGTGCCATGTTGGTGTGCTGCACCCATTAACTCGTCATTTAACATTAGGTATATCTCCTAATGCTATCCCCCCGCCTCCCCACACCCCACAACAGGCCCCAGTGTGTGATATTCCCCTTCCTGTGTCCATGTGTTCTCATTGTTCAATTCCCACCTATGAGTGAGAACATGCAGTGTTTGGTTTTTTGTCCTCGCAGTAGTTTGCTAAGAATGATGGTTTCCAGCTTCATCCATGTCCCTACAAAGGACAGGTGCTGGAGAGGATGTGGAGAAATAGGAACACTTTTACACTGTTGGTGGGACTGTAAACTAGTTCAACCATTGTGGAAGTTAGTGTGGCGATTCCTCAGGGATCTAGAACTAGAAATACCATTTGACCTAGCAATCCCATTACTGGGTATATACCCAAAGGATTATAAATCATGCTGCTATAAAGACACATGCACAAGTATGTTTATTGTGGTACTATTCACAATAGCAAAGACTTAGAACCAAGCCAAATGTCCAACAATGATAGACTGGATTAAGACAATGTGGCATATGTATCTTAGTTTTTAAGAAAAAATGTTCAAAAAATGTTAAAAATAGAAAAAAAGTTGGCCAGGCTCAGTGGCTCATGCCTGTAATCCTAGTGTTTTGAGAGGCTGAGTCTGGAGGATTACTTGGGGCCAGGAGTCCAAGACCAGCCTAGGCAACATAGGAGACCTCCACCTCTACAAAAAGAAAAAAATATTTAAAAAATTACAGGCATCGTGGCATACACCTGTAGCCCTATTTACTCAGGAGGCTGAGACGGCAGGATCTTGCAGTGTTCTATGATCATACCACTGCATTCCATCCTGGCAACAGAGCAAGTCCCTGTCTTAAAAAAAAAACATAAAAAATGAAATATTTTTGTACAGCTGGACAATGTGTTTGTGTTTTAAGATGAGTGTTATTACAAGAGTCAAAAACTTAAAAAAAAAGTTTGTAAAGTCAGAAGTTACAGTGAACCAAGGTTAATTTATTATTGAAGAAAGAAAAAATATTTTTATAAATTCAGTGTAGCCTAAGTGTACAGTGGTTATAAAGTCTACAGCATATTTGCTAATACGGTACACTTAAAAATGTTCTTGCTTCTCCATGTGATTTACTTCAATCAACTGCAAATTACTAAAATCACTTATTTTCTAGAAAAGCATCTTTCTCTAAAGGTAATTTTATATATATTGAGCACCTTATACTTCTGTGAGACCATGTCCACAATCTTTCTAATTACCTAGAGCTTCGGGTGAAATGCTCATTTGAGTGCCATCGTAATCCTTTGAGAGGTCTTTTAAAAATGCATGACAGTCACACCCTTGATTTGATCTTCACACTGAGACTTTCTTGGTGACACCCTGGATTTAACCTGTTTACTAAGGTTGTGTTTTAATGGCCACATTTTTTATTGGAAAAAATTATTTTGTTCTAAAATTTCTTGGCTTTCTATGAGCTTTCTCAATATTCATTACAACCTAAGCTTACTTCTGAGCTTATTTCTTTTTTTTAATATATCCTGTCAAATGCAGCTAGTAATTACAAGCCTACACTTCTAATATTTTTTCTTGAAATCTTCTGTAATTCTAGGAGTTCGCTAGGTAAAATTATTTGCCTTCTGGACTACCACAAATGAGTCACACCAAAATATGTAGCCATTACATAGCATGAGCCATATTTTTCTAGCCTCCTTAAAAAAATTTACTCTTCCTCACCACCTAGTCCCAAAACAAATTCAACATATTTTAGGTTTTAGTTAGGGCAGCACTACAACTGCAGATATCAGTTGCTGTATTGGTTAGCCAATGTCACAATAATGCTATATAAAATCATCTCAAAATTCAGTGGCTTAAAATGATTATTGATTCTTACTCACATGTCTGAGGTCAGCTAGGAGTTTGCTGATCTAGGTTGATTTAGGGTGTCTTGGCTCTAACCTTCAGGTTGAGTACCAGTCTGCTCCTCACTCACATCTCTTATCTTTCTTGGGCTAGTGGGCCAGCTATAGCGGGTTCTTGTGGTGATGGAAGAAGCATAAAAGATGTGTTTCAACTTTCTACTTGTATCCCATCTGTTAGCATTCATTGGACACAGCAAGTCACAGGGCCAACCCCAAAGTCAAAAGATAAGAAATTACACTCCATCACTAACAAGAGGAGCTGCAGATTCCATAGGATTTGAATGGATCTGAGGGGTGAGAGTAGGTAAAAGAACCAAATATTGGAGCCAATAATTCAATATTCACAGTAATCTAATAGAGCAGAAAGCAAAATCAGGTTACACAATACAAACAGATCAGCAAAAGTATTCTAATGTTTCCAGATCCCAAGTTTATGCTTAGGGCACAGCCAGGTAAAGAAGTTAATGTCTAGGTGAACATGGGTCATAGCAGAACTTATGACAACTGAATTGCTCTCTTTCAAGCCAAGTCTTATGTATAAAAAGTCAGATGACATGTAGAGTAGTCAGGAAAGGAATGCCAGACTACATCATTTGGGCCAGGTTTACTTCTGAATCTCAATACAATTATAAATTATGAGAGGAGCATCTACTATGTTAGGCTCAGGCATTGACACTGTCCCATTACCACTTTCAATTTTTCTGGCCTAAACAAATGCTTTGTAAAGAAGTTTCACATTGTCTATTAATTTTTCTTTTTAGGAAAATTATTGTTTTAGTTCTACTAAAGATTAAAGATGTATATTTTAAACTCTGGGAAACCAATTTTCTTTTTGTTTGTGTGTGTGTGCGTGTGATGAAGTCTCGCTCTTGTCCCCTAGGCTGGAGTGCTATGGTGAGATCTTGGCTAACTGCAACCTCCACTACCCAGGTTCTAGCGATTCTCCTGTCTCAATCTCCCAAGTAGCTGAGATTAGAGGCACCTGCCACCATGCCAGGCTAATTTTTGTATTTTTAGTAGAGACGGGGTTTCACCTTTTTGGCCAGGCTGGTCTCAAACTCCTGACCTCAGGTAATCCACCCGCCTCAGCCTCCCAAAGTGCTGGGATTACAGGTGTGAACCACTGCGCCCGGCCTGGAAACCACTATTTTTTTTAAATGAGGCACAAATAAAAAGCCAATAGTGAAAGTAAAATAGAATGATAATATTCAACTAGTTTCAAAAAGGAAAAAGAAAAAAGTCAAAGGAGAAATTGAATAAGTAGAAAACAACTGGCAAGATGGTACATTTTAAGCAAACCATCAATAATTATACCAAGAAAAAAGTCTAAGTATACCTATTAAAAGACAGAGTTTTTAATATTGGATTAAAAAAAGTAAAACCTAATTATGTACTTTATGAAACATTTAAATATCAAAATATGTATGTGGTAAGAGTAGAAGGATTTTAAAAAGCTATAAATTGTTAACACTAACCCAACACATATGAGAACAGCTGTATTATTATCAAAGTGGACTTCAAAGCAATATTATCTGAGACAGAGAAATATTACATAAAAAGAGAGGTCATTTGTTAAAAAGACATGACACTTCTAAGTGTGCATGGACTTTAACACAGCATCAAAGCATATGAAGCAAAAACTAATAAAACTAATTAGAAAAAATTCATAATTTTAGATAACATTTCTCTGGTGATTGATAAATGGACAGAAAATCAATGAGCATATGGAAGACTTAAACATTATCAAGAAACACAACCTACCTAATATTTACATACCATTCACCAAACAAGGGAATATACAGTCTTTCCAAGAACGAATGAAATAGTCACCAAACTAAACCATATCTGGCCCATACAACAAAATTTAACAAATCAAAAAGAATTTAATGATGCAAAGTATGTTCTCAGCCAATATAGCTGTTAAATCAAAAGCCAATACCAAAACAACATTTGGAAAACCCTCACATATTTGAAAATCAAACAGTAGACTTTTAAATAATTTATAAGAAAAAATAGAAAACACAAGAAAATAGAATTACTACACACAAACACACACATAGATATAGATAGATAGATAGATAGATAGATGATAGATAGATAGATAGATAGATGATAGATAGATAGATAGATAGATAGATAGATAGATAGATTTTTTTTTTTTTGAGAGAGAGTCTCACTCTATCATCCAGGTTGGAGTGCAGTGGGGCAGTCTTAGCTTACTGCAGCCTCTGGCTCCCAGGCTCAACCAATCAATCTACCTCAGCCTCCAGAGTAGCCAGGACTACAGGCACGCCCCACCACACACAAATAATTTTTGTTTTTATTGGATATTGGGTTTTACCGTGTTGGCCAGGCTGCTCTTGAACTCCTGAGCTCGGGCAATCTGCCCACCTCGGCCTCCCAAAGTGCTGGAATTACAGGCAGAGGCCACCATGCCTGGCACAAAAATAGAATATATTTTTAATTTAATGAAATTAAAACATACATTAGAATTTATGGGAGGCAGCTAAAGTAGTGTTGACAAACACGTGGAACTCACATGTATTGCAAATGGGAATGCAAATAGTATGGTCATTTTGGTAAACAGTTTGGTAGCTTCTTATAAAGTTAAATATAAACTTACCATAAGACCCAGCTAACACATTCCCTATTATTTACCCAAGATAAGCAAAAATGCTGACATATAATAATGTACCTGAGTTTGTTTTTAAAACTGTTAATGAGATTCTTTAATGTCTAATTGCTACCATGGGTTTTTAGTGAGAGCTGTTTAAATAAAGTATGTTTAGGAATTAGAATTTGGGGCTTGGATTACTCATATCTCTGTGTATTTGGAGCATATCTGAAATCACTTGCTAAAAATAATATTGTTCTGACCGTGAAACATTTCTGCAACAGAGATATGATGGCTTTCTATTAAGTCACTTAGTTTTGTGGATATCAACCAATCCTTAAAGTATATAGAGCTCTGCCTAACTATTGATATTAGCACTGTACCACAGTATTTCAAGAAGAATATACAATTTCCTATGGCTCAAGAGAGAAAAATAATGTTAATAAAAACAATTCTTTAAAGTATGCAGTTCAAAACTTTGTAACTTGAGACAACTGTTAGAGTTACACAAATTAGATTTACCATTTATTTTAAACTTGGTGTGATTTAAACTTCATTAGACTTGTTTTTTATCAAGTGTCAACTCTAATTATGGGAAAGTATACATATATATGTGTATATATGTTCTAATATGTCCTAAATATCACCTTTCTACATATGTGTGGTAGAGAGGCCATCAAGTATGTTTGATAATAAATGGTTTTGGACTAGGTTAGACTCTTTTCAGTCACCTTCTAGAACTAGGTCTGCTTTTGAACATCCCTCTCTTATGCCACCTCTATACTAACATTGCCATTACCTTTTTAGAAATTAAAATTTAATCTAATAATGGAAAACTCTCCTTTTAAATAACAAATATTTGTTCAGTGATTCCTATTCATATACTGAAAGAAAATTTAAGTGAGCCAAATTCAACTGCCAAAAATAGTCTGTATATTCAGATTCTTAGAAAGTGCTATGACATATTATAATTCCTTATATTGATGTTTTGAATCAATAAATCTTGACCTCCTACCAACATTAGTATTGAATTATTATAAAATATGTGAAATGAGTACCCACCCCACTGAATACTTAGTCCTTGGTTTTTCTCACTAGTAATGAAGTTGTTAAACACTGTGTAACCAAAACTAGAATTCTTTCTCTATTTATAGTTACACATGTAATCCATTAAGAAAAAAATATTGTCTTCTTTTATAATTTATGAATGCATAAATATCAGAGACCCTTTGTGAAATAAGCCATTTCCAAAAATTCATGCACTGATATAATCTTGCCCTATAACTGTTTAGATAATATGAAAATCCAACAAGTGATTTCTTCAGGCTGAAATTATGTGTGCTGATGTCCTACTCCATGATTGCACAAGGACCCTGATAAGTGCAAATGCAGTAAAATGTTAAACAAATAATGTTCCCTCCTTCAAAATATACTGATTTTGGCATGCAGTTCACTGATATCTACAAACATAGTCTATGTACTAGTTACCAAAAGTGATGGTATGATGATGACATTTTTAAAATGACATTGCAGATATGGATCATTACATGTATTATAAATAATAACATAATATAGATATTTCTGGCAGCTCTATTTTCTGGGTTCCAATTGAACTCAGGGAAGGGAATATAAACTGAAGTTTAATCATAAGATGACCCATAGAAATGTATTTGCCAACCAATAAACGATTACTCTAATGACTAAATATTGAATGCTTAAATGTTTAATGAGATGAATCTTGCTGATGTTATTTTAATTTATATAAAGTGTCATATCCAATGTATGGTGAAAATAATATTTTCTTTCTTATGAAGCATATACTCTTATAACACTTTGGGTCTGAGCGAGGTGTTGAATTTTTTAAATTAATGCCTCACCAAACAGAACTTCTTTTTCCTAAAAAGCCTTGGTAGAAAACAATGATAACCTTACCATTTGATAAGTCTGCTTATGCCTAGCATATAGTATGCCTCTATATGAAGGGACATAAAGATGCCAGACACATTGGCTCATATTCTCATGTCTCTGGTCTCAATTCTAGGAATGTGCTGGAGAATAGGAGCAGAAGATGGCAACCAGGACACCAGAAACTTGATGTAAGTCACCACTGCATATAGAAGTAAGAAATGCTCTTTGAAAGTTCATCCAAAGCAGGATATTCAGACTATTAATGTTCACTTTGAATATCAAAATGGGACAGGGAACAAGGGGTGAAGAAAGGTTACACACTGAGAGTTTCGGCATGTATCAATGAGAAAAGCAAGCTCTGGCCAATAGAATTGTATCAAACCTAAAAATGCCAACATTTTACATAAAATTACACTCACAGATTCACTGTCTGATTAGCAGGAATATATGTATGTATATATAACTTTGTTATTTCTGAGGTTAACATTTACATTTTAGAGAGTAGAATGTGAATTAAAACTAAAAATCTACTAAAACAATTTTAAAACTCTTTAGAATGTATACCTTTTAGTACACTTGACAATTCCTTCGGACTTGTCTTGGATTACTAATCAGATATAGAAGGAAGCCATGGGTTTTTATATTGAAATTATAGTAAAAACTGGAATATGAAATATGAAAGAACAAAAGTACATATTTTGCAGTTCACTATATTTTTATTCTAAATGGGTTTTAATAATTTGAAAAATAGCATATATGTAAAATATTTAAGTAATGATTCTTCAGAGAATTTTACCACCAGCTTCATAGAGATTCACAGTCAGGACAAGTCAGCAGGTCTTTCACCAGTGGGTGATGGTTCACGGTTTAGCTGTGTCTCAAGATCATTACCTACTCTGCATACTATCTAGGTAAAATTATTCTTCTCATTTTCCATTGCTTTTTTAAAGTAGCAGGAAAAGCTGAATAGAAATTTAATTTGTCTTTCGTGTTTAATTGACTTTCATGAGATCTCCAGGTTTCTTCATGTCGGAGTTGTATAATAATGAAAATTTTTATTTTAAAAATTATCAAAACACATAAAAATAATTCTAATTTTGAGTGATTTTTTTGGAATATTTAAATTCACTGTAAAACACCTTTTGTTAGATAGACTTTATCTGACTAATTACTATTTTTTTTCTACTGAGAGACAATATTTTCATATTTGGCTCTTAGACTTTTGTCCTTTAAAAAAATATGAAGGCCACTAGATGAGCATTTCAGTGCTTCCCCATGGATAACTGTGTTCATATTCTTACTAAGAACATATTGCAGATGTCCTTTATCCACACCTTGACACATTTCACCCTTTCTAGAAAAGGAGTCTAGCACCTTCATGCTCCTAGGAAATTTTCTTAATTCAAGCAGAAATCCAGATGCCTTTTGTAAGGGTAAGATAACAGTGGCTATATGTTTAAGTTTCTTGTCCAGAGTTTATACAAAATAATAATAATTTTGTAAAAAAAAATTGGATAATAAAAGGATGAGGAGCTGGATAAAAACTGCACACATACAGGCCCATTATGTATGCAGACATACACGTAATATTAGTTCTTAAGAACAGAGTGCTTAGAGACATGGAAAAAGATATAATCAAATTTTTCTTTATTTGAAATTGAAAGAGTCTTGGAGATAGAAAAAAAGCATGAAAGACTTAACTGAACTGGTAAGTAATAAAGAAGTTAGCAATATAGCATAGACCTTGAGCCCATTAATAAACCACAATAACATTTGGCCAGGGAAAAATTTTTAGGAACTGGGTGGTCAAAGTAATTCAATATTAGAAAGTTTAACTTTTAAAGAAATTACTGTTATACTTATATGTCTTTTTTCTATTCGAAATTTAATCAAAAGTGATATATTACTAATAATAATTACTTTTGTTGAGCATTGACTATGAACCAGGTGCTGTACTAGGCACTCTATTGTCTCATTTGTTAATACAAAGCCACATTAGTCAGTTTACTTATTATTCCTATTTTAGACAAAGAGATTAAGTAAAGGCTCAGTGGTGGTACTGCAGAGAACAAAGGGACAGGAAATAAAATAATATGAATTGCTCCAAAGTCACCGTCTCTAGTCATTTATGCAGAGGTATCAGCACAATGGGAGGCAGATAGCTATGCAGAAATCCCACATTGTTATCAGGCATCAGAGACATACATGAAGTGTGGTACTGACTCAAGAATGATCATAAAATATCCATATTTTCCCACCAAAAACCTAGAAAGACATGATCTTTAAAAAGTGAAGGTGGAAATGGATGATGTCTGAGATAAAATGGTAATATCGCTCCAAATGTAAAATAGTAAGGTCTAACTAAAAGGAATTCACAGGGATTAAGTTCATTCTTTTAAAAATATATCACATTTTCTTCTGATTTCTAAAGCAAAGATTTGGACAGTGCATTAAAAATTGCGTGGAAGTGACAAAGGTAACTCTGTACCCTTTGAGGGCAATTATCAGAGATAGAAGCTGAAGCCAACAATGGCATGTACCAAGACTGATGTTGTTTTGTTGTCTGTTGTTTTGTTGTGTTTGTTGTTTATTGTTATTGTTATTGCTAAACTTTTTGATGTGTGTTTCTATTAATAAATAAACCGGGTTGGAATTACAGTACTGACTTATTTCAGTTGGCTAACTTTGGGCAAGATTTTTCATAAGGTTGTACTTAACATATGTCATTTTAAAAGTATGGTTAATAAGAGGACTCCAATGAGAAATGAAAAAATAGAATGTATGTAAAGTGCCAAGAGCATTGTAGGCATTCAAGAAATAGCAACTCTTTTCTAGCTCCCAGTTTCCATGTTTTCTTATCTGTTATGAAGATTAAATGTGCACAAGAACATTTTGCAAAGCACTTCAGTTTAATAAATAATGCTGTGCTTAAGGAATGCCAGTTCACTTTCTCTTTCTCTGATGCATTAGTAATCTAAATGAACATTCAGGTGACTGAAGCACAAAGGGACAATCCAGATTGATAGTCAGTCAGGAGGAGAGTAGCACTAACCTGGAAGAAAAATCTTGAATTAAAAGGCTGATGAATAGTTACTATAGATTCATGGCCAATTTTTTAAAAAGAACAAAAGAATATAGCTAAAAGCAATTACCCTACTATTACTATGGCTCAGCCTTACTAATAACCTTCCTAAAGTCAAAAATTGTCATTTCTTATGTAGTTAATTTTACATTCATTTTTAAGAGCTGATAGCACAATATACATTTATTCTATAACTTGACTTTTTTCAATTAACAATATGTATTGGAAATAATTATATATTTTTAATTATTAATACTGTCTAGTACTACATTGAATGCATGTGTTAATCATCTGTTAACCATATACTATAATCTGTTAATCATTCACTTCATAATGGGATTTCTAAACGCTTTCTATTACAGAAATTTCTGGTATGCACAAATTTTTGCAGCAATGAAATCACATTGGCATAAAATGTATTTATTGGGTAAAAAGCAGATAAACATTAATATTATCAATATATGTTGAAAATGGTATCCATAGAAGTGCTACCATTTTATATTTCATCAGCAATTTTGAGAGAAAACTTCTTCAAACCCTTGACAAAGCATATCAAAGTCCTTTTACCTTTGCCAATCTTTTAAAATTTGTGGTTCTATTATAAGCAAAGGGGATTTGGCTTTTTTCTCTTAGGTTTAAGACTCATTGTTAATATTTCCTTTCCTGTGAATTTTCTGTTTATTTCACTTACATATTGAGTTATTGGACATTTTTTCATTGACATGTTGAGATTGCTGATATTAAGAAAAATGGTCTGTTGGTTCACATGATTGACAAACAATTTTCTTGGGTTGTTATTTGTCATATTGACATAGTCTTTTCTCCTATATTGTCAGTATTTTCTTCTATGAATTTTTATTTTTGTATCATATTAGGAAGGCAGCCACACTCTGCAATTATAAAAATAAAATTCTTATGTATTTTCTTCTAGTCAAACAGGCATACCTTGTTGGGAGGCTAGAAAGTGCAGTCTTCATTCTGGGTTACCCAAAATTTGGCATTTTTTTTACTGAAGGAAGAAAAGAATAGCCAGCCACAATCAAAAGCATGTGTGTGGGCAGGCAGGAGGGGGGTAGCACAAATGTATATAGCATAGACATATATAAGCGTATATATGTGAGTTATTAAGCTTCACAAATACAACATGTTATTTATGATCTCTCTGTATTCAAAAACAGAGCTTCAGATAACATCATTCAGGATTCTAGAATCTTTCTTACAAATTAGTAGTCAGGCAAGATTGGGGTAGGTTTCCTTGAAACAGGAGAGGGGATAAAGGGATGTGTAAATGACTTAATTTCCCCACCTCCTTATGGGTTTGAAATTTCCTTCCACAAACAGGTTAATGGTTTCCTTCAAACATCAGTGCCTATGAGAAACACAACTGAATGGGATCATCTGATTCCCAAACTTTAAACCATAAAGAGCAGTTTTGATTGAAGGGGCAATGCACAGTGGAAAACACAATATAAAAGTTTATGAGCTGAGGGAGTACTTATTTGGGAAGAACTTTCAGGGCAAGTACTGATGATGTGAGGCAAAGCAATAATTTAAATCTTGTAATCTGGGAAATAGCATGTCAAACTCCGCTATTTTGGATGGGATAGTAAAATTTAAGCCCCAAACCAAACTAGCTCCTCTTTCCCCAGAACTTCTTGTGGCCTATGTTTCTGTCACTTGAAAAAAAAAAATCTCTCCCTCGATTTGCAAAAGTATTTTTTATAAACGTTTTAGTGAAATACATTAGAGGACATGCTTTTACTCCTTGTGAGCTTCCAGGGAAGTTGGAGAGTGAGGAAAAAGGAAAGAAACGATAGAAAACTAAAACACTGTGTAAGTGGTTGGCACTAAAGTCCCATTAATATTTTCTCTCTGACATTCTTCTAACTCTAAAGGCCTTAGAATATACCTGATGTTAAAAAAGATGAAGGATAATATCTAACAGCATCAGTAACCTGGAAGGGCCTAAGGTCATTCTTTTACAGTTTATGTCAGAAATTCATTGGCTGAAATAACATGTTGCTGCATTGGAAAGATGCAGCTAATGTTAAAGAAAACTGGGATAATAGCCATAACTCCAAACCATTTAATTCTACCATGTGCATGTGTGTTTTATGCTTAAAACATCCTGAAGGACAGCATGACTCTAGGAGAGAGATGCTCTACATCATTGTTACCAAAAGAGACAGCCTGACCTTGGATCCATTCTCTGTTCCACTGGGTCACTTTCTTAGTGTGGCAGTCCTCTTCTGCTTCGACTGTTTTCAGAGTTCTCATGATCAGGATTTTAGGTCCCCTTCACATCAGTTACCAGGGCCATGCTCTCTTTTCTCCTTCCCCCACGTCCCCCTGCCAATTTGTAATGCTTACATAATGAAATTCTAGTTTTCAAAAGTGCTTTACAAAGAACACTTAGGATAGAATGGCTGGCTCTCTGGTATGGCTGATTTATTTATTTCCGGTTCTTTAATGGAGTGGTATGAGGTTAGGAAGAAGACAAATATTGACTCCCTTTGTACACAACAACAGCCTGCATATTTGTGACAAAAGCTAGAATGTCCATTTGCAAATCCCAATATAATGGGTTATGGCAATGAATAGATGAACAAGAGGAATAGTGAAACCACTGAGCCCAGAATCGTCTCCAGAGCCTGCGGGCATATCTATTGTGTTCAAAAGGATGTGAAATTAGGACTTCACAAGCCACCCTAGGGAGAAAGTCATCTACATTCATTTTTTTGTTTTGTGTTGTTTTTGTTGTTGTTGTTGTTTGTTTGTTTTGAGACGGAGTCTGTCTTGCTGTGTCACTCAGGCAAGAGTGCAGTGGCACAAACTCAGCTTACTGCAACCTTCACCTCCTGGGTTTAAGCGATTCGCCTGCCTCAGCCTCCCCAGTAGCTGGGATTACAGGCTTGTGCCATCACGCCTGGCTAATTTTTCTACTTTTAGTAGAGACAGGGTTTTGCCATGTTGGCCAGGCTGGTCTCAAACTCTTGACCTGAGGCGATCCACCCACCTCAGCCTCCCAAAGTGCTGGGATTACAGACGTAAACCATTGTGACCGGCCTTTTTTTTTTTTTCTATATTATTTTCCTAATCAACCCCCTGCAATCTAGCTTTTGTTCCCACTGCGCAACTGAAAACACTATCTGAATCTAAGATATAACCAATGACTTATTTCTTTCCTATTCCATATCTTTCTTGACATTTCTGTAGCCCTTGAACCTATTGCTGATTACCTTGTCTATTTTGCCACCTAAAAGAGAATCTTACTACTACAATAATCTGCATGATGTTAAATTGGAAATTGTGACTGGTTATTGTGTGTTTACATGAAGATACTATGTAAGACAATCTAAAACAACGTGCCTGAGCAAGATACACATTTTCAAAAATAATTTTAAAACAAAATAAATAACTTTAAAATATCTTCATTAAGAGTTTCAATGGTTCTGGCTGCTGAATATTACAAAAAGATTTGAGAAATGTAATTGTGGGGAGAGATGCTTGTATTTTTTTGAGTTCGGTCTGCCATCTGGGTGAACAGAATTTAGCAGAGAAGGGTTAAAGAATCACCTAATTTCCAGAGCCTGAGAACAGACACTAGAGATGAGAAATCCCCAGTAGAAGAAATTATCCCAGGCTGACAGCCAGCAAGAAAATAAGGATCTCAATCCTATAGCCTTAAGGAATGCACTTCTGCTAACAACTTGAACAATCTTCTAAGCAGATTTCTCCCTAGAGCCGCCAGATAAGAGACTAGCCTGGCCAACACCTTGATATTAGCATTGTGACATCCTAAGCAGAGAACCCAATTAAACCTTGTCCAGATTTCTAATCTACAAAACTGTGTGCTCACAAATAAGTGTTGTTTCAATTTGCTAAATTTGTAGTTTTTTTTACACAGTAATAGGAAACTAATACACTCTCCCTGCAAAGTTTATTGTAAATTCCTTAAAAGAGAGACCATATTGTTCATGTTCATAATCCCAGCACCCCAAGGGCAGTGCTTGACAAAATGTTGAAACTTGAATGAATGAACGAACTGTATATACTTGTTGTGGAATTAAAAGAGATAGTATGAGTTTTAACTATAAAGCACATAAATGTGAAAGATTACTTCATCTAGTTCAAGGATAACACCTAACTGTGTCCTGGTACACTGTAGCCTGATTCTGACCTGACTCAGTGAAAAAGAAGGCACTATATGTATGAGAAGTGTCTGGGGTGCAAGAGCTAGAGGTGACAGCCCTCTGGTGGGTGTGTATTGGGATAGAATCCCTGCATACTGTATATGAGATCCACGTAGCTTTTTAAAATTCGGTTTATAAAAGATGAAAAATAGATAGCGGGGTTGCATTTACTTCTCATCTAAGGTTGCCATGAGATAATATATGTGGAGTAAGAGTAGCCTGGGGGCAATTTTTCAGCCCCAGAATGTCAATATGCAAGATTTATTAGATATAGACATTGCAAAGTTTGATGCTTTTTATGCACATACTTACATTAAGTATGATTTTTTTAAGGAAAATGAAAATGACAAAATACGTATAAAATTGTGTAATTTTTTTCAATCATGACTACAATATTTAACAGACTTTGAGTGATTTGACTGGAAATAAGTTGTTAAGCGTTCAATTGTGCCTTGATACTATTCTCATAAATGAAAATCTTTATATTTAAATGATTTATATTTAATTATAATTCAAAAATACTCAGATGCACCTTTTTGTTAATTTTGGCCTTGATATTTTCCAAAGGACTTAAGATCGTTTTGCTCAGATTGTTTGCAGATCTCAGTGACTACTCCATTTTATCTGGAACTGGGGAACACAAGAGAAGGAAAAGTTTACATCAAAGATTTCTCATTTCTTCAAAGCAGTTCCCAAATACAGCTAACAAATTAAATTAACCAATGAGAATGTACACAGTATGACTGACAGTTTGAATTTCTAGAGAGAATGTTATTGCTTTTTATCTATAACTTGGAATGCACTTTTAAAATTCTACTTTAAATCAGAGAATGCAATGAACACTACTGAAGAAAAATGTTTCCAAATCTCATTGATACTATGCCTTTATCACTTGCATTACTTTTCCTGTTTTCTTTGAATGTATAATTACATGAAGTATATCATTGATGATACAGTTGGAAACAGATATGCCAATAAATCCTAAGACATATAGAGCAACAGTTTAGATTACACCATCTGGTTCTGATGAAACACATAGTGAGAATTCAAAAGGTGTGGAGATAGACGTTTACTGATAGCTGAATGAGGATGCATTAATGGGCAGTCGTATTTTCCTCTAATTTTGTCTAGAGGGAAGTGGCTGTAAACTCTAGCCCTTTCCTAACAGAGCTCCAGGGGATTTGGTCATGGATGTTTACAATGTGCCATTCAGGGGATACTTCTTTATGTTCATGGGCAGCCCTAATGCCTAATGGCCCAACCTGTGACCAGGTGTCCCTTTCACAGGAAACTTATTTATACTGGCAAATGCCCTTGTAGCTCTGGTCTGACCCAGGTTCAGTTTATGCCTGCCAAGACAGCCACTGTCTAGGAGAGCCCTGACCAGGAAAGAAGTTAGGTATTTAGGTTCAGATGTGCCAGTCAGGTGAGAATCCGATGAGGCAACTAAACAAAACACATGAAATAACAGAAGCAGTGGATCACTCACAGATCACAGAGAGAAGAGGGCGGCACACCTTGCAGGGCCAACGGGAAGTGGGGAGCCATGCAGAACATGCATCTTCAACCAACAGGAGGGGGTCAAGGGAGAGACCAAGGGACCAAAGACTTTACTGGGGACCAGGGCATTACCCAAGCAGGGTTCTCTTGGTGAATTCTAATCGGTGGGTTGAGTTCCATGGCAGAGGGCAGGGAGGTGGGTCACAATGTGACTGAGAGGTAGTTGCTACAGCATATTTGCATGGCTTATGTGAGTTGTGGGGGTCAGTGGGTAAATGAAGTCGGTTGTATCTAGCAGTCCCCTAGGGAGGTGGTCACTAGGAGGTGATTATATAAGGCAGATAACTGGATCAACTACACTGAGGAACTAGAAGGAAGCAGAGAACCTAGAAACTATGTTCAAAGGTTACTAAGCCCAGCTTCTCGTTTAAGAAAGTTAAACCTAGACTCAGAATGGATGCTATTGCAACACAAAATTCCAGGAATTCATTACGGTAATGCTTTACTTTTATATTTAAATAATGATTAATATACTACCTTCTTCTGACAAAGAAAAATACTGAATAATTATGTACAAGATGTTTTATTGCATCATACCATTTGATTTTTTAAAAATCACTCAGAAGTAAAGTATTATTATTTCCATCTATAAAATTAATATGAGATTCAGAGACAAGTAATTTGTTCTTTTCCTCGATCTTTAACTTTCCATAAAGGAGATTTCTGTCATCTTCCATGAAGAGAGTATGTAGAGTAAAAACATGTAGCTCATTTGTTCCCTTACTTTGCTCCAGGTTGGACTAATCTGGGAAGCCTGGCTCCCACTTCCAGAAATTCTTATTTAACTAGACTTGAGTACATCCTGTACACCAGAATTCTGGACATAAGAATCTTTAAAAGCTCCCCAGGTGCTTCTAATCTTGCCCCTTTGTCACGCCCTAGCTAATATGATTGTTGAGAGCCTGTCATCTATTGACTAAGTAAAAGGCAATGGCTCACTAGTGATTGACTTTCTCTTTCACCATCTGCTTCAAGAATTTTAAGGACTTCTAGGCACTATGCAGGCAGCTATCCTGCAGAACCTGCCCGGCTAGATCTTTATTCTCTCCTATTCAGTGTCTCCAGCCTACCCTAAATAGGCGAATCAGGCAAGCCTTGCCTTTAGGCCTGGCTGCTTTCAGATTGCTGCTGGAATCAGTAGATACAAACCCCATTCTCCCAGAAATCTCTGTGTTTTGAGAGGCTGTTGGGCACTGTATGGTTTATATATAAAGCCAATTTTTGTCTCTACTTGAGGTTTGTCTTTTTGTATAAGTATTATTGTTTACAATCAATAGAGATGAAGAGTAAGCTATTGGCACACCAAACTTTTAGTGTACAGGGGCTTAACAGAACAGTAAACTTTTAAAACAACCTTGAAGATTGATATTACCAGAGAAAATTACCAAATACCAAGGCCAAAGATTTTAACAGAGTAATGAAACTTGACTCCAGCAGGAATATCATGTAAACATCTTTAGTTAGCGTTTGTAAACTCAGATGCAGGTAGAAAAGATGCTGAAATTAGATGACAGAGGAAATGGAGTCATCAAGACCTGGCTCCTCTAAAAGCAGATAAACTCTATAGTGAAAAAAAAGAGAGGAAAGGGAGATGGAGAAGAGACAAAGGGAGGGGAGAGAGAATAAATCTGTGTATGCTTGCTTAACAGTTATTGGCCAATATGCATTTTATTATATTTAGTTACATAAACCCTAACTGATGCATGAGACCTGGGTCTTCAGATTGCTAGTTTTCAGCTTTAGAAGGCTGCTTTAGATGATTTTTTAAAATGTGTTCTTTCTCTATCATTTTGAACTACCAAGTGAAAGAGGAAACTGGAAAACAGTTTCAGAGATTCATTGGCTTGTTCATGGGCTTCTGAAGTTACCTCTGAATCATATAAACTTGTTAGTCCTGAACTGTTTGCTTCACAAGCCTTGATTATAGTTGTTGAGTTTAGTATCTTGACTGTGGGTTCAACTCATAGTGACATTATCTATTTTACCAAAGAAAAGGTAAGATATACAGAAAATATTGCATTTGCTTATATTTTGAATATAGATACCTCATGAATATGGTAAAGTAAAAATTTCAGTGAAACTATTTTCCAATAATTTCCAAAGGCAAAGAAATACATTTAATATAGGCTTACATTTGAAACATTCTGCCACTAGAAATAATGTACTCAAATACTAAAGGAGGATTGAAATGAATTTAGAAAGCAGGTGTATGTTTTGAGGTCACCTTTAAAAGTAGGCTTTGGTCTTCTAGTCTGAATTAGAACAGTAGTAATATGAAAGGGAAAAAATGAAGAAGGATCCATAGATTGAAACCAGAAAATAAGAGGTATTCAAACAGAAGAATGCTTAGGATATTAGGGAACCCACCATTAGGTGTAAAAGGAGATATAATATACACACATCCACACACGTCTTATTGTTTATAATAATCATACCAGAAAAGAGGGCAACAGTTTAGCTTTGCCTAGTTCAGGAATGGCAAATAAGAACCAAAGGAACTTAACTGAGAACAAGAGGAAAAAAGCAAACTGGAATAACTCCACAACAAAACAAACTACTAAGAGAAATCTTCAAGACATAAGAAAAGGAGTCACTCACAAAAGCAATCCACACTAAAGTTATTGAAGACATTGAGCACTCACATACTATTTGGTATATGTAAAAGAGAAAAGCCGAGAAGTTGATTATATTATACTTCTGGCATAATTAACTGAATTTTAAGGCTATGTAGTTACTATAGATTGAGATGCCATTATGGCACATGTTAAGAGGGACTAAGAAACTTTTATAGGTGGATGCCTAACAAAAGATATAGTGAGAAGTATCAACAGAGTGTCAGATAGGAGGATAGATCAAGGTCAGGCATATATTTCATCTTAGACTTATGCAAGAGTACCTTCCAGGTTGACTATCTCAGAGTGGTGAAGACATGAACATTTGTTTGAACAGTGACTAACTTGCTAATGGCTATGGAAAAGGTTTTTAGAAATATAAATGTCTAGGCCCAAAAATAGAAAAATGATGTAGACGATATAATCCTTCAAAAATTTTTGTTCTACATG
Organism: Homo sapiens; assembly: GCF_000001405.40. Classification (NCBI taxonomy): domain Eukaryota; kingdom Metazoa; phylum Chordata; class Mammalia; order Primates; family Hominidae; genus Homo; species Homo sapiens. The sequence continues at coordinate 63,437,652 of NC_000005.10, read as the reverse complement.
TTACAGAGAAAGACCTGGAGCAGATTAAATTTGTATAAGTCAGCTGAGCTTTCTTGAAAGGTGTAAGGAAACAACAGAGCAAAATAATCACATGTGTTTCTAATAGCCAATCCAATCACATGGCCCACAGTTTTAGCAATATCGTGTTACAGAAATAAATTTCTATGTTTGCCACTCAAATATCTCAAGTCACAAGACATCAGAAAATCAAATTTCTAAGAAAAGGCAATGTTTTGAGAGAGTTGCTTGATATAGGATAAAATAGTTTCCTCTGGGTATATAAAAGCAAGGACAGGGTTTGGAAGCCTCAACAGCTGCTTCAGATCAAGATTCACTGAGGCTGATTCTCCAGCAGAGACAAAAGCTCTTGCCACAAGGTAGGAACTCAAAATTTCTTGAAATGTTTCAGTGAACATAATATATCTGTAAGAATGCCTAGGCTTTTTTAAACTTAGAATTGTATGGGGGAGGCAGGCAAAAGATTTTTTTTTGTTATTTTCTAACACATTTACATTTTATGTATTTCACAGTAGGACCTATAGATAGTTAACAGTTATATTAGTAAAAGCACTAATATGTACAAAAGCGTAAACTAAATTTATTGTCATTCTGATAAAATTTATATTTTTCCTTATGAGGCAGCCATGTGTCTCTGTTAGAAACGCCTGCAGATATTTTTTCTTAGCCTGGTAATGAATGCTCAGTCTATGAACTTTCTTGCTGACCCTTCAATGTAGGTTGGCTTCTGAATGGATAATAATTTTGAAACAAGCATATAGCTCAAGTTGTGGGGAATTATTAATCTCTCTGCCTTCAGTTAAACATCAACCTTTAATATTAAACACAAATAATCACACTGATACAGCTTAGAGCCTGAAATGATCTTAAACTTACTACTGGCCATCCACAGTGCATTAAAGTGGAATTTCTAAAATTTAAGGAACTGCACTGTACCTCAAAGTGTTCCCTGTGGAATGCCTGTCTCCAGAAATGGCTTTGCTTCATTCAAGGACTCAAATTCAAATGCTTTAAAAATTCCCTTTAGTCCTCTGATCCCGTGTCTATGGGAGAGATTCGGGTTTCCTCCTGTTTGAGCAAGTAAGCTTAATTTTATTTGAAATGGCATTTTCCTGTACACAAAATAATTCATACATTCTGATATGCCTACATTTCAACATCAAACATCCACCCCACTATACTCCTACCGGTTGTTGGCAGCTTGGGAGTTGCTATTTAATCACTTCAAGCTCATTTTCCTATAAACTAAACTTTGTAACTGAAATTTCTTTAAAACTTTTGATCAAATTGACTCCTCAACTAATTCCGTAACTTGTCAGTGGCTGAACAGTTCCACCAAAATACTGAAAATGTTTTGGAGCTACAGAAACAGAAATAAATCAAGTATATACCAGGGAAATGTGATATCTTTCATAAAATGTCAGACTTTTATATTCTTAATCAAATTAAAAAGACATTTTATCCTCGTTGCAAGCTAAGCAACCTATCTCATTTAATTCCATACATCTGGATTATTCTACAACGAGTATCAGGTCTTAGCAATTAAAACTTAGGCTGCCCTCATGAGCCCACGAACTCCAGAGCAGGTGCTAACCCTGAATGCTAACAGTTGCTTCATCTTTACTATGTCTCAAGTAAGATTTCTCATTTAGTAGCAAAACATGGAAGAAGAGGCCAATTACTGAAAACAGAATTAATCCCTGTATGATTCATTACTTTTCCCATATAGTTGGTCACCTCTACTCAATAATAACTGAAGACAATTTGATAGGCTTCATCTGTAGGGAAGAGACTTAGGGAAGAGACTTAGCCATGAGAGAAATGCAAAGACGACTTCCTGAAATTTCCTTTCGGACTTGATTCAACGTGCATTAGTGTCAGACTTTACAAGTGTTTATACTATGTGGTATACTAAACTCATTGAGCATAATGACTGCACACACCACAAATATTAATATAACAAAGGACAAATGGAAAGCGTGATTTATTTTCAAGTTGGATAAACAGTCCTCAGATAATGGGGAATAAACTTTCAGATTGCTTCACTAGGTTAATCTTATGTGTTTCTAATATGCAATATTCTCTACAAGGGTGTTAAGTAGGGAATATACAGGTTATAAGTATGAAAGAATTCAAAACTTTTTAGAATTCAATTTGAAGGAAAGTCTTTAACAAATGTGTTAACAACTCCTAGAACAGTGTGCCATTATTAACTATATATTTTAAGATTGATATGCAGTTTGCTTCAAAATTCAACTTCAAATCATTATATCAAAAAAAATACTTGCACCCCCATGTCTATTGCAGGACTATTCACAATATCCAAGATATAGAATCAGCCTGTGTTCACCAACAGATAAATGGATTTTAAAAATGTGGTTTATATACAAAATGGAATACTATTCAGCCATAAAATAGAATGAAATCCTGTCATTTGCAGCAATATGGATGGAATTGAAAATCTTTATGTTAAGTGAAATAAGTCATGCACAGAAAGATATTGTATGTTCTTCCTCAAATATGGGAGCTAAAAAGGCGATCTCATGGAGGTAAACAATAGAATGATGGTTACTAGAGGCTGGAAAAGGGAGATGAAGAGAGGTTGGTAAATAGGTACAAATATGCAGTTGGATAGAAGGAATAAGTTCTACTGTTCGATAGCACAGTAAGTTGAGTATAGTTAATACTTTATTGTATATTTCAAAATAGCTAGAAGATTTGAAATGTTTCCTATACAAAGAAATGATGTTTGAGGTGTTGAATGTCCTAATTGACTTGATCATTATACATTGTATGAATGTCCTAATCTGATTTGATCATTACACATTGTATACTTGTATCAAAATATCACATGTACCCCATAAATACATACTATTATTATGTCAATTAAAAGTATTAAAAACAAAATTCAACTTCTAAAAATATAGATTAATAGTTAATACATAATATTAATGATCACAAAGATCTGATTATAAGGATGCCAACTGAATTTTTATTTATAATAGCAAAAATTTGGAAACAACCCAATTGCTCAAAAATAGAAAATCAAGAAAATGAAGTGTACTACTTTCATGTATGTGAATACTATAAGAGTATTAAAAAATGTGATAATAAGTAGATAAATGATAGATAGGTAGTTGGCTGGGCATGGTGGCTCACACTTGTAATTCCAGCACTTTGGGCAGCCAAGATGGGCAGATCACTTGAGGTCAGGAGTTCGAGACTAGACTGGCCAATGTAATGAAACCTCATCTCCACTAAAAATACAAAAATTATCTGAGAGTGATGGCAGGTGCCTTTATTCCCAGCTACTTGGGAGGCTGAGGCAGGAGAATTGGTTGAACCCAGGAGGCAGAGGTTGCAATGAGCCGAGATGGCACCACTGCACTCCAGCCTGGGCGACAAGAGCGAGACTCCATCTCAAAAAAAAAAAGATGATGATAGATAGATAGATAGATAGATAGATAGATAGATAGATAGATAGATAGATGATAGTAAAATATTTATGATAAGTTATTTCTGAGAAAAACTAACACCTTGTCCTTCTGCCGTTATGGGTATGGGTACATCACATTCTACCGTCAGAGGGGAGGGGAGGAACTTAAAACCTGAGATAGATAAAAAATATGAACAAAAATGAACAAAAGCAAATTGAAGAAGCAAGTTCATCCTGTCTAGTTCTAGACCCCAACATAAAAATAACATTAAGCCTTTTTTGTTAATTACTGATTTCCTAATAAGTTTGCAAGACTGATATCTGCATGTGTATAAAAAATGAAAAACCTTTCAGATAGGATGAATATGTGAGAAAATTACTACGTTTCCCTAGGAACAAAATAATGATAAAATCTAGGAATTTGTCATAAGACATAATTGTTTTCTGTAAATACCTGCTTTTTGTTTGTTTAGTTAGTCCTTATAAACCCTGAACTCTCTTATAAACATTTATTTCAAACTTTATTTCCTTCTAAATGCTTTTATATCTCAGTCTTTTTGTGGTGATTGTTAAGTGTTCGTTTGAAGTCCTAAAATCAAGGTGTGAGCATGGATGCATTTTTTTCTGGACGCTATGGGAGAGAATCCCTTTCCTCATGTTTTCAGCTTCCAAACCCTGTCTACATTTCTTGGTTCACGGCCCCACATCACTCTGACCTCTGTTTCTATCATCTTATCTTCTCCTTATCTGAATCTGATCTTCCTTATAAGGACTCCTGTGATTACATTGGTCTAACTCAGATAATCCAGTATATTCTCCCCATCTCAAGTAATGTAACAGAATCACAATTTTAAAGTCCTTTTTTCATGTAAGGTAATATAGTCAGAGATTCCAAAGACAAAAATATGAACATTAGGTAATAATTATTGTGTCTACCGTAATCCACCCTCTGGCCCCCAAGGATTTATGTCTGTCTCACATGCAAAATTCATTAACCACATTCCCACATGCTCCAAAACCTCAAGCAATTCCAGCACTCAATGTTATCTATCCTAATATTTTAAGTTAGATGGGTTAGTCTCTGCTTATAATTGATTCTGGTACAAAATTCCTCTTCATCTGTCTGCCGGTAAACTAGAAAAACAAGTTATCTGCTTTAAAAATATCATGGTAGGACAGGTATGAAATAACAGTTATAGACATTCCCATTCGAAATGTATGAAAATGAAAAAAGGAATTACAGCAGTGAGAACGCAAAATAGTACAGCTACTTTGGAAGACAAATTTGGCAGTTTCTTGCAAAACCAAGCACACTTTTATCATAAGATCCAGCAATTGTGCTGCATGGTATTTACCCAAAGGGGCCAAAACCTTATGTCCACACAAAAACTTGGACACTGGTGTTTATAGTAGCTTCATTCATAATTTCCAAAACAGGAAGCAACCAAGATGTCCTTTAATAATTGAATGGATAAAGTGTGGTACATCCAGACAATGGAATATTACCAGGCACTAAAAATAAATAATCTATCAAGCCCTGAAGAAACATGAAGGAAATTTAAATGCATATTGCTAAGTGAGAAAAGCCAGTCTGAAAGGCTACATACTGTATAATTCCAATTAAAAGACATTCTGGAAAAGGCAACAGAATGAAGAAAGTAAAAATCTCAGTGGTTGTCCGGGATTAGGGGGAAGGCAGGGATAAATACCCATAGTCCAGAAAACTTTTAGAGCAGTGAAACTGCTCTGTAGGATACGATAATGGTGGATACATGACATTGTATGTTTGTCCAAACTTATAGAATATAGAATAGCAAGTGAACCCTAATATAAACTATGGATTGTGGGTGGTGATGACATGTCAATATAGGTTCATCAATTGTAGCAAATTGTCCCCACTTTAGCTGGGGATGCAGGGGACACTGGATATGTAGAGAAAATGTCTGTACCTTCTGCTCAATATTGCTATGAACATACAACTGCTCTAAAAAAATAGTCTTTTTTTTTTTTTTTGAAAAGAGTCACCAGTCCCAAGCAATTTTGAAATCTAGCTAGGAAAACAGTATTAGATTTCAAGGTCTGAGAATAATTCTTGTAGTTTTTGTCTCCATCCTCTGAGCTAAGGACTCTACTCTCTGGACTCAAGCCTTCTTCGTCAGAATTATCCTTCTTTTTTTGTGAAGTTTAGCACAAATTTAAGCTGAATAGTTTAATCAGCCTGTTTCCTGCCTGTAGAATTTTGGGACTCTAACAGCCTTCTTTAATTTTATTCTATCCCTGGCTCTTTAAGTCCAAATTGGCAGTTTTCTGCTGGTATAAAATTCTGAAGAACCTTGTGGGCTTCTTATGCCTGTCCTGGGATTCATTACATTAGATGAGAGATTCCACCTTACCCTCCCTCATCCCAGTATACTTCCTAGATAGTATTATATGTATTCCTCATTTCTGCTTAAATGGCCATTGAGGGGATCCATGAGTCACATCCCTCATCCCTTCAAAGATCCCTTTGTGCAATTGAATACCATGACATTTTGTGCCTTCAAAGGCACTAGCAAAAGATTTTCCAGCCACATCTGGGCTTACTTACCAGAGCACACTTTTTCTGACAGTGAATCTCCTAATTTTGTTGTCTTTTACAATCTGGGTAAATTTGAGGATTTCCCAAAACTAAGTCCTGGTTCATTTTTGCTTAACGGGTTTTCTTTCTATGTGTTTCTTTCCTCTCGCATTTTACTATAAAGAGCAAGAAAACACCAGGCTTCACTTTCAGTGGGTTGCTTGGAAACAAGCTCATCACTTACAAGTTGGACTTTCTACATAACCATAGGACACAATTCCACTAAACTTTCTGCCACTATATAAGAAAGATTTCCTTTCCTCAAGCTTCTAATGAAATGTTCCTTCTTAAGCCTCTGCAGCTGCACCTGTAAGGTTCATATTTCTAAGCCTGTTTTTGATTATTTAAGTATTCTCCATGATAATATGGGTTTCCTTTATCATGTTCTTCACATAAAATCTCAGTCCTCCCTAGCAGAGTTGTGAACATCTGTATTTCTAACTGTCCATTTAAGAAAACCTAACCTTTGTCTATCATTCTTCTGAAAACTTTTCCAATCTTTTCCCATTGTCCAATTCCAAAGCCACTGACACATTTTTAGATATTTGTCACAATAGCATTTCACATTTAGTACAAATAAAGTTTGTATTAGCTGTCTGTTGCTGCTGTAACAAATTCGACAAAATTTGCATCTTAAAACAAGAAAAGTGTGTTACTGTTCAGGTTGGAGGTCTCAAGTTCTAAAATCAAGGTATAAACAGGGTTATGTTTTTTCTGGAGTCTCAAGTGAAAGTTTTCCTTGCCTTTTCCAGCTTCTAGAGAATGTCTGCATTCCTTGGCTTGTGGTCCCTTTCTATCATCACTCTGAACTCTGCTTCCATCACCATATCTCCTTCTCCAACTCTAATCTGTCTGTCTCCCTCTTATGAAGTCCCCTATGATTATATTGGACTCAGCCAGATAATCTATTATAATCTCCCTGTCTCAAAATTCTTAACTTAATCACATCTGCAAAATTCCTTTTATCACGTAAGGTCATAGATACACAGTTTCCAGAGATTAGGACACAAACATCTTCAAGAAGCAACGATTCTGTCTCACAAAGGTTAATCAGAAACATCTTAAATTTTTTTCCTATGTCTGTTTTTAAAAGATGTTATCAGTCTCAATTTCTACCCCCTTAAAGATATCTCAAGTCGATCTCACTTTTTTCTGGTTGCTACCAAGTATCAGACCAGTTTTATTTTTGGTAATTAATTGAGTATTTAAAAGTCTAAGCCAAGCTAATTGAGAACTTAAAATCTTACATCCAACTTGAAGGTTCTGTATTCTTTCAATGAGGGTCTACACTACAGCTTGAAAACCACAGTAGGGAAAGAGAAATGTAGTCTGCCATTTACTATACTTGTTTCACCCCCTCCCTGAATCCCTTGGCCCTTTCAGAATCAGTGTAGCAATCGGGTGTGAGAGAGTGGTTAAGGAAGAAAGCTATAAATCTGTTTTGGTAGCTGGTGTTATCTGTAGGTTTTCTTGGTTGATACATGTAATTCACCAAATTTTCCCATATGGCAATGACTCTTTTGTTAGAAGCATTTGCAAGGCCGCCTCTCAAGATCCTATGGGGACCTTTCCCCACACTGTTTCCTGACTCCAGTGATGCCCTGTCTGCTTAATTTCTATTATCATCCCTAAGCACTGGACCACAGGCAGGAACAGTTGCTTATTATTAGGTTCACCTCAACTCAGTAGACTATTTCCTTGCATTAAACCCATTTAAAATTTTTGGTCTAATTAATTTTGTTATTAATTGTATCCATAAGGATATCTGTACCATTGCTCTCCCAGTTGGTGAGTGTGCAACTTGCCCAATTTCTTTTTGCTCTGTCATGAAACTACAATTTTATTTTGTTCTTACAAGCCTCCTCTCTTTTTATTTTTATGAGCAAGAAAGAGATATCAGATTCTAAGGTGCCGAACTTGCCGAACTCAAATAACTACCTTGGGATATGTTAATTTATTCCAAGAATTCTTTGGTAACAATATAATGTGGGCCCATAAACTTCTGCCAATCAGCAATACTCAGCAGGAATTGAATGCTAATCTTTATTCTTATAGGCATCCTAATCTCTAGGAATGGTTATCTTGGAGGCAACTCAAAACACCACTGCTTTGCCCCATCCCCCTAAACCAATAGTATCTAGTGTAATATTCCTAAAATTGAATTTTGCCTGCTTTTATTGTGTCCAACATTTCTCTTTTATCTCTACTGATATATGTCTATCTTTACTTTCCAAATTTTATTCATCTTTTCATAAAAATCATTCTTTTTTATATTTTAGGAAATGATATGACATATGAAAGTATTGATGAATATTTATAATTCCTCAAAATAAGTTTGATATCCTGAGTTTTTGAAAACATAAATTTTATATCAAAGGGCTGCTTTATCTTCTTGGAAAGATCTAAGTAAATAGTCTGGGTACTCCTGTAAAGTACTAACTAAACTGAAGTTAGAACAGAAAGATGACCATGAGCCTCATTTCCCACCATTCTCTTAAATCTACGTGGTTTCCTGCCCCAGTCTTGGAGTAGTAAGACATTTTGCATTATGTACATTCTCTCTTATAGTTGTTGTTGCTACTATTGTTCTTCATGTTCTTATTAGAGTAGGCAAGTAGCTAGACATGAGCAGCAGGGGGAGTCCTGAGAAAAGGGAGGTCTGGAAAATGTCACACCCCAGAAACGACCTAAAACCTGCATGCTAAATAACCTGCTCCTGAGTCATCATTGGATCAACAATGAAATCAAGATAAAAATTAAAAAATAATTATTTGAACTGAACAATAATAGTGACACAACCTATCCAAACATCTGGGATACACCAAAAATGGTGCTAAGAGGAAAGTTAATATCATTAAATGCCTACATCAAAAAGTCTGAAAGAGCATAAACAGACAGTCTAAGGTCACACCGCATGGAACTGGAGAAACAAGAATAAACCAAACCCAAACCCAGCAGAAGAAATGAAATAACGAACAGCAGAGCAGAACTAAATGAAATTGAAACAAAAAAAAAATACAATGGATAAATGAAACAAAAAGCTGTTTCTTTGAAAATATAAATAAAATTGATAGACCATTAGTGAGAGAAAACCAAGATTTGTGTTTTGAAAAAGAAAACCAAGAAAAGAAGAGAGAAGATCCAAATAAGCTCAATTAGAAACAAAACAGGAGATATTACAACTAGTAACACAGAAATACAAAAGATTATTCAAGGCTGCTGTGAATACCTTTATGTGCATAAACTAGAAAACCTAGAGGAGATGGATAAATTTCTGGAAATATACAATCCTCATAGATTAAGCCAGGAAGATATAGAAGCTATGAACACACTAACAGCAAGCAGTGAAATTGAAATGGTAATAAAAAATTACCAATAAAAAAAAACAAAAAAAAGTCCAGGACTAGATGGATTCACAGCCAAATTCTATCAGACTTTCAAAGAAGAATTGGTGCCAATCCTATCAACACTATTCCAAAAGACAGAGAAAGAGGGAATCCTCCCAAGTCATTCTGTGAAGCCAGTATCAACCTAATGCCAAAACCAGAAAAAAAAAAAAACAATAAATCTACAGACTAACATCCCTGAAAAACATTGATGCAAATCCTCAACAAAATTCTAGCAAAACAAATCCAACAGCATATCAAAAAGTTAATCCACCCTTGTCAAGTGGGTTTCATGCCAAGAATGCAAGGATGGTTTAACATGCACAAGTCAACAAATGTGATACACCACATAAACAGAATTAAAAACAAAAATCACATGATCATCTCAATAGATGCAGAAAAAGCATTCCCAGCATCCCTTTATGATTAAAACCTTTAGCAAAATTGGCATAGAAAGGACATACCTTAACGTAATAAAAGCCATCTGTGGGCCGGGCAGAGAGGCTCACACCTGTAATCCCAGCAGTTTAAGAGGCTAAGGCGGGTGGATCACTGAGGTCAGGAGTTCAAGACCAGCCTGGCCAACATGGTGAAACCCCATCACTACTAAAAATACAAAAAATTAGCCAGGCATTGTGGTAGGCACCTGTAATTCCAGCTACTTTGGAGGCTGAGGCAGGAGAATTGCTTGAACCTGGGAGGCAGAGGTTGCAGTGAGCACCATCTATGACAAACCCACAGCCCAACATTATACTGAATGGGGAAAAGCTGAACGCATTCTCCCTGAGAACTGGAACAAGACAAGGATGCTCACTTTCACCGCCTCTATTCAACAGAGGACTGGAAGTCCTAGCCAGAGAAATCAGACAAGAAAAAGAAATAAATGGCATCCAAATTACTAAAGAGGAAGTCAAACTGTTGCTATTTGCCAATGATATTATTGTATACTTAGAAAACCTTAAAGACTCATCCAAAAAATTCCTAGAACTGGTAAATGAATTCAGCAAAGTTTCAGGATACAAAATTAATATACACAAATCAGTAGCTCTGCTATACACTGACAGCAACCAAGCTGAGAATCAAATCGACAACTCAACCCCTTTTACAATAGCTACAAAAAATAAAAAATAAAAATACTTAGGAATATACCTAACCAAGGAGGTGAAAGACCTCTGCAAGGAAAACTACAAAACACTGCTAAAAGAAATCATAGATGACATGCACAAATGGAAACACATCCCATGTTCATGAATGGCTAGAATCAATAATATGAAAATAACCATACTGCCAAAAGCAGCCTACAAATTCAGTGCAATTCCCATCAAAATACCACCATCATTCTTGACAGAGCTAGAAAAAAATCCTAAAATTTATATGAAACCAAAAAAAGAGTGTACATATCCAAAGCAAGACTAAGCAGAAAGAACAAATCTGGAGGTATCACAGTACCTGACTTCAAACTACACTACAGGTCATAGTCACTAAAGCAGCATGATACTGGTATAAAAATAGGCACAGAGACCAATGGAACAGAATAGTGAACCTAAAAATAAAGCCATATACTTACAGCCAACTGATCTTTGGCAAAGCAAACAAAAACATAAAGTGGGGAAAGGACATTCTATTCAACAAATGGTGCTGGAATGTAGAAGAATGAAACTGGATCCTCATCTGTCACCTTTTACAAAAATCAACTCAAGATGGATCAAAAACTTAAATCTAAGACCTGAAACCATAAAAATTCTAGAAGATAACATCAGGAAAACCCTTTTAGACATTGGCTTAAGCAAAGACCTCATGACCAAGAACCCGAAAGCAAATGCAACAGAAACAAAGATAAATAGATGAGACTTAATTAAACTAAAAAGCTTCTGCACAGCAAAAGAAATAATTAGCAGAGCATACAGACAACCCACAGAATGGGAGAAAATCTTCACAGTCTATACGTCTGACAAAGGACTAATATTCAGAATCTACAAATAAATCAGCAAGAAATAAATAATCCCATCAAAATGTGACCTAAGCACATGAATAGACAATTCTTCAAAGAAGGTATACAAATGGCCAGCAAGCATATGTAAAAAATGCTCAGCATTACTAATTATCAGGGAAATGCAAATCAAAAACCACAATGTGATACTACCTTACCCCTGCAAGAATGGCCATAATCAAAAAATCAAAAACTAATAGATGTTGGTGCGGATGTGGTGAAAAGGGAACACTTTTACACTGTTGGTAGGAATGTAGACTAGTACAACCACTGTGGAAAACAATACGGAGATTCCTTAATGAACTAAAAGTAGATCTTCCATTTGATCCAGCAATCTCACTACTGGGTATCTACCCAGAGAAAAAGAAGTCATTATACCAAAAAAGATACTTGCACATTCATGTTTATAGCAGCACAATTTGCAATTGAAAAAATATGGAACCAACCCAAATGCCTATCAATCAACAAGTAGATAAAGAAAATGTGGTGTGTGTGTGTGTGTGTGTATATACGTATGTGTGTGTGTGTATATATACATACACACACACACACACCATGGAATACTACTCAGCCATAAAAAGGAATTATATATACTACTATATATATGTGTGTGTGTGTGTGTGTATACATACACACACAACATGGAATACTACTCAGCCATAAAAAGGAATTAAATAATGGTATTCATGGCAGCCTGGATGGAATTGGAGACTATTATTCTAAGTGAAGTAACTCAGGAATAGAAAATCAAATATAGAATGTTCCCACTTATAAGCAGGAGCTAAGCTATGAGGATGCAAAGGCAGAAGAATGATACATTGGACTTTGGGGACTCAGGGAAAAGGATGGGAGGTGGGTAAGAAAAATGTACACACTGGGTATAGTGTACACTGCTCTGGTGATGCATGCACTAAAATCTCAGAAATTACCACTAAAGGACTTATTCATGTAACCAAACACCACCTGCTCCCTAAAAAACCTATTGAAATAAAAAATAAATATATGTATGTATATATTTATATAAAAATATATAATATATATGCATATGGAAACACATACGTGTGTGTGTGTGTGTATATATATATATATATGCAGAGATGGTTAGAAATATCTTTGTGGGAAGAAATGCCCTTTAAGATGCCCAGTAATCTTTCACTCTGCAGTTAACCTGTCAGAATGTAGCTAGCTGCATGCTGATAAGGAGGAAAAGAGGGTAAAGGAGAAATTGCTAAGAGACACACAGGTGCAATGAGTACAGATTTAACTGCTAAATGACCTTCCTGGTGTGGTAGTAATGAGCAATGCTCCCATTAGGTAGAATTCTAGAATTCATATCCAACACTGGGCTCATGCATGCTGATTAGCAGTAAGGGAGGGTCCCACAAGCCTGAGCAGGTCCCACAAGCCAGGTGGGAATAAAGATGGGGACTTAAGGTTAGGGCAGAAATGGGGCAACCAGACTAAGCTAAACGACAGTGACTTAAAACAGAGGTGAAAACTTAAAGAAAGACCCCAACATAATAAAAACCCCAACTCAGAACTCTCGGGGCTGTTGCTTGCTCATTTTCTTTCAGCAGCCTGCTCTTCCCATCTTTCAGAGTGTACTTTGTCTCTAAATAAACTCTCTGCTCTCTATTTTCCTTCAGTAAAATCTCTTTTTTGGCTAAATTGTCTCTTGGCCGAGAAAGACAAAGGATCAAGTATTTTCACACTTCCTGGTAATATCCTGACCCAGCTAACCTTTGTATGAAGGAGAAATAAAAACAAAAACTGACAGTTTTTCTCGGCTTCTACTTAGAATTTAAAATTTGCTACATTTCCAATAATAAGTTGATTTGTATAACAACAATTTCTATATTTTTAGTAATTTTTGAGGTTGGCTTTAGTTTAGAAATATTGTTCTCATTAATTAAATGAATTTTAATTTATTTCTAGGTACATTTCCCTCTGTTTTCCAAATGCATAGCTGCCTCATTTCATAAACAAAATCGATTCATATAATAAACTATCTGATTCTACAAACATCGAAATGACACAGCAGAAAAGTGAAGGGTTTGAGGCATAATCTGATCCTTCCCATTGGCCCTGGATTATGAAAAAGTTTCAAACTGCCCATTTTCAAATTGTTCAATGTGAGTAGAATGGTCTCATAACTACCAAAATTCATCCCATGATGAAAAGCCTGGAATTTCTTTGTAGACTTATAGCATAATCAAACATTATAATAACATTCACCGTTCATATCAAATGAGCCCACTAATTGTTTCTACATTTTAATTATTTTTCAAAAACTGGTAATGGGAGGGGCAAATTCAACACATAGAGATGATTTATAGGGCCAGTAAATTTTTTTTTTATTTGTGAGCTTTAATAGTGTTAGGTGAGACTTGCATCCTCTAATTTATCAAAAAAAGATATTAAATATTTATATTTATATATTATTATTTTGCCTGATATCTGAAAACTTTGTCTGCGTTTTCTCTGATTTTAACTTCCCAGCTAGTTATGCTTCCCCTCCACTATTATGCACAGAGATCTGTGCATGTTAACTTCTCCAGTGTAAGAAAACTGACAAACTTCAAGCTGGAGGAATAGGGTAAAAAAGGGAAGAGAGAGTCAAGAAGAAAATAGAGAATAAGTTTTTACAAATAGTGAATAGTTGATGCCACATAAAAATAAGCGTCAGTCATTCATTTGTTTAACAAGTAATATTAAGCAACTTCTATGTTCCAATATTTTTTTGAGATATATTTATACAATAATGAAGAAGAAATACAAAGTTTCTGCCCTCATATAGCTTGCATATTAGTGGGAGAGACAATGAAGAAATAAACTATATAATTTCAACATCATTTCAGTTATTAATAATTCTATGAAAAAATAAGTTATTAAATAATGTTGGGTTTAGTAATTATTGTTTTGCTTGAAGTGGTCAGAAAACATCCTCTGAGGAGGTGACAATTGAGCAGAAGCTTGTATAAAGTGAAATAATAAGATAAAGACTTAAAAATTTAGAATGCATTTTGAAGTTTACTGGTCATTTATAATACTTGTACCAGTTACGGAGCAGTAGGTGGGAAAATTCAGATTTTAGTAGTTGACAGGTACATGTGAAATGTAGGTGGAAAATAATATGAGTATACTAAAGAAATATTTTTCAAGAATATTGTCTTTGCAGGGAATGAGAAAAAATAGAAATATTTGTATCTAATAATATTATGAAGATAGAAAAACACCAGGCAAATACAAAGAAAGCAAGAAATGAAGCGATATTAACTTCAGGCAAAATACACTTAATAGTAATTTGTGTTTTGTCAACTGAGCTAAGCTGGAACTATGTTCCCCAGAATTCCCTTTCCATTATGCTTCCGGGTTAAGTTAGACCATAAGAAATTTTGCCTTGAGATTTCAGGCTGGGGAATGAAGTAAGGCAGTGGCCATTACACTCTGAACATCTTTGTTAGTTAGAGGCAATGAGGGATGAGTACAGAGGTGTCAGCGGTTCCGGTTGTTTTCGCATTTCCCCTGTTCTGTGTCCAGCTCTGCTTCTGGACTGTCAGTCCTGCTGACAAAAAGTGACCCTATCCCTACCACAAGACTCTTCACTGTTAACTCATAGAGGTAGAAACAATGAAGAGCCAGTAACCTTCCATAGGCTTCCACACCACCCACTTGCAGATGTACTGCAACAACTGACATAACTCACTTTCTGCAAGCTCTAAACTCATTCACCCATGCCAGGCATGATTAGCTGCTCCTACATATTTGCAAAGTCTAATTCCTATTACAAAGTCCTTATTCCACTATATTCATAGTGGTTCTTCTTCCCCGCCTGAAACTTCGATGATACAAGAATGTAAAATAAACAAATATTAATAGAATTAAAGAGTTAGACCAAATACCATTTAAACAGATGCACACAAGAAACAATTATGAAACACTACTGGAACTATGCCTAGAAATATATATAGACACAAATAAACAAAAAAGCATTATAAGAAGAAATTGACAAGATTTATAAACTCTCATCCTTCTGGAAATTTTAAAAATCACAATGGATATAGAATATGTGTCAGTGTAACTAACAAGCTTGATCTGATATTCAGAGCTCAGTTTCTAAAATTTAGAGAACAGACACTTTTTTTTAATCACTCAAAATGTGACATACGAAGTCACAAAGTGTCAACAAATTTCAAAGAATATCAGAAAGGCCTGTTTTCTGAAAAGAGTAAAATTAAATAAAATAGAAAATATTGTCAAAATTATATATGTTTTAATTTTTTTAAACCCAAGTAATTGAGAGTTTAAGGAAAATCATTATAATTGAAATTATGTATTGCTGACAATTGACTGGTAATAATAGTGCTGTATTATTTATAAAATATTGTGAAATGCAATAATAGCAGCATTAAAAATAGTTGTTTGGATTTGAAAGCATTTCTGTAAGAATAGGATGACTTAAATTACACTGTTTATGTCCAAAAGGCAGAAAAGAACAAGACAAAAGTGAGCCAAAGGAGTATAAATGATTAAAAAGAAGCAGAAAAGTAAAAGAAAACAGCATTAAAAATAACAGTCTTAGATAAATTTTAAAAGATGATTTACTTGAAAAGACAATAAAATTTATAGGTCTCTAGCACAAATAACAGAAAGAAAAAGAGAAAAAGGAAAGAGCAAAGTGAAAGTAAAAATTAAACTTAGGAAGAGAAAAAGAATATAACTAAACATAAGCAAATATTTCCAAAAAATTATAGTGCTTGAGGTGCACAAATTAGGAAAAAATGGAAAAATATATAATTTTAACAATTTTATGACAACTGATTCAAAAACTATAAAACATAATAAATCTATGCTGATTAAAAACAAAAATGCAGTTTAAAAACATCTTCCTGTTTTTCCCCATCCCAACAGAAGACATCAGACTCCCATGATTTCATGAGGCAAATTTTGTAGTGATATTACAAGCAAATCACAACCCCATATAAATTGCCTAAATGCTCAGCCAAAAAAAAAAAAAAAAAAGATTGAGAAGGAGAGGAGCTATTCAATTCATTTTAAAGGTAACTATAATCTTTACTAAAACAAATGAAAAAACCTACAGGACAAAAATAGAAAAAAAAAGAAAATTAAAAATGTAGGTAGATAGATTGGCTACATGTAGAATAGCCAAGGGAGTCTAAAATAATTATTTGAATTAATAATTATATTTAATAAATTTATAAGTACAAATACTGTTTCTATATACTAGCAACAAATAATTGGGAAATGTTTTTAAGTCAATTTACAATAACACTGGAAGTCACAAATACTTAGGCACAAACTTAATAACTGAAATATATACAAAGTCCACAGAAACTCCAAAACAGTGTAGAGAATTAGCAAAGATAGATTTAAAGAAACCTGGGCTGGGCGCGGTGGCTCATGCCTGTTATCCCAGCACTTTGGGAGGCCGAGGTGGGAGGATCACAAGGTCAGGAGATCGAGACCATCGTGGTTAACACGGTGAAACCCCATCTGTACTAAAAATACAAAAAAAAATTAGCCAGGCAAGGTGGCAGGCACCTGTAGTCCCAGCTACTCGGGAGGCTGAGGCAGGAGAATGGCGTGAACCCGGGAGGCGGAGCTTGCAGTGAGCTGAGATTGCACCACTGCACTTCAGCACGGGAGACAGAGCCAGACTCCATCTCAAAAAAAAAAAAAAAAAAAAAAAAGGAAAGAAATCTAAAAAATAGTGAAATAAACTGTTCAAAATATTTGTGGTGTAATTTCTTTATAGACTCAACAAATTTATAGTCATACACCCAGAAAGCACTAGTATAAAAGTTGTGATGACAACTTTAAATTTACATAGAAATTTAAGAGATCTATAGTAGCCAAAAATCATTTTTAAAAGGATCAGAGTTAGAGAACTTGCACCACATGAAACAGAAAATGTATCATAAGGCTACAGCCATCCAGGCAGTGTTGTATTGCTTTATTATAGACAAAGAAACAAAAGTATTTTTCAGGAATATCATTTATATAGTCAATTTTTCTAATTTATTAATATATAATTTGCATACCATAAAATTCACTCTTTCAGTGTACAATTTAGTAGATTTTAGTATATTCACAAAGTTGTGCAAACATCACCGTTATCTAATTCCAGAACATTTTCACCATCATAAAATGAAACCTCAAATCTATTGGCAGTCATTACCAAATCTTCTCTCCCCAGCCCTTCAGCCACAAATCTACTTTCTGTCTCTATGGATTTGCCTCTTCTGGACATTTCATGTCAATGGAATCATACAACATGTAGTCTTTTATTACTGGCTTATTTCACTTAGCATAATGTTTTCAAGGTTTATGTGTCAGCATGTGTCAGTATTTATTTTTATGACTAAATATCATTCCACTACATGGATATTTTACATTTTATGTATTCATTCACAAATTGATAGACTTTTAGATTAGTTCCACTTTTTGGCCATTATGAATAACTACACACACGTATATGTTTGTGCATGTGTGTGTGTGTATCTATACATATACATGTTTTTGTATAGACACATATTTTTAATTATCTTGGGTATATACCTAAGAGCAAAATTAGTGATTCAAATGGTAACTCCAAGCTTAATTCTTTGAACTTCTCAAAGTGGCTGCAACATTTATATTCCCACCAGTGGTGTAGAAGTTTTCCATTTTTTTCACATCCTTGCCAAAACTTGCTATTGTCCATCATTTTTATAATATCCATTGCAGTGAACGAGTATCTCATGGTGATTTTGATTTGCATTTTCCTTGGTTAACAATGTTCAGTATCTTTTAGCATGCTTATTGGCCATTTTAAAATTCTTTTTGAAAAGCAATCTCAATGAATTCAGATCATTTGCTTACTTTTTCAACTGGGAAATTTGTCTTTATATATTCCAGATACTATACTTTAACAGATATATAATTTACAAATATTTTCTCTGAAGTATGTTTCTTGTAAATAACATAGTTATTTATATTGTAAATATAAGTTAAATATATAGTTATTTATATTTGTAAATAACTATATGTTATTTACAAGAAATGAAGGATTTTGTCCATATTGCCAATCTCTGCCTTTTGATTGAGGTTTTAGCCCTTTTACATTTAATGTAAGTATTGGTAACAGAATCATTACTGTAATTTTGTCATTCCATTTTCTTCTGGCTACCTTACTTTCTTATGAGACATCAACTGTTGTTTTTGGAGATCCCTTGGGTATAATGAGTTGTTTATTTCTTGCTATTTTCAATGTTTTTTTATTTGTCTTTTTTTGAGTTTAATTATGATAGTACTTGGAATTCATTGAGTTTCTTAGATGTATAAAGTTTCTCTTTCAATTTGGAAGTTTGGGTCATTATTTCCTCTGCCATTTTGTCTGCTTCCTCTCCTGCAACTCCCAGAAATAAGCTTCATAGTATCCCATGTGTCTCTTAGATTTTATTTATTTTCATTAGTTCTTTTTTCTTTCAGCTACTCAAAATGGATAATCATAATTGACCTGTCTTTCACCAATTCTTTATTCTTTCCTTCAAATCTGGTGTTGAGCTCATCTAGTAATTTTTTTTTTTCATTTTAGTCATTGTACTTTCAATTCCAAAATTTCTGTTCTTTAAAAAATATAATTTCTATATCTTTACTGATTTTTTAAATGAGATATCACTTTCATACTTTCTTTTAAAATAGTTGATTTAAATTTCTTGTCTAGTAAGTCTAATCTCAGGGCTTCTTCAGGGACGATTTCTATTGGCCTCTCATTTTATGTTTATGGACCATAGTGTCTTGTTTCTTTCAATGTCTCATTTTTTGTTAACTGGATATTTAAAAAAATAAAACATAGCAACATGCTGGAAATCATAATGCTCTCACTTCAGGATTTGATGTTGTTGTTGTTCCTGTCACTTTAGTAATTTATCTGAACCAATTCTGTAAAGCCTATATTATTTGCCATGTATAACCAATAATATTTCTTCTCAGCTAGTTTAGGGGTTAGCTGGTGATTCAACATAGATATACTTAAATAAATTGAATGTATAATCTTCCAGCCTTTGACAGCAATTATTTGTGCATTTTGGGGTATGCTTTTAATGCTCACAGAGCAGTTTATAACTTCATTTTACTTCTCACTTTCTACCTGTACAGAACCTCAAGTTCAGCCAGAGTTAAGAACTTTGGACATTCTCAGGTCTTTCCTGAGCAGGTGCACAGCTGTCAGAAATTACTTATAGCAGAATACAAATCATATTATCCTTTAAACGTTTATCTGTGTATAAATTTTAACTGTAGCAAGACTAAGTACAGTCTTAATAATGGTGAGCTGGAAGATATTTCATTAAGCATCACATGCAAGTTTATCTAGGCAGTACAGCTACTGAGCCTCTGATACAAAGTGCAAATGCTGTCGCTGAATGATTGTTAAAGGTGACCAAGTCATGCATCTGCTCTCAAGATACCGAATAGAGAAAAATCAACCATTTCTACTGGTAGTAATAACATTGTATCCTTTATAACTTGAACTAAAATTATAGGAACAGTATTAGGCAAAGATTCAAAAATTAAAATGCAAGCAAATGTAATGCACTTGTACTGACTCTGTTATAATGGAAGACTCCGAAATGGTTCCAATGATTTAAAAAAATAAATACTGATGTTAAAGAGGCAAGAGGGAAGTTTGAATAAAAATGTTATCAAATGTGGGCATTAAAAAAGTGATCTTTCTATAGTAATACAGGACTTTTCATAATAGATTTTAGAAATATTTGTGTAAGTAGATTAAAAATCAAAATTTATAGCCAGATTTCTCCTCCTTCCTAGCATGCTTATTCATGTAGGCCAAAAAAAAATTATAAGTATTAGAAAATGGGAGTGCTGTTTTTAGTTTACCTTGTATTTCATTACATGTATTTCAAATAACCTAGAATAATGACCTAACAGAACGAGGTTTACTTCCTATGTGATTCTTACCAGGACTTAATGGATTTGGCAACATTTCCTATTCTTGAATTCTTTCTTAGTAAATTTGTTCTTTTTTTCACCTACCAAGAAACTGAAATTCTATAACTGAATTCTTAATACTCACCTTCCAATTGATAATCTTAAAAATTCCCTGTGGTATGGTCCCATATGGAAGGCTTGTCAGACTACCGTGTGGATTTCTACCCTATGTCTAACCTGAACTTTGTTTAGTAGCAGTTGCCTTTTTCTTACCCAGGTTGATCTTTTAATTTCAGACATTTTGGAGAGACTGATCTTTTAATTTCAGACTTGTTGGAGACACTGTTCTTATCACTGCCTCCCATTTTTTTTAAAAAAACAACTTTTTGCTGTAATTGATCTTATGTTCTATTATATCAGCCCTGCGTAGGATTCCTGGAACAAGCCAAGTTTCATTTTATCATGTCAAATGTGCACACACCTTGGTATATTCATTATGACAAAATGCAGCATTCTTTCTGTGCCACTATCACCCAAAGTTTGAGATTATGTATCTGTGGCTGTGACCTCAAAAAAACATGCTGTTCTCTATATGTTTTTTTTAATATCTAGTTGATTACAAATGGAAAGCAGCAAATAGAATATTTAGAGCCCCCTCAGTTCTGAATTTCTGTCTGATCCCAAGATTCCAGCCAGGTAGTGGCCCAAGTTCACCACTCAATTATGACTTCAGTTGTAACAGTCTCCTCTTAACTTGAGAATGTTTTGATCTCACCTGATTACTATGAAATATTGAACTCTCATTTAGTGCCCAATCTTTATTCCTAGTTTATCAGTGCTGAATGTCCTTTCTTAGTTCTTCAAATATCAGATCTCTTTAGGGTCTTAGCTACTGAGAATTCTTTCCCTTTTTTGCAATTTAGGACACTTCCCCCTTCTGCCATTTTAATAACACATTTGTACTTTTATCTATGGCCTCTGAAATTTCAGCTTTTATGAATGACCCATGGAGCCAATTAGCATATTCAAGCACATTCACCACCCACCTTTGCTATTGTCATCACCATTGATCACTTAATTTCGTAAACTTCTTAGTCTGTGCCAGGCACTGACTACTTCACCAGAAGTAACATGATTACCAGAAGACCCTGCCAGACTAGGTGATATAAAGAACAGGAACTGAGTTGAACAGTGAGAATAGAAAATAATTTTTAATTTCTTCCCCCATTATATGATATTCTAGAGGACAAGTTCAAAGAAAAGGCAGAGGCAGATTCATAAAAATTCATGAAACTAGCCAACTCCTTTCATACCTAGAGCTCATTGCTATATATCATATGCTATTAAACTTTATGCCAAAAAGAAATGTGCTTTCTGAAAATGTGTCAGGTGTATTTTCCAAAGCACAAACCCAGTGTTATTAACAACCAGGAATTCATTGTGAATCCCATTCTGCACAGATAGGAAAATAATATAGCTTGGCAAAATTTTGAGTTTGACAGCTTTTGGGAGTTCAGGCTAATTAAAAAAAAAAAAAAACCTTACTTGATACAAGTCAGAATATTGTATTTCAAGCCCTAGTGAGTCAACATGCCTGAGGGATCAATATGACTGGTGATATGCAACTTAGGAACCACACCAGTGTTAATAAAAGATCATGAAGTCTGTGGAGAAAAAGAAAATGAGAGCTTTATTTTCTATTAAAAAAAAATCTGCAGATGGGGAGTTGCAGCATAGTCAGCAGAACAAAGAGGGAGTCTGGCTTAGATAGGGAAAGTTCTAGCCCCAGTCTCCAATCAGCTGTGTACGTGCAAATCAAGGGTTCAAACTCATCCATTCCCAACTAGTTGAAAACAGCTGAGTCTTGATTGGGTAGTTTCCAAGTCCAAAACCAGAAGTCTCTGTAGGATGTCCCTTTCAGGTAGCTGGTAGGAGGAGTTTTCCAGCCATAGTGTCTCAGCTTTAGTTGTCAAAACTGTCTTACCTCAGAGGCGCAAACAGGATGTTTGTCTGAAGCTGCCCTTTTAGGCAACCAAGGGGTGCATGTCCACCTTTCTCTAGCCATGGCCACTGGGTTCCTATTATCTTAATTTGGGTATGTTTATCCACCACAGGGAGTCCATCTTCTCTGGCGAGCTTGGGGTCATATTTAGTTTCATTTCACACCAAAACATCAATACTTTATTGTGTGTTCTCAAGTATTAGTCCTTGGGCATGAATGATGCTTCTCAACCCAGACTGCCCCCCTGCTGGCACTGCACAGACAGAAGCTAGCCTTATGGTTAAATAGCTTTGAGAATTCGTAGACCTATATAGTCATTCAAGTATTTAAGGAGCAGAGTAGGCTCTAGAGATACAATGGTGAACAAGACAGGATACATACTGATTTAATGGACTCCAGTGGCAAAAGAAATCAGTATCTAAGTAAACAAACATGCAAAAAAATACTGCTAAATGGCAATAAGGCTACTGAGTTAAGAAACAATGGTCTGAGAGCGTGAACAATGGGCTGTACGAATTAGGGTAGTCACGGAAAACTTCTCAGGGCAGGACACTTAAGAAAAAAGGAAGAACAAACGGAAGAGAGTTGCAGACTGAAGAAACAGTATGTGCATGACTTGGGGTGATTCCAAGAGGGAAATTATCCCAAAAGATGATGCACTCATTAAGCACAGTGCCTACAGTACCACAAATGGAGTTTCAGGTTTTTCTTTTTCATGCCTAACTCACTGGAAATAATAACCTATAAAACTATTTTGAATAATATTTTGAAATTATAAGACAGTTTTAAAAAGTAATATAGAATTGAGATGGAAATGTGGCTCTGACGTTTTGAAAAGAGGACAGGTCTTGGAGTCAAGTTCAGGGTTTTTATTTAACTGTGACAGTTCCTATGTTGACAATACCAATTAATACATATAATTAACGACAAATCACTTGTCTCAAAGACAGTATCCTCAACTATAAATCAAGGTAATTACATAATCCGATGAGGTAATGATTATAAAGTTCTTTATAAGTTGCTGTTGTTTTTAAAGAATAGGTGGAAGAAGACATGACCAACTTAAAACATTGATAATTTTTCCAACACTGACATCTAGCTCCAGTTATGCCTATTGTGAACAGAGATGATATTAATGAAACTATATTGAGAACTTCATTCATAGGCTCTGGCTGACAGTTTCTCTGTAGGGACTAGTCACTAGTCATTTTCTTTTAAGATTTTTCTAAGCAAGTTACTAATATCTAGTAGCATTCTATTTTTATTGGAGAGTTTTTCCTTAGTCACCTAAACACAAGACAAAATTCCTATTGGTGAATTGAGAATCAGAGGTGACATTTGTACAAAGTGCCATTTTTTCTTAGACCTATCTACAACAATGGTCTCTACAGTCTGAAAGAGATTTATCAAGTTTCAGAACATGTAACTATTTTCTATTGCTGTTGATGATATCACAGAGAAGTTGGTAAATTTGGGGAATATGCATAGACCAGCAACTAAGCTAATATCAGTCCTTAGTCAAATTGCGAATCTGGGAGGTTTATATAGAGTTAATGGAGTTAATGGTTTTATAGCTCCAGCTTTCAAAATCCCTATGCTCTTTCTATAGATAAAACTATCGTTAAGAAGAATCCAAAACTCACACTGATGTATGAAGGTCTAACAAGTTATATTTGACTGGAAGTCTAGAAAATGAGGCTCTTCTCTTGGCTTTGAGATGACTTACTCACCAAGCTTCCTGCCTCTCTGAATCTCTCTTCCCTCAAATATAAAATGAAGGGACTAGTTATCATGGTGATTCCCAAACTCAATTACACATAAGAAATACCTGGAGAGGTTTTGGACAGACATATAGATGCCAAAACTTCAACCACAGAAACTATGATTTAATAGAACTGAGTTGGAGCCTAGGTAATTCAAATTCAAAATTAAATTGAGAATTGCTGGACTTTGCAAGAAGAATTCCAAGGCTCCTTCTAGTATGAAAATTCTAGAATACAATTATTTAACTGAGAATAATTATCCTTTTGAACTACAATCATAGATTAATGATTTTATGGTCCCTTAACTAGCCAACTGTCTAACAGTAACAATAATAATACCTAATATTTTCTCAGGAGTTTACTCTGTGCCTGATACTCTAGCACATTAAATGTATTTTTGTATATTTTTAACAATCCCATGAAGTAGGGACTATTGTTATCCTCATTACAGAGATGAGAAAATTTAGAAATAAATGATAATGTGGCAAACACTATCAGAACACTTATTTTATGCCAGGCATTATTCTAATATTCTAAGATTCAAATACTTGAATATTGTTAGCCAGGTGTGGTAGCTCACATCTGTAATCCCAGCACTTTGAGAGGCTGAGGCAGGTGGATCACTTGAGGCCAGGGGTTTGAGACCAGGTTGCCCAACATGGCAAAACCGTATCTCTAGTAAAAATACAAAAAAAAAAAAAAAATTAGCCAGTCTTGGTGGTATGCTCCTGTATTCCCAGCTACTAGGGAGGCTGAGACATGAGAATCACTTGAACTTGGGAGGCAGAGGTTTCAGTGAGTGGAAATCGAACCACTGCACTTCAGCCTGGGTAGTAGAGTAAGACTGTCTTGGAAAAAATAAATCTTCAAAGATGATCTATTGTTAGAATTTAGTCTTATATTCCATATGTTACATATAGAATATATAATGTATATTTTATATATCTAATATATTATATAATTTACATGTAATATATAATGTATAATATATATTTTATATATTATGTATATAAAAATCTCACAACAACACTATGAGGATGGACTGTTATTATTCTCATTTTTACAGATGATGAATTAAAAATACATTAAATAACATGTATTAAGATTACATAGTAATTGGCAGATCTAGGATTAAAACCCCAGCAGTCTAGCTCCAGAAACCATGCTCTTAACCACTATCACAATACAGATATACATACCATCTCTCAGAAATGTTGGGTAACCATTTCAAGTTCATGTAGTTAGTAAGAGGGCATCACTAAAAGGAAGTATACACATCATTTGATTCCATAGCTCGTGTTCATAATTATTACACTATTAGAAATGCCTGGAAGCAACTGGTTCTACCTGATTGGTGGTAGCATGTGGGAAACTCAAGGGCATGACGTAGGAATGCCAGGTTTACTCAAGCTATATGTCAGAAACATAAACATTGGATGGAAAATATTATGTTCTCCTTTAAGTTCTCACATATCACCTTTTGAATTCTTTCACTCTTCTGTGTAGTTCTTCTTATTATGTGCAGCAATGAAAAATATGGCACAGGTGAATAAATTCATCTACAGTCTTCCTCTAATATTGAATGGTGCTGCATTATAAAAGGAAAAATTGGCTTTTATTGAGTGTCTACTACATGCCAAGCATCACACCTGTCTGTGGCAAATTTTTTAAAAATGCATTAATTCATGTCAAATAACAACGACAAACCTATTACATTACCCATAACATATTTTTATGAAAAGTGACAATATTTTCAAAAACAAAAAATTATTTGTATTCGTGAGAAAAGTGACATTGTTTTACATTTTTGCAAATCTTTTTAATGTCTAGCTTAGGTAAATTCAGCTGGATTCTCATGTCTGCCTCTATATTTAATCTGTTATACTGTCAGACATGTAGTAGCTGGAAAATTCAGTGTACACGTGGTGGAGTGGAAATAATTTTGATGCCGTTAGACCTCCTGAAAGAGTCTCAGGGTCCACCAGCGGCTCTCGGACTACACTTTGAGAGCTACTGTGAAAAATAAGAGATGTCAGTTATTCTCAAAAGAAATGCACTTCAACCACCATATAAAAGAAGTTTAAAACTCAGTGATTAAAACAAAAAAAAATTTTACTGGGCAAAGGATTTTAGTGGACCTTTCTGCAAAGAATGTATACAATAGGAGCATGAAAAGATATTCAACATTAGTTATTAGGCAAGTGCAATTTTAAAACCGCAATGAAATACCACTTCACACACACTAAGATAACTAAAATGGACAAGACAGACAACAAATGTTGGTGAGGATGTGAGGGAGTTGGAACCCTTATACATTGCTGGTAAGTTTACAAAATGGTAAAGCTGCTTTAGGAAACTATTTAGCAGGTCCTAAAAATAGTAAGCATAAAGACCAAACATCACATTCCTTGGTATATATTCAATAGAGACATATATTCATACAAAAACTTGTACACAGTATTTATGGCAGCATTATTTATAGGAGCCAAAAACTAGAAAGTATCCACATGTCCATCACCTAATGAATAAAAATATGTGTAATATCCAAACACTGCAATATTATTCAGTCATAAAAATGAATAAAGTGCTGGTGCATGCTGCTACATGGATGAACCTTGAAAACATTATTGTAAGTGAAATAATCCAATCACAAAAGTTATATACTGTATGATCCCATTCATATGAAATGTCCACAGAATAGGCAAATCCATAGAGGCAGATTTGTGATTGTCAGGAACTGGGAGAGGGGAGGAAGGGAGAGTAAGTGCTAATGTTTATTTCTTGGTTGATGAAAATGTTCTGGAATTGGTAGTAATGGTTGCACAACTTGTGAATGTACTAGAAACAACTGAATTTTATAGTATGTGAATCATAACTTAATAATGCTTTTATAAAAACAACTACTGTTCTCACTTCTCCCATCTTCCCAATATTCTAATATGTTCCCTAGGCTTACCAGCTTACTATGTATCTTGCCTCCCTGTTCTCCAGACTGTCTTACCATTGAAGGTTGTTACTTTAGTGAGCAACTGATAAAAGTGAGGGGGAAGTTCCCATCCCTCCAGTATGCTGAAGTGAACTAGGGAAAAAATTGAAAGCTTTTACTTTACATGCATACTGTTGTATAAAGACTACAACAAATAGAAATGGTTATACCTATGCCCATTCTACAGGTCAGCAACTTAGACCATTAAAATTTAGTAAGCAAAGAATGATAGCAGATGTATAACTTTTGATTTAGATTAAAATCATGAAATTATAACTCATATAAAATGAGTTGAATTAAAATAAAGGGTAGTTATACACCTAATCACCACCTCTGTCTCTCCTAATTATACTAAGCAGACTCCAGTGTTTGAAACGAATGTCTGCCTAGACTAATTCCTACATATCTCTTCTCTTGACGCCCATGTCTTTAATGTCAAGCCTTTCTCTGTTTCATGTTCTTTTCCTGTCCAGAACTGTACTGACATAAGTGATTGGCAGGGGGGACCTTATGTCAATAACTGTGACTCTATTAGCAATTTACATGAAGAATCAACTTTACTTAGTCATCATTTTTTACCGGCAGGATGCAGAGTCTAGTCCTTACCTTTCCTGGGCTCCAGGGCTGTCAACACCGTTGTAAATAAATTGTTTTTCATCAGCAACAGAAGCAATGTCTCCTGCTCTGCTTTTAAAGACTTCTGATCTGACAGCCACTTTGTGGAACTCAATCTACCTCAACACATTATTTGGAGCCTAATACTCACTTCCCCACCAGAAGTAATACAATCTTGTTAATAAATGTATGGGCACAAATTTCAGATGCCTGCATTAAATCCCACTTACCTTCTAACTCTGTGGCTTTAAACAGGTTACTTAACCATTTTAAAAGGTCAACTATAGAGTTTAAAAATAACATTTAAGAGATTAATGATATAATTTACTTTATCAATTCGTTATAAAGATATAATCCATGAACAGTACTAAGAAGAGTTCCTGACATTTGCTAAGAGGTCACGGGATGCTAATAACATGTAAGACTCCCTGCCTTTGGTCACCTAGAGAAAGAATGTATGAAAAAGCTGGGATTGAAGAGCAGGTCATTTGTTTCAAGTACCGAGTCATGGTTTATTAATTTGAACAGCTTCATTGTGATATAAATGACACGTAGCACAGTGTATATATTTAAAGTGTAAAATTTCGTGAACTTAACATATGTGCATACCTGTAAATCCATCACTACAATCAAGGAAATAAACATATCCATCACTCCAAGAAGTATTTTCATGCCACTTTGTAATACAGCTATTCTTCCCTGTCATCACCTGTCTTTTGTCTCCAGCAACCACTGATATTCTTACAGTTATGACAGGCAAGCTTGCATTTTCTGGAATTTTATGGAATTGAATCATAGTTTTCTTGTCTTTTTTATTCCATTCACATTCCTTTGTGTGGGCATATGTTTTCATTTATCTTCATTAAGTAATACCTAAGAGTGGAAGAAACGTGTATATTTCACTTTTTTAAACATGATAATCTGTTTTCCAAAGTTGTATGATTTTATATTTCTTTTTTTTTTTTTTTTTTTTTTTTTTTTTGAGACGGAGTCTCGCTCTGTCGCCCAGGCTGGAGTGCAGTGGCGGGATCTCGGCTCACTGCAAGCTCCGCCTCCCGGGTTCATGCCATTCTCCTGCCTCAGCCTCCCAAGTAGCTGGGACTACAGGCGCCCGCCACTACGCCCGGCTAATTTTTTGTATTTTTAGTAGAGACGGGGTTTCACCGTTTTAGCCGGCATGGTCTCGATCTCCTGACCTCGTGATCCGCCCGCCTCGGCCTCCCAAAGTGCTGGGATTACAGGCGTGAGCCACCGCGCCCGGCCGATTTTATATTTCAATCAGCATTACCTAAGAGTTAAAATTGTTTCACACCCTCACCAGCATTTTACATGATCAGGCTTTTTATTTCTACCCACTATAAAGAATGTACAGTGGTATCTCATTTTGGATTTAATTTGCATTTCTCTAATGACTAGTGAATTTGTGATATTTTATGTATTTATTAACTATCTGTATATCTTCTTTGATAAATGTGTTAAAATCATTTGCAAATTCCTTTTATTATTTATCTTATTGAAGTTTGAGAGTCCTTGATATAATGCAGCATAAGTAATTTATCAGATATGTTTTGCAAATATTTTCTCATCTGCCTTGCTTTTCCATTTTCTAAAAAGAAACTTTATTTGGAAGAGAAAATGTTCCTAATTTTGACAAAATAAAAATTATGTTTTTACTTTTTAACTTCATAGGTTTGCCAAAATTTGGAGATTTTTGCATCTTAGTTAATGAGCAGATGAAGCTCTGTAGTTTTCCTTTCTTCTGATTTTTTTAAAATCAGGGCAATATTGGTCTCATAAAATTAGTCAGGAAGTATTCCCTTGTCGTCTACTTTCTGGAAAGGTTTGTGTGGAAGTAATATTTTTTTCCCTTCCTAAAAAGTTTTTAAAAGTTTTAAAAAGTATGTTTTTAAAAGAGATTATAGTTTTGATGTCCTATTAAGGAAATGTCTTTCCAAGCCCATGGTCACCAAAATTT
Organism: Homo sapiens; assembly: GCF_000001405.40. Taxonomy (NCBI): domain Eukaryota; kingdom Metazoa; phylum Chordata; class Mammalia; order Primates; family Hominidae; genus Homo; species Homo sapiens. The sequence goes on along the minus strand of NC_000005.10, from coordinate 63,407,912 downwards.
CTCCTAGTTTTCCTTCTGGACATTTTATAATTGTCCTCTTTAGGAATATGATCCATTGTGAACACATTTTTGCATACAGTATAAGGTAGAGTTTGGGGGTTTGGTTTTGGTTTGATTTTGCATTTTTTCCCAGCACCATTTATTAAAAATATTTTTCCAATGAATTTTCTTGAAAACTGTAGAAAATAAATTGACCATGTATGTGTGGGTCTATTTCTAAAATATTCTGCTTCATTGATCTATATACTGTATCTATCTTTATACTAATATGAATGTATTCATTCTCATAGCTTTATGGCTAAGTTTTGATATCAGGTTGTATAAGTCCTACAATTTTGTTTTTCTATTTTAAATTTTTTTGGGGAAGTATTGTAGCTCTTCTGAATTTCTATGTTAATTTTAGAATTTGTTTATTAATCTCTGTAGAAACAACATGGTACTCTTTTGTTTAAGATTGATTTGAACGTAGACATATCAGTTTGGGAAGATTGACAAAATAACAATGTTGAGTCTTCTAATTCATAAACATAGTTTATCTCTCACTTTATTTCTTCTTTAATTTCACTTAGAAATCTTTCCATAGTTTTCAGCATATAGGTCCTGAAAGTTTTTAATCAAACTTATCCCTAATTATTTCATATTTGATACATTTATAAATTATGTTTTTTCTCATTTCAATTTGTAAATTTTTCATTGCTAGTACATAGAAATACAATTGATTTTTTGTATATTGACTTTTCATCTTGCAAACATTCTAAATTCACTTATTAGGTCTACAGCTTTTTGTATAACTTACCTGGATTTTCTACATAGACTATTACATCATCTCTGATAGTTTTACATCTCTCTTGTAATTCTGTATGTATTTTATTTCTCTTTTTCTTTCTTCCTCTCTCTCTTTCTCCTCCCCTCCCACCCCACCCCCTCTCTTTCTTCCTTTGTTGTTTTTGTCTTATTGCACTGGGTAATGTCTCTAGTACAATCTAGTAAATTAGAAGTGGTAACAGCAGTTATTCTTGTTTCTTCCCTAATATTAGGGAGGAAAGCATTGTCTTTCACCATTAAAAGTGGTGTTGATTGTATGCTTTTTATAGATATCCTTTATCTGATTGAGCAAGTTCACTTTTATTTCTAGTCCCTTGAGAGTTTTTATCATAAACAGATATTAGACTTTGTCACTTGTTTTTTCATTTTTTCTGAATCTGTTATGAGGGTCATATGATTTTTCATGTTTAATCTGTGAATACAGTGAAATACATTAAATTGTATATGTTAAGTCAAATTTCCCTTACTGGGATAAATCCCACTTGGTCAGAAAATATTCTTTTTATACATTGCAAGATGAGACTTGCTAAAATTTTGAGATTTTTGCATGTTAGTTAATGAGCAGACGAAGCTCTGTAGTTTTCTTTTCTTCTGATTTTCTTTTTTTTAATCAGGGCAATATTGGTCTCATACAATTAGTGAGGAAGTATACCCTTGTCTCCTACTTTCTGAAAAGGTTTGTGTGGAAGTAATATTTTTTCTCTTCCTAAAATATTTTGTTAACTTCGCCAGTGAATATTTTTGTACCTAGAGTTTCCTTTGTAGGAATATTCTCAAATACATGTGTTCTATTACTTTAATAGATATAGGAATATTTAGGTTTAATAGTTTGTGTTTCAAGGAATTTGTTTCATTTAAGTTGTTAGTTTTTATTGGCAAGAGTTATTCATAAAATCCCTCATTATCAATTTAATGCCTGTAAAGTATGTTGTGATTACCCTCTTTCATTTTTAATATTGATAATTTTTTCCTAATTCATATTTACAGATTATTCTAAAAATCTAGCTTTCGGTTTATTGATTTTATCTATTGTTTTTCTGTTTTCTATTGCACGTTTTCTGTTCTTTCAGTGGAATTTGCTGTTCTTTTATAGATAACTCTTATATGCTTTATGTTTAATCTATGCTTCTTTTTCTTGGTTCTTAAATTAGAAGTTTAGGTCATTTCTTTTAAGCTTTGCTAATTAATTGAAGAATTCTGCAACATTTTCTCTAAACATTCCTTTAGCTACCCTACCATAAAATTTGATATGTTGTGTTTTCATTTTATTTCAGTTCAAAATGCTGTGTCATTCCCTTTTGATTCTTTTTTTTTGTGATCCATCGGTTTTTAAGATGTTTTATTTAATTTTAAAATATTTTAGATTTCCCATTCTTTTTAGTTAATGATTTCTAATTCATATTATTTTCATTGTGGTCAAAGAATATACTTTGTCATAATTGAATTAGTTTATGCAAACTCATTTTTTGACAAAGTATGGTCTATCTTGCTACACGTTCTATGGGTACTTGAAAGTAATGTGTACATCATTGGTACTTATTTGGTTGAGCGTTCTAGGTCATTTTGGTTGATAGTGCTTGAAAGTGCTGTATCATTGTCCTGTCAGTTATTTAGAGAGAGGTATTGAAATCTGTCTCTGTAATGGTGATTTGTCTGTTTCTGTGTTCAGTTCTTTCAGGTTTTGCTTCATGTATTTTGAAGCACTGTTATTAGCAGCATAAATGTTTAGAACCATTATGTCCTGATCAACTGATACCTTTATCATTATCAAATTATCTTCTTTATCCCTGGTAATATTCTTTACCGGTATAATTTGTCTGGTATAAAATAATTAATTCTATTGTTCTTTGATTGTTAGCTTGGTATATTCATTTCCATTATTTACTTTTAATTTGTTTCTTTCTTTATTTTTAAAATGTATTTCTTGAAGAAGGACATAATTGGATCCTACTTTTACATCCAATTTGAAAACCTATGTCTTTTAATCAGGGAATGTTGAAAACCATTTAATTTGATTAATGATATGATTAGGTTAAATCAACCATATTGCTATTTGTTTTCCATTTTCACACTTTATTCTTTTTTTTTCCTTCTTTCTGCCTTATTTTAAATTAATTAATTTAAAAATTTTGTTTTACATTCTTGACTGGCTAATTAGCTTTAACTCTTCGTTTTGTGTTTTACTGTTTGCTTTAGTGTTTATAACATGCATGTTTAATATGTCACTGTCTAGCTTAAAGTAATGTCTCACTTCACATATAATGTAAAATCTTATTAGTGTATACTCTTTATTTCCTTTTCCCAGTCTTTGTGCTGTTGTTATCATCCATTTTGCTTCTACACACCTATATGATAAATTCAGTTATTTTTATTTTTAAAAATCAATTATCTTTCAAAGAAACTTATAAATAGGAAAATTATATTTTATTTTCACATGCATACTTACTTTATCTGTTGATCTTCATTCCTTGAATAGATTGAGATTTTTATCTTCCTGAAGAACTTCCTTTAACATTTCTTTGCAGTGCTGGTGGTGAATTTTGTTAGCCTTTGTATTGCCTTTTTTTTTTCATTTTCCTTGAAAGATATTTTTGTAGAATATGGAATTCTAGTTTGATAGGTCCTTTTTTTTTCTTCCTTTACTTAAAAAAGTACTGCCACAGTAATCCTGACTTGTATTCTTATCTTCATTTTCCTATACATAATGTATCTTTTTCCTGTGGCTGTTTTTAAGATTTTTTTTCTTATCACTGGTTTTAAGCAATGTGATTATGATGTCCCTTGCAGTTTTTTTCATGTTTCTTAAGGTTGGGGTTTGTAAGCTTCTTGAATCTGTGGTTTATAGTTCTCATCAATTTGAAAACAAAAAAAAAAAACTGAAGTCATTATTTTTCATGTATTTCTCTGCCCTCTTCCTCTGCTTTGGGGATTCTATGATTTGAATGTATTTTAGGTCATTTGATATTTCACAGCTCACTGATACTGTTCATTTTTTTCACTCATTTTTCTCTCTTGAGTTCATCCAGGATAGTTTAATTGATATATCTTCAAGTTCACTAATGTATTCTTCTTCCATTTCTAACCTCTTGGCAATGCCATGCAATGCCTTTTTCCTCTTTGACATTGTATTTTTCATCTTCAAAAGTCCAGTAATCTTCCATGCCTCTCCTTAACATGTTTGTGCTTATCTGTCATCTTGAGTATATATAGAGTATATCAAAACTGTTTTTCTTTTTTTAATAATTATATCATTTTTGGCATTTCATTATTTTTTCCTCTTAATTAAGAATCTTATTTTCCTACTTCATTGAATATCTGCTCATTTCTTTATTAGATGCTAGGTATTTTGAAATTTATTTTGTTAGGTCCTACATATTCCATCTCAGTGAAATATACTTAGAATTTATTCTGAGACACAATTACATCATTTGAAAACAGTTTGATCACTTCAATTCCTGCTTTTTGCTTTGTTAGGTGGATCCAGAGTAGCCACTAGTCCAGAAAATAGAAATTCCAGCACATTAGTCCAGAGCTAATTTTTCCTCTTTAAGAGAAATATTTCTTAGCACTCTTTTTGATGCCTTGTATATTAACAAGATTATTTTTTTCATTTGAATTAGTGAAAACACAAACTATTCCTGGCTCTGAGTGAGCTGTAGGGATTGTTCTGATTATTCCTTTCTGGTGATTTTTTTTCCCCTACCTTCAGATAATTCCCTTACGTGAATGTGCTGACCAGCATTCAGCTGAAGACTTTACAGGAGCCATCTGCAGACATTTGGATGTCTGTGCATTTCTCTTCTCTCCAGTAACCTGCCCTGCAAATTCTAACCACTTTGACTTCTCAGAATGTTCAACTCTGTCCCTTCAACTTAAGCAGATAGCCAGTTGAGCTGTGATATTTGAGTTGTGCTATGGCCTGGAAATTCTCCGAGCAGTATGCACAGCAATCTTAAAGCTCATTTCATTAGTTCTTCTCTCCTAGGTGTTACTGTCTGCACTGATTGTTCTCTGATACTTGAAACATCATTATTTTCATATATTTTTCTGACGGTTCAGTTGTTTAACATGAGAAGCCAAATCTGTGCTCTGTTATTCTATCATGGCTGGAAATAGAAATTCCAGTGCATTATTATTCAAGATAATTATCTTAAATACATATCTTAATATGTATTCATAATAATGATGTTTTAATTTTACAAATTAATTAAATATTACAATTTTTATCAGGCTTTCATAATTTTTGCCAAATTCAAATATTATTTATAATTAATCTTTTCATCTATACATTCTAAAAAATTTTAATAGACATGGCCTATGTCCTTGAAAATATTCTGAGTTTGGGTAATACAGAAGTGAAAAAACATATGCAGTCTCTGATCTTATGGAACTTATATAGTAGCTATAAGATATAGATAGTAATTATATATGCAAACACAGAAATATAATAATATAATGATATATACAACAAAGTAATAGAAGAGTGCATAAAGTCAGAAGTGGTATTGAGGTGGGTGCCATATTAGCCAGGATGATGAGTGAAAGCCTCTGTGATGAGGTGATATTTAAATAAGGTGATAGTTCACCTAAGAACTAAAAGGGTGTGGGGTGAGCTTTGTTAATAACTTAGGAAAGCATGTCCAGGAAAAAAGAACAGCACATCAAAAAGGGTGCTTTTGTAAAACAAACAAATATATATGTATATAATTATATACATAATTATATAAATTATATATTATATATAGAGAGAGAGTGAAATGGAGTTAACAATTTTCAGAATAAAATAAAATGGTACTGGAGAGGTAGGCAGATACTAAATTGCAGAGCCTTGTAGGTTGTGATTTATGCTTTCAGGAAAGCGATCTAACTAACATATGGAATGGATTCTAGTGGTAAAAATGGAAGCAAATGCAGATGCAGTAGTCCAGATGAGCAACAATGTTGGCTTAGCCTTGATGATAAATAGATTTAAAAAATACCTTGGAGGCATCAGCAATCAGATTTGTAGATAAAGTCTACATGTAGGGAAGAGAAGGGTGATTTGAGGTAAAGAGATGAATCAAGGAAGAGTTGAAGATTTCCGCGTCTTTGATTTGAAAGATTGGGTACATGGCATAACTTTTTACTGAAATGGGGAAAGTAAGAGAAGCAGGTGTAGAAGAAAAGTAATAAATGTTCTATTTTCAGTGTGTTAAATTTCCAAGTGGAAATGTCACGTAGGTTGTTGAATGTATGTTTGGACCTCAGGGAAATGCCAAGACTGAAAATTAAAAAAAAAACTATTCATTTGGCATTGTATAATTTCATTTGCTTTTACCTGGTGACATTGTTCTCTTTGAGAAATATTTGGCCTGCTTCACTCAGGACCCCAATTATTCACCTTTCAGAGGCCTAATGTTATCTTCGTTCTTCCAGGCTACAGTTAAACACAGGCGGGGCTGGAGTGCCCTCTGGTGGATAAACTGACAAGGTTTGGGACACTGGAGTATGGACAAGCTAAAATAGGAATTAGGGACTTCCCACACAGGTGATAGAAGAGACAACCATAAGAGCATAACTACATGAATTGTGTTAGCTGTTAAGAAGATAAATCGAGTAGCTGAGTACTAGTATAAAAGGGAGAATGTGTGTTGTGTAATCGAACTGCTATTCACTTCTAGCCTGATTTTATGTATAGAATGCAGTCCCAGTTTTGAGAAATAGGATTTTTTAAAGCAAAATCAGAAATCTATACCATTATTTAAAGTTTTTGATTTGTAACTATTAGCTGCTATTCAGATTGAAAATACTATATAGGGTAAAATTATGCAATAAAAGATGTGTGTAGATAAGACTGGTGGATTGTAGTTATGTCAGTATCGTGGTGGTCATTCTCTACAATTGCTTTGCAAGATGTGATTATTGGAGGAAACTAGATAAAGAGTCCATTGGATCTCTCTGTTGTATTTCCTACAACTGAATATGAATCTATAATTAGCCCAAAATGAAGAGTTTAATTTTTAAAACTAATTTTTCCATGGGTCAAATTCAGCCCAGGGACCATTAGTTTGCAACTTTTATCTCAAGGAGAGAAGACATATACAGTGGTGCAGTTTAAAAATGGGACCCCTAAAATTCTATAGAAAACAATGAAGTATTTGTTTGTCGGCATAACAACCAAATCTTAGGCACATCTATAACGAGTAAATGGAGCTCCTGCCCTTTGCCCTCAAACACTACAGGAAGAATGGTCAAGATGGCAAAATATGGGCAATTATTTGGGGAAGCCAGAGGGGTTGTAATACCAAATTCCAAGAAAGTAAATACTGCTCTCTGGTTCTTACCTGCCAATATTTGAAGTGATGCCTTATGTCAGAGGAAAGTTAGTAATCCAGAAGGCATGAATGTACCACCCTCTTTTTGGATGAGTTACTTATTTGACTAGTTAACAAAATGGAAGAGCATGGTTTAAATGGATTACCAGTTTATAGATGAGACAATTGAGAGGTAGACCTTTCAGAGCTTGAGAAAACATACAGACATACATTTATTTTATTGTAATTTACTCATAAAGAGGTGTTGCCTCTGTATTTACTTTAGAGAATACACACGGTCCCCGACTTACAATGGTTTGACTTAAGTTTTTTTTAACCTAACGATGGTACAAAAGCAATACACATTCAGGAGAAATTGTACTTCACATTTTGAACTTTGATATTTTCTTGGGCTAACCATATGTGGTACAATATTCTTTCCGGATCCTGGGCAGTGGCAGTGAGCCACAGCTCCCAGGCAGCCACATAATCACAAGGGTAAACACCAGTACTCCACAGTGTACTGTGTTGCCAGATGATTTGTCTTACTGTAGATAAGGTAAGTGTCCTGAGCATGTTGAATGTGGGCTGGGCTATGCTAGGATGTTTGGAGGGTTAGGTGTATTAAGTGCATTTTCAACTGACAGTATTTGAAACCTTCAATGGGCTTATTGAGTTTGTCAGGATGTAGCCCCTTTGTAAGTCAAGGGGCATCTGTACATGATACGGTTTTTTTTTTTTTTTAATGGGCCTAGTTTCTTATTATAGTATTGCAATCAACTTCAAAAGACATCAAATGTTTTACAGGAATTGCATTTCTTGATCCAAGAAATTTATCCTGTTGCTCATTACATAAGTTCTGTGCTACACATTGCTCAGACAGCTTATACTCTTTACCCCATTCCTAAGATCAGTAATTACGCCCACCTAGTTGATTAGTGAAGAAGGAAAGGAGAGGATGGAAGGAAGAACAATTTGCAGAGGAGTCAGCAAGAGGTCTTGGTAATGGAAGCTAATGAACTGGAAAACTTTATTTGAAATTGTCATCCTCAATAGCACACCTTCCAACCCAGCATCATCACCATAGATATTGGGGTTGGAGTTTGATAATTAGTCACAGTCTTTTTTCTACCCCATGATTTGACATAGGCCAATGGAAAAGTAGACATTTGTAACAGACATATGGAAACCAAATATCAGCATTACCACTTATAAGGCTAAATTAGAAATTAGACTACAGACCATATACTTTCTTCCAAGTCTAGCTATTGGAATTATCTGTTGGATGGCAAATGTGGGTCTACAGAGTTGAAGCAAGAAACTAGAAATGTTCATCCAGTTATGATCCAGTGGTAGAGAGAAGAAGATAATGGGGGAGGGGGAAGGTAGAAAGGGGAAGAGAGAGAAAGACACCTCCATTCCAGGACATAAAAGCAAGACAACCCAAAGTAAAACTGTAAATAGATAACATCTGTCTTAGAATAACCTCACTTAAAAAATATTTTAAATTATTCTATATACGTTAATCCAGAATTGTGCTTGGCTTTGAAATACAATCGTAAACAAGAAATAGTTCTTGTAGTATGGAAAAAATTCCATAGTCTAGAAGAAGAGCTATAAATAGACAAGGTCAAGATATACTTATCTGAAATGACTATATAAATTATGTCATTATGACATAATAACATGCATAATAATGTAGCATGAAAGTAAATATATTAAATGTTGAAATAAACATAATTATGTTCTTTAATAAATATGTACTTACATATACTGGTATATGTAGTTCAAAATAGGTCTCAAAAGTATTGAATTTAAAAAACAATAATATGATTTTTAGTTGGCCAGATGTGTTTTGTTGTACTTCTTTATTTTTTATTTATTTATTTATTTATTTATTTATTGAGATGAAGTCTTGCTCTATCGCCCAGACCACTCTCTAGGAGAGCCCTGACTGGGAAAGAAGTTAAATCTGCATGTGTCAGTCAAGTAAGAGGAGGCCATAAAACAAAAACACATGACATAACAGAAAGTATATTATTCTCAGATCCATGAGAGTAGAGAGATGCCTCTGGGAGCCAATGAGAGGTCACAGGGCAATGTGTTCAAACAGCAGGTGGGGAGCAAGAGAGACAGAGAGAGATAGACCTATAGCCTGAGGCTTTACTGGGATCCAGGACATTACCCCAGCAAGTTTCCCACATGGAGTTCTAATTGGTGGATGCAGAGCAAGCGGGTGTGAGTCACATGTGGTGACTGGGACAGGGAATGCTCCCTGTAGCATACCTGCATACTGAGTGGAGAGTGGAGTCAGTGAGGTGAGTCAAGGAGGTTATCTCTGCATATCCCATGGGGAGTTGGACACTAGGAGGTGGTTACTTAAGGCAGATATCTGGATGGACCACACTTAGAATCAGAAAGAGCTAGAGAAATGAAAACTGTGTCAAGAGTTACTAAGCCCTTCTTCTGGTATGCGAAGTTAAACCTAGGTTCAGAATAGATGCTGAGACACCATAAAACTATAAGAATTGACAACATCTGCATTCTATGGAGGAGGAGACTGGCTTCTTTCTTTGAAGTAGATTCTTCCTTTATTCTGATAGGGGAAATTTTGTTGATCTCTTTTACCCATTAAAGAGAGGTAAAAAAAAAAAATGGCAGTTTACAAGCTAAATCAAAATGTCAATATTCTGTTCACAACAGTGTGAAGACTGTTGTCTCTGAACATGTAATCCAGGTATTCACAGTTCCCAGCACTCCATATTGTCATACACTTGTTGCTTGACATATCATTTTGTTTATCTATCTCAGCAGACAATTGAGCTTTGCCTATGTTACTGTTAATGCCTCTCTCCAGTCTTGGGGAGGCCCTGAGAAAGTGACAGAATCCAAGTACAGGCCCTTCAGTCTTCGAGTATGTGCTCTATTTAGTAATAAAAATGAATATATAGTTAGAACAAATCTTCCCCTACTAGTTTAATTTTTTGTTCCTAAATCTAGATTTCTATCATTTTTCTTAGGTTATTGAGTATTCATAGGTCTAAACAGTTGTTTACATTCAAACCCTGTCTTTTCAATTGTGAGTTTGAGGAGGCTTCTATCAGAGAGAGACCCAGTCTACCCATTTTACTTTCATTTTTTTTTTGTTATTTATCTTCAGAAATTTCTCTTTTTAAAAGGAAAATCTCCTTCCCCACTGTCCGTATCCCTTTTTTTAAAGCCTATTTTTCCTTCAGTGGCAAAATCTAGTCCTAAAATGTTGTTTAAACTTAAGCATATGAATTGTTATCATCATTTTTTTTTTTGGCAACAAACATATAAGTTTAAACTCCCATCCTGAACCATAAGTCACTGGTAACTAAAGCTAATAAAGCCACAGTCTAAATTATAAATCTGGGAAATATTGATACCTACCTACATTTTACATAATTTTCTCCTGGCAAATCTCCATCTAAAGTAGCATGGGGGTCACTACTTGTCACTTGTATAGTTGGGTTATTTACTTTCTAAGTGGCTTAGAGACCACAAATGTAAAATATCCCATGGAATGAATTGTGTTTCACAAGAGAGGCTGCCATTTTTGAGTTCCTCTGACTTTTGATTATGGATTGCATGTCCTCAGGCTGTGAGCTGAAAAAACAGACTTCAGTGATGTGATAAAATGAGACCAATGATCATTCCAGCTAAAAGAATAAAACTCTAAATCAGCAGCAGCCAAGCTGGGTGTTTTTAGTAGAAAGACCCCTCTGCTATCATTAATTTATTAAGATGTCTAACACAATCAGGCCCCCAAAAAATTATTTTCCCCATTAAACTGCAAACTACAAAGTCCATCCTCTACTTCTTTCCCTTGTGTGGAGATTGAGTATGTCCTCAACAAAGGTTACCCAAGTAAGTACATTAAAAAGAGAAAAATGGGAGAAATAAAATCTGTGTGGTATATAGTAATTTTTCTCCTTTCTTATCTTTCATCTTTGTAACTTTGTGAATCTTTCTATAGTAGAGATTTTTTAAGTAAAGCAACAATTTTATATGTTAAGTAAACATTTTAGTTGCTAAATATAATTTAGTTATTTGTTGGTTTAATAATCAATAGAAGTACTTACTATGAGTCAGGGATATCAGGGAATAAAATAAATAAAAATTACTATCCTTGTGAAGTTTAAATTCCAGAGGAAGGAATAATAAACAACAAACATAATATATAAAACGTTTTTATTGTTTATTAAAATATATTAAGTATGCTGAAAAAAACAGTGATGAAGGAAACTAGCTTGAAATTTTAAATATGGTGTCCATGGAAGGCTTTGTGGAAAACAGGCTATAGGCACAAAAACTTAAGGAGATTGAGCAAGTTAGCAAAGTGGACATTTGAAGGAAGTTACTCCAAGCAAAGGTAACAGCTACTACAAATACGAGGATGCCTGATATCAGTGGAGTAGTAGGGAGAATAGGTCTTAGCATCCTCATTTTTGGCTGTCTTACTGAACATTAGCAAGTACACCAAGAATGTGAAGCGAGTAAGTGATGTAACCAGAACTCACAGTTGGGCTGCCATGTTCCGTTCTTCTTTTGCTCTTTTTGTTAATTAGACAATGCCCTAATAGATTCCTTTGGCTCACCTATATTCTACCTTCCTGAATGAAGAAAAGACAAAGCAAACAAAATCACATCAATTTATTTATCTCTATTAGCAATTCAGGAGAGAAAATTGGGAGCAGAAGAAATAGTTACAGAAATTGTGATACAGATACAACTGTAGAGCTCAGGAGGTTGGTTCAATCTTCCAAGTCTAATTGGAGACAACCCTTCTAATCCAAATCTGACACCGGAGCCAGGTACTATATTTGCTGTATCCCACTAGATGACACCATTACAATGTCAGTTTCTCACCAGAAAAATATTATCTATCCTGGTACTAAAGATTACATAAAGACTTGGAGGTAATAATTTACCATTGAAGGCATGTTACTTGGTCAGCACTGTGCTGTGTTCAAGGACAAAAGTGAACATTAGTGATTATTAAAAGATTGAGGCTCACAAGTATGTATAAACTCCAACTTCAGCATAGAAGTCCTACCACATGATTGGGAGTGTTATTACAGTGAGGCCAGTGGAGAAAGGTCCTCTCTGACCAGGTCAAAATTTGTTAAAAACCCAAAGAGTACTGACTTACATTCTTAGTTTATGGAACAACTTTTAATGTTAGACAAGAAGAGGGTCTTCAATGACATATTTCATCTAGTACCCGCTCTTTCCTTTGAACTTAACAAAAAAATTCCTTCAAAGTCTGTGCCAGAACACTATATGGGTGGCATTGAACTCCAAACTACTTCTCTAACAACATTCAACCTCCCCTCTAACCCCCAAGATGAAGCAGACATCCTCTCTTTATATGGTAAACCTTATCTGATACATACCCAATTAGGCTAATAAGTAGACTGTCTCTGTGCTCAGTCCTGAAGATCAGCTTTACCTCTAAACTATCTGAGCATTATTCTTCCCTTAACCATGTATAAATACAACTGCTAGTATCTATGTAAGTCCATCCGAATTTTCAGTGATTCATTCCCACTCTTATACCCTAGGTATCAATATTAAGTAATGTTTTGCTAGAAAGAATTTATAGTTGGATGCACATTGAAACCACATGCTAATGTAACCCTCTTAAGAGTGAAACATTTTACCTTCTTTTTATCCTCCTTTTTCCTCTTTGCTGATGGAAGAACAGAGAAAAGCTTAAAAGGAAAACCTTTTAAGCTTCTTCTCAGTTGTCTTTTATCTGCATCTCTTTTCATTGGCTATCTTTCTTTCCTCTAGCTTGAGATTATTACATTTTTAAGAGAGAGAGTGTGTATTTGGAACTGGTTCCATGCAATTTACCATTAGAGTTGGAGTTTATGAGAAAGAAAATAGAGTGAAGGGAAATATTCTTTTTTTAGAATTTCCATCTGATACAGGAAAAAATGAAGAACAAATTCTATTTCTCCATGTTTGTAAATATGAAGAAATATTTCTGAAATTACTCTGTGATATTTCTTTGGGAACGGGAATTTTACTTTTATATACTCAATATAATCACCAATATTTCTTCAAAGTATCATATCATATATGCAGGAGTCTGAAAATTCTCAGTCCACCTACCACCTTCACATTGTTTTCAAAGCGGTTTTTAGATTGCTTTTAAACAATACAGTTCTTAATGTTCATAGCCACCTTTTCCAAATGCATTCAGAAACCGAGTTCAGGAACACTTAATTATGCCATTGGAAGTTTTATCTTGGCCAAACGTTAGTATGCAAATTTGAAAGGATACCCCCCCTCAGCAGAGAGTTTAATTTTGAAGCTGTGAAGTAATATTCTAACTTCTGTTTTATTCCTGTTGTGTTCCCAAATCACTATGACTACAGAAATGTGTGAATCTTAGTTCTAATAAATTCAGAGAATAGATATTTGAGCCTTTAAGTCCTTGGGGAACAATAGTGAATGCATTAACTGCTGCTACAACAAGTAATTATATCCACACAATTCCATTTCTTTTGGTCTGGCATCAAAAGCTGCTGAGAGGCAAATGTCAATAGAGGAAAACTGCTTTCTGGAGTGGTAGATCTATTATTTACACGGTGATGGTTAGTCAGTGTCAAAAAGAGTTCTTGCAAACTAACAAATGCTTTAACTGAAAGAGACTGTTGTGCCTGTTTAATAACTTGATATTAATGACATTGAATCCTCTTGAGTTTTTGTTTTTAAAAGTAGACAATGATAGATTTTGAAAGATATCAAGAATAGAGCAAAATCCTGAGTAATGAGAAGGACAATCTGACTTTTCCATCAACACATTAAAACTATATCATGTGAATTTACAAAGCAAATTATCCACCTCTTGGTTTCTTAGTGTTGTTACTTAAATACTGGTAAGGCAGAGACCAGGATGACTTTCAGAATCTTATGCAATGTTAGTGGGCTCATGTTCTACGGATGTTGCTATCATAGAAATAGTTTATATTTAACTTAACCTTAAAGCAACATGTGTATTTTGTTATCATGATTTCTGCTGTTTTGGATTTTGCATTTGCTGTTCCCTCTGCCTGGAACACAAGTCTCTCAGGCCTTTGCATGGATGGCTCCTTCTCAACATTCAAATCTTTGCTTGAATGATACTTTTTTAGAGAAGCACACCTCACCCCAACATAAGGTATACATTCCACTAACTTGCTTTACTTTATGCTTTATATCTGTCTGTATTTAAATTATCAGTGATATTCGGTTACCCGATTATTGCTTATTTTCTCCCATTATTTCCCCTATTATCAGTTTTATTCACTGTTATATCCCTACAACTCATTCAGTGATTGCTCAACAGTGGTGTTGAATGAAAGGAAAAACAAAAGAAACCAAACATGCCAATATGTGTTCAAATCCAGTGATCTTTGGGATACAGTTGTTTAACACTTAGCTTACAGAAAATGGCACAGGAAGAATATGTTCAAAAGCTTTCTGTTTTATGTGAGACACTGACTCTTTAAAGTGGCTCATAATGATTCTCCCAAATATAACATTTTAGAATGAATTATCTATCTTATATAAGTTTCCGTTTGTTCAGAAATGGCCAAATTACCAAGTGACTTTGCAACTATTGACTGGTTTTTGGTTAGGATGTTTTTAAAGAACCCCTCGAGGCTCAGCATATAAATGAGAGCCTTTTTTGACTTGTGCATAAATTCAGGCTTGAGCTGGAGAAACTCAGGTCTGAAGGACTGTATGTGGAAAACAATGACCACAGAAATTACAGGTTTGTCTGAAACCCTCTGAAGCTGAAAGTTTTAAACAGATAATAAAATATTTAAAAAGAAAATAAAGCCTTTCTAAAAGAACTATTATTGGGCAGCTCTTTCATCTGGGAGATGAGAGTTTTCTCATTTATGAGCAGTTTATACTTTTGTGGTTTTGTGTTGTTTTTTTTTTTTTCATTGAAGTCAGTGACTTGAGAAGTTACAAGGGAATTGTCCCTCTTTTCTGACAAATAGGAAGGCCTGAACGAAGGTAGAAATGTCAGAATTGTCATCCCAGAATTCTTAATTATTCATTAATCTTCTTGGATTCTATATTACTAAACAAGTATGTGTACAAACAGAATTACACCCATAACTTTAGCCCCTTACTTGGACAATCTGGGAACTCATTAAGGAAGCACAGCCAAATTGAATTATTTCTTCCTCAAAGACAATGCAGTAGTTATGCTGAAGACATGCTGACTTTCTGTAGTGCAGGATTAGTGACAGTGCCAATGTAACACATTAATCATCAACTTATGGCACCAATTCCAGGTACTTCTAGCATTTGTTACTATACTGTTTTTTGAGCAACTTCCAAAGAATATTATAATCACAAAATGAATACCATGTTTCAGATTGCTCTCATGAATAAAACTGGTTCTTTCCTAAGCTAAATGCACTCCTGAGATAGATAGGTACATCCAAAGCCACAGTGATCTTTTCCTGGATCCTCCATCTTTTCCATGCTTGAAACTGCCATTTGATATTTCAAGATAATTCATTTGGCAAGAAGCTGATAAAGGATTAAAATGGATAAAGCAGGAGGCTTTTGGCCTCTAAAAAGTAAAAGCAGGATTCTCAGTTCTCGCCTGGCATTTTCAGCAATGCTAGGAATAACTGGCAACAATGCAACACAGTACCTTATTACATTATTGCTATTATTCTTTTAGCTTTGTAAAAAGGTAATCATTTTGGTTGCTGCAATTACAGAGAACATTCTTATTTCACTGCGTCGTGTTGAACTGAGATTTCTGCTCCATTGCGAGCTGATAGGAGTGTGGTATTTACATTTTCTTCTTTAAATAATAGTGCAAAGAAGTTAGTTATCAGACTGTGACTGATACTTCACAGTACAGGGCATAGGTGATTATTTTGGGGTCTATGATTGGAATTCCAAACAGTAGGATCCATGCACAGGACATGGCACCTACCAAATCACTTGTCTGTTTGCCCTAAATTACTAGAATTGTATCATCTTTATAAGTGTTTTTGCCTTAGTACACATTATCTACATTTTTGGCATATTGAATTGAAAGCATTTCCATTTTAGTTTGTGATTATAAGATGAACTCTTGAAAAATGTACCCAGGGATTATATAATATTAATATAATTCTCTTTTAGTGTAAGAACTGACATGCATTCATTTTAATAATAGTAGCAATACTTCAAGAAACTTTCATACAAGGAAAAGAGATTCGCTTTAAAAACTCATCAAAGTAAGACAAATTCATGTCAAGTGAGTGTTTTTTCCCAATTATAATTGATTTTTATTAAAAAGTAATTATTTTTCCCTGATATTTTAAATGTTTTATTTTTCAGTAGAATAAGCTAACTTTACATATAATAAGAACAAATTAAATTTTTAAGTTTTAGACGCATATTTGGGAAAACCTCAGCAAACTCTGAATCTAGATTGGTGATTGCTTACAGTAGATATATCCCATAATTATAGTGAAGTTTTTCCATTGCTAAGGCTGATAAAATATATTAAACTACTAAAATCCTGACTGAATGCAAGAATCAGCTGATTCTAAACTTCCACTCTGCTTTCTAGTTTCTCTAGGGGATAATAGCAACTAGGAGATGATAGACTTTGTGTGCAGCAGTGCCAATGCAAACCTTTCTAATTCTGGCTCAACTCTCTTGCAGAAACCAGGGAACAGCAAATGGTTTTCAATAACGATAGCTAGGGAAGGGACAAAGAAAAAACAAACACACTTCTTTTATTTTTTAAACTAGTTAATAGGAAAAAAAGAAAGTGGACAAAGAATCAAACAATAATTAAAAATACAACACGAGTTGCAGTCAATTCTTCTCCTCCAAGATGATCAGATAAAATGAAATTGAGTCAAAAGAGGAAATTCTACCAAATACACTTGGAACTACAAATGACCTTAGAAGATAACACTTAAATCCCTGCACGTGTTGTGGCCTCTCCACTGAGTTACAGATTGTTGATCCTGGAACAGCAAGTTAATAGACTGTGAAAGGAAAGAATAACCATGAAATGAGATGGCTAATACATCAGCAACCATTGGGATCAAAACAAGGAATAACTATTACTTCTTACTTTCTAGGATGCTATAATCTTCTAAATTTCAAAACAGAATACATTTACTGTGGCAGTCAAGATGGAAAAAGATACACGTCTAAGAGCAATTTTTATGACACCCTTCATTTAAATAGAGATTTGGGGAGAACAGAAACAAATACTAGAGGTGAAGAGTATTTTGGCTTCTGTTTTCTAATGTGTTGGGAACAACTTTATTCCCCTTTGAAGTACTAATAAATCTTGCCATTCTAAATACAGTGAAATTCAGTTTAGGGAAAAAAAATTTGTCAGAATTTGATGATAAATCTTTGACAGCAAGAGTTGTTTAAAACCAAATAAACCTGATGACTTACATGAATTTTATTTGAGATACATGGCTGTTAGGAAAAAGGCAGAGGATTATCCCCCAATTTGTCCTTTATTCAGCTATCAAGCAATCTACAGACTCTGCTTTTTATAATAGGAAGAACTGTGACCAGTCTATTCCAGGATTTCTCCCAACTCTATTTGGAGAAATAGCTTGGGTCCTGGCCTGAGGCTCTCAGAGCTTGAAGTGTTTATGAGTAGTACGGTGATTAAAAATGCTAGGTAGGTCTTTTGTTATAGCAATTCTGAATGCTAGGAAATAATGGTACAATATCTATTAATTCTTCAAGAAAAAAATATGTACTCCACAACATTTATTCCCAGAGGGAATACAATTTTTATGTACCCTTCTTGACAAAGGTATTAGAGAATCAACTTTAGTGAAGCAAGAAATGAAACCTCAGGAACAGAAAAGAATGGAAATATCTCAAACCCTGATAATGTTGGAAGCAGGAGGATGAGAGATGATGGAGGATGAATTTATCACAAACAGCCTCAAAATTTCAACTTTCTCTGGATCAGTGTCTTTTGCTATGTAACTTTTCAGTGCCCTCATATTGTGGCTGGGTCATTCAGCCCTACTTCTTTAATCTAAACTCAGCTATGTTACATGTTTTGGCCAAAAACATTATATATATATGTATGTGTGTATATATGATTTTTCTCCCCATTCTTTCTCTGCCCATACAAACCATATTTGCCTACACCCTCTGGGAAAATTGTTATGAGAAATAAACTTTTAAAATATATGTGTATACACACACACACACACATATATATACACATACATACATACATATTGTGTGTGTGTAGATAGAGACTGAGTGAGAGATAGATAGATGACAGACAGACAGAAATTGTGTTAGGAGGTGGGCAAATTCAGGTAGGTATAGGCAGAATATAGAATGAAATTCATACAATTTTATTCCTTTGTTGATTTGTTACGTCTACTCAGATGTCCAAGGCCTAAGTCAGCTCTCTTGAAATTCCTTATTTTTTAAATTCTAATTTTAAAGTGAAATATTTATAGCTTACATGACATAGTTAAAATTTAAACTGTTATCTCTGAAGTAAGGAAATGCATGTATCACTAATCTCTTTTCTGAAGAACTACACAGCTTCCATTTGCAGTTACAAAGTTAACAGATTATTTTTTTCTCAATTAACGATGGCATCAACAAAGCTTATCTCCTCCTAATATGCTTGGCAAAGAAGATTAAAAGATGTGTAGAGGAAATCTAAATACAGGTGAAATTTTAGCAAGTCAAGCATATATTCTACAGCATTATTAAAGAAAATTTCAATTGTAGGAAATATATTTAAACAGAATTTTTTATAATTTTATAAACAGAAACATCAGTAATAATTGCTTAGAGTTTAAACAAGATCATAATTTTGGGTTCATAAAATTGAATTTGCCTTCAACTTGAAAAATTCTATTTTTTTCTCCCCATTCTTTCTGTGCCTACACCAACAATATTTGCCTACACCCTCTGGGAAAATTGTTATGAGCAATAAGCTTTAAAGTTATTAGTGATTGGTGAAGAGTAAATTATTGCTGGTAGAGCAAGTTAACTTTTAAAAGTAAACATATATGTTATTTACTTTATAGGTTAGTAACACTATTATTTACTGTATCACCATCTCCTACCTTAGTGGATTTCAGCCTAATCCAGAAAATTTGTCATATAATAGTGTATAATTACTCTAGAGGCTTGGAAAATAGTATATGAAGGTACCAAATCTAAAAGTGGCATAAGCTGCTATGATGAAAAGATCTATCGATACAATTTCTTGATCAAGATAGATAGGTATTGTGCCTGGTAGTGGGCAAATTAGGCTAGGAATAGGCAGAGTATAGAATGGAATGCATACATTATTCTTCTCTTATGAAACAATTCCAAGATACAAAGCTCAGGGGTAGTAGAGAGACTCCATTGTCATTAAAATGGGGCTCCTGGCTGTGCATGGTGACTCATGCCTGTAATCCTAGCACTTTGGGAGGCCAAGGCGGGTGGATCATGAGGTTAGGAGTTCAAGACCAGCCTGGCCAAGATGGTGAAACCCGATCTCTACTACAAATACAAAAATTAGCTGGGTGTGGTGGCGGACGCCTGTAATCCCAGCTATTCAGGAGGTTGAGGCAGAGTATTACTTGAACCCAGGAGGTGGAGGTTGCAGTAAGCCAAGATCATGCCACTGCACTCCAGCCTGGGTGACAAAGCGAGACTCTGTCTCAAAAAAAAAAAAAAAAAAAAACAAGTGGGGCTCCTATGATTGCTCTGATCTTCATCATTTCTAAGCTAGTAGAAACAGGGTGAGAGAAGTCAATGACAGTCAACAAACTTTGCTTTAAGAAATGGTCTGGAAAATGTGCATATCATTTCCATTCACATTCCTTGGCTGGAACTTAGTCTCAGGGCTATAATAAATAAATTAATTAATTAATTAAAAAATAAAATAAACTTTTAACTTGTTATAACTTTAAAAAAAAAGAGAGCTAGAAACTGTTTTTAGTGAAATAGCTATGGACCCAGTTATAACTCTCAGAATTATTCTTTAAAGGAATGAGAGAATCTATATTACAAAACAATGAGCACTCTCATCACAGAGGATGGGGAAGACTATATTTTCCTAAGATAGCCTAAAATATATCTCATCTCAAATGTTCTTAATGTGATCTTGCTACTCCCACATCAAAAGATAAAGTCTAATAACCTGTCTTGCATGTGGGCTATTTGACCAATAGAATATGGCAGAAGTGAAATTCTGTGACTTCTGGGGCTAAGTTAAAAGAAGCTTCATAGCTTCTCTGTGTCTCCTGGAATACTTATTTTTGGGATCCTCCTTTTGCAACCAAACCGTTCTAAGGAAACCCAATACACGTGGAGAGTTCTTCAGACATACGTAGGTTCTTTAGTCAGCAAACTTACCTGGGCTTCCAGTGGACAGTCACCATTAATCACCAGCTATATTAGTAACCCATTTTTAATATGCAGCCAAGATAAGCCTTTAGATGACTCCAGGCTCAGCCTCCATCTGACTATGACTGCATGAGGGTCCCCAGAACAGATCACCCAGGTGTCAACCACAGAATCGTCAGAAATAATAAGTTGTTTTAAACATCTACATTTGCAGTTTGTTACACACAAAAATAAACACCTGAAAAAGATAAGTATTTATTACAGACATTGATAAAATCTCTGTCTTCATTCCTCTCCGAGTTGAATAATTAATATTATGCTATCAAAAGGTATATCTTCCTTTCATATTTTAAGTGGTTATTTAAACCTAGGTGTAGTGGGGCTACTTCAAGGTTCTTGGCTGGAATACCTTTCTTCCATTTCACTCTAGATCTTAGTCATTATTAAAATTCAACTGCCCCAAGGAGAGGAAGATTTTAGATGTTATCAATCATTTTTGCCTTCATAGGAATAAAGGATTTAAGTTAGCATGTTAAAAATGGGTTTGAGAGATGGCTGGGCATGGTGGCTCATGCCTGTAATTCCAGAAATTTGGGAGGCTTAAGCAGGTGAATCACTTGAGGTGAGGAGTTGAGAACAGCCTGGCCAACATGGTGAAACGTCATCTCTACCAAAAACACAAAAATTAGCCGGGCATCATGGCGGGCACCAGTAGTCCCAGCTACTCGGGAGACTGTGGCAGGGAGAATTGCTTGAACTCGGGAGGCAGAGGTTGCAGTGAGCCAAGATGGCACCACTGCACCCCAGCCTAGGTGACAGAGTGAGCTCCATCTAAAGAAAAAAAAAAAAGATGGATATGGGATAGGGGATAGATTAGATTGCAGGCTTTGAATATGTGAGGGAAGCAGAAAATGAGACAGCAGGAATAAATGGGGACAAACTAGAAGCAATCAATGCAAATTTCACTTCATAATTCTGTCTACAGTCTATCTCATATTCAGTAATCACTTATAGTAAAGCAGAACCTCTAGGAGGACATAAGAATCAACAAATTGCTTTCTTGTATATCTTATAGATTTTTGTACTTCCATCATAGTGTTTATTTTGAATTTATTTTGAATTATTTTTATTTGTATCTACATAGGTGCCTGTAGTTATCAATAAGGTGAAATGTGCCATGGTTTGCAAGTGATTACTCCCTCCAGCAGGCTTAGGTTCCAGAGGCTGGTCATTCAAAAAGGCTGCATTATGTGGTTGGTTACACTTCCTTATAATTAATATATCAATGATTTTCCAGTAACTGCTTGGCTAGAGCATTCTTCAAAAATTGAATGAAGATTTTTTGTTCATAATTCTTAAAAAGAAATTCAGATGAAGATCATCTCCAAATTACATAGATATTTAATGATTCATATACTTGCATGATCCATACTATAATTAATTTTATATTTAAAGGTGCAATTCAGTAACAAAATGAATAGTAGTGCTTTTATTTGTCAATGCATATCATGTTATAAGGAAACAAACCTTTTATATAGTGTATATGTATCTATATCTATTTATCTATCTGTCTTTCTCCCTATATATCTCTCCCTGTGTTTTTGACAAAGAGTTATTAGTCTGAGTTACTGAAAGTGGAAACGTCAACCGTCTATTATTACCTAACTCTTTCTTTTTTCTCTCCCTCTTTCTTCCCTTTTACACTCTTGAATTTGTCACGATGAATCTCTCTGAGGATTCAGTTATAGGCAAAGCATGACTTGGGCTATGCAGAGAAAGAAGCCCAACGTACCTTGTTAATATCATGCTGAAAGTGGATAGACCTGAAGATATCTATGTTATCAAAATTAAGATGTCAGATTTTTGTAACATGTTCAATCACAGAAAGGAAGAGGAAATCAGACCTAATTTCCTTATATAAACAATTTTTAGCAATCCAAAGTCTGCAAGTTACAATTCTGAAAATATAGTAGTTTAATCTTGAAGGTGATTGGTTGAAAAAGTCACTGCCCTTTCTGACACAATATATCATTACAAAGCCTAGCTATTCTGGAATAGTTGCACCTACACTGTAGATCTGTCAACCCCTTTAGGATGGCATTCATCTTTCTGAGGCAGAAAACCTAGATGCCAGTGACTTTAAGTGTAACAAGGTACAATTTTTCTCAAGAAGTTCAGAGATAACCAGAGCTAGTAATTTGGCTCCTAGAAATACCTAAAAGACCTAGTCATCAGCAGCCTTGCTGGCTAGTTTCATCCTTATTTTCACAAAATTTTATTCCAATATCATATAGAGTGATCACACACCAGGGAAAAAAGCAGGAACAGAGAAAGGCAAGGTAAATGCTAGAGGGTTTGTCCCTTTTTATGAGAAAAAACACTAATTTCCTATAAGCTCCAGTCAGTGAAGCACTGCTTATATTACTTTGGTCAGTTAGATCACAAAGCAACTAAACCTGGGAAATTAAATGTGAAGGTGGGTACATTGCACCCCAAAACTAAATAGGGGTTTCCTTTGTAATAAAGGAGACAAAAATGGAGATTAGGCAGCAAAAGCATCCTCTGTCACAGTCCTGGATGCCCTTTGTTCCTTTGAAAGTAAAGATTTTCTCAGGGAAAGAGTAAAGGGGACTTTTATTTCCAAAGCATTGTCGAGAACTTCGCTATGGCAGGGTAACAGGGAAAAGCTTTGGGTGGCAAAAGTGATCAATCATGGAAAAGGAGTTGGACAGGTCAATAAATAAAACACTGGCAAGCAGACTTTGATGTATGAGGGAATAACACACTCTAACTTCCGATAGTGCTGTGCCAGGCACCTTGATGGGAAACAAATGCATCATTCAATATACAGCTTAGCTTGGAATTGCCATACATAAATTGGCAGCCAACTTTCATTACTGATAACAGTCAGAAGTGCTAAGATGGGCCTATCATCAGTGATGTGAGTGTCCTCATGGGACAAGATATGACTTCTATGATTTCATTTATAATATTGTTCACAGAATAATTTCAGGGACCAGCAATCATTAGCTACCATAACTGGCTCTGTCATTCTGCTAGAGAAATTCACCTTTTTAAAATAATGATGGTGGGATAGCAGGTATATGTGAATCTATTGTTTACTCCCTATGTCAAAAAAATTAAATGAAGAGGTGCCACCACTGAAGCCGCATGTGAAGTAATATGCACCATAAATAGTTGAACGAAGGAACTGACTTTATCGCTAGAACTCTTATCGTCATATTAATAGTTTTATTTTCCATAAAATACCCAAGTAGATGGGAAAATTTAAAAGTTATTTTCTTTATGTTTGTGAATCTGTCTTCCTGTGTACTGTTATTCTTAAATTATTGCTGTTTTTTCTTTTTTATTGTTATAGTGTAGTAGTTATATATTTAAGCAGAAATTGATATGGAACCGCTTTAGCTGTTGAGTCATGTTCAAAATATTGCAGTTGGTCAATATTATTTAGTAAACATCTCATACGTTCCAGCCTTGTGTGAAAATGATAAGAAAAATAAAATGAAATCTGAGGACATTCTGTCTCCTC
This sequence comes from Homo sapiens, assembly GCF_000001405.40. NCBI lineage: Eukaryota > Metazoa > Chordata > Mammalia > Primates > Hominidae > Homo > Homo sapiens. The sequence continues at coordinate 63,383,846 of NC_000005.10, read as the reverse complement.
AGGAGACATGTAATCTAATGGAGGTTACAGGACAAAACTTTACAAAGGATGAATAATAGCAAGAAAGCGTTATGGTACTGGCTCCTAAATAATACTTTCACGCTTTTCCTCTTTTCCTGAACTCCAATTTGAGAAAGAAGCTTTCTTCGTATTTACTTTTTATTTTATTTTTATTTTTATTTCATTTTATTTTTTAGATGGAGTTTTGCTCTTGCTGCCCAGGCTGGAGTGCAGTGGTGTATCTCGGCTCACTGCAACCTCCACCTCCCAGGTTCAAGCAATTCTCCTGCCTCAGCCTCCTGAGTAGCTGGGACTACAGGCATGTGACAAAATGCCCAGCTAATTTTTTTGTATCTTTGATAGAGATACGGTTTCACCATATTGGCCAAGCTGGTCTCGAACTCCTGATCTCAGGTGATCCACCCGCCTTAGCCTCCCAAAGTGCTGGGATTAGATGTGAGTCACTGCCCCCAGCCTATATTATTTTTTTTAAATGTCCAATCCTAAGCTCTCATTCTCAGCCTTCAACCCACCTTAGAAATGTGCTCTGTCATAAATCTTCCCTCCTCTTCACCCACCCACACACACCTTTCATTTTCAGCTTCTTCCCATTCTTTGGTTATTTTCCTCAGCCTAGAGACTGGCATAGACTCTCTCATCTGCGTTAGTGTGCTAGGACTACCATAACAAAGCACCACAAACTGGGTGACTTAAGCAACAGAAAGTCTCACAGTTCTGGAAGCTAGAAGTCTAAAATCAAGGTATTGGCAGGGTTGGTTCCTTCCGAGGGCTACGAGGAAAAGACCTGTTCCAGGCTTCTCACCTTGGCTTGTAGATGGCCATATTCTCTCTATGCCCCTTCATAATGTTTACCTTCTGTATGTGTCTGTGTCTGTGTCCAAATTTCCCCCTTTTTATAAGAACAACAGTCATATTGGATTAGGGCCCACCCTACTCTAGTATGACCTCATCTTAACAGTAATTACAGCTACAATTACCCTACTTGCAAATAAGGTCAGATTCGGAAGTATTGGAGGTTAAGACTTCAAACTATAAATTTTAGGATGACATAATTCAATCCCTAGCTCCATCCCAAAAAATCTTCCCATCTTTTCAAATTCTGTGCCAGCTCTCATTTTCCCATTAGTACCAAACTTCTTGAACGTATGAATAATTACTAGTTCTGTTAAGTTTCTCTACACACGTTCCCATCCAATTATACCCTTCTCGAAGCAGCCTTGTGAGATAGTATACAGTGAAAGGTGTCACACTTTCATAAATAAGTGAAGTAACAATGGCTTACAGATTTTATGTGATTGGATCATTAGGCAAATAGGTGGCTAATCTAGGACACAAATTCACGTTTTCTGACCCCCAAATTCCAAGATATTTTCAAAATCTTCTTCTGCTTCTTTACCACTTATGCATATCTTCATTTCAGATCTTATGCTCTTTTTGTTTTTTTTCTGCCTGAACTTTTGGTTCACATATTTTGTTCAAAATATTTAGTTTTATAATGCTGTGTTATAAAACATAATGAAAGTTGGCTGGGCGTGGTGGCTTACGCCTGTAATCCCAGCACTTTGGGAGTCCGAGGCAGGTGGATCACGAGATCGGGAGATAGAGACCATCCTGGCTAACATGGTGAAACCCCATCTCTACTAAAAACACAAAAAATTAGCCGGGCACGGTGGCAGGCGCCTGTAGTCCCAGGTATTCGGGAGGCTGAGGCAGGAGAATGGCGTGAACCCGGGAGGCGGAGCTTGCAGTGAGCTGAGATAGAGCCACTGCACTCCAACCTGGGCAAAAGAGCAAGACTCCGTCTCAAAACTAAACTAAACTAAAATAAAATAATGAAAGTTAAAGAAGTTAAAAATAATTCTTTTTTTTATACTTTAAGTTCTGAGGTACATGTGCAGAACGTGCAGGTTTGTTACATAGGTATACATGTGCCATGATGGTTTGCTGCACCCACCAACTGGTTATCTACATTAGGTATTTCTCCTAATGCTATACCTCCCCTAGCCCCCCACCCCCACAACAAGCCCCAGTGTGTGATGTTCCCCTCCTTGTGTCCATTGTTCTCTTTGTTCAACTCCTACTTATGAGTGAGAACATGCGGTGTTTGGTTTTCTGTTCTTGTGTTAGTTTACTGAGAATGATGATTTCCAGCTTCATCCATGTCCCTGCAAAGGACATGAACTCATCCTTTTTTATGGCAGCATAGTATTCCATGGTGTATATGTACCACATTTTCTTTATCCAGTCTATCATTGATGGGCATTTGTGTTGGTTCCAAGTCTTTGCTATCGTGAACAGTGCCGCAATAAATATATGGGTGCATGTGTCTTTATAGTAGAATGATTTATAATCCTTTGGGTATATACCCAGTAATGGGATTGCTGGGTTAAATGGTATTTCTAGTTCTACCTCCCTGAGAAATTGCCACACTGTTCTCCACAATGGTTGAACTAATTTACACTCTCACCAACAGTGTAAAAGTGTTCCTGTTTCCCCACATCCTCTCCAGCATCTGTTGTTTCCTGACTTTTTAATGATTGCCATTCCAAATGGCATGAGATGGTATCTCATTGTGGTTTTGATTTGCATTTCTCTAATGACCAGTGATGATGGCCTTTTTTTCATATGTTTGTTGGCTGCATAAATGTCTTCTTTTGAGAAGTGTCTGATCATATCCTTCACCCACTTTTAGATGGGGTTGTTTTTTTCTTGTAAATTTGTTTAAGTTCTTTGTAGATTCTGGATATTAGCCCTTTGTCAGATGGATAGATTGCAAAAATTTTCTCCCATTCTGTAGGTTGTCTGTTCACTCCAATGATAGTTTATTTTCCTGTGCAGAGAAGCTCTTTAGTTTAATTAGATCCCCTTTGTCAATTTTGGGTTTTGTTGCCATTGCTTTTTGTGTTTTAGTCATGAAGTCTTTGCCCATGCCTATGTCCTGAATGGTATTGCCTAGGTTTTCTTCTAGGGATTTTATGGTTTTAGGTTGTAGATTTAAGTCTTTAATCCATCTTGAGTTAATTTTTGTGTAAGGTGTAAGGAAGAGATCCAGTTTCAGCTGTCTGCATATGGACAGCCAGTTTTCCCAACACCATTTATTAATAGGGAATCGTTTACCCATTGCTTGTTTTTGTCAGGTTTGTCAAAGATCAGATAGTGTAGATGTGTGGTGTTATTTCTTAGGCCTCTGTTGTGTTCCATTGGTCTATATATCTGTTTTGATACTAGTACCGTGCTGTTTTGGTTACTGCAGCCTTGTAGTATTGTTTGAAGTCAGGTAGTGTGATGCCTCCAGCTTTGTTCTTTTTGCTTAGGATTGTCTTGGCTCCATGGGCTCTTTTTTGGTTCCATATGAACTTTAAAGTAGTTTTTTTTTCCAATTCTGTGAAGAAAGTCAATGGTAGCTTGATGGGGATAGCATTGAACCTATAAATTACTTTGGGCAGTATGGCCATTTTGATGATATTGATTCTTCTTATCCATTATCATGGAATGTTTTCCCATTTGTTTGTGTCCTCTCTTATTTCCTTAAGCAGTGGTTTGTAGTTCTCCTTGAAGAAGTTCTTCACATCCTTTATAAGTTGTGTTCCTAGGTATTTTATTCTCTTTGTAGCAATTGTGAATGGGAGTTCACTCATGATTAGGCTCTTTGTCTATTATTGGTGTGTAAGAATGCTTGTGATTTTTGCACATTGATTTTGTATTCTGAGACTTTGCTGAAGTTGCTTATCAGCTTAAGGACATTTTGGGCTGAGATTATGGAGTCTTCTAAATATACAATCATTTCATCTGCAGAGATAATTTGACTTCCTTTTTTCCTAATTGAATACCCTTTATTTCTTTCTCTTGACTGATTGCCCTGGCCGGAACTTTCAACACTACGTTGAATAGGAGTGGTGAGAGAGGGCATCCCTGTCTTGTGCCAGTTTTCAAAGGGAATGCTTCCAGTTTTTGCCCATTCAGTATGATATTGGCTGTGGGTTTGTCATAAATAGCTCTTATTATTTTGAGATACATGCCATCAATACCTAGTGTATTGAGAGTTTTTAGCATGAAGGGGTTTTGAATTTTGTTGAAAGCCTTTTCTGAATGTATTGAGATAATCGTGTGGTTTTTATCATTGGTTCTGTTTATGTAATGGATTATGTTTATCGATTTGTGTATGTTGAACCAGCCTTGCATCCCAGGGATGAAGCCAACTTGATCATGGTGGATAAGCTTTTTGATGTGCTGCTGGATTTGGTTTGCCAGTATTTTATTGAGGATTTTCACATCAATGGTTATCAGGGATATTGGCCTAAAATTTTCTTTTTTTGTTGTCTCTGCCAGGTTTTGGTATCAGGATGATGCTGACCTCATAAAATGAGTTAGCAGGGGGATTCCCTCTTTTTCTATTGTTTGGCATAGTTTCAGAAGGAATAGTACCAGCTCCTCTTTGTACCTCTGGAATAATTTGGCTGTGAATCCATCTGGTCCTGGACTTTTTTTGGTTGGTAGGCTATTAATTACTGCCTCAATTTCAGAGTTTGTTATTTGTCTATTCAGTGATTTGACTTCTTCCTGGTTTAGTCTTGGGAGGGTGTATGTGTCCAGGAATTTATCCATTTCTTCTAGATTTTCTAGTTTATATGTGAAGAAGTGTTTTTAGTATTCTGATTATAGTTTGTTTTTCTGTTGGATCAGTGGTGATATCCCTTTTATCATTTTTTATTGCATCTATTTGATTCTTCTCTCTTTTCTTCTTTATTAGCCTAGCTAGCAGTCTATCTATTTTGTTGATCTTTTCAGAAAAGCACCTCCTGGATTCATTGATTTTTTTTTGAAAGGCTTTTCATGTCTCTGTCTTCTTCAGTTCTGCTCTGATCTTAATTATTTCTTGTCTTTTGCTAGCCTTTGAATTTGTTTGCTCTTGCTTCTCTAGTTCTTTTAATTGTGATGTGAGGGTGTCGATTTTAGATCTTTCCTGCTTTCTCTTGTGGGCATTTAGGGCTATAATTTTTTTTTCTACACATTGCGTTAAATGTGTCCCAGAGATTCTGGTACATTTTGTCTTTGTTCTCATTGGTTTCAAAGAACATCTTTATTTCTGCCTTCATTTCATTATTTACCCAGTAGTCATTCAGCAGCAGTTTATTTGGTTTCCATGTAGTTGTGCAGTTTTGAGTGAGTTTCTTAATCCTGAGTTCTAATTTGATTGCACTGTGGTCTGAGAGACTGTTATGATTTCTGTTCTTTTGCATTTGCTGAGGAGTGTTTTACCTCCAATTGTGGGGTCATTTTTAGAGTAAGTACAATGTGCTGATAAGAAAGTATATTCTGTTGATTTGGGGTGGAGAGTTCCGTAGATGTCTATTAGGTCTGCTTGGTAAAGAGGTGAGTTCAAGTCCTGGATATCCTTGTTAATTTTCTGTTTCAGTGATCTGTCTAGTGTTGACAGTGGGGTGTTAAAGTCTCTCACTGTGTGGGAGTCTAAGTCTCTTTGTAGGTCTCTAAGAACTTCCTTTATGAATCTGGGTGGTGCTCCTGTATTGGGTACACATATATTTAGGATAGTTAGTTCTTCTTGTTGCATTGATCCCTTTACCATTATGTAATGGCTTTGTCTCTTTGATTTTTGTTGGTTTAAAGTCTGTTTTATCAGAGACTAGGATTACAAGTCCTGCTTTTTTTTTTTTTCTTTTCATTTGCTTGATAAATATTCCTCTGTCCCTTTATTTTGAGCCTATGTGTGTCTCTACATGTGAGATGGGTCTCCTGAATACAGCACACCAATGGGTCTTGACTCTTTATCCAACTTGCCAGTATGTATCTTTTAATTGGGGCGTTTAGCCCATTTACATTTAAGGTTAATGTTGTGTGTGAATTTGATCCTGTCATTATGATGCTAGCTAGTTATTTTGCCCATTAGTTGATGCAGTTTCTTCATAGCATCAATGGTCTTTACAATGTGGTATGTTTTTGCGGTGGCTGGTGCCAGTTTTTCCTTTCCATGTTTAGTGCTTCCTTCAGGAGCTCTTGTAAGGCAGGCCTGGTGGTGACAAAATCTCTCAGCATTTTCTTGACTGTAAAGGATTTTTTTTTTCTCCTTCACCTACGAAGCTTACTTTGGCTGGATATGAAATTCTGGGTTGAAAAATCTTTTCTTTAAGAATGTTGAATATTGGCCCCCACTCTTTTCTGGCTTGTAGGGTTTCTGCAGAGAGATCCACTGTTAGTCTGATGGGCTTCCCTTTGTGGATAACCCAACCTTTCTCTCTGGCTGCCCTTAACATTTTTTCCTTCATTTCCACCTTGGGTGAATCTGATGATTATATGTCTTGGGGTTGCTCTTCTCGAGGAATACTTTATGGTGTTCTCTGTATTTCCTGAATTTGAATGTTGGCCTGTCTTGCTAGGTTGGGGAAGGGGAAGTTCTCCTGGATAATATCCTAAAGAGTGTTTTCCAACTTGGTTCCATTTTCCCCATCACTTTCAGGTACACCAATCAAACATAGGTTTGGTCTTTTCACATAGTCCTATACTTCTTGGAGGCTTTGTTTGTTTCTTTTTACTCTTTTTCTCTAATCTTGTATTCACACTTTATTTCATTAAGTTGATCTCCAGTCTCTGATAGCCTTCCTTCTGCTTGATTGATTCAGGTATTGATACTTGTGTATGTTTCACAAAGTTCTCGTGCTGTGTTTTTCAGCTATATCAGTTCATTTATATTCTTCTCTAAACTGGTTATTCTAGTTAGCAATTCGACTAACCTTTTTTCAGGTTCTTAGCTTTCTTGCATTGGGTTAGAACATGCTCCATTAGCTCAGAGGAGTTTGTTACTACCCACCTTCTGAAGCCTACTTCTGTCAATTCGTCAAACTCATTCTCCATCCAGTCTTGTTCTCTTGCTGGCAAGGAGTTGTGATCTTTTGGAGGAGAAGAGGCATTCTGGTTTTTGGAGTTTTCAGCCTTTTTGTGCTGGTTTTTCCTGATCTTCATCGATTTATCTACCTTTGGTCTGTGATGTTGGTGACCTTCAGATGGGGTCTCTGAGTGGTTGTCTTTTTTGTTGATATTGATGCTATTCCTTTCTGTTTGTTAGTTTTCCTTCCAACAGTCAGGCCTCTCTTCTGCAGGTCTGCTGGAGTTTGCTGGAGGTCCACTCCAGACCCTGTTTGCCTGGTTATCACCAGCGGAGGCTGCAGAACAGCAAAGATTGCTGTCTGTTCCTTCCTCTGGAAGGTTCGTTCCAGAGGGTCACCCACCAGATTCCAGCAAGAGCTGTCCAGTATGAGTTGTCTGTCAGCCCCTTCTGGGAGGTGTCTCCCAGTCAGGACACATGGGGTTTAGGAACCCACTTGAGAAGGCAGTCTGTGCCTTATCAGAAGGTCAAATTCTGTGCTGGGAGATCCACTGCTCTCTTCAGAGCTGTCAGGTAGGGATGTTTAGGTCTGCTGAAGCTGCACCCATAGCCGCCCCTTCTCCGAGGTTCTGTGTCCCAGGGAGATGGGGATTTTATCTATAAGTCCCTGACTAGGGTTGATGCCTTTTTTTTCAAGAGATGCTCTGCCCAGAAAGGAGGAAATCTAGAGAGGCAGTCTGGCCACAGAGGCCTTGCTGAGCTGCCATGGGCTCTCCCCAGTTCGAAATTCCCTGTGGCTTTGTTTACACCATGAGGGTAAAACCCCCTACTCAAGCCTCAGCAATAGCAGACGCCCCTTCCCCCACCAAGCTCTAGCATCTCATGTTGACTTCAAACTGCTGTGCTAGCAGCGAGAATTTCAAGCCAGTGGATCTTAGCTTGCTGGGCTCCATGGGGGTGGGACCCACCGAGCCAGGCACCAGAGGTCTGCTGGTTGCGAAGACTGTGGGAAGTGTAGTATCTGGGATGAAGTGCACTCTTCCTCCTGGTACAGTCTCTAATGGCTTCCCTTGGCTAGGAAAGGGAAATCCCCCAACCCCTTGCACTTCCCAGGCGAGGCAACAGCCCACCCTGCTTCAGCTCCCCCTCTGTGGGCTGCACTTACTGTCCAACCAGTCCCAATGAGATGAATCAGGTACCTCAGTTGGAAATGCAATAATCACCCATCTTCTGCGCCAATCTCACTGGGAACTGCAGACTAGAGCTGTTCCTGTTTGGCCATCTTGCCAGCAGACCTCAAAAATAATTCTTAGGAAAAATTCACATCAGGTCAGAAAAGATTATGATAAATTGCTTACCATAAATCCTATTAAACTCTTCACATCTCTTCCTCCTTGCAGCCCTCTCAGACAAATAGCTTTTCAAATTATGGTCTATTAGAGAAATATTTTAGAAATGATATAACTGTGCACATTTTACATTCTCATTAATGCTAGGCTATTGTTACCCCATTGCTTCCACAGGAAAATACAGACTACATTTTTTTCTAAATACCCAATAAAGAATATTCTGCCTAACACACTACTCTTCAGAAAACATCTATGGGATAAGGAAATGGTATAGTTTACTTTGTCGGTTACATCTACAGCTTTGTCATGAAATTCAATAATGTCTGTGTAGTTTTTTTTAAATTCAGTTTATTTCTAAATTTGTGTTACTGAAGAGAAAGCAGTCTCTGCAAGACCTTCACATTCATAAGTCAACATTAGAATTGCAACCTGACTATGAAAATATGAAACTAGGCCCCCAAACTTTAAGAAGTAGTGATGGGAAGAACGTAAGAGTACTTCTTTAAACAGCAGGCCAAGTAAAGTTTGTCTCTGATTATGTTATTTTGAAAATCAGATATTAATTAATATGTAATTTAAGTCCAGGACATGTCTTAAAGGATAATACTGTGATTGCAGGAGCTTTTTAAATTTTACTATCATATTCCCAATATTTAGTAGAGTACCATGGATATAGTAGATGCTCAAAAATGTTTTTTAAATGAATAAATGAATATTAGTGTTATAGAATGATTTTAAATACCAATTTAAAGAAAAGGAACTTTTACATTAATCTGCCTGCCATGAAAACACCAGATTAATTCCCGCCTTCCAGCAGGCTAGAATTTTGCTTAAGAATTTTACTCATTTTATCTAGGCATCCATACAGTCATTAATACTTTCATTCATCTGAAACAAATTTGCTGTCTAGTATAAATGAGGGGCTGAGATACTATAGAAAGTAAGAACGTCTAAGGTGATAGCAGAGGTAAAGGTTGTTAGCATGTATTTATACTACAATATAGATACAATGTCATATATTGGATATACATACATACATAAATATATGTGTGTATATGTGTATACCTAATATATGCAAACACACAGGTATATTACAATGGCAGTGGGAAGTACCAAGAGAAACACACTAACATGATGCTATAGGAGATACACAGCAGAAAATAATTCCTCTAACTGGAAGCATCAATCAAGGAGCTTCATGCTGTTTTCACTCACCTCTGATTCCTATTTAAATAGTGCTACTGATTCAAATAAATGAACTGGTCAATGTGAAAGATGCTGTTCAACTGAGACCTTTGCTTTTCTCTTTGGACAGCCTCCAGAGGAGGCAGAAATCAGAATTGATCTTCTGCTCAAGAGACATCAACCACAAAGCCTCAGGCATATCTTGACCATCCTGGCATTGAGAAGAATAAATAAGTTTGAAAAAGAGATACTATCTTTGCTACCACATTCTTTAGCTGGTGCTAAACTTGTCATCAGCATTATGTCAAAAAAGAATGCCCAGGTCAAATTTCAGGTTCTTATATTTTCTTTTTGGTATTGTTTGTGTGTAAACACACACATATATTTGTATAAGTTAGTATATAATTATATAATGAATACATAAATATAATTATATATAGTATGTTATATGTGATTATCAATTATTACCAAAAAAACTGTTTAGAACAATCAAAATCAACCTAATACTATAAAGACTCTACTTAGATATGACATCATGTTAAGTAACACACAAGGAAATTTAAAAAGCACAGCTACAATGCCTTTTATGTTTTTAACTTCCACCAAAGGCATTTTTTTTCAACCATTTTCTCTTTTGACCCTCATAAGAACTTTGTAGAGAAAGTATCATTGACCAATTTTATGGTTAAAAAAATATCTTTGCATGGTTTGATGACTTCACTGAGGTCACACAGTTGAAGCCAGGTCTCCAATCCCAGTGTGTTCCCTACTAGACTATGACTACAGCATTCTTTAATGAATGGCCCATAGCCTGATGGATATCTTTATGGGTTCTTTTAGTGTACTAAAAGTTGTCTAAAAATCTCTTTCTTTAGAGATTATAGTTGGTAACAATCAAAGTTTTCTGTTGGCTTGTTTTTCCAGTTCCCAAACCAGGAATCATCTTTTCTCTATCTCCTATATTAAATTCATTAGCAATTTCTTATGGCCCCAATATGTATCTTAAATCCACAACACTTTAGTTCTGGTGACTATCATCTCTTGCCTGGCATCCTGTCTCCCTGTTTTCACTGTGGTACTCATTTCCATAAAGGGCAAAGTATGTGGAAGTTATAACAAATTATCACCCTAATTTTTTTTTTTTTTTTGAGGCAGAGTTTCTCTCTCGTCACCTAGGCTGGAGTGCAGTGGCGTGATCTCGGCTCACTGCAACCTCCGCCTCCTGGGTTCAAGTAATTCTCCTGCCTCAGCTTCCCCAGTAGCCAGGATTACAGGTCCCCAACACCACACCCAGCTAATTTTTGTATTTTAAATAGAGACGGGGTTTCACCATATTGGACAGGCTGGTCTTAAACTCCTGACTTCAGGTGATCTGCCTGCCTCGGCCTCCCAAAGTGCTGGGATTACCCGTGCCTAGCCAGGAGAATTACTTTAAAACCTAAATGTATACTTCATTTGATAACAAACATATTTTCAAAATACTAATGTCTTATATATAAGTTTTTAACAGGAATAGGAATAAAAGAGTTGATATACCCTCTGGGTCTCTTGAAAGTATTACTATATCCCCCAAAATAATTAAGTTTTCAGGCAGATTACCTTGGATATGCTCAAGAATTTTCAACTGGGAGGAAATGGCCTAAGTGATAAATTCTAATGATATGGTTTGATTTACTGCATATAAATTTTGCTTTGTAATTTTGATTAATAGCTCTGCAAGGCAATTCAAAATGAAGTGCAGTAGTAGACTGGTATCATTTCTGTGGTTGTCTTATGTCTGTACTTCCTAATAAATGAATAAAAAAAGGAAAAATGAGGTTTGCATGCAGACACTGACCAATTCTTGAGCATCATTACTTCCCTGTGTATTAAATAAGCAGAATTCTCGTTAAGGATACAATTAATCAGTTATCTCAGTCTGGTAAATTTCATCAAAAGCAGGCCCTGTGTCCACAGTTTGAAGTTGCTGGGAAAAAAATTAGATTGTCACCAATGTATTATTCTCAGTCTCTCCACTTCTAAATACTTCTCCACGCTCTTCCTTCTTTATGTGGCAAAGTTCAGTTCAGTGATCAGTGATCCTCACGTTTTTGAGATTGAAGGGCTTTAACCTATAAGTCTGTTGAAACTTACAATACAGACATCTCAGGAGATAAAGAAATCAAGGGAAGGAGAAAGAAGATTTGGGATCAGTGAATGAAATAAGTTTTTGGTTAAACTGTACTTTATAAAATTGTCCTAGCCATTAATTCCCATCAAGAAATGGGGAAAATAATTTGTAAAGTACAATGAAACGACTATGCTCTGGAATATCTATGGAGGAAATCTAGGCTGGGTAATTACTAGTTTATCCATAAAATGTGCCTGGAAGATTACAAAACTTGGCAAAAGCCATAAGAAACCAGCAACAAGCACCTAAATCAACAGCACTTGTCTTTCAGAGAATGGTTGCTGGGAACACTTATATTTGAAATGCATTACAGCTGCCTGCAAGAATTAACTAGCATATCCAGAGAACTAGTGCCTCAGATTGTGAAGATTTCAGCCATTTTCTTCCCATCTAAGTAGAATAGAGTTGAGTAAGGAAACCATATCTTTTTATTACTAACAACAACCATATCTTTGTATTATATATTTTATTAATTACTAACTACTGGAATTTCTCAGCAGTTATCAGAAAAATATGGTAAACAATAATGCATTTTTCCATTCTGAGTGTATTTTTTTTCTTCCATGTAATGAATAACAAGAAGTTTTAGGGTCCATACAAATGTTAGAAGCTAAAAATATATGTCATTCCTTTTAAAGAAGGATCCACCTGGAAACTGAGGAAACATTCCAAACTAAGATACCTGTATATATTTTAAAATATTTAAATGCTTCTTAAATACAAATATTGGATGTAAACCAGCAGTTCTCTGCTCAGAGAAGCCTCATAAGAATTTGCTAGTTTATCTGTGTGTCTTTTATCTACTTATACATGATGTTTAGTTAAGATGAATTACCAAGAATTTGTATGTAGTATTACAGTTACTATAAGAGTCTCTTGATTGACAAAGAGTAATAATCAAATAATTAACTTAAATTACCAGGGCTGGACACCAAATATTTCAAGAAAATCCATCCCAAATTTGACCTTACATATACTCATCACAAAGTTTCAGACAAGAAGGTGGGAATGAAGTGTCTTGGAATACCTCCAAAATCTGCAGCCACTATTCTCATTTATCTTCCTGAGTTTGTGAAAAACATTATGGTCTAACACTTACTTCTAGGGTTCTCTTTAGATATCAAATGGTGATTACTTCTAGACCTTATTTTTGGTTTATACTAATAGTATTTTGTTGAGCTATAATTTGTAATAAGTAAAATGCACAAATCAAGTGTAAAACTTGAAGAATTTTAAGAAAGGTAGACACAGTGCAACCATTAGCCAAAACAAGAAAAGGAATATTTCTGTCACCCCAGAAAGCACCCTTGTTACCTTGTTCAATACATCCTAACATCTGTCAGCATAGATTTAGCTTTGCCTATTTCTGAACTTACATACAAATGAATTCATACAGTAAGTACTCTTCTATGTGTGTCCTACTTTCATAAAAAATGTTTTTGAGATTCATGTGTGTATTTGTATATAATGCCAGTAGTTTATTCTTTTGTATTACTCAGTCCTGTTCCTTTGCTGTGAATATTCCAGTTTGTTTACACTTTCACCTATTGATGGGCATTTGGGTTGTTTCCAATTATGGGCTATTACTAATTGAGCTGCTATGAATATTCTTGTACATGTTTTTCTATAGGCATATGGGTTTATTTCTCCAGTACCTAGGAATGGAATCGCTGGGTCATAGAGCATGTTTGTTTATGTGTAAACTTTTAAGAAACTGACAGTTTATCAAAGTGACAATAGCATTTTACAATCCTACAAGCAGTTTGTAAACATTGGCTTTGTTCTACATTCTTACCCACACATAGCGTCATCAAAATTTTTAATATTACACATTGTAGAAGATGTGTAATGGTGTCTCATTGTGGCTTTTAGTTTCTTTATTCCATACTGAGTAATAATGTTCATCAAATTTTCTTTTTTTTTTTTTTTTTTTGAGACAGTCTCGCTTTGTCACCAGACTAGAGTGCAATGTTGCAATTTCAGTTCACTGCAACCTCCGCCTCCCAGGTTTCAAGTGATTCTCCTGCCTCAGCCTCCTAAGTAGCTGGGACTACAGGTGCACTCCACCACGCCCAGCTAATTTTTGTATTTTTAGTAGAGACAGGGTTTCACCATGTTGGCCAGGATGGTCTCGATCTCTTGATCTTGTGATCTGCCTGCCTCAGCCTCCCAAAGTGCTGGGATTACAGGCGTGAGCTGTTCATCAAATTTTCATATGCTTATTGACCATTTGGAAGTCTCCATTTGCAAACTGCCTGTGTGAATTACTTTTGTCTCTTATTTTTTTTAGGGTGTTTGTTTTCTCCTAATTAATTTGTAGAAGTTTGTTATATATTCTGTATATCAGTTCTTTCTTTCATGTCTCATATTTCATATGATGCCCAGTGTGTGGCTTGCATTTTCACTTTTGCTTCCTGACAGAAGTTTTTAATTTTGATAAATTGCAATTTATATATTTTTTCTTTTATGGTTCTTACCTTTTCTCAGCTGTGTTAGAAAACTTTGCCTGAGAGTCACAAAAATATTCACCTGTTTTATTTCTAGAAAATGTATAGTTTTTGCTTTCAGATGTAGGTAAATTATTATTTTCAATTTAATTTTTACATTTGGTATGAAGTGAGAGTCAAGGTTTACTTTCCATTCTCATTTGGATATGCAGTTGTTCTAGAACCACTTATTGGAAACACTTTGCCTTCTCTTTTGAATCATTTTGCTATGTTAAAAATGAATTGAGTAAAGATGTATGGTCTATGTTTTGGACTCTGTTCTGTTAGTTGATCTATATAAGTATCATGCCAACTATATGATTTTTTTTTGTTTTTTTTTGTTTTTGTTTTTTTTTTTGAGATGGAATCTCATTCTTGTTGCCCAGGCTGGAGTGCAATGGTGTGATCTTGGCTCACTGCAACCTCTGCCTCCTGGGTTCAAGTGATTCTCCTGCCTCAGCCTCCTGAGTAGGTGGGATTACAGGCACATGCCACCACACCCAGCTAATTTTTGTACTTTTAGTAGAGATGAGGTTTTTCCATGTTGGCCAGGCTGGTCTCAAACTCCTGACCTCAGGTGATCTGCTCCCCTCAGCCTCCCAAATTCCTGGGATTAGAGGCATGAGCCACCGTGCCCAGCCCAACTATACGATATTAATACTTGTGGCTTTCTCTACAATGTCTTGAAGTCACATAGTGTAAGACCTTCAATTATTTCCTTCTACTTTTAAAATATTTTTTTGGTTAAGTCCTTTAAATTTTTATATAAATTTTAGAGTTGTTTTTTTCAATATTTATGAAAAGAAAATCCTTCAAGGATTTTGAGTCAGAGAGATTACATTAAATATCTAAATCAACTTCAAGAGAATTAACATCTTAAAAATATTAGTCTTCTGACCTATAAACATAAAAATCTATCTCCATTTCTTTAAATTTTATCTAATTTCTGTCAGCATTTTTAGTTTTAAGTTAGGAATTTTATATTTCCCAAAGTAAATCTTTGTCAATGTAATTGATGAAATATTTGATGCTATTGTAAATAACATCTTTTTTCAGTTTTCAAATATTTCTTGGTAGTATATAGAAATATAATTTGTTTTTGGTGTACCATCCTTACACTCAGCTATCTTCATGAATGCAGTTATTACTATATGTTTGTTTATAGTTACATATTTTGTGTGTACAAAATTATGTCATCGGTGTATATGACCATTATTACTTAATGTAATTGTTAATATAGATAAGTTTGTGTTTATAATCTAGTTATTTGTTTTCTATAGTTTTCAGTAGTATTATATTTATGTTTGCTATGAGGATTGCAAATGCATCTGTAGCTTTTGACAGTTTATCTTCAACTGTTTTACCATCTAATATATAAGGACTTTAAAACAGCAAAAGTGCATCTATCCTCTTTCCTATCCTTTGTCGTGTTGTTATCTACATTTCATTTCTACATGTTAAAAACTCTAGCATTGTTATTATTTTTGTTAAAACAATTTTCTGTATATATAGGGGACATACATGCTATTTCTAATAATATTCATCTGTCTCTGAAGATCCAGGTTTTTATCTGGAATAATTGCTCTTCAGCTGAAAGAACATTAGTATTTCTTGTACTGCTAAGTGCTAATCAAAAAACACATTTTCCTAAAATTGTCTTTATTTTATCTTCATTTTTCAGAATGAGTGTTTACTTAGTATAGAATTCTGGGGTTTTCTTCCAGCATTTTAAATATATTATTCTATTGACTCCTGGTTTTGTTGCTTATGATGAAAAGTCAGCTGTAATTATTGTTGTTCCTCTGAATATATGAATTCTTCCTCTGGATACACTTAACATTTTCTATTTAATTTTTTGATTTTAAACCTTTTATCTATGATATGTGTTTAGTAATCTCTACCTTTATCCTGCTTGAGGTTTAACAAACTCAGTCCATGCACTAATGATTTTTACTAATTGGGGACAAAATTTTGGTCCTCAATTAGTAAAAGACATTAGTGCATGGATTGAGTTTGCCCCAATTTTGGATGAAATTATATCTTCAAATATTTTTTCTGTCCCTTTTGATCATCACTCTCCTCTCCACTTGTGTCTTGGATTACATGTATATTTTAGACCATCTGTTACTGCCCTACAATTCTCAAGTGCTCTGTTCTGTATTTTATTTTTTTTCTCTCTGAGCTCTATCACTTACATTGTATAACCTTGTTACATTTGTTCTCAATGGAAGAGGAGGGCAAGTTTGCCCCCAAGAGGACATTTAGCAATGTCTAGAGTCACTTTTTGATGTCATAACTGCATTCGGTGGGAGAATGGGATGTTCTATTGGCTAAACATCTTATAAAGAACAGGATAGCTCCTCACAACAAATAATGACCCTATCCAAAGTGTCTATTGTGCTGATATTGAGAAACCCTAGAATAGAGAGACATACCACTTTCATGAATCAGAAAACTCAATATTATAGTATTTCAATGAATCTCAATTTGAGAGATATAGTGCAATCTCAATCAAAATTCCAGCTCCTTTACAGAAATTAATAATCTAATTCTAAATCCTATGGAAAATGTTATATTTGGACCATGGATTTTTATAGGTTTTTTTTTTTTACTTAAAATCATAAATTTGGAAGGATGAATACTCTGTTGTATGAAATGCTTTTTTTGAAGACATTCCTCTTGAATGTCTCTGTGAATTCCTCTTGAATTCCTCTTTTGGGAGACATTTCTCTTTATCATTGCAGTCATATGCTATGTAACAACATTTTTGGTCAATGACAGACCACACATATGACAATATTCCCATAAAGATTATAATAGAGCTGTGTAATAGAGTAGGCTATACCCTCTAAGTTGGTATAAGTATTCTGTGGTGTTCGTACAACATCAAAATCTCCTAATGACTGTAGTTATAAATTGTTTGATTACATTTCTGACATCTCTCAAGTAATTTTTTCCAGAAAAGATGTATGGGCAATGACATTTTGGGGTTCTGAGGTACAGAAATCTATATTTTCTCTCTCTTCTAAAAAGTTTGGCTAGATATAGAATTTTCCATAAATCTTTGAAATAATTGCATTATTTAATTCCAACTAGAATTCTCAGTTGTGAGATATTATTTAATCTATTAGTGTTAGAAAGTTATTAAAGCTTCAAATCTAACACTTCCAATCAGAAAGCTTCTCTGTTTCAGATCAAAAAATAAGAAAGGTCTCATAGAAAAAAAAAAACTATATATGATAAAATTTAAAAACAAAAAATCTTCAGAAGAGTGGGAGGAATTTGTTGAAAAATTTTCCAGAATACAGAGCAGCAACACAAAAGAAGCAAATACAAGAGAAAACTGAAAAAGATCTAGAATGTTGCTGGGGCAGGGTGCAATTTAAAATAAAATGGTTAAGTTAGATATATTGAAAAGTAGCATTTAAGAAAAAGAGTTCAGGAAAAGAGGCCATTGGATATCTGAGAACAATCACCACAGACAAAAACAACAACATTCCAGGTATGTTCAAGGAAAAGCATGGAGGCCAGTAGTTAATTCAGTTGAATCAGAGAAAGCAAGATGGAAACTGGTAGTGATAAAATCTTGAAAGTAATAGAGGACATGGTTTTGTAACATTTAGAGATATGTGGACCATTATAATAATTTGTTTCTTACCTTGGGTGAAATGGGGAGTCATTGCTAGGTCTTGGGAAATAACATAATCTGTATTGCATATTTTAACATAATATGTATTGCATATTGCAATGAGACAAAATTGGATATGGGATATAAAAATGAACTCATGGAAGAGTCCAATTTGGTTTTAGGATTTTAAAAATTTTATTATTTATTCATTCTGAGCAACTAAATGATGAATAAGACTAGGGTGCAACAGTTCTAAGAGATACACCAAGGGTTCAGTTGTAGATATATTGCTTGAGATGCCTACCATACATCTTTTTTTTTTAAATTTAATTTTAAGTTCCATGATACATGTGCAAGATGTGCAGGTTTGTTACGTAGGTAAACGTATGCCATGGTGGTTTGCTGCATCAAACTGTCTCTGTTTGTAGATGACATGAGCCTATATCTAGAAAAACCCCATCATCTCAGCCCAAAAGCTTCTTAAGCTGATAAGCAACTTTAGCAAAGTCTTAGGAAACAAAATCAGTGTGCTAATATCACAAGCATTCCTATACACCATCAATAGACAATCAGAGAGCCAAATCATTAATGAACTCCCATTCACAATTGCTCCAAAGAGAATAAAGTACTTAGGAATACAGCCAACAAGGGAAGTGAAGGACCTCTTCAAGAACTGCAAACCACTGCTCAAGGAAATGAGAGGACACAACTATATGGAAAAACATTCCATGCTCATGGTTAGGAAGAATCAACATCGTGAAAATGGCCATACTGCCCAAAGTAATATATAGATTCAATGCTATTCCCATTAAATTACCATTGACATTCTTCATGGAATTAGAGAAAAAAAACTACTTTAAATGTCATAAGGAATCAAAAAAGAGCCCAAATAGCCAAGACAATTCTAAACAAAAAGAACAAAGGTTGAAGCATCACACTACCAAACTTCAAACTACACTACAAGGCAACAGTAACCAAAACAGCATGATCCTGGTACAAAAACAGACACATAGACCAATGGAACAGAATAGAGATCTCAGATATAAGACTGTACATCTACATCCATCTGATCTTCAACAAACCTAACAAAAACAAGCAATGGGGAAAGGATTCCCTATTTAATAAATGGTGCTGAAAAAACCCGCTAGCCATATGCATAAATATTATTTAAGTAGCTGTTTATATGATTCTGGAGTGTGATTTTTCTCTTCCGGAGAGTTCTGTGCTGGAGATTTAAATTTGGGAGACGTAAGCATGGATAAAGCATGAAATCACTTAATTTGCCCACATTAAAGCATAACACTCTTTATTCTCCTTAAAATAATATTGTTATTATTTTAAAACTTAACAATACTTAAACTTTTTTTGTTTTTGAGATGGAGTCTCACTCTGTCACCAGGCTGGAGTGCAATGGTGCTATCTCAGTTCACTGCACCCTCCACCTCCTGAGTTCAAGCAATTCTCCTGCCTCAGCCTCTCGAGTAGCTGGGACTACAGGCCGTGCCACCACGCCCAGCTACTTTTTATATTTTTAGTAGAGAAGGGGTCTCACCATGTTGGCCAGGATGATCTTGATCTCTTGACCTCGTGATCTGCCCACCTCAGCCTCCCAAGGTGCTGAGATTACAGGCATGAGCCACTGCACCCAGCCTACAATATTTAAAGTTAAAAATAGTAGCAATATTTTAGCAAACTTAACAATATTTAAAACTTAACAGTAGTATTTAATATTAAAAATGATATTTAGTATTTAAAACAATATTCTTAATAAAACAATTGCTATTGTTTTAAACTTAGTGAAGTTTAAAACTTCGCTAACTAAAATAATTTGTATAACGTTTAAATTTAAAAAAATACATAAATAGGTTTACAATTAGACACTTAAAATATTTTAGATAGTATTTTAATATTCTGATGCAGAGTACTGAAATCAACAGAAGGGGAATTTACTTCTCTTTAGCATATATAAAATCAAAAAGAAAGAACAAATCAGTAATGATAGCCAAGTAATTCTGTATCTAATTGATGACATCTCTGTCTATGATACATTATCTATATAAATTTGAACTACAAAAGTCATACAAGTTTGTGCACTTACACAAACGTAGATGATATAGCTTCATTATATAGCTTCATTATAATCTTATGGAGCCACTATAAGATTTGCAATCTGTCATTGACCAAAATGTCCTTTATCACTGAAATAATAAACTTCAAGAGGAATATCTTCAAAAACATAGGATCCAAACCCAAGGAATAGTAATTACCTCAAACTTTGCATATTTCTTTCTTACGTAACTCTTGTGTAACTAATTATGTTTCATGGCTTGAATGCTTTAGCTGAATTCCTTTTTTAAATTTCCACAGTACATTTTTTTCATTCAACTTTTAAATATCAATGGCTAATTAGTGAGTGCACATCTATATAAAAAGTACTCAAACTTTTTTAAAAAAATTTCCTTTTAGTCATTTTCAAATGTCTTCTGATATGCTTGCTTAGTCTTCTTCTTAAATTTGTTTCATTTGTTCAGTCTTGCTTGCTTTTGGTAAGTTATAAAAATTTTACTAGTGTCAGGTAAGAAAGGAAAGATAATAGGGAAAATCCATTAATTAATAAGATTTGAAACACAATAACAATGGGTTAAATTTTACACAGTGAAGTCCAAAGGAAATGAAGACTATTGTATGTACATGATGATGCTGATATCAACTGACCTAGCATAGTTCAATGTTTCTCAAAATGTTTGAACAGTCTTCACCCTAGGGTGCTTGTGAAAATGCATTTCCCTAATCCACTATACCTACTGAATGAAAATCTGTGGAGTTTAGGGGCAGGAAGCCTGGGAGTCTACATTTTTATTACTTTTTTTCATTTTGGGAACCCCTATTTGAGTGTTTTATAGTTTATAAATTATTTCTCTATTAATTCATTTGATCATCATAATACCTATATGCATATAATATTATGGGCAGTTGCTATTATCCCCCAATATAACTGCTCCTTAACTTATGATGCAGTTATATCCCAATAAACCCACTGTAAGTTAAAAATATCATAAGCCAAACATGTGTTTCTGACATGATAATTTCAGTTGAGGATGGATTTATCCAGACAAACACCCTCATAAATCAAGTAGTATAATGAATGTGTATTGCTTTCAGCACCATCATAAAGTTGAAAAATCACAAGTTGAACCGTTCTAAATAAGTTCTGTGTGTATATAGATTAAAAACAGACTCAAAAAGGTTAACTGAATTTGTGGCAAGGTAAAAACTTTAACACAAATGTTTATCTTAAGTAAGAAGACCTCATGAACTAATGAAGAGAACAAAGAAGTAATAGTGGTTTAGTTAGATTTTCTACCTCCTGCATTTATGAAAAGTACGTTCTTAGAAAAAATATTTAAATTTTTCATTTATCATTTTTCTTAATTTCTTAGAATGGATTCCTGAAACACCAATCCTGAAGTGAGGAATTATGTGCAAGTGATTTATTTATTATACTTTAAGTTCTGGGGTACATGTGCAGAATATGCAGGTTTGTTACATAGGTTTACACATGCCATGGTGGTTTGCTGCACCCATCAACCCGTTATCTACATTAGGTATTTCTCCCAGTGCTATCCCTCTCATAGTCCCCCACTCCCTGACAGGCCCAGTATGTGGTATTCCCCTCCCTGTGTCCATGTCTTCTCACTGTTCAACTCCTACTTATGAGTGAGAATATGCAGTGTTTGGTTTTCTGTTCTTTTGTTAGTTTGCTAAGAATGATGGTTTCCAGCTTCATTCATGTCCCTGAAAAGGACATGAACTCATCCTTTTTTATGGCTGCATAGTATTCCATGGTATACATGTGCCACATTTTCTTTATTCAGTCTGTCACTGATGGGCATTTGTGTTGGTTCCAAGTCTTTGCTATTGTGAACAGTGCTGCAATAAACATATGTATGCATGTGTCTTTTTAGTAGAATGATTTATAATCTTTTGGGTATACACCCAGTAATGGAATTGCTGGACCAAATGATATTTCTGGTTCTAGATCCTGGAGGAATTGCCACACTGTCTTCCACAATGGTTGAACCAATTTACACTCCCACCAACATTGTAAAAGGTGTTCTTTATTAGTCTGTCTAGCAGTCTATTTTGTTGATCTTTTCAAAAAAGCAAGCTCCTGGATTCACTGATTTTTTTCGAAGGGATTTTTGTGTCTCTATCTCCTTCAGTTCTGCTATGATCTTAGTTATTTCTTGTCTTCTGCTAGCTTTTGAATTTGTTTGTTCTTTCTTCTCTAGTTCTTTTAATTGTGATGTTAGGGTGTCGATTTTTGATCTTTTCTGCTTTCTCTTGTGGACATTTAGTGCTATAAATTTCCCCCTAAACACTGCTTTAGCTGTGTACCAGAGATTCTGGTACCTTGTATCTTTGTTCTCATTGGTTTCAAAGAATTTATTTATGTCTGCCTTAATTTCATTATTTACCCAGTAGTCATTCAGGAGCAGGTTGTTCAGTTTCCTTGTAGTTTTGCAGTTCTGAGTGAGTTTCTTAATCCTGAGTTCTAATTTTGATTGCACTGTGGTCTGAGAGACTGTTATGATTTCCATTCTTTTGCATTTGCTGAGGAGTGTTTTACTTCCAATTATGTGGTCAATTTTGGAATAAATATGATATGGTGCTGAGAAGAATGTATATTCTGTTGACTTGGGGTGGAGAGTTCTGTTGATGTCTATTAGGTCAGCTTTGTCCAGAGCTGAGTTCAACTCCTGAATATCCTTGTTAATTTTCTGTCCTACTGATCAGACTAATATTGACAGTGAGGTGCTAAAGTCTCACACTATTATTGCGTGGGAGTCTAAGTCTCTCTCTTTCTCTTTGTATGTTTCTAAGAACTTGCTTTATGAATCTGGGTGCCTCTGTATTGGGTGCATATATATTTAGGATAGTTAGTTCTTCTTGTTGCATTGATCCCTTTACCATTATGTAATGCCCTTCTTTGTCTCTTTTGGTCTTTGTTGGTTTAAAGTCTGTTTTATCAGGGACTAGGAAAAAGCCCTCTGCAGCTCAGCAAAGCCTCTGTAGCCAGACTGCCTACCTAAATTTCTCCTTTCTGGCAGGGAATCCCTGAAAAAAAGGGAGCAGCCCCAGTCAGGGGCTTATAGATAAAACCCCCATCTCCCTGAGACAGAGCACCTGAGGGAAGCGGCAGGTGTGGGCACAGCTTTAGCAGACTTAAACAACCCTGCCAGCCAGCTCTGAAGAGAACAGTGGATCTTCCAGCACAGCTTTTGAGCTCTGCTAAGGGTCAGACCGCCTCCTCAAGTTGGTCCCTGACTCCCGTGTCTCCTGACTAGGAGACACCTCCCAGTAGAGGCCAACAGACAACTCATACAGGAGAGCTCCAGCTGGCATCTGGCAAGTGCCCCATGGGATGAAGCTTCCAGAGGAAGAACAGACAGCAATCTTTGCTGTTCTGCAGCCTCTGCTGGTGATACGCAGGCAAACAGGGTCTGGAGTGGACCTCCAGCAGATCTTCAGCAGAGGGGCCTGACTGTTTGTTAGAAGGAAAACTAACAAAACAGTAAGGAACAGCATCAACATCAACAAAAAGGATATCCACTCAGAAACTTCATCTGAAGGTCACCAACATCAAAGACCAAAGGTAGATTAATCCATGAAGATGGGGAGAAACCAGTGCAAAAAGGCTGAAAGTTCAAAAAATCCAGAACACTTCTCCTCCAAAGGATCACAACTCCTCACCTGCAAAGGAACAAAACTGGACGGAGAATGAGTTTGACAAATTGACAGAAGTAGGCTTCAGAAGGTGGGTAATAACAAACCCCTCCGAGCTAAAGGAGCATGTTCTAACCCAAGGCAAGGAAGCTAAGGACCTGGAAAAAAGTTTAGAGGAATTACTAACTAGAATAACCAGTTTAGAGAAGAAAACAAATGACCAGATGGAGCTGAAAAACACAGCAGGAGAACTTCGTGAAGCATACCCAAGTATCAATAGCCAAATTGATCATGTGGAAGAAAGGATATCAGAGATTGAAGGTCAACTTAATGAAATAAAGCATGAAGACAAGATTAGAGAAAAAAGAATGAAAAGGAATGAAAAAAGCCCCCGAGAAATATGGGAATATGTGAAAAGACCAAACCTACATTTCACTGGTATACCTGAAAGTGACAAGGAGAATGGAACAAAGTTGGAAAACACTCTTCAAGATAATTATCCAGGATTATCCAGGAGAACTTCCCCAACCTAGCAAGGCAGGCCAACATTCAAATTCAGGAAATACAGAGAACACCATAAAGATATTCCTCGAGAAGAGCAACCCCAAGACACATAATCATCAGATTCACCAAGGTTGAAATGAAGGAAAAAATGTTTAAGGGCAGCCAGAGAGAAAGGTCGGGTTACCACTAACAGTGGATCTCTCTGCAGAAACCCTACAAACCAGAAGAGAGTGAGGGCCAATGTTCAACATTCTTAAAGAAAAGAATTTTCATTGCAGAATTTCATATCCAGCCAAACTAAGCTTCATAAGTGAAAGAGAAATAAAATCCTTTACAGAGAAGCAAATGCTGAGAGATTTTGTCACCACCAGGCCTGCCTTACAAGAGCTCCTGAAGAAAGCACTAAACATGGAAAGGAACAACCTGTATCAGCCACTGCAAAGACATACCAAATTGTAAAGACCATCGAAACTATGAAGAAACTGCATCAACTAACAGGCAAAATAACCAGCTAGCATCATAATGACAGGATCAAATTCACACATAACAATATTAACCTTAAATGTAAATGGGCTAAATGCCCCAATTAAAAGACACAGACTGGCAAATTGGATAAAGAGTCAAGACCTATTGGTGTGCTATATTCAGGAGACCCATCTCACATGCAAAGACACACATAGGCTCAAAATAAAGGGATGGAGGAATATTTACCAAGCAAATGGGAAACAAAAAAAACATGCAAGTGATTTATTAAGGAAGAGCTCCCAAGAATAAACTGTAAGGGCTGGGAGATGGAGAACTTGAAAGTGAAAGAAGCCAAACAAAGTTGTAATTATAGAAATAGTCCAAGCATCAACTTGGTCTCATGAGGAGTTCTGGGGTATAAATGCATATCAGTTTGTCTGACCCAGGTAAGGGAGCTGGGCTGGACTGCCTGCCCTAGTCATTGATTATGAACCATACTGGGAGAGACATAAAATCCAATCATTTCCAGCTGTCTGTGCATGCAAGCAAAGTATCCCCAAGTAGCCCTTGAGCAGGCCTCCAAAGAGTTGCAGGTGCAAGCTATTACATATAAGAGAAAACAGAAGCTGAGGAAATATGGATTACTTAAAAATACATGTTTTTAAAAAGAAAACATTACAGATTCTAATACCAGTAATGCAGCTTACTAGTAATTAGGAATTTGTCCTACAGTAAAATATTTTACCTCTTTCAACTGTTTTTAATCTTTTTTAACATAAAAGGTTAATTGTAACCTCTGCCCTGCTTCATGTAGTATTGTTGATTAGATCAAAGAGAATATTGTGCAACATTTTGTAAATGATATAAAATTATATTCTCATACAAAATTTTCTTTTATTACTGAAAAAACAGATGTTGGAAGACCTGTTTCCTGAGGTTTATTTTGCTGAGAGCCCTTCATTCTTTCTATAAGCATGCAAGATAAGAATTCTTGAATATAGCTGTTATCTAATACTAATAGTATATGTGGTCCTAAATTTATTATTGCACACAATATTTTACTTAAGACTAGGATGTTTAAACAACATGAAGGTTATTAAAAGCACATTTCTTACCAATATCAACAGTCAATGTTTGGTGATTTATCAGTTAAACATTGGCTCAAGGAATTCCGTTTTCTAGTCTGGTATGTAAGAAGTTAGAAATTGCCATTGAATCCTAACAGCAAATAAAAACTGAGACAAACTGAAAAATCAGTAACTCTTTTTAGATGCATCAGAGAGATAGAATCACAGGGCAAACCACTGCCCCCAGAATTGGAGAAACTGATAGAGAAATGCAGACAATTGTGACTTGCTGGAGCTGAAACTCCTAGCATAGACCTCCATGGGAAACAGTGCTGAGGTAGGGAGACCTGAGCTATAACTGACCAGTTGCTAGAGGCTCATGGTAGACCAGTCTGAGAGATAAAAATTCTAGAGGGATCTAGTCATTGTGAGTCCACATACTTTTGTGAGTTTTATCTCTATGAGTTCAACCAAATTCTCACAGGAAATATTAGAAAAAAATCCTATTGTGCTTCCGTCAGGAGGAAGGAAAAAGGAGCCATTTTGAAATATGCCAGAACATTCTTTTCTTCTTAATGAGGTCTGCCCTTAAGAGAAATTACTTAACTGGAATCTAACCTGCTGGAGTTTTATCGGAGCCTAACTGACTTGGGGGTAGGGAAGTAAACAACTCTAGTCCCCTCTAGCCTTCCATGTGGAAGAAGATACCCAACTCCAACCACTCTAGCCATTTTGTTGCACTGAAGTGGGCAGGGGAGACTGAGAAGCAGTTGTGAAGTTCCCAAACCAGACGTACAGTCTCATTAAATGCCTGATACTTACTTATAGGACTATAATTGGTTCCTCTCACCCTGTTCACACACACCTTGCCACCACTTTATCAAAGACCTTTTTACAGCAGTTTCTTTCACCCAGTATATCATGTCCAGCTATCAAGAAAAAAGTACAAGGTATACTAAAAGGAAAAAACACAGAGTTTAAAGAGACAGAGCAAGCATCAGAACCAGACTCAAATATAGCAGAGATGTTTGAGTACAAGACTGGGAATTTAGAACAGCTATGATTAATAGGCTAAGGGCTCTAATGGAGAAAGTAGACAGCATGGCATGAAACAACAAATGGCCAACATAAGCAGAGAGATGAAATTCTAAGAATAATACAAGAAGAGATTCTAGAAATCAAAAACACTGTAACAGAAATAAAGAACACCTCTGATGGGCTCATTGGAAGAGTGGACACAGCTGAGGAAAAAATCGCTGAACTTCACAAAAAAAAAAAAAAAAAAAAAAACCACCACCAAAACTGAAAAAAGAAAAAAAGTGACCAACAAAAAAAATAGGACCAAATATCCAAGAACTAAGGGACAACTACAAAAGGTAAAATATACATGATAGGAATACCAGAAGAGAGAGAGAAAAGAAGAAGGAATAGAAGCAATATTTGATGCAATAATGACTGAGAACTTCCCCAAATTAATGTCAGATGCCAAACCACAGATCTAGGAAGCTCAGAGAACAAGTAGAATAAATGCTGAAAGTCCTACATATAGGCATATCATTAGGTTGGTGCAAACGTAATTGCGGTTTCTGCCACTTAGAAAGCAGTTGTGGTTTTTGCCATTGCTTTCGATGGCAAAAACCGTAATGGCAAAAACCTCAATTACCTTTGCACCAACCAAATATTTTTAAACTACAAAAAAATCAAAGATAAATTTAAAAATCCTGAAAGAAGCCAAAGGGGTCTATCTTACCTACAGAGGAACAAAGATAAAAATTATGCTCGACTTCTTCTCAGAAGCCATGCAAACAAGAAGAGAGTGGAGTGGAATATCAAGAGTCTTGATAGAAAAGACCCACCAGCCTAGAATTCTGTACCCTGTGAAATTAATCTTCAAAAATGAAGGAGGCTGGGCTCAGTGGCTCATGCTTGTAATTGCAGCACTTTGGGAGGCAGAGGCGGGTGGATCACCTGAGGTCAGGAGTTCAGCCTGGCCAACATGGTGAAACCCTGTCTCTACTAAAGACACAAAAGCTAGCTGGGCATGGTGGCAGGTGCCTGTAATCCCAGCTACTCAGGAGGCTGAAGCATGAGAATAGCTTAAACCCAGGAGGTGGAGGTTGCATTGAGCTGAGATGGTGCCATTGCACTCTAGCCTGGGGGATACAGCGAGACTGTGTCTCAAAGAAAAGGAAAAAAAAGGAGAAATAAAGCCTTTCTCAGACAAAATGGAGGGAATTTGTTTTCAGGAAACCTGCATTACATGGAATGTTGAAAGAAATTCTTTAGAGAGAAGGAAAACAGTAAAGGTCAGAGAATCAGACTTACTTAAAGAAATGAAAAGCATTAGAGATGGTAAAATAAAAATATGCAAAGAACTCTTAAACTCAAGAATACGAACAACCCAATTTAAAAACTGGGCCAAAGACCTTAGCAGACACCTGACCAAAGAAGATACATGGATGGCAAATAAGCATATGAAATAATGCTCCACATCATAAAGTCATTAGAGAAATGCAAATTAAAACAACAAGAGATAGATACAACCACACATGTATTAGAATGGCCAAAGTCCAAAACACTAACAAAGGCTAACAAGGATGTGGAGCATCAGGAACTCTTATCTATTGCTGGTGAGAATGAACAAGGGTACAGCCTTTTGGAAGACCACTTGGTGATTTCTCACAAAATAAACATACTGTTACCATACAATCCAACATTCATTGCTCCTTGATATTTACCCAAAGGAATTGGAAAGTTATATCCACACAAAAACCTGCACACAGATGTTCATAGCAACTTCATTAAAAATTTCCAAAATGTAGAAGCAACCAAAATGTCTGTCATCAGTAGGAGAGTAGATAAATACACCGTGGTACATCCAGACAATGGAATAAAAAGGAATAAGCTGTCAAGCCATAAAAAGATATGGAGGAAACTTAAATGCATACTGCTGGTAAAATAAGCCAATCTGAAAAGGTTACATCATGATTCCACTACATGATACTCTGGAAAAGGCAAAAGTAATGAGAAAGTAAAAAGATCAGTGGTTGCCTGGGGTTGAGGGAAGGGAGGGATGAATATGTGGATCACAGGGCATATCAGGGCAGTGAAAAAATGTATACTACAATATTGTATACTACGATAGTGGATACATGTCATTATATATTTGTCCAAACTTGTTGAATGTACAATCCTAATGTAAACTATAGACTCTGGGGTGACAATGATGTGTCAATGTAAGTTCTTCACTGGTAACAAATGTGCCACTCTGGTGGGGGATATTAATAATGGGAGAAGCTATGCATGTGTGGAGGCAGTGGGTATATGGAACATCTCTGCACCTTCCTCTCAATGTCACTGTGAACCTAAAACCACTCTATAAATAGTCTATTCAGTTGAAAAATAATTAAATCAAAAAACTTCTGAGGGAATTCTGTTTGTCACAAGATTGTTCTACATTTTGACAACAGGCTCAGGAATTCCTTAGATATTTTGAACTATGGACTTCATAAATGAATAGGCTGCTTGTGTCAAACTTCTCTTAACCAAATTTAATATTTGTAATAGTTCAAAAATAGACCATACCCATATATGTCTTTGGATAAAGGAATATGTTCTAATATAAATGGCCCCTGAAATGTTCTGATAGGAAGTTCATGGCAACAAGAATTGCACACTGTAGAATACTTATAGATCCATTTAGAAATGCCATTCTCTGCTTAAGATGTGGAGGTTTACATTCAGGAATTGGTTTCGAAGTTAGCATTGCATAATATAAATTCTGCAATAGGCAGTGATGTTTGAAGTAAGGGTATATTTTATAAGGCATCAGAATGGAATCCACAAGTTGCCAAGGCTGTTTTCGTTAAACAGAATATAGTGATCTCAATTTTTTACATAATCAAAAAGAGAATCATATTCATAAGCATCTGGGCAAAATATCTCTAAATAAAACCACACTTTCAACTTCATTCAAAAGGATTAAAACCTGAAATTTGGAAATCAATTCTGATTTTCATTCGCTATTATTAGTAAAGAGATCTTAATACATATTGTTTCACATGGTCTTTTACCAGAGCTGTTGGAACCATATGACTATTTGTCTCATGATTATAATTTTTGGAGTTTCATGAATATTGTTAGAAGCTCTGCTATGTACATGAGGACTGACAAAGGCCAATTTGGAAGAAATATTCTCATGACCATCTTTGTCAATGGCCTTCATACTATTAGGAAGTCCTGAATAGAAGAAATTGTCAAATTAAGAAAAGGCCTAATCTGTTCCATTAGATTCTGGGTTTATCTTAATTCATCTGAAACTAGAATTAAAATTTTAGCCATAAGGAATACAGAGAAACGTAAAACATGTGGCCAGTTAGTGATTCAATTAACTGTCTTTGCATCTGTCTTTTCTCTTTCCTTTAGATGATAGGGGCAATATGGCATGATTTGTATTTTATAATATTATCTGGCTGCTGCATAGAAAGTAAGTATTAATCAGGCTTGGAGTCTTTGTTCATGCTTCTAAAATTGCTTTTGTTCCCAACTTTCACCTTTCAAAATCCTCTAAAGTTACATTCAAATGCTACCTCCTTAATTATGTTTCCCCAAGTTTCTTATAGCAGTTACTCATTTTCTCACGAATTTTATTTTTCTATATTACTTGCTATTCTTATTATGGTTTATTGCTTTAAACATCTTTGAGGAGAAACAACTATATAATGTGCATTTTTATATTCATGTCCTTGATACCTTCCACAAAAGTGATGCTCAATAAGTGCCTGCTGAGGAAAATTAAAAATATAATTGGACCAATTACACTTTGTCAAACAACTCCACAAGCTCTAATGTTTAATATTTAAGATCCTAAATCCCAGA
This sequence comes from Homo sapiens, assembly GCF_000001405.40. NCBI lineage: Eukaryota > Metazoa > Chordata > Mammalia > Primates > Hominidae > Homo > Homo sapiens. Next base: position 63,353,525 of record NC_000005.10, on the reverse strand, counting down.
ATATGCTAGGAATAAAAACCACCCTTATCTAGGTGGGCACTAAGTCCATACATTCTTTGGTGTCTTTGTTGAGGACCTGTTGACCTTCCACAATCTCACAAAGAGCTACTAAAGGAACCAAACAGACCTTATATTCTAAGGTAGAGCTTCTGTGTTCAGAATTTCTGTTGCTGTAGAGATTTTTTTCCAGTGATTTCTGAAGGTTGTCTTTTTAGTATTCTAGGTGTAGAGGAGATGTTTAGTGTTTCCTTACTGTGGGATGAACACACTACTCACTCATAGAAAGATTTCAGGATACTCATCACCCGAATGAGACATGAAAAATTAAGAAGTAAAATCCCATGTCACCAGTTCAACATCACTGATATTTTTCCTTCATCCATGCAAAAGGACATTCAATCCATCACACACTTACTCCAGCCAACAAGCAATAAGCTTAAGCTTCCTTAAATTCCTCACTGCTATCAAGACTTTCGAGAAGAGATCATATTCCTGAACAACATGATGATCCACTAAAAAGAGGATACGAAAATGTAATTATAAGATGTAAAGCAGCAAAGCACTTCCTAGGTGATGCTAACACATAAAAGTAAAAACAAACTACTGTAAAAACAAACAAAGGATTTGTTTACCAATATCCTTTGATGTATGAATTGCCCTGAATAATAATAAGCGCAGAGGAGTCAGATAGTATCTTGTGTTAAAGATACCACAGGTATTGTAAAATTCAACATATCCACAAATAAACATGTTTCCCCCAAATTTAAGATTGTTTTCTATATTTGCCAACTCAGTGAATGTCATATCAAGTCCTATGGCCAATCAAATAAGAGATCTGGATATAATCCTTGATTCTTCTCCTCCTTTAGCATATGCATAAAATTAATTTCCAAGTCTTGTTGACAAAATGTTCTCAATATCCTCCACTGTTCAGCCTCTTTCCATGCTTATGGCTATTGCCTTCTTTCTCATTGGATGACTGCAACAGCTTCCTGCAAGTGCTGCCTTTCAATTTATTCTCCACATTGCTATTAGTGATCTTTCTAAAATACAATTTGAATTGTGTTGTACTACAGATTGAAAGCTTTTCTTGGTTTTTTATTTCTTTCATGATAAAGTTCAAATTGAAAAGGCACGCATGTAAAAGATAGGACCTTTGATCCTCCTTAATCTCTGCCTCCTGACACTTTCCTACTATCACATCTGCTTTCAGGCTAAGCAACTTACAGATTTTTTTAGTGTACCCTGCTTCCTCTCAACTTTTGCTTTTGTAGGTGTGACTCTCTCTTCCTATAATACCACCATGCATATAATCCTCCCTTTTTGCAGATGACCCCCTTTATTTAGTTTTTCATGACTTAGTTCATTTACTACCTTCTTATCCGGAGGCTTCCCTATCTCATCCCACTGAGTGCAAATTAGGTATGATTCTTATTACACCTTACACATATTCCCAATTAATGCTATTTTAATTGTCAAGGCACTTGACCTCATTTCTACCTGATAAGATTGAGAGTAGCAATCATTTCATATATGTTGCCAGCACATAGACCAATGCCTAAAGATTTATAGGCATTTAATATATAATCTTATGAATCAATATTTTTTACGTGGGCATATTTTTGTTTGAAAGGCAGACACAGATAATTCTTTCTGGTTAATCCTAGAATCAGGACATCTATGGTAAGGCAATGTCCCTTAATTTGTATTGATCACAACCTTTTTCTAAGGAAAAAATTCATGACATTAATTACTCAAGACTTCTGACTACTCAATTATTCAAGTCAGGAAAAAGCAACAGGTGATTCAAATATCTAAAGCCACCTGCCTCTGCAAATGGTAGGTATTTTACCAACCTCACTAAACTTTTGTCAAGTTTACTAAATTATACAATCAATTTTGCATCCAAAATTTTGCACTTAACAATGGGAAGTTGGCAAGGTGGTAGTAGACAAATTGTCTAAAAATTGTATGTTATTAGTGTTGGTATGTGATGTGATTATAAAATGATTATCAAAAATAGTTGTTATTTCAAAAGACAGGTCACTGTTTCGTCACACTACATGGAGAAAGTTTATGGTTTGTTCACATAAATACAGTCTCTAAAATGCATTTGCTGACTCACAATTTATTCTGACATATACATGACTAATATAGCCAATGAAAATCCATGCCAAAATTTACCATAGACATCTGCATTTACTACTCCTTGAGAAGTGGTTAGGGAGCACTGATCAAGAATTCATATCAATTCCTGGACCATGAATGGAAATTTTTATTTGTGGGAGAATCACCAACAAAAGGACTCCAATTGCTTGTAGGTGGTTTTCAAAACCTGTGATACTTAAGCCTCAGATCTGTTTCCATTATATCTAACATGTAGATATCTAAATGCCATTTGTATGTGGAGTCTCAATATAAGAACAGATTGAACTGAGGCTTTATATGTGTTGCCATTATTGCACCTCCTTACTGTCAAGGATATTGTCAGGATGGAAGAACAGCACCAATTAAAAAGGATATTCTCATTATTAAATATGATTGACTTGCGAGAATTTGGTAAGGAAAAGGAAAACTTAGGACTCCTTCTAAAGGAGGCTGAAAACATAATGGTTTGTATCAGATATCGGGGTTCTTTCAAAACATGGCAGGTTAATGCCACTTAGAAATGGGAATAACCAATTCAAAATTATCCTAGGGAAAAAGGAAATCAATCAACACAGTATAATAAGCTGTCAATCCAAGCCACTCAAGTGACTCCTGATATGTGATCATGTTGTTTTCCAATCTCAGTCACTTCCCTAATTGCAGGTTTTGCAATTTTGTTGACATACTTGTGTACCTGAATCTATGCACTTTTGACACATTCTACTAATGGTTTCTCTTATACTCATCCTAAAAATGTTTCTTTTTCCATCCTTGCCTAGCCTTGATATCATAGTGTGTGCATATTTTTGGTTAAGAATGTGTTATGTTCACTTGAAGTTTCCATTAGTACTTAGAAAATTTTCCAATATGTACTAATATTAGTCAGAGGGAAGATATTTAAAATCAATTATCTTGTGGTTGACAGCTCACCAAACCAAGAGCATTATTTGTATATTAGCAAAATCAGGATAAAGGAAGCCACATGAAGAAATCTTAAGCAGTATAATAAATCATCTTCAAAGTATAAAATAACAACAAATCCCCAAATAAATATAATCATCAATTAGGCTTTAGAAACAAAAGCATAGACTGCCAAAAGATGTTTCTAAAAATACGTAACAAGACAATAAGGCCAGGCACAGTTGCTCACGCCTGTAATCCAAGCACTTTGGGAGGCTGAGGTAGACAAATGACCTGAGGTCAGGAGTTTGAGACCAGCCTGGTCAAACCCCATCTCTACTATAAATACAAAAATTAGCCGGGCATGGTGGCATGCACCTATAATCCCAGCAACTGGGGAGGCTGAACCATGAGAACCACTTGAACCTGGGAAGCAGAGGTTGCAGTGAGCCGAAATTGAGCCACTGCACTCTAGCCTGGGCAACACAGCAAGACTCCATCTCAAGAAAAAAAAAAGACTGTAAGTAAGAGAGCTTATATTAATCAATTCAAGAACCTTTTAGAAAAAAATATGCGTGCTCTGAAAGTTCAAATTCAATGGGCATTATCCTTAACAAAAATGTCTTTTCTTTTTTCTGGTGATTTACTACATATGGAAACATAGATGGTGTGGGCTCTGAAATATAATTCTCTAATTAAGATGGTATCATAGTTTGTTTCCATCGTGTTGCTGTGGTATTCAGAAGCAAGAAATAAATAGAAATGCTTCCGTGAAGTTCATCAGTTTTATCCAGAAGTCTGAGGTAACAAACCTGGAGGGCCTAGACAGTGACATTACACCTGGGCCCAGGAAAATGGAGTTTCAAGCACTCAAACAAAAGACTAAAACAATTTAACAAATAAGAAACATTCTTTTTATGGGGTGAAGCCTCAATTGAAGACATACCAGATTATTGCTAAGCAATTACTAGACTGTTTTCCTGAGCAGAGACCTTCTACTAAATAGTCAATAAACCTGAAGTAAATCTAGCTCTTCTATAACAAATCTCTGTTTAAAGAACCATATTTTGGCCAAAAAACCCAGGTCCTTGGAAAAAGTGACTAAAGGTAAACGTCTGAAAAATAAGACATATCTATAGATATCTACATCAAGGCCACAATAGTATTAAATATTAACATATTCACATAGGAAGATGTGTCCAGTTCTCTTGGAGTCAAATGTAAATTGAAGGCACTCTTTTTCATATTTCTAAGGTCCTTATAAATATGTTATAATGAAAAAAGGAGATCATACAGAAGAATATTAAAATAAATCCTGTATTTCATTATATATATCTATAGAAAAAGAAATAATATTAAAGCTGCTGTTGTAGGGCCAGTAGGCCAGAAAACAACACAATGAGAGAATAGCAATTCATATTACTAAAGAATACAAATTAAGCCATGCACCATATGACTAGAAAGTCAAATAAAATCAAATACCATGTCTGAAACTTAGATACATTAAAGTTTATTGAAGATGGCCTTTTTGTCATGTCCAAAAGAATTTAAGCATTATTAAAGGTGACACCCATCATTAGGCAGCTATTTAATACTTAGAGCTAACAGTTATTGATGACTTACCTTGAAAGAGGCATCTGTTTTATATTCATCTGATCCTTAAAGCAACCCAGTTAAAAAGTGTTAATATGATCCCCAGTTTAGAGCACGGAAGTCTGATGTTCAGAGAGGTTGAGTAAATTGCTCAATGTCACACAGGTAGTATTAAGTATTGGTGACAGACATCTAACACTGGCAATGTGATGCCATTACTTATGCTCTCAAACGCTATCTGATTTTGTAATCCAGGAAGCGACCATAAAGCAAAGCAGAAGGAATTTGAATGTGGAAAACTTATTTCGGTATGATTGGGCTGCCAAACAAAAAGAGAGGCAAACAAATTTAAGAGAACACTTGAAGAAATTGTGAGATTTTCCCTAAACTCCTGTGATACTTGTCACATATATCAGTGGCTTTCAGATTATTAAAATGTGTTTTATGTATAACCTCACTGAGTAAAACAAGTGAAACTGAAGCTGTTCTATTTATAGTAATTAGAGAACCTACAATACTATCCCCAAATCTGTTCCCTGGTCCCCTTGCAGCTTCTGAGATACCTCAGAAGAATCCTAGGATTCCGAAGAACACAAATTGGAACCCTCTGGGAACTGGACTATCAGGATTCGGAGTGACCTTTAAGGTGATCCAATCCAACTATTCACTTGACACTTAAAAAAAACCAAGAGCTGTATATAGTTGTTTATTATTTTGAATCAGGATTAAATTATGAGTCATCTTTAAAAGAGGAACGTTAAGACAAGTGCTCCACAGACAATAAACATGGCTTTTTCATTCAGTTTGTATCACACTTCTTAGGTGCTTATTCTTAATTAAATGAAACAATGTGAATTGCTGTTTTTGGAAACAAAAAAATACCAATAACTGCAGAATTATAAAGGTGGGAGAAGTAGTCCTCAATTTTCATATGAATAAAGTGGTATGATAATCATACAAAACTTGCAGGGTGTCTTAGTTTTGTTTTGCTATAATGGAATAGCCAAAAGTGGGTAATGTATAAAGAAAAGTGTTTTAGCCGGGCACAGTGGCTCATGCCTATAATTTCAGCACTTTGGGAGGCCAACGCAGGGGCAGATCACCTGAGGTCAGGAGTTTAAGACCAGCCTGGCCAACATGGCAAAACCCTGTCCCTACTAAAAATACAAAAAATAAAAAAATAAATAAAAAAGCCAGATGTGGTGGTGCACACCTATAATCCCAGCTATTTGGGAGTCTTATGCAAGAGAATCACTTGAGCCTGGGAAGCGGAGGTTGCAGTGAGCGGAGATCAGGCTACTGCACTACAGGCTGGGTGACAGAGTGAGGCTCCATCTCAAAAAAAAAAAAAAAAAAAGGCAGGGAGGGGGTTTATTTACCTCATAGTCCTGCAAGCTGCTCTGTTCAAGGACATGGTGCTGGCTTCTGGTAAGGGCCTTGGTCCTGCAACACAACATGGCAGAAGGTCAAATGGGAAGCGGACATGTGCAAAAATGGGACCAAACAAAAGGAGGAATCTCACTCTATAACTACCTTCTCTAAATTAGACTGCATTAATCTATTTATGAGAAATCCACCCCCCTCACCCAAACACTTCTCACTGGGCCACACCTCCCAACACTGCCACACTGACGATCAAACTGCAACATGAATTTTAGTGGGAAACATCCAAATCCTAGCACAAGGTAACTATAAAAATTAGAAGCAGTACACCGGAAGTGCCTATCAATGCACAGCAAGGAGGTTTCATAAAGGATAGCTCTTTTTGTTATAATTTCTATTGGCTTTTATTTCATAAAAATTACAATGTACTGAACTGAAAATGCACTATACATTTTGCTCATGTTTTTTGATGAGTGACCAAGTGTTATTTTTCTATTTTTCTCTTCTATTACTTTTAAGATGAATACAAAAATTCAGTTGGACTTCATAGGAGGGCATGGATGAAAAGAGAAAGCCAAATGTATTAACGTAGAATCAATTTGGCATAGGTTATCTTCGAGTTAAGAATATATTTGTATCACTGTGCTCAGAGAGGTAATCAGTTAGTAAATGTTCTGATAATTCTGGTTTAAAAGAATAGGGCTGCTTAGAAGAAGAAATAAAATGCCACACCAGATATTAGAGGATATTGGTTTCCTGGAACAGTAACTATAGGTGTTCATTCAGAGTGACATATATAACAGAGGTTGCTGCTTAAGCCTGTCCACCACTGGGATTGAAACATGTCAAGGCATGGCTAGCAAACTGGTAGGATGAGCCAGCAATGACATATTTGCAAAAGGAATTGAGGAGTCTCCTAGGGGAGAAGTCTTCCTCAGAAAAGAGGCAGTCAGGCAAACCATGTTGGCTTGATAAGAGCTGGTCATCAAAGGGAAAATAAATTATGAGGGCAGCATGGTGTTTTTCCAAAGATTTTTCCTTTGACATAAGGAAAATGATATAATTTCAAATGAACTCATATCTCCATATAATAGAGAAAGCAATGATACAAAGTTCTGATAAAAGCTTGTTCACTAAAATCTCTATAAAATTTGGATAGCACAAGAATAATATCTTACCTTTTCTTTTTGGTACCTGTAATTAATATGTACATATTCAATTCTAAACAGACAAAGAGAAATAGTCTCTTCATTTCCACATGAATACAACATGGCTTTATTTCACTAAAGAACTTATACTTTCAGGAGAGTTTAACCCATTTAGAACCCCAACAAAATAGCTGTCTAAAACAGCTACTAGAGGTGTCTAATGTAAGAAGACTAGGATGGAAGTTTAAAAATCAGATGCTTCATAATAGCTGACAGGATTTGGTTTTGAAGTTGAGGGACATTCCCAAAAGAATTTAGGAAACAGTGTAGCAAAAGGAAATTTGTGGGGAGGCAAAAAGTACTTTAACAGTAAGTAAGTAAGGCAAGTGCCAGCAAAACTTGGGTTGTATGAAATGCCAGATGCTGCAGATACAAGAATAAACCTCATGAGAGCAGCTTCTGCTCCTAGGTGCTTTCTGTTCTGGGGTCCAAGTTGTTCCAGATGCTTCTTAGAGCTAATCTGGGGCAGTTTTGCAAATTGGCAGTTGTTCCAGTTTGCGTTTCCACAGAAAGAAATTTGTGTTCTCTTCAGGATGAGTACAACACTCTCTCTTCTAGGTAAAATTTGAGTAGTCTTCTAGAAATACTGGAATGTACCCTCTTCCACCTGCTCTATTATAAGAAAAGTATGGAGAGCTGATACCTTATTTTTGATTCAAAAGAGTGCTCTTTCATTTATCAAAAGATAATTGTGGTGAGGATGAAAGTGTCCCTTTCAGCTTTCCCAGTGCAGAGTGTGTAAGTAACTGGCCCTGCTGCTGCACTCAGAAATTCGTCAGCAAGTTGGTGCCACAGCCACGCTGCTGACAGGCTGCTACAAGCTGATAACTGAGCATGGTAGGGCTACTGAGGCAGGCTCATTCCTGAGTGGTACTAGACTATACTGATGAGCACCTAGGCTTGAAGACTTCTCATCAACTTTTCCAAACCTACCTTAGAACTCTGCTATAGTCTTGTGGTCTTTTCTACCCAAGCATCCTTCCTTCCCCTCTCCTCCACAGGGGTAATCTGCCTCATGGACTTACAGCTTTTCCAACCTCTGGCTTTTTTTGCCATCAAAAGGAAAAGAAATCATTATGACAGCATAGTGTTTCTCCCAAAATTTTTCCTTTGATGTAATTCCAAATGAACTCATATCTCCATCTAATAGAGAGGGAAAAGACTTACAAAGTTTTGCAAAAGCTTGTTCACTGAACACTGAAGTCTGTATAAAATTTGGATAGCACAAGAATAATATTTCACCTTTTATTTTAGTATGTATAATTAATATGTAAATATTCAACTCTTAAACCAACAGACAGAAGTGTCTTTTTTTGTCTCACATGCATTTTCCTTAATTACGCTCTTGCATACTTAATCCCAACTTGGCATACACTTTCTAGATAACCCAAACTAATACAATAAATAAGTGAAAATATTTTCCATAATTGCCTTCGCTACAGCTGGAAAGCAAGTGGAGATCTTATGAGCAAGTTAGATCCTGTGATCAGACCCCATGGTAGTGTGCAGTATAGCTGAGACCTAGGCTCCAATCCTACCTCCGTTTTTCATCTGTAGCACATGGTTTTTATTCTTAGATTCCAGTCATAGCTGTGGCACACAGTTACAAGCTATGTTTGTCCACTCTCTCTCAAAACCCTCAGTCAATGGAATCATGTATCAATGGATAAGTGGCCCAGCACCCACCCCCTCACCGCCCCTGGCTTTAGATAGATAGCTCTGGAAGGCATTCCACGTGTTTCTCAGAGGTCCCTGCAGGGTTGACTCCTCTTGTCTACAGCAGCAGCAGCAGCAGCCGCCGCACACCCATTTTTGGCTTTCTTCCCTCTCCCACTCTCCATCTCCCTGGGATAACCTCCAAATAAACTACCTGCATCTGTCTGTCTCAGGTTCCGCTTTGGGAGAACTCATACGTGGCACCATTCCTATAAAATGAGGAAAATAGCTTTGAAGATGATGATCTACTTCCATCATGAACATTCTACCAAGCGTGAGTATGGCATCTATGGCACCCTCAGCTACATTTAATCATTCAACTCTTCTGCACACGCTGCGCCCCAGCCATACCAAACAAGCTAAACCAAAAGATCTGGATTATCCACATCACTATACCTTTCATATGCTCATCTTACCTTCTTTGTTCATCTCATTGAAGAAACAAGGAAAAGTCATTTACCAGTTCTGACACTTCACCTCTTCTGCTCCCATACCCACCCCAGCAGCACATCTGTTGTAGGTGCACAGGCCTCTGCAATAGAACCTATTATCTTGCATTACAATTGTTAGTTCCTATGCCTGATTTCCTTATTCAAATAGAGGATAAGGGGAAAAAAATCTTGTCTTCTAGAATGGCTTGCACATTGTCTGGTCCTTGGAAGTTTCTCAATACGTTTTTTTTTTACCATAAGTGAGTGAAACAATGAATAAAATAATATTTTAGGCAGAGTTGAAATATGACGTAGATAGTGTATGAATGTAAAGGCTTTCATGTTACCTATCTTGTTCTGAATACATGTATATGATAATAATTACTTTTAGTTAATGATTAAGCTTTTTAATCACTAAGTTTGGTACCATAATTAAAGCAAATATTTATTTTAGTTGTTAAAGAACTGATTTATCCCAATAGTTTTCTTCCCTGTCTGTTCTGATCAGAGAACCTCATTTACCATGTAGAGGTTTAAAATGAGAAAAAGAAATTCTCTACCATAGACTCACAAAACGTCTAAAGAAATTTTAAAAGAAAAAGGATATCTTTTTTTTTTTTTTTTTGAGACAGAGTTTCGCTCTGTCACCCAGGCTGGAGTGCAGTGGCGCAATCTCGGCTCACTGAAAGCTCCGCCTGCCAGATTCATGTCATTCTCCTGCCTCAGCCTCCAGAGTAGCTGGGACTACAGGCACCCACCACCAGACCTGGCTAATTTTTTTTGTATTTTTAGTAGAGACGGGGTTTCACCATGTTAGCCAAGATGGTCTTGATCTCCTGACCTTGTGATCTGTCCTCCTCGGCCTCCCAAAGTGCTGGGATTACAGGAGTGAGCCACCGCACCTGGCTTAGAAAAATTAAATCTTTAGCAGCAGAATTAGTGAAATAGAAATGTTTTTGAATGGCAATGATCAACTACAACAAAAATGAACTTTTGAAAAAATAAAACAAGCATATCTTCCATAACAGTGTTCAAGAAATGAGAGAGAAGGAATAAATGAACACTATGAAACATAAAATAGAATGTATAAACTATATATATATATTATTTTAGAAGTGAATTATTCAAATATCTTTATATCAATGTATTTTAAAACAAATGTTAAAATATATTAAAATTTATTTAAAAATTAATAAAGTGAAAGAGTATATACGAAATATAATGTAAATATATTTTACAGAATATTTCTTATTTCAGAGAATAGCAAAAAAGGAATGCTATTCTATACATTTTCTAAATCTATCATAAATATGTTATTAAATCTAATCAAGAAATATTTTTTAAAAATAAAGAAAATTATAGACCAATCTCACTTATAACATATAAAAGTCCCGAATAACATATTACCAGATTGAATCAATTTTCAAATGTAATAATCAGATCCAATTTACTTTCAGAATTCAAAACTATTTCATTTTCAGAAAAACTAAGTATTAAAATTAACCACATTAATAAATCAAATTTCCAGAATTATAATATCTAACCATATTTAGTACTTGTTCATGCATTTTTAAAAATCTCTTAGAAAACTAGAAATAGAAAAAAATGTTTTACAGGACAAAAGATGTGTTCTAAAAAATAACAGTAAGCATTATTCATAAGAGTAAAAATTTAAAAGTATTTTCATGACAGGCAAGAGAAAATCAATGATACAATTCCTTTCATTCACTATTTTATTAGACTTATCAACAGTGCAGAAAATGGAATGGCATATAGATAGTGAAAAAGAGGAGGTAAACTCATTTTTTAAAGACAATGGGATTATATATCTAGAAGTTTCAAGAAAACCATAGCAAATTATTAGAACAACAAAAAAACTCAACACATTTTTAGCTGCAAGATTAGGCTTCAAAAATACATAACATTTTATATACCAAAAATAATCCCAAAATGTAGTAGAAAAGATACTATGTACAATAGCAATAATAAAATGATCAATTTTTGTTATAAAGTAACAAGGAAAGAAACAACCCAATTAAACATATATTTTGATTATACACTTCACCAAGAAGAGATGACAAATAAGCACATGAAAAAATGCTCACAAAAGGATGCTCAACATTATTATTCATTAGTAAATGAATGTAAATTAAAACATAAATAAGATGCCATTACACATCTCTGAGAATAGCCAAAATAATATAAAAGTGAAAGTATCAAGTGCTAGTGATACTACATAGCAGCTAGAACTCTCACATAGTACTGGTAAGAATGCAAAATGCTAACGTCATTAATAAAATAAGTAGGCTGCTTTTTGATAAAGTTAAAAATACTCTTACCATGTGACCCAGCAACCAAATTCCTAGGTGTTCATTCAAGATAAATAAAAGTATATGTTCACACAAAACCTGTGAATGAATGTTTATTCGTAATCACTACAAAGTGGAAATTTTAAAAAATGTTCATCAGTAAGTAAATGGATAAATAAGTCATGGTACGTCCATTCAATGGAATACTACTTAGAACTAAAAAGGAGCAAATTACCCTTTCATAGAACAACATGAATGTATCTTAAAGCATTGTTGTAAGTAAAGAAAATCATACATGCTGTATGATTCATTGATATAATACTCTGGAAAAGGTGAAACTACAGGAACAGAAATCAGATCAGTGGTTGCCAAGGGCTACTGATAGGAGAGTGGGTTAACTACAGAGAGGTACAACAAAACTTTTTGGAGCTGTCTTAGTCCATTTCATCTGTCATAACAAAATACCACAAACTTTGTGGCTTGTAAACAACACTCATTCCTCATGGTTCTGGATTCTAAGAACTCCAAGATCCAGGCATGAGCAAATTTAATGTCTGGTGAGGACCCCTTCCTCATAGATGGTGGTTTATTCCTGTGTCCTCACATGGTATAAAGGACAAGGCAGCTCTCTCTTGCCCCTTTTACAAGGGCACTAATATCATTCATGAGGATGGAACCCTAATGACCTGATCACCTACCCAAAAGCCCCATCTCCTAATACCATCCATGACCTTGGGGATTAGAATTTCAATATATGAGTTAGGATTGGGAAGGCACAAACATTCAAACCACAGAAGGAGTGATAGAAATTCTATATTCTGAGGTAATGGTTACATGACTTTATACATTTGTCAAAACTCATTGAACTGTACACCTTAAAATGGTTTAATATATTGTTAATATACTGAAATTATTATAATTTCTATATAAATTATATCTCAATACACCCAACTTTAAAAATAGAAGGCATATGGGGACCTAGAGAATGCATGAATAAAAAGGAAAAATATGTTTACAATCTTTAGATTTGAAAACAATTATTAAAGATATAAATCTTTTTAAATTAATCACAAAATTAAATGCAATTACAACTCAAACACCTTGTAATTTCAAAAGCAATTTCTAACATTTACACCAAAGAGCTAAAGGACTATTAGTAAGCACAATATTTTGAAGGAGCATAGGTTGGGGTAACTTGCTTTAATCAGATATCAAAACTTATTGTAAAACTATAGTAATTAAGATCTGTAATATTTGTTCAGGAAAAGATAGATTGATAGGAAACAGATGAGCAATTAAGACACTAAATGTTTTCTGGGATCTTTTTCTACACTATAGGAGGAATTAAAAATCAGAAGGGAAACTGTAGTTACTCCATAAACAATGCCAGAGCAATACATGTCCATAATAAAATTTAATACCTGAGTCAAACCATACATAAAATTATTATGTATAAGATATAGACATAAACACATGAAAAAAAAGCTTTAAAACTATACTTAAGACTAATATAACATTTTGGCAGAGATTTTTCTTGAAAAAGACATAAATCATAAAGTAAGAAATTAGCAATTCCTAATTATAATAACATCCAAAATTTCTATATTAAAAGGGGACTATCAAGTTAAAAGAAAAGCAATAAGCTGGAAAATGTAACCAATATATATTGCAGACATTAGAAAAATTCAAATAATTCTTATCTGTCAATAAGAATATGATAAAAGAGAATCCAGTGGAAAGTAGGCAAAGGACATGTATCATTTATTCAAAAAACAGGTAACAGGTGAGTAAGTATAAAACAGATAGTACTGGTTGGGAAAAAGAATGCCAAACAAAATGAGATACCATTTCAAATTCATTATAACGGCAAAAGTTATAACTATTCCAAATGATAGGAGGATGTGAGAATAGATTGCTGACACACAGCAGGTGGGGATGTAAATCAATACCAATTTCTTTTAGAGGGCAACTCTTGAAGTGGAAAATAAGCATATCCTACAACCCAACAGTTCTGTTCTCTCTATACTCACATATGCATGTAAAGCTAAATGCACAGGGATATCCACTAGCCTTTTTTGTAATAGGGAGAAATGGAAACAAATCAAAAACCCATCAATAAAGGGATGGAGAATTCAATGATAGTACATATATACACTGGAATACTTACTACATAGCACCAAAATAAATAAATTAGATTCACTATATCTAAATGGTTTAATTTACATGAGGTAACTCAAAAAGGTAATTTTGAGTAGAAAAAAACATGTTATAGGATAGTATGCAGAATATAATACTATTGGATACATATTAATAACATAGTATTTTGGTATCTTTTCATGGATATATGTGTATGTAATAACAATTTTAAAATCTGGACAAATGAGATACTAAAATTAATAATAGTGATTTTCTTTTGAGGGGAGGGGTGAAGAAAATCTGCCTTGTAGAAGAACATAGGAAACTTGAGCTTTATCTATTTTATTTGTTTACGAAAAATAAACAAACTCTAGCTAGTACATCAGGCCAACCCCAAATATGATTAGTAGAGACAATGTTTAGTCATTTGTCATGGTGCTTTTCGCAGTCCTGGTTGACAGTTTACAGGGATCACAATGCGACCTATCATTAGGGTTTTCAACATGGCAGGCCATAAAATGTTGAATCTCATCTGATAATTGGATATTTACCATTTTGTGTTAAAACAAGTCTGATAATGTCCAAGTTGACTGCTATGTTGAAGGTCTTACCTCTTCCAGCCATGGCCCTGGCCCATCGCAGCCACCTTTGTATAGGAAACTGGAATTCCAAACAGGAGAAGGACTGTAAGAGAGTGTGGCTAATGACCCTTCTCCTGAGTCTTCTGAGGGTTTTGTTGTCAGGTGCCTTCAAATACTTTCTCAACATCTGAGGAAATTAGAAATAAAATTCTTTTACAAAATATTGGTAACTCAAATGTTAGGACTATTAATCAAATGGAATTATTCTATTCCTGGATTTTTATATCAAGCAGACTACTTTGGAGACAGTATTAACTAATTCCTTGAGTAACTTCTGTAGTGAAAATTCAATAGAATTAAATATATTTAAACCACTGACTAATAAAGAAGTCAGGAAATGTGACTCTCATTTTTGCAAATAGAAGTCAATACATTGTTGAATATTCTGCCTCTCCAAATAATATGAATTGTGATTGTCATATTTGTACCATGAATTTTTATTTTCTTATCTTCTTCTGTATGTCAGTGCAAATATTGATTCCATAAAACATATTTACAGATGGCTTGAGTATTAATGCTCATGGTTGGCTTTGAGAACAAGTTGAGTAGATCTTTGAGGATCACAGTTTAGGGAAAGAGCTGGATACATATATTATGTAATGCTGATTGTGTGTAGGTAGTCCATATTATAAATCTAGCTGAGTGAAAGAGTGCTATATTATTTTTAGAATATACGAAATATTCTGAGAATAGTCATCTCTTTACATTGAGAGTTGTCAAAGAAGAGCCATGAAAACAGCAAAGATTGTTTTTAAGGAAATAATCCTGAGTCTTTTCAACATGAAGCAATGAATAAGAGCATAACACCTGACAAAATGGCCATAATTATTTTACCTGACTTATTTCAAAATGCTTATTAGCCATCAATAGCAATTGCCTTAGAAAACTATTAATATTGCACTCGAAATCACTTAATACTTTACCTTACTGGTGAACACACTACAGATTTTTCTAAAATTTTTAATGAAAACTGATTGATACAAAAAAATGATGCTACTTTCTATAAAAAGTTGTAGAACTTAAGCCAGATACATTTTGGAGACTCTTTACAAAATTGATTTTAGTTTTATAGCAGTCATTTGTTATAGCATTTGTTGGAAAGTAGAGTCAATACCTATTGATTTCACATCTGGTTGATAAAATAAATTAGCATAAATGAGCATAGTGTGTATATTCCTAACCTCTATAAAAGAAGGATCTGCATTAACATATTCTAAAAGTAGGCTCAACATATATAAAGATACTGTTCTGAGCCATAGCTCAGAGTACAATACAGCCTTTCTATCACTCCAACAAATAATTATCCTAAAAATGTAAACTTTCTGTTTGAGGAGGATATAACTGGTACAAAGAGTAGACCTGATATCAATTAATATATTGGTTTTAGTTATGAGTGGCTGTGCTTTGGAAATGAGATATATTTTATTCTCTACTCATCTACATTTGATTACACTTGACCCTTAAATGACACATAATTTAGGGGCACTATCCCCCTTGCAGTTAAAAATCCATGTGTAACTTTTGACTCCCCAAAAACTTAACTATGTACTAATAGCTTACTATTGACCAGATGTCTTACTGATAACAGCAATAGTCAATTAAAACATATTTTGTATATGTATTACATAATGAATTATTACAATAAAGCTAGAGAAAAGAAAATGTTATTAAGAAAATAATAAGGATTCCCTCTTTTTCTATTGATTGGAATAGTTTCAGAAGGAATGGTACCAGCTCCTCCTTGTACCTCTGGTAGAATTCGGCTGTGAATCCATCTGGTCCTGGAGTTTTTTTGGTTGGTAAGCTATTAATTATTGCCTCTATTTCAGAGCCTGTTATTGGTCTATTCAGAGATTCAACTTCTTCCTGGTTTAGTCTTGGGAGGGTGTATGTGTCGAGGAATTTAACCATTTCTTCTAGATTTTCTAGTTTATTTGCGTAGAGGTGTTTACAGTATTCTCTGATGGTAGTTTGTATTTCTGTGGGATAGGTGGTGGTATCCCCTTTATCATTTTTTATTGCATCTATTTGATTCTTCTCTCTTTTCTTCTTTATTAGTCTTGCTAGCGGTCTATCAATTTTGTTGATCTTTTCAAAAAACCAGCTCCTGGATTCATTGATTTTTTGAAGGGTTTTTTGTGTCTCTATCTCCTTCAGTTTTGCTCTGATCTTAGTTATTCCTTGCCTTCTGCTAGGTTTGGAATGTGTTTGCTCCTGATTCTCTAGTTCTTTTAATTGTGATGTTAGGGTGTCAGTTTTAGATCTTTCCTGCTTTCTCTTGTGGGCATTTAGTGCTATAAATTTCCCTCTAAACACTGCTTTGAATGTGTCCCAGAGATTCTGGTATGTTGTGTCTTTGTTCTCGTTGGTTTCAAAGAACAGCTTTATTTCTGCCTTCATTTCGTTATGTACCCAGTAGTTATTCAGGAGCAGGTTGTTCAGTTTCCATGCAGTTGAACGGTTTTGAGTGAGTTTCTTAATCCTGAGTTCTAGTTTGATTGCACTGTGGTCTGAGAGACAGTTTGTTATAATTTCTGTTCTTTTACATTTGCTGAGGAGTGCTTTACTTCCAACTATGTGGTCAATTTTGGAAAAGTGCAGTCTGGTGCTGAGAAGAATGTATATTCTGTTGATTTGGGGTGGAGAGTTCTGTAGATGTCTATTAGGAGAATTTTAGACCAATATCCCTGATGAACATCGATGCAAAAATCCTCAATAAAATACTAGCAAACCGAATCCAGCAGCACATCAAAAAGCTTATCCACGATGATCAAGTGGGCTTCATCCCTGGGATGCAAGGCTGCTTCAACATACGCAAATCAATAAACATAATCCAGCATATAAACAGAACCAATGACAAAAAACACATGATTGTCTCAATAGATGCAGAAAAGGCCTTTGACAAAATTCGACAACTCTTCATGCTAAAAACTCTCAATAAATTAGGTATTGATGGGACGTATTTCAAAATAATAAGAGCTATCTATGACAAAGCCACAGCCAATATCATACTGAATGGGCAAAAACTGGAAGCATTCCCTTTGAAAACGGGCACAAGACAGGGATGCCCTCTCTCACCACTCCTATTCAACATAGTGTTGGAAGTTCTGGCCAGGGCAATCAGTCAGGAGAAGGAAATAAAGGGCATTCAATTAGGAAAAGAGGAAGTCAAATTCTCCATGTTTGCAGACGACATGATTGTATATCTAGAAAACCCCATCATCTCAGCCCCAAATCTCCTTAAGCTGATAGGCAACTTCAGCAAAGTCTCAGGATACAAAATCAATGTGCAAAAATCACAAGCATTATTATACACCAATAACAGACAGAGAGCCAAATCATGAGTGAACGCCCATTCACAATTGCTTCAAAGAGAATAAAATACCTAGGAATACAACTTATAAGGGATGTGAAGGACCTCTTCAAGGAGAACTACAAACCACTGCTAAAAGAAAGAAAGGATACAAACAAATGGAAGAACATTCTATGCTCATGGGTAGGAAGAATCAATATCGTGAAAGTGGCCATACAGCCCAAGGTAATATAGATTCAATGCCATCCCCATCAAGCTACCAATGACTTTCTTCACAGAATTGGAAAACACTACTTTAAAGTTCATATGGAACCAAGAAAGAGTCTGCATTGCCAAGTCAATCCTAAGCCAAAAGAAGAAAGCTGGAGGCATCATGCTACCTGACTTCAAACTATACTACAAGGCTACAGTAACCAAAACAGCATGGTACTGGTACCAAAACAGAGATATAAACCAATGGAACAGAACAGAGCCCTCAGAAGTAATGCCGCATATCTACAACCATCTGATCTTTGACAAACCTGACAAAAACAAGAAATGGGGAAACAATTCCCTATTTAATAAATGGTGCTGGGAAAACTGGCTAGCCATATGTAGAAAGCTGAAACTGGATCCCTTCCTTATACCTTATACAAAAAATAATTCAAAATGGATTAAAGACTTAAATGTTAGACCTAAAACCATAAAAACCCTAGAAGAAAACCTAGGCAATACCATTCAGGACATAGGCATGGGCAAGGACTTCATGTCTAAAACACCAAAAGCAATGGCAACAAAAGCCAAAATTGACAAATGGGATCTAATTAAACTCAGGAGCTTCTGCACAGCAAAAGAAACTACCATCAGAGTGAACAGGCAACCTACAGAATGGGAGAACATTTTTGCAATCTACTCATCTGACAAAGGGCTAATATCCAGAATCTACAATGAACCCAAACAAATTTACAAGAAAAAAACAAACAACCCCATCAACAAGTGGGCAAAGGATATGAAGAGACACTTCTCAAAAGAAGACATTTATGCAGCCAAAAGACACATGAAAAAATGCTCATCATCACTGGCCGTCAGAGAAATGCAAATCAAAACCACAATGAAATACCATCTCACACCAGTTAGAATAGCGATCATTAAAAAGTCAGGAAGCAACAGGTGCTAGAGAGGATGGGGAGAAATAGGAACACTTTTACACTGTTGGTGGGACTGTAAACTAGTTCAACCATTGTGGAAGACAGTGTGGTGATTCCTCAGGGATCTAGAACTAGAAATACCATTTGATCCAGCCATCCCATTACTGGGTATATACCCAAAGGATTATAAATCATGCTGCTGTAAAGACACATGCACATTTATGTTTATTGTGGCACTATTCACAAAGCAAAGACTTGGAACCAACCCAAATGTCCAACAATGATAGACTGAAGAAAATGTGGCACATATACACCATGGAATACTATGCAGCCATAAAAAATGATGAGTTCATGTCCTTTGTAGGGACATGGATGAGACTGGAAACCATCATTCTCAGCAAACTATCTCAAGGACAAAAAACCAAACACCGCATGTTCTCACTCATAGGTGGGAATTGAACAATGAGAACACATGGACACAGGAAGGGGAACATCACACACTGGGGCCTGTTGTGGGGTGGGGGGAGGTGGGAGGGATAGCATTTGGTGATATACCTAATGTTAAATGACGAGTTACTGGGTGCAGCACACCAACATGGCACATGTATACATATGTAACTAACCTGCACGTTGTGCACATGTACCCTAAAACTTAAAGTATAATTTTAAAAAAAGAAAATAATAACAAAGAGAAAATACATTTACAGTACTGTATTTATTGATACTGTAGGTTTACACCATCTGGTTACAAGATGAATTGTCAGTCTGAAATGGTGGGCAACCTCAGCAGCAGACCTCAGTCTATGGTATACATCAAGGAATTCAACTTTTTCTCGTAATGTCGTGAGTTTTCTCTGCTTCTTGTGAGCACTTGCAGCATCATTAGTGGCACTTTGTATGGGTCCCATGGCATTATTCAAGATTTATGGTATAGCACTAAATGCGATTAAAAATACAGGAGAACCACAATAAGTCACTTTGTATTGTGGTATGCAATTTATTGGAGAGATGAGCTGCTCACAGGATGATTAATGTCACTGTTTTAAACAGATACTCAACACTTGAGCTCACTGCAATAGCAACAGAGGGTGGCTACAAGATTATTACAGTAGTAAAGCATTTATTACAGGTCATTTTATGCAGTCAATAGTTACTACCACACATCTGCCTTTGTTTAGATTTCTCTCAACTGCAAATGGCCCCATGTATGTTCTACAAATGTTTGTATGCATAACTTTTGATAAATTTGAAATTTTTATAATAGATTTGTATATATCTTATGGTAGTAAATGATCAAATGGAATAGTATCTACATTTATTTATGCATTCATAACACATCTTTTTCTTGATAGTTTTACTATTTCTGGGCTATGTAGTTTGCATGTTTTTCAAATTGTCACAAATCTAAAAACAATTCCAATATGTTTATTGAAAAAAATTGTGTATAAGTGGAGTTGTATAGCTCAAACTGTGTTATTCAAAGGTCAACTGAATACGAGTAAGATTATTGCTGATAAACAGAGTGGATAAGCATCAAAATCCAATAAAATTTTCCAATTATCTACTGGACCCAAGCTTCTCAAGTCTCTGAGTTATATGAGTAGTAACTCTTTTAAAATCTGATGTCATTACTCTTTCTAATGTCCAAACTTAGGATTTTACTCACATATAAAAAATTGTTAGGAAGAAATTTCCACATATTTGGTTTTACATGACAAGGAAATGGAACATAAATGAAACACTTAAATCAAGCTTTACCCATGATGCTTTCTTTATACAGGTTTTTACTATGCATAAAGACATTTAGATGCTAAAGCAACTACAATTTTACAACTCTTGGAAGAAAGACAATTGAAAGGAAAGGAGTCAAAACAAATGTACTAGAAGGAAACCAGTATTGCCATCAATATATTTTTCTACTTTTAAAGCACTTTTATGAAGGCAAAATAAAAATGCGAGTATTTAATAAAACAAGTTTAAATGATATTTTCCAATATTGACGATACAGTACTCTTAATAGCCTGAATTTTGAACTCACAGGTTTAACCTCTAAGGCTCTTCATGTAAATAAATTACCTTCATGCTTTCAAGGCACAGAAGGAAATTTGTGTTCACGATACTGGGGTCTACTGTCGCCCCTGCATGTCAAAGGAATTATTGGGATTATTAGACAAATGTTTGTTCTTTGTGTTTCCCAAAGATACCCTGTACAGTGTATAAACTTGTGCTATTTCTCACTTCATTTTATGATATTATTCAGAAATTTACAAGATGATGCAATGGAGTTCACTCAATTATTGAGTTTTGTACATAGTCTAACTATAAGTAAACCTCAACTCCTCATTTAACAACAATTTCAGAAATTATACACTTACAGATAGAGTGAAAATAAATTAGAGGAGCCCAATAATACCTTTTATATCCCTGCTTTTCTCTTTTTTGTAATAAATTTATTTTAAAGGTAATGTGGCTTAGTAAAAAATGCATATGCTTAGGAGTGAAAAACACTCATTTATAATCCTTGCTGTAGCCCTTGATACCTGAGTGACCTTGGGGAACTTACTATTACTGAGCTTCCTTTACCTCATTTTTTAAGTTGAGCTAAAGACACTTACCTTATACCAACCATACTCTCAGACCAAAGTGAAATAAAAATAGATATCAACAAGATCTCTCAAAACCACACAATAGCATGAAAATTAAACAACTTGCTCCTGTCGAGTAAACAATGAAGTCAAGGTAGAGATTAAAAAATTCTTTGAAAACAGAAACAAAACATATCAAAATCTCTAGAATACAGCAAGAGTAGTGTTAAGAGGAAAGTTTGTAGTGCTAAATGCCTATCTCAAAAAGTTGGAAAGATGCATTAATCTTTAACTATGCAAAAAAATTAAAAATTTAATTAATCTCAAACTAATGACCTAACATCACACCTAGAAGAACTAGAAAAAGAAGAACAAACTAACCCCAAGCTAGCAGAAGAGAAGAATAAAATCAAAATCCAAAAATCCATACAAAGGACCAACAAAACCAAAAGGTGATTAATTGAAAGGATAAACACAATTGATAGGCTGCCAGCCAAATTAACAAAGAAAAAGACAGTCCAAATGAACATAATCAGAAATGACAAAAGTGACATCATAACCAATCCCACAGAAATACAAAAGCTCCTCAGAGACTGTTACAAACACCTCTATGTATACATACAAGAAGGTCTAAAAACAAAAAAAGAACAAATTATTAAAAACGTGCAATCTCCGAAGCTTGAATCAGGAAGAAATTGAAACACTTAACAGACCAATATTGAGCTCTGAAATTGAGTTAATTAAAAAAAAAAAAAACCTACCAACCACACACACACACAAAAACCCAGACCAGAGGGATTTATGGCCAAATTCTGCTAAACATACACATAAGAGCTGATATCAATTCTACTGAAACGATCTCAAAAAATTGAGGAGGGACTCTTCCCTTACTCATTCTACAAAGCCAGCAACACCCTGATACCAAAACCTGACAAAGGCAAAACAATAAAACTACAGGCCAATATCCCTGATGAAAATAGACACAAAATTCCTCAACAAAATACTATCAAACCAAATTAAATAGCATGTCAAAAAGTTAGTTCACCATGATCATGTAGACTTTATTACTGGGATACAAGGTTGGTTCCACATACGCAAATCAATAAATGTGATTCACCACATAAACAGAATCAAAATCAAAAACCGTATGATTATCTCAATAGATTCAGGACAAGCTTTCAATAAAATCCAACATCCCTGTGATAAAAACCCTCAAGAAACTAGGCATCAAAGGAACATACCTCTACAGCACACTGATGGGTCTTGACTTTTTATCCAATTTGCCAGTCTGGGTTTTTTAATTGGGGCATTTAGCCCATTTACATTTAAGGTTAATATTGTTATGTGTGGAAATTTGATCCTGTCATTTTGATGTTATCTGGTTATTTTGCCTGTTAATTGATGCAGTTTCTTCATAGCGTCAATGGTCTTTACGATTTGGCACGTTTTTGCAGTGGCTGGTACCAGTTGTTCCTTTCCATGTTTAGTGCTTCCTTCAGGAGCTCTTGTAAGGCAAGCCTGGTGGTGACAAAATCTCTCAGCATTTGCTTGTCTGAAAAGGATTTTATTGCGAAAATCCTCAATAAAATACTGGCAAACCGAATCCAGTAGCACATTAAAAAGCTTATCCACCATGATCAAGTCGGCTTCATCCCTGGGATGCAAGGCTGCTTCAACATATGCAAATCAATAAATGTAATCCATCACATAAACAGAACCAACAACAAAAACCACATGATTATCTCAATAGATGAAGAAAAGACCTTCAACAAAATTCAACAGTCCTTCATGCTAAAAACTCTCAGTAAACTAGGTATTGATGGAACATATCTGAAAATAATAAGAGCTATTTATGACAAACCCACAGCCAATATCATACAGAATGGGCAAAAACTGGAAGCATTTCCTTTGAAAACCAGCACAAGACAAGGATGCCCTCTCTCACCACTCCTGTTCAACATACTGTTGGAAGTTCTGGCCTGGGCAATTAGGCAAGAGAAAGAAATAAAAGGTATTCAATTGGGAAAAGAGGAAGTCAAATTGTCTCTCTTTGCAGATGACATGATTGTATATTTAGAAAACCCTATCGCCTCAGCCCAACATCTCCTTAAGCTGATAAGCAACTTCAGCAAAAAGTAAAGAACAGGAATAAGACAAGGATGTCCACTCTCACCACTCCTATTCAACATAGTACTGGAAGTCCTAGACAGAGCAATCAGATAAAAGAAAAAAATAAATAAAAAATCCAAATAGGAAAAAAAGGAGTCCAACTGTCTCTTTATGGACAATTTGATTCTATATCTTGAAAACCCTAAAAACTCCACCAAAAGACTTCTGGAACTGATAAATAACTTCAGCAAAGTTTCAGGATACAAAATCACTGTATAAAATTTAGTAGCATTTCTATACACCAATAACATTCAGGCTGAGAGCTAAATCAAGAATTAAACCCAATTTACAATAGCCACACACAAAAAAAATAGAATACCTAGGAATATATCTAAACAAGAAGGTGAAAGAACTCCACAAGGAGAGCTGAACTCCACAAGGAGAGCTAAACTCCAAAACACTGCTGAAAGAAATGATAGATGACACAAACAAATGGAAAAACATTCCATGCCATGGATTAAAAGAACCAATATTGTTTAAATGGCCATACTGTCCCAAGATTTAATGCTATCCTTATTAAACCACCAGTGTCATTTTTTACATAATTGGAAAAACCTATGCTAAAACTCATATCAAACCAAAAATGAGCCCAAATAGCCAAAGCAGTCCTAAGGAAAAAGAACAAATCTAGAGGCATCACATTACCCAACTTCAAACTATACTGTAAGTCTAAAGTAACCAAAACAGCATGGTACTGGTACAAAAACAGACATATAGACCAATAGAATAGCATAAAGAACATAGACATAAAGCCACACACCTACAGCCATCTAATCTTCCACAAAGTTGACAAAAATAAGCAATGGGGAAAGGACTTTCTATTCAATAAATGGTGCTGGGATAGCTGGTTAGTCATATGCAAAAGAATGAAATTGGACCCCTACCTCTCACCATATACAAAATTGACTCACGTTAGGTTAAATATTTAATGGTAAGACCTCAAACTATAAGAATCCTAGAAGAAAACCCAGGAAACACCATTCTGGACATGGGCCTTGGAAAAGAATTTATGACTAAGTCCTCAAAAGCAATTGCAAGAAAAACAAAAATTGACAAGTAGAACCTGATTAAACTAAAAAGCTTCTGCACAGCAAAAGAAAGTATCAATGCAGTAAAAGACAACCTACAGAATGGGAGAAAATATTCACAAACTATGGATTCAACAAAGGTCAAGATCCAGAATCTATAAGGAACTTAAACAATTTAATAAGCAAAAACCAAATAACCCCATTAACAAATGGACAAAAGACAAGAATAGACATTTCTCAAAAGAAGGCATCAAGTGGCTAACAAACGTATGAAAAAAAGCTCATTATTATGGATCATCAGAGAAATGCAAATGAAAACCACAATAAGATACCATTTCACAGCAGTCAGAATGGCTACTATTAAAAAGTTAAAAAAAAAAAAAAAAACAGATGTTGGCAAGGCTGTGAGAAAAAGGAACACTTATACTCTGTTGGTAGAAATGTGAAATTAGTTCACCCACTGTAGAAAGCAGTTCGGAGA
This sequence comes from Homo sapiens, assembly GCF_000001405.40. Classification (NCBI taxonomy): domain Eukaryota; kingdom Metazoa; phylum Chordata; class Mammalia; order Primates; family Hominidae; genus Homo; species Homo sapiens. The sequence continues at coordinate 63,328,357 of NC_000005.10, read as the reverse complement.
TATCTCAAAGAACTTAAAGCAGAAATACCAGTTGACCCAGCAATCACCTTAGTGGATATATATCCAAAAGAAAATAAATTGTTCTACCAAAAGACACCTGCATTTGTATGTTTATCACAGTGCTATTCACAATAACAAAGACATGGAGTCAACCTACGTGCCCATCAATAGCAGATAGGATAAAGAAAATGTAATACATATATACCGTGGAATACTATGCAACAATAAAAAAGAACAAAATCATGTATTTTGCAGCAACATGGATACAGTTGAAGGCCACTGTCCTAAGCAGATTAATTCAGGAACAGAAAATCAAATACCGCATGTTCTCATTTATGAGTGGGAGTTAAACACCAGGTATTCATGGACATAACAACAGCAACAGTAGACACTAGGAACTCCTGGAGAAGGCAGTGAGGAAGGGAGGCAAGTGTTGAAAAACTTAACTATTGGAAACTATTCTCAGTACCCAGGTGTTGGGATCATTTGTACCCCAAACCTTAGCATCACACGATATGCCCAGGTAACAAACCGGCACATGTACCCTTTGAATATCTAAAATAAAATTTGAAAAGGAAAAATAAAAAGGATTCTTACTTTATAGCAATGTTTCTTAAACTTGAGTTGTACCAAAACCACCTGGAGACCTTGTTAAAACACAGATTGTTTGGCCCCACCTTCGGAATGTCTGATTCAGTAAGTTTCTAAAATTTTATTTCTAACAAGTTCTCAGGTGCTGCTAATGCTGCTGCTGGTTTAAAGACCACCACTGCCTTGCAAGATGATGGGATTTGAAATAAAATTCTCAAACTATAAACACTCAATGAATGACTACTTTTGTCATTGTTGATTTATTCATATGGAAATAATGTATGGTCATTTTGAAACTTTACAAAATCAAGAAAATATTAAAAATTAAAATAATCCATATCCTACCTTCAGCCTTTATAACTTGGTCTCTTCACTGTTTTCCAGCTTAACTAGCATTTCTACCTGTTTGTATTAGTTCTATCCATCTACTCCTGACTGAGGGGTTATACATTTATCTCTGACCTTTCATTACACATTCTTCAATACTGAGCACAGATTATATCTTCTCTATGAATATTTCCTAGTAGGTATTGACATAATTTACATTTTCTCCTCTGAACTCCTGAACAAATTGGAAATTAGACAAAAGACCTCAGAGATTAAAGTGCAGTATTTGTATAATATATATTTAAGAAAATCAAATCCACAGAGATTAACCAAGAGGACCAAAAAGGAATGTTCCCATGACCAGGAGGTCGTTGTTTTTGTAGAGTGCCACCAAACTCTTGGCCATTGAATATTTACATCCGTTCAGTTCAGTTGCTGGACCACCTCTGTGTGAAAATTTCCCATCTGGCAGGAAGAGATGTCTCGTTCTATTTTCTGCAAACTTCAAGTATACATCTTGATGGGTTAAGTGCAACAAAAATTATAATTAACTTATAGCACAGCTATATGTTAATTCAAAGTCCATTCTCAAAACCTAAAGTAAGGTACAGAATTCTGTTTACAAAATGTGACTCATGTTTTATTGGCTCACTATGAACATAGTTTATTTAAAATTTGCTTGTAAGCTACAGCAAACCTTGAAATCACTGAATCATTATTTCACAAAGACATGGGCAGAAGTATTGATTTTTATTTTTAATCTGGAAGCATAAGTCTGTGTTTTTTCTTCTTTTTCTGTTCATTACACCCTTAGCTCCTTCTGAGAAAACTGTGTAAAAATACAGTTTCTCAGGTAGGGATAAATTATATTATTAGCCAGTTAGCCTGTGCTACCCACATGAAGGATCAGCAGTAAAAGTGCAAACCCAGCCTTCCTGAATGCAGGAGAGCTAAGGAGGTCATTTGATACATTATTTTATCATTGTTCATTATTTATGCTCTTATTCTAGTAAAACGTATATGATCATGTTACTATAGTCAACATTTATTCTGAATGACATTATTAGACCATTGAGTCATGTTGCTTAAGCATTATTCCAATTATGAATATTAGTACTAGACTCCAATTGTTTTACTGTCAAAATTTATATTCCATAAGCTACAGAAATCTGTATATTCTCAACCTAGTAAATCTACATACAGGAATTTATCCTGAGGATATAGTCATCAGTAAGTACATGGAAACAGAAGCAAATCAAGGTTGTTAAATGCAGGTTTCTTATAATGGTGGAAAACGTAAGTTATATAATGACCAAGGAAGTAAGTTTGTTAATAATGATACATTCTCAAAGGAAATACTTTTTAATATTAAAAAATTGTTGTGGCCATGTGTGCTGTAATCCCAGCACTTTGAGAAGATGAGGCAGGTGGATCACTTGACGTCTGGAGTTTGAGACCAGCCTGGCCAACATGTTGAAAGCCTGTCTCTACCAAAATTACAACAATTAGCCAGGCATGATGGTGCATGCTTGTAATTCCAGCCACTTGGAATGCTGAGGCAGGAAGACTGCTTGAACCCAGGAGACAGAGGTAACAGTGAGCCAAGATCATGCCACTGCACTCCAGCCTGGGTGACAGAGTGAGACTCCATCTCAAAAAAGAAAAAAAAAATGTTGAATAAATAGATAATTGACTTAGAAAAGTGTTTCCCAAAATGTGTTCCATAAAACAGCAGTCCTGCAAGATGTTCTTAGGCATTTCATGAGGAAAAAGATATTTGTGATTAAATGTGTAGGAAAAGCTCGGAACACTTCCAGTTGTGAGAAACAATATAGCTATTTCAGTCTGCCTTACATTCTTAAGCAAATATCTTGGCTTATATAATTGAAAGTCTAAAGGAAGTCTAAATATGCAGCAATACTCCAGCCAAGGCTCCATCTCCATTACTCTGTGAGGATGCTCACAGCTCTGTCTTTCTCCACATGTTGGCTTCATCTTCAGGCTGGCTTTTCTCATGGTTATAATTGTTGGGGAAATATAATTAAAAACAAAATCTCCTCCCAACCTAGAAAAACTCTTCATAAAGTTAGAAAGAAAAGAACATGCTACTACTGAATAAGCATTAAATCACAATGCACATAGGCATCACAAGGCAATCCACCAAGAAATTGCAAAACCAGAAAGAAATCTCACTCTTCTATGTAGCCAAACGGATACACCCATTACATACATGTTCTTAGAAAAAAATAACCAGTCCTCTGGCCGGGCGCGGTGGCTCACGCCTGTAATCCCAGCACTTTGGGAGGCCGAGGCGGGTGGATCATGAAGTCAGGAGATCGAGACCATCCTGGCTAACAAGGTGAAACCCCGTCTCTACTAAAAATACAAAAAATTAGCCGGGCGCGGTGGCGGGCGCCTGTAGTCCCAGCTACTCGGGAGGCTGAGGCAGGAGAATGGCGTGAACCCGGGAAGCGGAGCTTGCAGTGAGCCGAGATTGCGCCACTGCAGTCCGCAGTCCGGCCTGGGCGACAGAGCGAGACTCCGTCTCAAAAAAAAAAAAAAAAAAAAATAACCAGTCCTCAACTAAGAAGACTTGACAGTAACATTTACCACACACATAGTTCATCCTAAATTCACTTAGTTTTTGGGATAGTCATCTGTATTAGCTAATTGGCTTTCACATCTTTATAACAAGAGGTAATTGGCAACTTGGAATGAGGTGCCCTGTGAAATCAGGCTCCTAACCTCTCACAGAAATTGTGAGATGGGGGTGCTATCTTTCTCAATGATTACTTCTCAAAGAGATGGCTCTCAGATTCTTGAGAAAAGACATTCCTGGGTCACAAAATGGGCAAAAGTCTTATTTAGTTTTTAGAAGAATTTACATATCAAAGAGTCAGAGAAAAAACTTAATGAGTTTTCTAAAGTAAGTGTACTAGGAAAAGAAAGGAGGAAAGTCATTTCCTTATTTTCAACAGAGAGAATTAAGTCTCTCCTTTTTAATTTGTATTTGGCCTTATGCAACAAAGCTGCCAGCCCCAATCTGGGCAACGTGATTCCTCAGCCAGATCAGGAATAGGGGGAAATAGAAAGAGAGGATATTTTCCCCAAGTATAGAGCAAAAGTCCTTCTCTTTAATATTTGCCAGATTTTTGAGTAAATCTGGCAAATATTTGGAGGTAAGGAGAGCACTGAGAGTATTCTCCAAAGCTGTGCCTCTCTAAGGGTATGTGACAGGACGGTTTTAAGGGGCAATGGAGAGGGAAGAGGATGTGTTGTCTTATGTAGATGAAGGTTCCCAGTTGCACAGTTGAGGTGAGTCAGCATGCCAGTATATAGGTCCCATGTAATGGAAATGAAGCTATAGCTCCTCCCAGGATGGAGACTTTAGCATGGTAATGAGGCAAGGACACTGGGGTTCATCTATAAGTTCATCTGTAAGTTGCCAGGAGTTGGTTTCAACCTAGTAGGTGACTGTATTTATGGTATTTCATGAAAGGTTTGGGAAAAAACAGGCTGCAAGGCAGGAGGCTGTAAAACAAGCTGATTGTTCAAGTTGCTTAAATCCCTATAGTTCCTGGAGACCTTCTCTGTCTGCTTACAAAAGAACGACGCACTTGTTGGCTTAGAAGTGGTAAACTCTCAATCTCTCAAACAATAACTCTGACAAGAGAAATTGGAATGACCTGACTGGTTTCAGTTTTTCAGAACACACTCTTGGAGGTAGAGGTAAGTTAATTCAGCTTAAACCACTCAGATATCAAACAATGCAGGAGCAGGAGGTGTACCATAGAAGGTAGGGCAGGGAGCATCCATCCTATCATAAATCAGCAGCATAATTGGAGATAATATTTTCAGATTCTCATCCCACCATTCCTTCTTTTCTTCTACCTGCCATCCAGGTGGTGGTAAGGGGCTGCACATCTATTCATTGGTGCTGCCAATGCCCAGTGCTATCCTAGAACTCTTCTCTTGGATTGACTTCCATGCTGTGGTTCATATTTTGATATCTTAAGTGAGGTTAAATCATCCTTTATTGGTGAATTCTATATCAAGTAATGGCCAAAAGTAGTTACTAAAGCCAAGGCAAATAAAAAAGGAAATTACATTTTAAAAATCTGCTAGCCTCAGAAATGGGAGAAAATTGCTAATAGCTAGAAATATTTTCTTGTGTAGTTTGTGAACTTCCCTTGAACAATAGCAGCATTGTTTAATTGGATGCATTTTCTCCAAAGGCACTGTTTGAATGTGAATATATATATTTGAATGTAACTAAGTTATAAAACCCCCATTTTAAAAATGTCTTGCCTTTACAGTAAAGGAAAGCAGTATTTGGGGGATACACTAATTATTAATATACAAGTACTCCCAATTTGAATATTATAAACTTCTAGTCTATACTGCTAAATAGTCTAACCAATATTAAATGTAATCTCTTGCAATCCTTTATAAATTTAAACCTCACTCACTTCTTGGCATCCTGGTTGAATCATGAAATACCACCTCTGGTGGATATCACAGCTATAAAATGTTAGTTGGCTAGATTGTTGCATTTTACTTAGCTGTTAGAAGCAGCGTACAGATATTTTAGTGCATCCCAGTGCACTAATAATAAAGACTCTAATTATTCATTTCAATACCACAAAATTATGTTGTAAGAAAGTTAGAATTAGAGAGGATATTAGTCATTTCCTTTGTGTTCCTGTGGGTAAAGGTGTAATGATGGCTAATTGTATATGTCAACTTGACTGGGCCATGGGATGCTCAGCAATTTGGTTAAGCATTATTCTGAGTGTGTGTGTGAAGGTGTTTCTGGATGAGATTAATGTTTGAATTGGAGACTGAGTAAAGCAGATGGCCCTCTCCGTGTGGATAGGCCTCATCCAATTCTTTGAAGGGCTGAATACAGCAAAAAGTCAAAGCAAGAGAGCATTTGCACTTGACTGTATTTATTTATTTATCTTTTTATTATTATACTTTAAGTTTTAGGGTACATGTGCACAATGTGCACGTTAGTTACATATGTATACACGTGACATGCTGGTGCGCTGCACCCACTAACTCGTCATCTAGCATTAGGTATATCTCCCAATGCTATCCCTCCCCCCTACCCCCACCCCACAACAGACCCCAGAGTGTGATGTTCCCCTTCCTGTGTCCATGTGTTCTCATTGTTCCATTCCCACCTATGAGTGAGAATATGCTGTGTTTGGTTTTTTGTTCTTGAGATAGTTTACTGAGAATGATTTCCAATTTCATCCATGTCCCTACAAAGGACATGGACTCATCATTTTTTATGGCTGCATAGTATTCCATGGTGTATATGTGCCACATTTTCTTAATCCAGTCTATCATTGTTGGACATTTGGGTTGGTTCCAAGTCTTTGCTATTGTGAATAATTCCACAATAAACATACGTGTGCATGTGTCTTTATAGCAGCATGATTTATAGTCCTTTGGGTATATACCCAGTAATGGGATGGCTGGGTCAAATGGTATTTCTAGTTCTAGATCCCTGAGGAATCACCACACTGACTTCCACAATGGTTGAACTAGTTTACAGTCCCACCAACAGTGTAAAAGTGTTCCTATTTCTCCACATCCTCTCCAGCACCTGTTGTTTCCTGACTTTTTAATGATTGCCATTCTAACTGGTGTGAGATGATATCTCATTGTGGTTTTGATTTGCATTTCTCTGATGGCCAGTCATGGTGAGCATTTTTTCATGTGTTTTTTGGCTACATAAATGTCTTCTTTTGAGAAGTGTCTGTTCATGTCCTTCACCCACTTTTTGATGGGGTTGTTTTTTTCTTGTAAATTTGTTTGAGTTCACTGTAGATTCTGGATATTAGCCCTTTGTCAGATGAGTAGGTTGCGAAAATTTTCTCCCATTCTGTAGGTTGCCTGTTCACTCTGATGGTAGTTTCTTTTGCTGTGCAGAAGCTGTTTAGTTTAATTAGATCCCATTTGTCAATTTTGGCTTTTGTTGCCATTGCTTTTGGTGTTTTAGACATGAAGTCCTTGCCCGTGCCTATGTCCTGAATGGTAATGCCTAGGTTTTCTTCTAGGGTTTTTATGGTTTTAGGTCTAACGTTTAAGTCTTTAATCCATCTTGAATTGATTTTTGTATAAGGTGTAAGGAAGGGATCCAGTTTCAGCTTGCTACATATGGCTAGCCAGTTTTCCCAGCACCATTTATTAAATAGGGAATCCTTTCCCCATTGCTTGTTTTTCTCAGGTTTGTCAAAGATCAGATAGTTGTAGATATGCGGCATTATTTCTGAGGGCTCTGTTCTGTTCCATTGATCTATATCTCTGTTTTGGTACCAGTACCATGCTGTTTTGGTTACTGTAGCCTTGTAGCATAGTTTGAAGTCAGGTAGGGTGATGCCTCCAGCTTTGTTCTTTTGGCTTAGGGCTTCATCCCTGGGATGCAAGGCTGGTTCAATATATGCAAATCAATAAATGTAATCCAGCATATAAACAGAACCAAAGACAAAAACCACATGATTATCTCAATAGATGCAGAAAAGGCCTTTGATAAAATTCAACAACCCTTCATGCTAAAAACTCTCAATAAATTAGGTATTGATGGGACATATCTGAAAATAATAGAGCTATCTATGACAAACCCACAGCCAATATCATACTGAATGGGCAAAAACTGGAAGCATTCCCTTTGAAAACTGGCACAAGACAGGGATGCCCTCTCTCACCACTCCTATTCAACATAGTGTTGGAAGTTCTGGCCAGGGCAATTAGGCAGGAGAAGGAAATAAATGGTATTCAATTAGGAAAAGAGGAAGTCAAATTCTCCCTGTTTGCAGATGACATGATTGTATATCTAGAAAACCCCATCATCTCAGCCCCAAATCTCCTTAAGCTGATAAGCAACTTCAGTAAAGTCTCAGGATACAAAATCAATGTGCAAAAATCACAAGCATTCTTATACACCAATAAAAGACAAACAGAGAGCCAAATCATGAGTGAACTCCCATTCACAATTGCTTCAAAGAGAATAAAATAGCTAGGAATCCACCTTACAAGGGAGGTGAAGGACCTCTTCAAGGAGAACTACAAACCACTGCTCAATGAAATAAAAGAGGATACAAACAAATGGAAGAACATTCCATGCTCATGGGTAGGAAGAATCAATATCATGAAAATGGCCATACTGCCCAAGGTAATTTATAGATTCAATGCCATCCCCATCAAGCTACCAATGACTTTCTTCACAGAATTGGAAAAAACTACTTTAAAGTTCATATGGAACCAAAAAAGAGCCCACATCGCCAAGTCAATCCTAAGCCAAAAGAACAAAGTTGACTGTATTTAAACTGGGACACGGGTCTTCTGCCTTCACACACGCATTCAGCCTAGAACTTACACCATCAGCTTTCCTGGGTCTCAAGTTTGCTGACTGCAGATCTTGGGAATTCTCAGCCTCCATGGCCACAGAAGCCAATTTCTTATAATAAATATCTGTCTCTCTCTCTCCATTTTTTGTAATGAACATGTGTTATTTAGTAATCAGAAAAATTATTTTAATGACTCAATTTTTCAGTGTATCCATATTATTTCAGATGTAAAACATTGTATTTATGTATTCTTTAAATATATATATATATATATATATACACACACACACACACACATACACATATATATATGCATATATTCTATTCATTCTGGTTTCTTGGAGAACCTTGACTAATACAGTTGTGGTGAGTGAGGGGGAAAATACATATGAAGAATTACTATTTTTCAATGCTATTCATTTATAACCCACAGTATTCATACCCCCACACACATGAAAATCTGCTTTCATTAATTTTGTATTTATATATCATTTAATCTTTGGGGTACAAATTTGAAATAAGTTTTCATACAACTTCACTTCTACTGTTTTTTAATCTGATAATTTAAGACAGAGGCATTCCCTCTATGGTAGGAATTAAAAGATTCCTTTACTAAATACTTCAGAGTATAGAGTATATGTGCTCAACATGGCTTTTTCTTTACTTAAAACTACATTCCAACTGACCCTACCAAGAATAGGTTTCTGGTTGCTTCTCTCTCCTCTTAACCTGTATCCAAATGTTCTTTGCCTTTTAAACAGGCCAGCTTCCTGCAACCATTGCCTACTAATGTGCACATGGACTTGGCTCCTGAGACAGTTCTCTCCTATCCTCACATCACTGGTGATGTGGGAGGGACCCAGCGAGATGTAATCAAATCATGGGGGCAGGTTTTTCCCATGCTGTTCCCGTGATACTGAATAAGTCTCACAAGATCTGATGGTTTTATAAAGGGCAGTTCCCCTGCACACCCTCTCAGGAGCAGTGATGGTCCTAGCTCTCTTCTGCTTGGACCTTTTAACTTGCCTTGGCAGCAGAGCACTGCCAGGACCTACATTTAATGGCCTTGAGGGTCAGACTCCACCTTTTCCCTCCCTGTCTCCCCAGCCAATATTCCCTTGCCTTATCACATACTACTAACTTATCCATTTAGTCAATTAATATAGATCCACTCTGCTGGCTACAATTTGCAGAGTAATAAACAAAAAGATACCTGATCCCATAGAACTTACAGTCCAAGAAGGATTCGGACATTAAAGAAATAGATGATGATATAATTGCAAATTAGAGCAGGTGCTACAAAGGAAAAACAAACAAATACAGCCAACCTTTTTCCCTTTTGAACTCCTTTGTTATTGACCTGAGGGTCTCTAGTAGGTGGACAAAGTATTATGAACTAAGAGTGAGTTAGGGTGATGGAATGGCTTTGTTAACTCATTTCCCCAGGTTTCTCCTTCCAAGGATACCATAAAGCCACAATGAAAGGAGAAAAATCATTTTTCTTCTGGGTCCCAGAAGTAAAGCTGTGTATCACACCTGCCTGGAACATCTGATTGCCAGTTTCTCTCACTTTAGGCCCACCTTTCCTAGTTCTGCTGAATTCATCTTGTACCATACCAGATTCTCTGATGACGTTACTTATTACTTTACTATTAATAGCTTTGTCATCCCTCCTTCTGTACTCTAATAGTCAGTTTGGGGGCATTAAAGCAGTGCGCCTGTGCCTGTCTTGTCTTACAGAAACAGTAGATGTTCCATTTACTTATTTAACACACTTTATATGCCTCATCTTCCCCATAGAGTTCTATAAAAATCCTCGGTGGGAAGGATAGCACACAGGAGAGATGCATTATGCCCTATGCAAAATATTGTGCCCCTGCCCCTCTTACTGTTCCTCTCACTCACCCTTGCTGACTCCAGCTAGCCCATGTACTTCAACTCTCTTCCTCCTTGAATGTATTGTTTCTAACTAATATCTGGCTCTGGTAGGGGTAAGGTTAAAAGGGGGATCCTTTCAAAATTGGGAGTCAGTTATGACCAAAGTATCCTTTACTTGGCCTTTCCATAAAACCTGTTAAGAGAGCATACCACTGCATGAATGCCTAACATATGTTCACTGCCAATGTCAGACTTTGCAGTAGACAAGGCCAGGGCCAACAAACCAAGATACTCAATTATTGGTGCTTACTGTTGTATAGTTTATGAAATATTCTCACCAAGGTTACCTTACTGAAGCCTTCACCTCCCTTTACGCTCCATCCAATCCACGAGATAACTCAGACTAAAGAAAAACCATTAACACAGGTTTTAAATCTGAAAAAAAAATATGAACAGAGTTGCTGAGAAATTGAGTAACAATTACCTTTCTAATTATTTTAAAAAGGCATATTTATTGTAAAAAAAATTATAGAAAAGTATAATGATGATAACTATATCATAATTTACTTAACCTTTACACTATTGTTGAACATTTAGGTAATTTTTAAATTTTGCTATTAAGGAAAAATGCTTTGGTAAACATTTTTGTCCATAAAAGCCTTGTGTACCTTAGGATTTTCTTTAGAAAGGTTTCCCAGATGAAAAATTATTAGGCGAAAGAGATAAGCATGTTTCAGACTCATGAGAACACAATACCAATTATCATCTTAAGTGGTTGTATCTGTTTCTCCTTCTAAGCTCAGTGTTTAACAGTGCCTGTTTCACCACAAATATATAAGCTGGAAGGTTTTGGAAATAATGTGATTATTTAAAAGTAAAAACAGGGATAAAAACCTGGTTGAGAAGGTAACTCAAAAAGATAAGTATACAAAAAGACAGAGTTCATGCATCTGGGAAGACCATATAAATCTGGATTTAGTGGCTATAAAGAGACATTCTGAATGTAAAAAAAAAAAAAGACTTTCTCTGGAAATGAAGTAAGTCATGAGAAATGTTCAACTGTCCTGAACTCTATTCACTTTTAATACCCAAATATCACTGGCTTATATCAATGTCTTGCCTCTCTACTACTCTCATCCTGGTCCACCCTCCCACCGTGTCTTTTGACTTTTGTAATAGATGTGTAACTAGTTTCTCAGCTTTCATTTTGATTCTTTCCAATTCATTTTCCTTTTTATGTATGGTATAGTCTTTTTAAATTAGTTTTTTAACTTTTATTTTAGGTGTGGGGGTTTATGTGAAGGTGGTGAACTGTGTCACAGGGTTTTGTTGTACAGATTATTTCATCACGCAGTTATTAAGCCTAGTATCCAATAGTTATCTTTTCTGCTCCTCTCCCTCCTCCCACTCTTCCCCCATCAAGTAGAACTCTGTTTTTTGTTTCCTTCTTTGTGTTCATAATTTCTTGTCATTTCACTCCAACTTACAAGTGAGAACATACGGTATTTGATTTTCTGTTCCTGCATTAGTTTGCTAAGGATTATAGCCTCCAGCTCCATCCATGTTCCTACAAAAGATATGTTCTCATTCTTTTATGTGGCTGCATAGTATTCCATGGTGTATATGTACCACAGTTTCTTTATCCAATCTTCACTAATGGGCATTTAAGTTGATTCCATGTCTTTGCTAGATAATACATTTTAGCTGAAATTCCAATTTGTTATTTTCCTTATTGTATCTTTTCAGAAGCTTCCCATTACTCTTAGGATACTTTGGGGATAAAGTTGAAAATCTCCAATACTGCCATCAGAGACTTGGATATGCTGGTCTATGCCTCTGTCCTCAGCGTCTAATGCATTCCACTTTCTTGTCTTCTCTCTGCTTCTGACAACTCTGCCTTTGTCCCACTGCTTGGAGAACCCATGCTCTCTCCTATCTCTGGAGAGAGAATATTATGTTCCATCTGCTTAAGATTACTTTCCTTCACCTTCTAACTCCTGTTTATTATTTTTCATCTTTCAGTTATCATATCCCCTGCATAGAAAGCATCCGTATTTTCCCCCAAAACACTTATCACAACTATGAATTATTCTTTCATGAGATTATTTGATTATCCACACCAGTCTACAATTCTTGGTTGTATCAGATCTCTTTTGTTCACCTTTGAATCCTCAGAACCTGGCAAAGTGTCTAGCATCTCACTGAAGCTTAATATTATTTATTTATGGAATAAAAATATCTATCTAATGATGCATAACTTATATCTGGTGGGGAAGCTGGGAGAACTAATAATAAAGGAGACTGACTCCAGATTATAAGGCATGGAAAGTGCTTACATTTTCAAACTGAGCCAAGCCAATTGAGGAGTGTGTGATGCTATAACTGACTTTCAACAAGTTATCTAACTTCTTCGTTACTGAAATGCCTCATCTCTATAATATTAATGAAACCATGTAATTTAAATATTGTCTGATATCAAAACACCATATAACCTTTATGTTAAATTTGATTCAAACTGCTATAAATAGTTGTGCACTTTGATACATATGCCTGTGTGGGTTATAATATAAGTGAGCCAGGAAGGAAATTGTAAGAAAAAGAAAAGGGAGAAGCTATATAAATCCCTGCAGAATGAACTTTGAAGGAAAAATTTCTGTTCTTTTTATTTATGAAGAGGCCTTCGGTCTGAGGCATTTGTTTTATAACAAACTATGTAAACTAATTCAATGGTAACTACACAGTCCTAAGTTGTGTACAACACCAGAGCTGTGTGAAGTAAAGTATTAAAATAGTGTATAGCTAGAGAGAGTTAGTGTTCAAAGGTGTGCTATTGCTATTTTTTAATAAAAGAAGAATAAGTAAAAACTTAGAAAAATAACTTGTGAGTTCTTATTCAGGCAAAACTTCCTCTATAAACAATTCCAGTTTTTCTACAGCCTAATTATTGGCTTCTCTTTTCAGACAATTAGACTCTCCTACTTTATCTTCATTTTCTCTGTAAATAACTATACATTATGACCATGATTCAAATGCATAACTTTGGCAGGGAAAGCAATGATCACATGAGCGATGAGTGCCAATAGGAAATACGAACCTGCAATAAACCATATTTAGGGTTGAAGATAATCTGAATTTTACATAATTTAGGCTAAGAAAATATTTAACTGGCAGTAATCAACTAGGGAAAATTAATTGAACCATCTTTCAGCTTAAAGTATGAAAAAATAGATGCACTGTGGTGCAATTTTCCCATGATATATCCTGGAAGTAGAGAGCGTTTAAATGATGACAAAACACCCGGGGGTTGGAATGTTCAGTTCTTAAGAAAAGTGGTATAAAACTGTGAGAATAAAGTGAAATCTAAGGAGTATGGTGTAATTGAAGAAGTCTTAATTGAGGCCATTCCCATTTCTCTAATCATAAAGCCCTTCAGATGAAATCCAAAGGGTTAAAGTCTGTGTCGTATTATTAAGCAACTTCAGAGCGAGTTACAATTACAAAGGAAAAAGTTCATCCATATCTCTTCGAGTTCAATACTAAATCATCTCTATAAAGCGCTTGCTTGGGACTCCTAGACTCCTCTACTCTTAGGTAAATTTTCACAGGGTCCTTATATAGAAAAAAAAAATGAAGATCAGAGTTGACAGAAATCACAATCAAGCTGAAATTAGCATTATAGCTGTTCTACTTTTGAAGAACTTCTTTTTCTACAAATATTCTGACACAGAAAGAAAAATTCAAACATATATGCAAATTAAAAGAACCTTAAGGATTTTTAAAGAAAAAAGCCAGATGATTGTTTCCTCTGCTTTTTAAGAATGTGCAATTTTTAAAAATGCTTATTTACATAATAGAGATTGAAACTATGTATTTCAGCATATGTTTATAGCTATTGTCAGATAAAGGAAAAGAAAGCAAGAAAAGAGAAGTTTAGGGAAATCTGAGGTATGTTTTAATATCTGTTAAGTACCCACCAACACACTAGAGAGGCCTTAGTGTTCCACAGAAACTGGACTGTATATTATCATGGCCCTCTTATGTTTTCATTATTCCCTTTGTCTGAGGTAAAGCTTTTATTGTCATTTGCGAGCTGCAAAGATCTTTTCAAAATGAAGATTTTTTTTAATCTCCTGAGATATTGCAATAGTACATTAAAATGATTTAGATATTTTTGAAATATAATTTCTCATCTTAGAACAATAAATAAATTTGTCTGTTATTTCTAGTTAAGTGCCTTTAACTTTCAAAACTTCGTGGATGGACTTAGATCAGTCCCTTGTAGACTGAGTACTGTTTACTTCTGTTTTCAGGCCAATCTCTAAACCTTTCTGGATATTGTTTTCCACTTAGAAAATCACTGGATTGACTTGGATGATCTTCAGGATCCATCCTATCTTTAATATTTAATCACAATTGTTGCTAAGTTTACACTTGGAATCAGTATTTATTTATAATTATAAGCATTGCCTCCACATTTTTAAAGTTCAAAAATATTTATTTATTGTTGGTCAGTGGTAATAGGAATAATTCATGTCTTATTTCCTAAAGTGAAAATTTTTCTGAGAAAATATACAGACTCTGGTGACTCTCATTTGATACTCCAATTTGAATGAAGAAAATGCCTCAAAAGCCTCTTGGGTGGGGAGTGGTTTGGGTGCTACAGCTGCCTACTTTAGTCTCCACAGTCTTCCCTGACTTGTTTCCCTCTGACCAATTTAAGCTACTCCTAATTGAACCATGGCTGCCTTTTGAGTCTCTCCATTAATTAACAAACAATATTTTCTCATTATTTTTCTAAGATCAAAGAAAAAGGAATAAGACCCAATCCTTACCCTCAATTAATTTAAAATTTAGAAGTAAGAGTTTGCAACCAACTGCCTATAATATAGAATACCCATGATGAAATAGAGGACAAAGAAACCCATTACAGGAACATAGAGAAATTATAGTTTATTACACTTCAGATGTATTAAAGAAGGCTTAAAAAGAAGGTGTTATTTTAGTTGAACTTTGAAGGAGGAATTGGCTTTTAATCCATACAGTAGCTGAGTATTTCAGCAGGAGCCACAGCACCCTCTCCTCTTCCTTTCCAACCCAAGTGTGTTCTTCATAGATAAAGTATAATGACAGATGACTGAAAGGCCTGATGGTCCATTCATTCAAGTAACAGTCATATTTGTTCTTCCTCTGAGCACCTAATGAGTGCGCACTGGGCTAGGCACTGAAAATTATAGCAGTTAGGAAAATAACATTGTGTCTTCCCTCATGGGGATGAGGATGGGGCATTGATTAAACAATGTTTTTTAGATTTCCATCAACTCTAAGATACTATGAGGAATTAGCTTTCAAACTTCCTATTTATTTCTTATTGAGCTTTATTGAAAAAAAAAGGTAGAAAAAACTGGTTTATGAAGTCATATGCATGGTAGTTAACTTATAATAAAATAGCTACTGAGCTTGAATATATCTAACTTGAAAATAATCAGATGCTATTTCTCTGCATAGCTGAGGAATCTGTAGCAAACACTGAGATTTGGTCTTCAGGCTTTTAATTATTTTTTTGTTTTTATCAGGGTGTGGGGTGGAAAATTTTGAAAATCCATGAACGAAATAAAGAAAGTATCCCAACTGCCTATTTCCTTCCACATACCCCTTAGGCTGTTTTTTCTTGCGTGTGTGTTTTCCTAAGCTTCCCCTTAAGAGATGTGACAGCTATTGTTTATTATTGATTTGGGCACTTTGGTGAGATGGCATATTCAGGGCATTGCATTGGAAAGTATGAACCAGAGAAAATAAGAACAAGAGGACCCCCCAAAGTTATCAATAATCAAAACTATAGGATTTTAAGCTATACTTTCGAAATGGAACAACTAGCCCACAGGTGAATAGAAATGTCTTTTACACATTCCCAAATGTATGGGAAAATATGTGGTCCATATGTGACCTCTTCTTATCCTCTGTACAAGACAAACGTCATTAACTAAAAATGATGCTTTTTCCTAGCTGAGCCTGAACGCAGCATCAAAATTATTATAAAGTTAGTGCCATGAAACTATTCTCAATCAGAATTATTGAACACATGAAAACCTATTTACTATCAGTGACCTTGACCAAAGATGTCATTTCACAGATATAAAAACAGGATAAGAGTGTATTCCTGTCATGTCCATTTATTTAATTAATGGCAAGACATGAATAATAGCCTATGAGTTTGTCCAAGTCTTTTCCTTAAGAAATAATTCATTCATCCAATGTTTATTGAATACTTGCTATTTGCTAGATGAGGCACTAGTTTCAATGGCTTTTAAAAATATATCAGTGAAATAAACTTTAGTTTTTATGATTGAGGGGAAAAATTTAAAGTTATGAATTTAGACATCTCTAGTCAACTTTGAAAATAAAACACCTTCTAAATTTTTCCAGAAGTGCTGTAAAGGAAATAAATAACAGATTCTTAATTACTATTTAGTTTTTCTAGACTACTTGGTTTAAATAGGTCAAATTTTTATAATGCTGAAACACTCTGATTTTTGATATTGTACTATTGTATTTATTTCATAGTTACATTGAGCTTCTTAAATAATTACACTTCTACTGGAATTATAGCCTTGGGACTTGTTATGAAGGAACTTAAACTAAGCTGGAAATCAAAAGAACAGGGTTCTAATATCACCTCTGGCACTAATTAGCTATGTGACATTGGCCAAAAAATTTGATCTCAAAGGTCTTAGTAAAATTAAAGTGGAAAAAGTGACATTAAAGGTTATTTCTGGTTTTAACAATGACTAAAAGTATAGCATTAATATTTTATTATTAAATTACTTTAATTCTAAGTTTCATAGTTCTTATGTTTTAATTTTGTAGATTATGTTTGTTTATATCTACCATTTTAGGTCCATGCTAGTCTGTTTACAAATAAAATCAGCGAATAAAAAAGGAGTCAGGATATATAATATTTGAATAATCCACATGAAAATATTAAGAATAAAAAATTTGATTATTGAAATTAGAATTAAAATAGATAGGATAAACACTGGTACAGGTACTGCTGCAGGAAGAATGAAAAGAAGATAGACAAAAAAAATGAAGACAGACCTGAAGAAAATGTACAGAATGAAGCACAGGGAGAAATACACAGTCTGCACTTTTTCTTTTAGTTTAAATTCACGGACATTTTCTAAAATTGTCCACATTAGTATACTAGTGTTAGATCATTGCTTAAAAGTCATAAAGTGTTTTTATGAAGTTGATATAATTTATTAACTGATCTCTATTCTTGTGCAATTGAGTTTTAATTACTTTTGCTCTGTGGTATTCTGGCATTCAATATTGTGAAACAGATAGCTAAGAACAGTCTAACTCTTGGAAAAGATGATTTTTTTAGGTCATAGGTCCACAGCAAAACTGAGAGGCAAGTACAGAGATTTACCATGTAAATCTCCTACCCTCACCCATGCTAGCCTCTCCCAATATCAACATCCTGCACCAGAATAGTATTCCTTACAATCCATGACCCTATGTTGACACATCATTATCACCCAAAATCCACAGTGTGCATTAAGATACACTGTTAGTGTTGAACATTCTATGGGTTTTGACAAATGTTTAATGACACGTATTCACTGTTTTAGTAAAATACAGAATATGTTCACCGCCCTAAAAATTGTCTGTGATCTGCCTGTTCATCCTTGCCTCCCCTCTAATCTCTGGCAACCACTGACAGTTTTTTTTCTTTCTTTTTTTTTTTTACTATCAATCACCACAGTTCTGTTTTGTCCAAATGTCATATAATTAGAATCATACAGTATGTGGTCTGATTTTTTTCTCCAATGTGAAAATATATTTTTTTCTTTCTCAATTCTTTTTTTTTTTTTTTTTTTGAGATGGAATCTCACTCTGTCTCCCAGGCTAGAGTGCAGTGGCGCGATCTTGGATCAATGCAACCTCCACCTCCCAGGTTCAAGCGATTCTCCTGCCTCAGCCTCTCTAGTAGCTGGGACTACAGGCGCGTGCCGCTACGCCCGGCTAATTTTTTGTATTTTTAGTAGAGCCGGGGTTTCACCGTGTTAGCCAGGATGGTCTCGATCTCCTGACCTCGTGATCTGCCCGCCTTGGGCTCCCAAAGTGCTGGGATTAACAGGCATGCCACTGCACCCGGCGACTCTTTCACAATTCTTATAACATCTGTTTTGCATTTTTTAATCTCAGGAATTTCCTGAAGTAATATCTAATTGTCCGCTCTTCCTTTCTTTTTTCTTATAATTTATGGATTATTTTGATATTCAAATTCAGGTCTTCTCCCATTTCAATAATGCATTTTTATTATTATCATCATCAACATTATCATCATTGTATTTGAATACTCTTTCTGTTCACTCTTGGAACATCAGTTATTTGTTTTTTATACCACCTATTTAGTCTTTAGAATATATATTATTCTCTCTGATTCACTGAATTGTGGATGCATCTCAAACTTGTTAATGTAGATCTAATTTTATGCAGAATTAATACTATTGTTCTTTTCACTGACTCTAAAGTAGTTGGTAATTTCTTTATGAACATGTCTTACACTTTCCAGTTCTACTCTGCTTGCTGGAAGTGTGGCCAGTTAAAATCATATGTACATATAGTTTCACTGCTAGCTTTTACAAATATGAAGTTAACTAGAATTTCTTTGTTTTCTTTAATCTAATACATAATAGCCATTTAGTTGGCATTTTAGTTCATGTGTTGGGAGTGGAAGTCTTTATCAATGGAGTTTGTGTGTATACTGATTTTGACAACTTTGTTCAAAATCAATTTATTGAGGACTGTTCAGAGTCTGAGGTTTAACCGTACCTACAAACTGACAAGTAATACTGCCACACTTTCATGGATGCAGGCAGAAGACTTGAGACCCCTGGGTCTGAGACAAAGTACTTTTTACTCAAACCAATAGTAGTAATGGTTATTAGCATTTTCACCAGTTCCTCTAACTCCAATTCCTTCAGAATAATATAACTAGGGCCAGGTAACAGCTACAAACACAGTGGGTTTTGTTACAGGAGAGGAACCCCAAGCTTAGAAAATCTGAACTTTTTACAATGGACAATAAGCATACCTGAAGGAAGCATTATCTTTATTATACTTTGGCATAAGCAAACCACCCTTTGCTCTGGGAGTGAAGACAGTATGTTTATTTTCTAGTTACTTGCTATAGTACAAGCATCTTTGAAAAGACAGTCCAGAACAAAGGAGTCAATGCTTCTGCGTGCAAGATGTGCAGAAACAACAGAGACTATGAAGAGGTGTCTCCTAATACATACAAGTTAGAGTTCAGTTACACATAACAGAAATCCTAACTAATGATGGTGTAGATAATGATATATTTGCCTCATTCCTCATACAAAAGTGTCCAGGGGGATGTGGTCCCATGCTGGTTTGGTGGCTCAGTGACACCATCAAAGATCAGGCCAGCCTCTACCTTCCTTTGGTTTTTATTCATAAGCGCCAGCCTCTACCTTCCTTTGGTTTTTATTCATAAGCGTTCTGCTCCATGGTGGCAACATGGCTCTTACACTCCACACATCATGTCCACATTCAAGATGGGGAGAAAATGGAAATCTTCTGAATCAAGAAAGCCAAAACCTGTCTTGAAGACCTCAGCTTGTGCTTATTCACCAAAATTATGTCACATAGTTTTCATAATTGCATAGTAGTTTGAGGAAGCAGGTATTGTTCATCTGGGCATTTTATTCTTGACTATTGTGTGATAATCCTTCTTCTTTAATGGCTCTCAGTATGCTAGTATTCCAAGTTCTGATCGCCAGGTGGTTGAAGAATCTCTCTGAGATTCTATAAGTGGTAGCTCCACTGCTATAGTTTTCTTTGTCTTGCTAGGTACAATAGCTACTGCCCCTGGTGAATCAGCAAAGTAAAACAAAGATTTGTTTTGCTCCGTAGTTGGAGAAGTGCATTGCTGCACCCAGGGTATTTACAATGCAGAGAATCACTCCTCATTTCATAAATGTTGGAACAGGGACTAAAAGATTAAGTGATTTCCAAAATGTAAATCAATATCAGAAACAGACCTAGAATGCCAGGGTGCATAATACTGATTTGTATTTGATGCTGTTTCTATGGGTACATTACTCGTTCTAAATTGTTATTGATCTTTCTCTGAAAAAAAAATCTCCTAAAGCACTGTTCAGTTATCTCTTATTTGTGAATTTGTCTAGATCTTGACTGGTGCATGGAAATAAATGTGAAAATATTCTCCTCTATATTTTTCTTATTGCCTGGGAAGTTAAATAGTCAAATACTCATTACTACCAGTAATGAGAAGAAGGAATGGATATCCTTTTCCAGCTCATCAGACTTATGTTTTATTTTTCATGTAAAAGCTTGAGTATTGTCCTGCTACATAGGAAAGTTAAGGCAAGAATTTAACCCAACTCTACCTTTTCCACAATTTTAATATTTCTATAAAAATGTCTCACAATTAAAAGATGGCCCAGAAAACATGTGTATCCTTACATATATTTGTTTCCCAAATATATCCCATGTTACAATGCAATGGTTCAGAGCAAGATCTTTGTAATATGAAAAATTTGCGTTTGAATTGTCACTCTGGCACTTAAATCAGACCATTTCTGAATAAGTAGATTTGTGTGTCTAGGTATATGCTTAATAATCAGGGCCTTGCTTAATGCCAGGCTTATCTCATGGCTTAGCTAGATATAATCTCAGAGATCATTTGATCAAATAAATAAAGTGACCTCATACTTCTGGGGGCATCCTAGAAGACAGGTACTCATTGAGAAATTCAACCCCCTCCCCCATCTAACCTATCTTTTTCCTCTTTTCAGAAGTGTTTCTATGCTGTCAAACTTTTTCTTAGTTCCTTGATACTCTCGAGTAGTTCTGATTCCAAAATTCCTAAGGAAATCATGCTAATATCCCAATTCCACAAGGGCAGAGTGTGGTGTAAAATGAACAAGAACACTTTAATACACTGAATAAACTGAGAAATATAAAGTTTCTCTTTGCAATGTAGTCAGGATGCTAAAATTAGCTCTGATCTGCTGTCCTCACTAACTCAGTGGGTCAGAACTCTGATTTTTGTGGCTAACCACCAGCTAGTGTCCCTAAGTATGAACCGCAAACTGCACATACTTTATAAACACTGAAATACACACATCAAAAATATCATCCTGGTCTTCATGAAAAATATTTGTGGATTTTGGGATAAGTAATATTGTATGTACTTTTATTACTAGACATTAGAGAACAGCATATTTCCAAATGTCTAGTAAACTTTAAAAGTACTGTGATTTTGTTTTAATCCAATAGCTAGTGGTCATAATTTAAATTTAAATTGATTTAAACTGTCTCAACACAATACCAATACAGATGATGACAAATGAAGTGTTTAATCAAACTGATCATTTAATTTCATAGTCAATATAAGTAAGTGTTTGGCTAGTTCCACAAGTTTTTTGTTTTATTTTTATTGACCAAGGTTAAATCTTTTATTATGTAATAAGACCGATCCAATACTGCCTCCAAAAAAGTGTTAGTAAGTACCTCCTTAATACCAGTGCCTTATTCTTTCTCTCTCTCAACAGGTAGTGTGCAGCAGTGCCTATTATCTTCAGAACATTATTCTTCATTCTAAGGAATCAAAATAATGAGTTCTTAACTCTGAGGGAGAAAGTTCACAGTATTACATGGAACCTTATTATTTAACTCAGAAAGAAAAATGAAAGCCTAATTCTTGATTATAACTGTAGGTAAACATCAATAAATGTAGTCATTTGTGAAATTACCCTAGGACATTTTACAAACTGCTTTTTAAAAATCTTAGAAAAACTGTGGAAATTGCTGAGATAACATCTACTTATTGCTATGTAATTACTCCTGAGGTTGTGGCAGAGGTGGTTCCTCCAAATGAGTGCACTTTCCACAGAAATGACGTCCAGTGGAGCTCTTTTAGAATCAATGTATATTCCACCTTTATCATTTGATTGCATTTTTACATAAATGTCTATGAATTAACTCTAGACTTCAATAGCTACCTTTCCTACCTGCCTCCTCCAAGCTTAATCCCAGAAAGGAGTTTGTAGCCTTAATGACCTGTCTACACCTGTTTTTACAGAGTGAAGCCTGCAGCATGGCAGAACAGTAGCAGTGTTTTGTGCTTGTCAGATAGAAAACCCAGCATCCCAGAGAGATGAAAGGACTCGTGTCTATGGACTTCCCCCTATGAAGTGTGGCCTACAGCTGGACTCTTTTCATGCCGGATATTTAGCCCTGTTATATGACTGCTCTGTCACACATACACACACACACACACACATGAGAGAGAGAAGGAGAGAAAAAAAAATCTCACTGGTAGCATATGATGACCTGGTCCTACAAAATATTAATGCTGTCTGCTAGAATTCTACTGTAAAGGAGCTATAAAACAGTTTGAAGAGTTTGAGAAATCAGACTCAAATATGAAATAAGCAAAGTGCTATCAGGCTACTAGAGACCTATTTTTTTCCCTGTCTTATTGAAAACAGGATTTACAGGACAAGGGGAAGAAGATAAAGTCAAGATTCTTAATCTCTATGTGCTTGGCATCAAAATGATATCAAAATAGTATCAAAGCTCAGGTCTGGGATGCTCCACAGCACTTTGACAGTACTGAACTTTTATATCGCTACAACACCTGCAATTGCTGAAGATGCATCCAGCTCTTCAAATAATTCTATTGACTTTAATAAAAATCTATGTATCTTGTGACCTAACCAGTTGGTGCCTGAAATTCTAGGAACATGGAAAACAAAAATAAGATCAAGAATTTTTTTTTATTGTAAAAACTGGCTAACCATATACAGACGAATGAAACTGGACCCCTGCCTCTCACTGTGTATGTACAAAAATTAACTCAAGTTGGATTAAAGACTTACTTAAACGTAAGACTGCAGACTAAAAAAACACAAAGGAAAACCTAGGAAATACTTTTATGATTAAGTCCCCATGAGCAATTGCAACAAAGATGAAAACTGACAATTGGGACCTAATTAAACTAAAGAGTTTCTGCACAGCAAACAAAACCATCAACAGAGTAAACAGCCTACAGAATGGGAGAAAATATTTGTAAACTATGCATCTGACAAGGTCTAATATCCAGAATCTATAAGAAATTTAAACCGTTGAACAAGAAAAAGAAACATTAAAAAATGAGCCAAGGACATGCACAAGCACTTCTCTAAAGAAGATAATGGAAGCAGCCAACAACCATATGAGAAAATGCTCAACATCACTAATCATCAGAGAAATACAAATCAAAACCACAATGAGATAACATTTCACATCAGTCAGAATGGTTAAAAGAAAAAAAATAACAGATTTTGGCGAGGTTGTGGAGAAAGAAGACACTTATATACTGTTGATGGGGACATAAATTAGTTTGGCCATTGTGGAAAGCAGTTTGGAGATTCCTCAAAGAACTTAGAACTACTGTTAAGCTCAGAAATCCAATTACTGGGCAAATATCCAAAAGACAACAAATTATTCTACCAAAAAGATGTCCAGTCACATGTTCACTGCAGCACTATTCACGATAGCAAACACATGGAATCAACCTAGATGCCCATCAACAGAATATTAAATAAAGAAAATATGGTACATATATGCCATGAAATACTACACAGCCATAAAAAAGCACAAAATCATGTCTTTTGCAGCAATGTGGGTGCACTGGAGGTCATTATCCTAAGCAAATTAAAACAGAAGCAGAAAACCAAATACTGTATGTTCTCACTTATAAGTAGGAGTTAAATATTGGGTACAGTGGAATAAATATGTGAACAATAGACACTGAGGACTGCAAAGGTAGGGAGGGAAGGAGGTGAGAAAGGGCTGAATAACTTCCTATTGAGTACTATGTTCATTATTTGGGTGTCAGGATCAATAATAGAGGCCCAAATTTCAGCACCACATAGTATATCCTTATAACAAACCTGCACATGTACTCCTGAACCAAATTTCTAAAAATAAATTTAAATTTTTTTTTATTTAGGATCTTATTGGTTCAATGTGTGATTCCTCTTATGCATATGCAAGTTACTTCCAGTCCTTATATTTTGCTTACTGACACAACTACATTAAAACTCCGACTCTGAAGAGTTCATATATATGTAGATTCTATTTTAGAAGGTAAGTTAGTTAGCAATTATTATTGACTGTCCTTCATCGAATATTCAAGAGAAAAAATTCAGAATTTAGATAAATAAAAATCTTGCTTGATAATTATGTAAACAGTAGATATGAGTTATTAAAAGATAACTTTTTCTCTTTCTGCTTGCTATGCATTTTTGTGTCAGTAACTTATAATGCAAAGAATGTTTTTCTCCCAGTAGATCTATACAGCCAATAAAGCTTGTGGGTAGAGAAGCTGGGTATTCTCATGCTTCACCTACAAAGCTTACTTTTAATTGCAGAATTTGTGGTTTATTGATGATGCTAGGTAGAGAGCGCACAGCTTGATGTTCACATCACAGGCTGGATTCTCAGCTCTAATAGTTTTTAAAAATCAGCCTGC
The DNA here is from genome assembly GCF_000001405.40 of Homo sapiens. Lineage (NCBI taxonomy): Eukaryota > Metazoa > Chordata > Mammalia > Primates > Hominidae > Homo > Homo sapiens. Next base: position 63,303,631 of record NC_000005.10, on the reverse strand, counting down.
GATTTCAAAACTGAAAATGCACAGTATATGTAAATAAGAAAGAATAAGTATGGAAATCTTCAAGGTCAGACTCCTCAGATTCTTGTCACATTTCAAAACTAATACAGGAGAAACTATCTATGATATTGTAATGATGCTTCAATCATTTATTTACTTGCTCCTCAAGTACTTTGTGATCGTCTACTACGCATCAGGCTTATTCTGCTACCTGGACATAAGCGATAAAATGGGCACCCCCAAGTTCCTCATGAAGCACAATATAAGTATTATTAAACAAAAATGTAGGATGCTTGAGAAGTTATGACAGGAGAATCTGACTATGGACATAAGAAAACGTTTCCCCGAGGAAAGTCATTTGAGCCAAAATCCAAATACCTATAATAAGTGGAAGTTAAGTAAGTGAGGATGCCAGTGGAGGTGGTTTGCCAAGAACAGCATGTTCAGTCCTCAGAGTGGGAGAAGGGATGGCTCAGTAGTGAAAATGAACAAAGATTACTATTATTGGGACAGATAAATTAAGAGGGAATCACAGGAAATGACAATAATTATGTGAGTAAAAACCTACTAAATGCTTTTAAGCATGGAAGTAACAAGATAAGAATTAGGGCTCGAAAAGACTTGCATGCAGTAAAAAAAATGAATTGGAGGGTGTAGAGCAAGAGTGATTGCATGGAGATTCATTAGGGGGCTTTTGCAGTCTAGTTTTGAGATGAAGGTGGCTAGAAATTAGATTGGAGTGGATAATGTACAGAGAAGAAGTCAGATTCTACATGGTAAAATTAGTAGGACATAGTAGTAAGTATGATAGAGGAACTGGGGAAAAGGAAGTGAAGCAAAAGTAAATATGAAGAATATTCTCAGATTTTTAACTTATGCAAATGAATAATTATGTTACTTACCAAACTGAGGAATACTGGAGGAGGGCAGATTTAGGGGGAAGATCATGAGATACGTTTTGGACCCATTGCATTAGAGGTGTTTTTGAGAAAACTGAGTCAAGATATTAAAGACATGGTTGGATTAAAAGGTCAAACATTAGGTGATGATACACATTTTAGAGTCATTGGCATATGGTTGGATAGGAAAGCCATGCATGTGTGATATGTTCCTAAGAAGAGAATATTAAAAAGGAAGGAAAAAGATGGCTGAAACTTGAGGAGCTAAAGGAAAAAGGAAAGGGTCTAAGGTGAAAGTAAATTTGATCCAAGTTTTTGATTGTTTTAAGTTTGGAAGGATGTAAGCTTGCTATGAGCAAAGAATAAATTATTGACTTCAGAAACAGTTTCTTTTCCCAGAAGGCGTATGCTACTTTTTTTGAAATTCATTCTTTTTTAGAAAATACATAATGTATTCCTAGAATTTTTCCTTTTTAGAGTGTTCATCATGAGAGAAATGTATAGTCCATTAAAGTATAATCAGAGATTTATAAGCTAGAAAAAGGGTCAGAAACACCTTGATTTTGGACTTCTGGACTCCTGACTGGGAGAGAATAAATTGCTGCTGCTCTAAGCCACCCAGCTTATGGCACTTTTCCTGGCTTCCCTGGGACCCGATATAGGCTGAGTTGACGTGACCACGCTTACGTACCATGCCCACGTTCACAGGGAAAGGTGACACATCCCTCACATTGATCCGCGGGACGTTTTCAATCAGCAGACCAAACAGAGGCAGGTGGAGGGTGGCTATCCTTGCCTGATGACTCTGAAAAGAAGACATACATGGTAAGTTTGGCCCAGGATTCTGAGAACCGAACTAAGTTGGCGCTGACCATCTCCTTTATTTGGATCCTTCCTATAAAGACAGATATTTGATTTTAGTCCCAAAACAGAGCAAAATCTTAGTGCTGTTACCATGAATTTTCTAACTGATTACTTTCTTTACACCACTTAAAATAAAGGACATTATTAATGCACATTCCTTCCATTGGGGACCACTCACCCTTGAAGCATATCTGTCATCAAAAGAATGCTTTATCAGCAGGTTCTTGAGCACACTGATGGCGATCAGATGGAACTCCTGGAGGGCTGTCCCCACCTCCCTCAGTAACAGTCCCACCAAGAAGTGGTTTCTGCAGAACTCATCTGTTAATGAGTAGTCAAGCTGGAGGTCTGAAATGAGGATAGAAACTACTTGAGTTAGGAAAGATGCAATGCTCTTTGAATAAAAAAAAAAAAAAAAAACTAAGACCCATCCTCTGCATTCAGCCCAACCTGGGTGTCAAGAGATGATCAGACTTGGCTTCAAATGAGAAAGGATCAATTCTACAAGGCTGCTCTACTTCTTAGCATGTGAGGATCTTAAATGAAAACCAAATTTAAATACAATTAAGTGCACTGGATTTTGGAACATATTGCATCCTACATAATTAAATTAGTGAACAGTTTAAGCACCAATTTTTAGACTAGAGCACAGCATATGTTACATTACAAATACAAGTTTGTTATCGACAAAGTTAAAAACGTTATTATACTGGCTAACAGAACTGTATAAGAGCAGTTTGTGCATAACAAACATGTAATTAAATAATAAACATACATGGCTTATTAAAATGGTATTACATGAAAAAAAAAAGAAAAAGGGTCAGAAAAAGAGTAATCTGGAAACAGTAGGAAAACCAGATTGTGATGTCATTGATGCAAATGGAAAGAAAGATTTCCCGGAAAGAAGAAGGGGACAATATTATTGAGTGATGCTGAGGGGTCACGTAAAGTGATCATTAAATACAGTCATTTAATGGCAAAGCAATCATCAAGGATTATTTTGGTAGAGTTTTAAGAATGGAAGCCAAATGTTAATGACTGAGGAGTAAATGAAAAGTGAAAAAATTGAAACTATGGGTGTAAGCTATAATTCTGAGAGACCAATGAAGAAGAGGAAAGGGTCTAAGGTGAAAGTAAGTTTGATTGAAATTTTTGATTATTTTAAGTTGGGAAGGATGTACGCTTGCTATGAGCAAAGAATAAATTATTGACTTCAGAAACAGTTTATTTTCCCGGAAGGCATATGCTACTCTTTTGGTTTGAAATTCATTCTTTTTGGGAAAATGTATAACATATTCATAGAATCTTTCATTCTTAGAGTGTATACATAACAAATTAACTATTTTGAAATTGATCTAAATTGATTACTGATATATGATTGAATTATCTAATCAAATGGTAATTTGTACACTCTTAGAAAAAAAGTCTCATTTGTTTTTTGTAAGTTGTCATTTAGGGTTCAACCAGGGAAGAAAAATCGGCAGGAAAGATAAGATATTTTATATACACACACGTACACACATACATATACATATATATAAATTTGGGGTAGACATAATTCAGCCCATAGCATCATGCTTCTGACTTAACACTTTAAAGAGTGTATGTCAGATCCAGTTACTCAAATTCTACATTTATTTGAGTGACTAGGAATGTCAAACAGTTTCAAATCATTTGTCATTACACTCAATAAAACCAAAGGTAAGAAAAGATTTTCTCTTCATCAATAGAGAGGCAGCATCCTTCCCCTCAATAATCCACACTCAAGGGAGGAAAAAACTTTCTTGGGCAGCTCTTCCTACTCACTTATCACCTTTCCAATGAGGCCTGCCATGACCACATATGCCTTATCTCACCTTCTGCCACAACCAATGTTTAACTTTGATCTATGTTTTTATAGTACCTATCATAGAACTTCTATATATATATGTTTATTTTTTATTTTTTCCTATTGGAATCTAAGCTCCATGAGGACAAGGATTGTTGTCTGGCACTTAGTAATGCTCAATAATGTAATATATCCTTATTCCACTAAAAAAGCTTCAATTTACTTATTTCCATTTTTTATATTATTATGTAGATCAGATCATAGCCCTTAAAAATGGAAAACTAAGGGAAATTGAGACATGAACTTTCCAGGATATGAGGAAAGAATCTAAAAAACAACATCTCTGTGTAATTCTTTTATCAAACAATTAGAGAAATAAATTCAAAGTCCCTTAGAAGAGAATTTATACTGAATGAATTCATATAACTCTCAAATAATATTAGATACGTTATTTTCCTATGAGCATTGTTTTTCCCGTTCAAGAAATATATAGTCATTAGGGAAGATATGGAAGAAAGAAAAGTCTGTAATATAAATATAATTGTAATATGTTAAATAATTCCTTTATGTGCAAAGTAAAGGAAAGCAACATGTCTGGTTATAGAATTAAACTGTTGCTGGAGAAGTTGAGATATGAAATAGAAGGAAATGCTATTTTGACAAGTGGAGGTGGAGGAGGGCCTTCCAGGTGGCCAAAATTAAATCAGAAAACCACAGAGCCATGAAAGCCTGGGTGTAATGAACATTACTTATGCTGATTTGACTGAACCCAGGGTGCATGTTGAGGCATAGTAGAAAATTTAACTAGAAATACACATTGGAGTGAGAGCATGGAAGACCCTAAATGGCCATCATAAGTTGTTGGAATTTCGTAAGTTAGCAACAGGCAGTCATTGAATGTTTCCTGTAGAAGACTCTGCTAGTATGCAAGGAAGATTAATCTGGCAGTATTGAACTGATTTTGGAATTTTGAAAAAAAATTGATTTTTAAAATAAGTTTACTGTTATTAGCTTATAACAGTGAAGCATTTAGAGAAGAAAAGTGCTCTAAAATGATTTGCAAGCCTCTGTTTTCTTATCTCTAAAATGAAGGAATAATAGTACTTAATTCACACAATAATCGTAGAAATTAAATGAGTTAATATATTGCCATTTAAAGTAGTGGCAAAAACTGCAATTACTTTTGCGCCAACGTAATAAGTAAAGCACCATTGAAGTGCTCTGCAAAAGTTTATTATTACTGTTGTTGCTATCTATTTGACCCTGGACAAATTATTTAACCTTTTTGCCTTGGTTTCCTTATCAATAAGATGAAGACAGTAATAGTAACTGAGGTTACAAATATTTTTAGAGCTTAAATATATTAACAGATTAAACTCTTAATTGCCAGGAACATATGAGGTGATTAATAAAAGTTAGCTATTGTTATTATCATTTTTATTACTCTCAATGTATATTAACATAATTGGGAAACATCAGGAAAAAATTTAAAGTTCTAATGTGTTCATACCAAACTTCATATGACATTTTTTCATAATTTAATACTTGACTGATTATAACTACCCACTGAAACTGTCCCCAAATAGCATGATCTTCCTTTCCAAAGTATCTTTTGACCTACACTGCTTACTTATTTGGTTTGGGTCAGCACGAATATGTTGACAGGTTAATAAGTGGAGGAATTTTCCAGGGGAAAAAAAAAGATGATATTTACTAAATACTTAGAAAAAGTTTTAAGGACTTTTCTGGTGGGGGGAAAATAGACATTGGAAATAAAATTTTAGGATAATTATCCTAATCAACAAATTAATCCATCAGCAAATTTTAATTGTATGGTTACTTTGTACAAAGTACTAAAGTATGTGCACTGAAAGGTATGAAGAAATTAATTAAGGATAAGGCATAATTCTAATTTAAATTAGATTTTTTAAAAATTCTTTAGAATTTAAAGTTTTCTAAAGCTGCATAGCAAATTACTGCAAACTTTACTTAAAAAAATAGAAATGTTTTATCTCATGGTCTTTGTGTGTCAAGGGCTTGGGTAGAGTATAGCTGATTCTCTGTTCAGGGGTCCTTAGGCTGAAATTAAGGTGCTGTATGGGGTGCATTCTCATCTGGAGATTAGGATATTTTTTCTGGCTCATTCAGGTTGTTGGCAGGATTCAGTTCCTTTTGAGGGAGGAACCGAGATCCCCATTTCTTGTTGGCTGTGGGGATGGGAGTGGCTTTTAACTCCTAAAAGCTGCCTTTGAGTCCTGGTCACATGCCCCTCTCACAACATGGAAGCTTATTCTTTAAAGCCAACAGGAGAATCTTTCTCCAGGATGCTAAGAAGGAGTCTTATATAACTTAATGTAATCACTTGAGTAACTATACAAACTTTGCTATGCCATTAGCATCATTAATCATATTAATGGTGCCACCCCCAGTCAAGAGTATGAAATTATACATGGTGGGCATGCCAGGGGGCAGGAATTTGGGGACCATCTTAGAATTACACCTATCACTACATGAAAATATAAAAATATCTGAAATATCTGACAGTAAAATGTAAGGGGGCAAACCCTGGGAGGCAAGGCTTACAGGGGAGAGTAGAGAGAGGGGCGGGCATTGGGGAGAATTTCCACAGAGAAAATAGAAGAGGACAAAGAGTCTGAACAAGATTCGTGTTGGCCATCATTTCACCAAAACTGCTTGCCTCCGTCAATATTCCTTCTATCCTAGAAATTCTGACTCAGCACCTACCCAGAAACAGCGTAATGGGAATTTGTATGTTATATTGGTATTTCCTGAGTATTTTCTCACGTAATGTTATTTCACATTTCTTTAATTCCACTTCAAGAATTGAGAACTTCCCATGTCCTCATCCCCATTTTCTCTTTTTATGACCCCCGCCATTCCTAACATACGGTGCCAAACTCAGTGCCGCTGAACTCACTGCTCCCCAATCCCAATCTTTGATCAAAAATCAGACACAGCAGGAAGATCTAGAATTGTCTTTGGCTACACAAGAGAAAGCTAGCTGGATCACCTTCATGGCCCTTAGTTTCACTTCAAGTAAACAGACCCTTCAAACAAGTGTTTTTCACCAAATCTTTCAACATTATCCAGTGATTAAACCAAGGAGTTGCTAAAGAATACTAAAGAAAATGGTTGAAGTAGTGAATTTTCCATTGTTGGGCAAAGGCCCTGATATGTTTTCAGTGCCTAAAGCCCATTATGTATGGAGCTTTCTGAGGAAATATATCCCCAGAATTTTGAAGATAGAATGAAATGAATGTTTTCCAGAAATTTTATTAAGGAGCTTGTCTTTTTTTTTTTTTTCCCTAGCCTTATCCATGCTCTTTGGGAAGGACAATAACAGGTTGTGTCACCTAGTCTTCTGCTTTTTTTAACACAGCATGCAACTTTCATCCTACACATACTCTATTCATACCAAGGAATAAGAAATGTTAAGTGCCTTCTATGTACTTTGTGAGCTGATTTACTCCTCACAATTAACTCATAAAGTTAGCACATTAGTATCCCGACTTTAGGGATGAAAATTCAAGGTTAGAGACGATAAATTGCTTAAGATCACCTAACTAGTAAATTGGAGAGCCTAGTTTTAAACCCACAACAAATGGGATCAACATATTGACAATGATGAGAGAAGTCATCGTATAACAACCATTGGAAAAAAAGTTTAATGCTAGAAAAGATAGTTCAATTTGAATGTGAAAGTATTATGCTGAAAATATATTTAAAGACTGTTACTCAGAGATTAGAGAGGGCAGTGGGCATTTATTTTTTTATCTTCTCAGAAACATATTTCTCTAGGCCGGATAATTTTCTACTACTCTACACCCACTAAGTGGTTCTGATGGAAGCCCCAGTTCCAGTACCCTATCTCCTTGACTATAGTGATTTCTCTGGCGACAATCTCTTAATCAAAGCAGAACCAATTGTAGCACTTAAGTTACTTTCTGAACACAACTGACAAGAAAGAGTTTATTTCCTCTTAGATAACTACACTGCAGAAATATGAATATGAAGTAGGCTGAGACCATGCTCCTTACCACACAAAGTTAGCTTGTATGCAGAAGATAAGAATGAAGCTAACATAGACAGGAATCAAGAGATGGGAAGAGAGATCTGACAGCTTGCCAGTCCTTGGATTCACTTGTCTCCCAGATGAGGTTTACTCCTTTTTTTAACCAGGTTACCTACATATGCCAAAAACTCTCCTTGTTCATTTAAACTAACTCACTTTAAAAGCCCTAAAGAATAGAAGTTGACACAATAAGAGGTCTGTACCATTTACAGGGTTGTGAGATCATGGAGAACCATACTAGAAAAATAAGGTAATTAGAAAGGAAGATCTGAGAGACATCATGAAGAAAGTATCCACCAACTTTGAAACAGGATGACCTTGACAGGATAAAGAAAAACGGAGATTCCAAGTTTAAGAGAGAAGCAAGATAACTGGTTAGGGCTTGATGACATCTTATGATTTACTGTGCTGTGGTAGATAGATACAAAGGTATCAACTAAATTTTGCTCTATACCTAGGACACACACCAGCTCTCTGTGCAAGGCACTTAATGCCTTCACTAAGCTACTGCACAAGCTGACTCTGACAACTCTCCAAAGCAGCCATATTTGTCTGATGTTTACAATTCCTTGCAGACCCCAACAACCAAAACGTCGTCATGCCACTGTTTATGGACTTACTCTCTTCCCCTTGAATGTTCCCTCCTCTAAGTGGTCCAACGTAAGGTCAAATCCTGCACTTTCTTCAAAACCTCTAAACCTTTCCTGGCATCGTCTTTATCAGATAGCACATCTCTATGAGACTTAGAAAATACTGTTTTGCCTTGCTATTTTTCTTGTTGTATGTAAGTAAATCCAAACATACCTAACAAATTGAAGAGCCATCTATTTTTTGAGCCCTAGTCGCATAATGTTTTTTTTTTAATATATGTGTGTGCATATGTTTTTGACACATTTCAAATAGTATATTAACTACAGCATGCCCTGGACAAAGAAAAACACTTGAGTATAAATTTACTTATACTTCATTTATTTCTATTTCTCTTATTTTAAAATTTCAAATGAAAAACTCCCTTTTCTATTAAAAGCAGTTCTATAGTTTCACAATATTCAGGTAGGTAGGTCATTACACCACTTTCTCTTTATCGTAAGAGACTCAGTTAGGAGTTTAGGTTTGGGCCCTGCCACTTCCTAGCTATGTGACCTTGAGCAAGTTCATTTTCCCTATACATCCCAATTTTCCTCTCAGTAAAGCTCAGGTAATAATAGCTCCTCTCTCATATGGATTTTATAAAGATTCAATAAATTAATGCATGTGAAGTCCTTAAAAGAGTTTTTGGCACATGGAAGACCTCAGTTTCATCCATAGTATTACATCATCATCATGATGATCATTTTCTATGTCTCTAAGAAATATTGTAGTAGTACCAGAGTTTTAACAAAATCTCTTGTTTCATATGCAGAAAGTTACTGTTTAAACAGGCACCATATTTAAATTGAAAACAATGGAAAAGAATTGAAAAAAATGTTTTTCTGTACAAAAAGAGGTCTTAGGATAAGTAATTTTTTACCACTACAAAGTGCAAATAGTCTGAGATGAGAGATTTATGCAAATGTCCCTGAACTATAACATACAGAACTTTCTTGTGACCTGAATTGCTGGTAAAAATACTGGTTCTCTGTGTTTTTCTTAGTAGAAGCCTCAGGGATTCTGTTTCTGTTTGCACATTATTTTCATGATATTGTTGCTATTTTTGCAAAGAAGGAATTAAGCTTTCAACAAATCTTTATTCAAATTGGCTTCATATGTCTCATTCTTAATGCTACAGTCAACAAAGAAAATCTGGATTTCCTTGTGCCAAAGTACAATTTTTAAAATGCCAAAAACTTAACAGAAAATGAGTTAATAAAAAGATAAAGACTTACATTTTCAATAAGATAATGTCATCTGCTTTCAGGATTTTTTAAGTCACATGGTTTAATTAATTACAATTAGAATATACCTGCTCATTTGAATAACAAGTTTCTATATTTTAAGTTTTTAAAAATAATTTCCTTTCATCTTCAGACAGTGTCAAAATTATGTAATGCCTTCTCTAACAACTAATCCTTTCCCTCCCCCCTTGAAAAATACATATATGCTCACTTTACAAATTTTAAACAATCCTGAAAATTATAATTTAATGTTCATTGAATATTTAATGTTTTCATTAAAATATTTAGTGTTTAAACAATTTTATGCTATCAGAAAAATACGTTTTTGTTAGAAAAACATAGTACATATCATCAATTTTAAAATAATACAAAAATTAAAATTTGATAGGTGCCCACTGCTCAGTAAATATTTAGCTAACATTTTGATGTACATACTTCCACATGTCCATATATAAGCATGTTTTCAAGTAGTAGAACAATAGAACAATATTGGTTTTTTTTTTAGTAGTCTGCCTTTCAACTTAACGAATAGCATGCATATTTTCCCATGTCATCAAATTTTTATTAAGGCAGTTTTTCATTTTCATAAAGTATGATACTTGCAAAACAAAAATTATGTGACAATGTGTTATTTGAAAACCAAACATTCTGTAGTAGAATGCATTTGGGAGAAATCAGGTTAGATGGAGTTAACCATACTTATTTATTGCAGTACATCTCAGCTTTTCAAAGCTAATCTGCATTGATTCTCCAAATGATAGATTTGTTTCCCAGATATGTTGGTCATGGCCCTTTTGTATTAGTCAGGGTTCTCCAGAGAAACAGAACCAATATGATACACACACACACACACGTATGTATGATATATACATGATCACATGCACACACACACACACACACACACATATATATTTGGAGAGAGAGAGAGACAAAGAAGAGAAAGAGATATTTCATATGGGAATTGGCTCACATGATTACAGAAGCCAAGAAGTCCTATGATCTGCTGTCTGCAAGCTGTAGAACTAGGAAAGCCTGCAGTACAATTCAGTGATATTTTGAGGACCTAAGAACCAGTTGGAATGGAAGGTTGAGGGAAATCTGATGTAAGACCTAGAATTAAAAGTCCTGAAGACCAAGAGCTCCAATGTCCAAGGCAGGAGAAGATGAATGTCCCAGCTTAAAAAGAGATCAAGAATTGTCCCTTCCTCTGCTTTTTTGTTCTATTAGAACCCTCAACATATTGGATGATGCTCACCCACATTGGTCAGGGCGGATCTTCTTTACTCAGTCCACTGATTCAAATGTTAATCTCTTCTGGTAACACACTCATAGACATACTCAGAAATCATTTTTTACAGGTTATCTGGGTATCTCATAACCTAGTCATACTGACACACACATAAAATTAATCAATCATCATGACCCTCCACTCTCTACCTGAAATGTTTCTCTTGGAGTACTGTTTGTCAGAACGTCTTCTAGGAAATGTTATTTTAAGCAATAATTTAGTTAGAATGATTTCATGGTATTGCTTTGTTTGCATAGACCATAATTTATTTGACCATTCTTCATCTACTAGACATTTATTTCCAAATACTTGCTATTATTTTTTAAAATGAACTTACTTTTCCAATATCATGTCTTCCAAAATGTGTATTAATTTGCTTTCACACCAGTAGAATTAAAATGCCATAAGCATTGGCTAACATTAGGCTTTCATTAGGAGTTTTATAAATATTTGAAAATAGGTCAATTAGGCCAAATAGGTCAATAGAAAAGAATGAGCCAAAAATAAATGAAGTAAAGCTATCTTTATCAAAGGATGACATGATAATATACCTAGAATGTCCCAAAGAATAATAAATTAATTTAAGCATTAAAAGAATGCAGTGAAGTATTAGGATTAAAAAATTTACATATGAAATAGCTTTCACGTACACAAACAACCATTTTGATAAAGTAAACTTCATTTATAAGGGAAACACAGAAGATTATATTTCTAGCAATAAAGTTGACAAGAAATACGCAAAATCTGTTTGAAGAAAATGTAAGAACCCTCTTGAAAGATAAGAATAACTTAAACAAATTGAAAGACATACCCTGTTCTTGGATAGGACATCTCAATATTATAAAGATGTCAGATGTCTAAGTCTATAAAGTCAATGGAATCCCAGTGACAACAAAGACACATTATTTTATTGAATTAGAGAAGTTGAATCTAAATTTTATATGTGAAAATAAATAAGGAAGAGTGGCCATAAAAACATCAGAAAAGGGTTTATTAGTATTTATTAATAAATCTTAGTATTAATAAAATACAAAGATTAGTATTTATTAGCCTATTAAGGCCCTATAATTAAAACAATGTTGTACTGACATGTGAATAGACAAATTGATCAATGGAATAGAATTAATTCCAAATTAGACTTACATTTGTATATAAATGTAACGTAGGATACAGGCAATATCACAAATTGCTGAAGGTAAAGATGAAATGTTTAATAAATGGTATTAAGAAAACTGAGTAGCCATTTGGAAAAATCAGATCCATAGCTCATACCATACACAGAATATGCTCCAAATAGATTAGTAATCTAAATGTAAAAATGGAAACCATGTAATTTCTAGAAGAAAATACAGGTAAATTTTTGTTTAAACTGTGTGTGGGGAAAAGCTTTCTAACTATAACTCAAATTTGAGTCAATAAAAGAATAGATCAATATAGTTGTCTATGTAAACACGATATTGCATGTAAAAAAATCATTGCTCATGTACAAAAGATTTGGGCAAAAGAAATACAGGAAAGAGAAACCAAAAACTAAAGAGATTGGTAATCTACATGTAGCAGGTAAGAAAGAGTGGCAAGAAGGGGGCGATGGGAACAGAGTAGCAGGAAAGAAGAGGGAGTAACACTCCCTGAGTATATCTTATGTATATGGACTCTTAGAAATTATCCTATACAGCCAACTTATTTTTTTTAATTTACATCACTAAAAAGCACCATACGTAAACTGGCAAACTAGGGGAAAATGTTTGAAACATGTACCACAGAAGAAGTGCCAATGTCACTTATATATGAAGAATTTTATAAATTGAGGGACAAAAAAAACCCCACAAAAATCTGATAGAAAAATGGGGGAAAAAAGACATGAACAGACCATTTTTAAAAAGAGACAAAAGTTGCTCTCAAATATATAAAAATATCCAAATTCACTCATAATTAAAGAAATACAAATTAAAGCAACATATGATATGCCATTCTAATCAATCACATTGGCAAACATTTCAAAACTATGAAAATACTTTCTGCTGGTGAAGCTGTGGGAAACAGACACTAACATATATTGCTAATGGGCAAGCAAATGAGTACAGCCCTTCTGGATGGTAACTTGGCAATATCTAATAATAACATTATATATTTATTTATTTTTGGCCCAGCATCCCACTTATCAGAATAGATCCTGTAGACATACCTTCAGAACATATGAAAATACATATACACAAAGCTATAGTAGCATTGTTTATATTGTAAAAAATACTGGAAACAACTTACTGGCCCACCCATAAGAGAGTGTTTGAATTAACTATGTACAGCCACGCAAAGGATTATTATTTGGCTATATATTTTTAAATGATGAAGATCTCTATGAACTGAAATACAGTGATTTCCAGACATCTTGTTAAGTGAAAAAGTCCCAGCCTCCATGAGTATCCATAGTTTGCCATCTTTCAAGCCAAAAAAAAAAAAAAAATACACATGTATCTGCTCATGTGCAAAAGATTTTGGCAAAAGAAACATAGGAAACAGAAAACAGAAAACAGAAATCAAGGAGATTGGTAACCTACATGCAGCAGGTGGGAAAGAGTGGAGAAAAGGGGGAGATGGGAAGAGAGTGGCAAGAAAGAAGAAGGACTAACACTCCTTGAGTATATCTTATGTATATAGACTCTTAGAAATCATAGTGATATTTCACATACTCTTCACATACAAAAAAGTAGACACTAAGTTTATAAAGGCAATCCAAAGTGGGATTCAAACACTAACATTAGGCATTCATTAGGAGTTTTGTAAATATTTGAAAATAGGTCAATTAGGCCAAATAGGTCAATTAGGCCAAATAAGTCAATTAGGCCAAATAGAAAAGAATGAGCCAAAAATAAATGAAGTAAAGCTATCTTTACTTTACTATCTAACAAGCCTGACTATTTTAGGTTGTGGAACAATCTCCACACTCAAGAGTGGAGGAGTGGAAGAAGAAAATTACTGTAAGTACTTGTGGAAAACAGTATCTTGACTGAATATCATACAGCTAAAGACAAGAGCAGCTGTGTATAAAAGCTGTAACCTAATTGTAAAAGTGCTTCCCACAGGGATATAGGTTAGCAATTTCAAAACTACCATAATAGAACAAATAAGTAAATATATTACAGATAATGAGAGCCAAGTTTTCAGTGTGGGAGAAAGATGTTATAAATCTTAAGCCCTGGGAGAAGAGGGCCTTAAACCCTGTGGTGTTGGGATAGAATCTGAGGTAGCGGTATAAACTCATGGCTTTTAACATAGGTACCAATTAACAGGAAATACAGATGTGTGTATCTGTAGATTTGTATAAATACACATATTTATTAGTCCTCTCTGCTCAGGCCTAGAAGCAATGACCCAGATTCTATGAGCACACCTAAAACCCAGATCTTGATAGTTAAGTATCATTTTCCAAAAAAGAGAGAGGAAGCAGGGCTCCTCAGAGAAGTTGTTGATTCCAGAGATGGGGCACGGAAAATAAAAAATGAGCCTCAAACATCCGAACATCCTCACTATACAAAAAAGCAAGGAAGTGCTCAAAAACAAAGAACCAATCTAAAGGACTTCCTGATAACCAAAGTGGGAACTATCTGAGCAACAACAGCAATGGCAAATAATAATGGTAGTATTGGATTTTAATCTATAAAGTATTCATCTGTAAATAACAACTACTTGTTTTTATCTGTATTAAAATATTCATCTATAGATTAAAATAAACATCTATGAATATGAATGAAAAATAAATAGGAAGAGATAGCTCTTAAAGTACAGGTCAAGTTAATTAATATAGAAAGAAGAATAAAATAGAGCATCACCATTAAACAAACACCACAATTATAATAGTGACACACAAGACCCAAGATAAACATCACCTAATGAGACATATTGACATAATGAACCCCTTGATACAATATAATTACAAATACACAGCATTTTTGTGACATTCTTCCCACAAATGCATAACCTCTTTCCAATCATGAGAAAACTCCAAATTGAGGGATATTCTACAACTATGTTAAGGTCATGAAAAACTAAGAGACACTGAGAGTTATTAAAAATGGGGGAGAATAAAAAGAAATAACAACAAAATTCAATATGCAACACTGGATAGGATCCAGTAAGAGAAAACAGATATTAATGGAAAACTTGGTGAAATTTGAATAAGGTCTATAGTTTAGTCAATAATATCATGCCATTGTTATTTTTCTGCTCTTGATAATAGTACAATGGTTATATATACTGTTAATATTATAGATAGAGGGGTGAAGGGCAAAAGGGAACTATTTGTATGATTTTTTTCAACTTTTCTGTAAGAATAAAATTAGTTCAAATGAAAACTTAAAGAAATTCTGTTGCATTCTAAAAAGTTTGTATGATTTTGAGTGTCAGGAATCTGCCCCAGATAAGCAAGTGCTTATGTATTTTCTCTCCTTGAAGGAAGGTGTTTTCCTTCAGATTTCAGGAATGATTTTTTTCCCTGTGACCTCAGCTCACTGACAAATTCAAAAAAGGTTTTGGTTTTGCAGAATATTCAATAATTTCTTTTGTTGTGAATATGGGAGCAATGCTCTGTTCAGCTTACTACATGCTAAGCAGAAGCTGAAAATCCTAAATATCCTTTTAATTGCATAACTGAGCTTTCAAAAAAGTAAAGGAAATCAACAGGGACCCAAAACAAAGAGAAAACACAAAACAAATCTACAGATGTGGCAAATTAAAGAGGGCTCTTATTGCCCAGTGTGTCAAAAAATTTGCAACCATCTTTAATATGACATATTCATGAATCAGAATCAGCTGCATCAACTAAAAGACGTATTAATAACATAAACCTAACCTGGTACATTTTTAAAAGATTAATGTGAGTGTAGCCTGGAGAAATACTTCAGCTGGGTACAAAGCAGGTCAAAATGTATAGATTTTATAATTTCTGGGATTATCCACATTTCCCAAGTAACTAAGTTATTATTTACTTGAGGTAATTAAGTTTAAGTGTTGCTATAATTTGTGCCATGATTTTAGTTATTAACTTATTTGGTTACAAGAATAATTGTATTTGTTAAAATGAAATCCTTCTAGTAATGAAGCTAAAAGTCATATGTAGACAAAAACAAATGTAAAGGAAAGAATTATGAGAAATGCCCTTAACAATAATGGTTTTCAAAATTTTTTTATCTTGGACTAAAGTTTAGGAAATATTCATCCTGCTTGGAATCAATTTAAAAATGAGCCTTGCAGTCAGGATTTGGCCATGAGGGAAGGTTAGTGAGCCTCCAGTATCATGAAGTATTGGGTGAGTTTCAGAAACTTAAAATGGCAAATAGAATTCCAGAGAATTAGAGAATTAAAATCTAAGGGCTTTGTATGAAATGATTCTAATTTACAATATAAAAATATATGATATTAGATATGTGTATTACATTATAAAACATATAATAAAACTCAAAAATTTTCTAAGTATCATTTAGAGACTTATTACCTAATATTATAAAATAAAGAAAAGCTTGTGACACTTACATTGCCAAATGTTAATGGTGGACTGATGCTAACAGAAAGACTAGACAAGACCAGTACTTGAATATATAAAAATGTACTCATCTAAAAGATACAAAAGGAAGTAGAAGCACAACCTTCCATTGTCCTAAGATTCTCATCAGGATCGACGTGCCCAGTTGCAGATGACAACATCTGAGTGAGTGAGTCACACAATGCATTCAGGAGGGACGGCTGTTCCCCCTAAACCCAATCTCATATTCATAAGGCTAAAGAACTTGTGCCTTCTAATCTAGAGAGCACCTGATCTCAGCCAGGTATAGTTTATTCTTAGGGTTATACAATAGAAACCATGATTACAGAGTGTGATGCATTATCTTACATCCAGGCACCAGCATTGTTCCTCTATCACTTTCAGCCTCTCCTGACTAATGTGGCCTGGCCCAGGTGCATTTATAGTCTTAGACCTGAGGACCCAGAACAAAGTTCATTTACCCAGTTTCACGTATTCTTTTACAACAACACAAAATGGACTTAGACCCAGTTTTCTCAGAAAATAAAGTTAACAGCCCTTGAATAAATATAAAGCCCACCCCAAAGGTAAATTATGGATTTATTTTTTCTTCATTCTTAAAAGCTAGTTTGTTATCAGTATCATGTTTGATCTCTGTGTTAATCATGAATTTACCATTAGTAAGTAGATTATATTAGATTGTATTTGTATGTAATAAATAAAAAGACAATTGATAATTTTTTAATTGAAATGAACAAATGTTTAGTAAGTTGTTCATGGGAAATAAAGACAATATTTTGAAAATTAAATGAATTACTTAAATATTTTGGATAAAAATTAGATGGAAACATTTTCCCCTCTGGTGATAGTAAAAGTTTTCTTCATTAGATGTATTCTAAGCAGAGATTGTCTGCCTACTGTAGAGGTATCTCTGGCTAAAGGTTGTGAAACTTCCCTACCGTGGCATACAACAGGGATTCTGATTAAAATGGGTTTAGTAGTGTGTCACCATCACATCCTTTAAAAAAAATTAGAAAATGTAATTATGATAGATGGGGAAGGATTCTTACCAGCATCAAAAGCAGGTTTCAAATTAAAACATGGCCCATATGCTGATTCCTTTCACACTCACCTCTACCCTACTAAACACACTCACATACCGTACACACCTACAAAATTCAGACACACATTGTCTTTGTCCATTTTTTGTTGCTGTAAAGGAATACCTGAAACTGGGCAACTTATTTTTTAAAAAAGATGTATTTCGCCTGTGGTTCCACAGGCTGAGAAATACAATGATATGGCCCTGGCTTCTAGTGAGGGCTTTCTTGCTGCATCACAACATAGTTCAGTAAGTCAAAGGGGAAGTGAACACATGAAAGAGGGGGAAACCTGAGGGGCATCCTAGCTTTATGACAACTCACTCTCATGAGGACTACTCCAGACTTGGAAGAGTGAGAACTCATTCACCACCAAGAACAGCACCAAGACACTCATGAGGGAATCTGTCCCCATAACCCAAGCACCTCCCATGAGGCCACATCTCCCAATACTACCACACCAAGGATAAAATTTCAACATGAGCTTGGGTAGGGACAAACCATATCCAAACCATAGCATGCATACACATACCCCTTAAAAAGGGGGACACAAAACTAAGAGCAAACTAACGTAGTTTAAAATATACATAAAAACAAAAGGCATTCCATATACTTTCTTTTTTTCTTGACTTGGGCTTTTTAGGCCCCTTCTTCCCATCTGTACTAACTCAAAAATAAGACAAAAGTCAACATAACGAGGTCAAAATCTCTCCTTTGTTACTTGCAAAATTTAGGCTGGAGTACATAGCCTAATATACAGCCAAGTAGACTTTCTAGTACTGAGTCTCAGAATTAGAATAAATTGCTTTACCCGTCAAGATCCACCAAAGGGGTTTTCAAAAGATGTGGTCTGAATGTGGATAAACCAACAAGGGATAAAAGACAATAGTTAGGAACAAGAAAGAATGAAGCTGTATTGCCCCTAGGACTGAAGAGGGAGGAGAGTAGGCAGTAACCAAAATCCAGGAGAGAGTTGCCTACTGAAGGAACTACCTTGAGCAAAGCCTCACTCAAGGGATACATGCAGTTCATGGCAACCTAACGAGGAGAGACCTAAAGGAATAAATACCTTGACCTCACTCTCCTTTCTGATCTCCTCTCAAGGCCTCCCTTTCACTGAACCCAACTGGAAGTCAGTGATAAAGGTTGCCTGTTATGGACCCCAACACTTAGCCTCCTGAAGCAGAAACCAGGGTTAAGAAGGGTAAATAGTTTTCTAAAGGGACAAACAGAAGACTGGCACACTTAACAGTTGTAGACTTCCTGAGTCAGAGTAGTAGAAGAGAACCTTACTCCCTGCAGCCACCTAGTTTCCCAAAGAAGGATGAGGGCCTCAGGTATGCAAGCCTATTTTTTTCTTTCCAGCATCACCAGACATGCCATTATTCCCTTCCACTCAGGGGGAAAATGCATAAGGTGATAGAGGTTGAAGTGCTGCACTAATAGGACCCTTTTCACACTGAGGGAAAAAAAATAAGGCAATAAAAATTCCCCAAAAGCCGTTCCTCCAATTTTTCTTCTAATAGCCCATTGGGCTTAACCATTAAGCTTTTAGTCAACGAGAGATCCATCTGTCTCCCATCAGTGAAGGATATCAGTAGTTTCCAGTAGGTCAGCTTCCTCTCCCCACACCACAAACCCTTTGTGATGCTATACAACCAATACCAACCACTGCCCCAATGGAATATTCTTCAGGAACCCAGTAGGCAATGCCTTGGAAAGCATAAGACATTAATTAAACCAGTCCCAAGCTATTCTTAACTCAAGGCTAAATATGTATTCACTATTCACTTCCCATTTCAAATTATGTCTAGCCATGTTGTCCAGTAGAGCCCACAAGAGATTTAATGAGATTAAATTTCAACATTAATACATTCAAGTTAAAAAAGATGTCAAAATAGAAATGTCCTAAATTTGGATGTAAACCTCCTCCACGTATCTAACTCCCAGAGATAAAATCAAGTCTAAAAATTAAATCTTCTTTTAAATTAAAGGTAAAGTGTGTTAAAGTCCAAGGGAAGTATGAAGTCCAAGGGAAGTATGATCCGAAAGCAAATTAACTTTCTCTTGTAATTTAAAATTCAAAAAAGCTGAAGTTCAAAATTATTCCATCCCAACTTGTTTTGCCCAGTCACATTTCAGAGGGGTTCTCAGTGTTCTTTCAGCAACAGTAGCCTGGGCTGATTCTCATCATTAAGTGTGTAGTTACTTTAAGGTCAGCTCTCAAGAATTGTATTAGTTTTGTGGCAAATTGTCATGACTGCATGATTTCAAGTACATAAACGCAAGATTATGAGAGCACTGATCCCCCACTGACCCTCCACCCTCCCCGTCCCCACTCAAGGCAGTTATCCCAGGATTATGTCCTAAGTACTGCCAGTACTAAGTGTTGACAGACTACAGCAGAGACTCAGTAGGTTTGACAGTGGTGCAGATCAACAAAGAAAATCTGGTTTCAGTTTCCCCAGGATGCCAATAAATCTCCGTCCCTTTTTCAGAATCCATTATCTGTGATCCTAAAATCTACTGGGAGAAATCTCTTAGCAAGAAGTTAATTTGGGCACTATGCATTTAACACTCATGGAGAATAAATTCATACACACTTTTCTCAGAGCATGGAATCTGAGACTGCAGACTTATGGCAAAGTTAGATATTTGCCAAAGTAGTGGCCCCATACTGGGTCTAATTTAACATACTGTTTTTCTATAGACAATAGATTTTAAATGTTTTAACTTCCATCTTGCCTTTGGGTCCTGTGAGTTGAGTGTGGACGTTCCCTAGTGACACAGCCATTTCACTCTTGAGCAGTTCTGGGCTACAGTGGCTGCTCCATTGTCTCTTGCTATGGAAGTGCTCAGTCCTGAGAAACCTGCTTCATAAGGACGTTCTCTCACTCAAGTATAATTGTGAGAAATAAAAATAAAATCCAAAGCCCCCCAGCCAACTGAATGGACCTTCTCTTGACCAAGGGGACCCCAGAGAAACTTTGGAAGCTGAATTTCCAGTCACGACAGCATGGGAAACCAGACATACCTTGCCTTGTTATATCCCCTCCCTCACTAACTGTCATTAGGCTTCCTGCTCTAAGGGCTAAACAAAAACCAGCCCTTTTGAAAGAATCCACCACTGATATAAACCAACCACCTGCCCCTGCCCCTCCCTTTTGCAGTTTTGACACAACAACCAACCAGCATTCCTTCCTAGTAGGAGACCTCCAACCACGGAGGGGTTCTGACCAGTCTATGGAGGATGTGCAGTGAGAGTTTTCCTCTCCTCTGCTTCACCTTTTGACCTCAAAAGGTCAAAAACTCTACCCATGGATGATGCCGATGATGCCATTTTTTGTACATGCAATTTATAAAGGGGCATGAAACTCAATTGCATATACACCTGTTTCTCCTTTCATAAATATTGATGACTTCTCCTATAGCTTACTAAATATGAATATTTGGCCACCCTACTCAGCATAAATTCCTGTTTCCTTTGCCCCTTCTTCAAAGTGTCTGTTTCCAGCTTCTGGTCAGAGGCTATAATTTCCCAGCCTGTCAGAACGACTACCCTGAGTGTAAATTAGTTCAAGCATTGTGGAAGACAGTGTGGTGATTCCTCAAGGATCTAGAACCAGAAATACCATTTGACCCAGCGATCCCACTACTGGGTATATACCCAAAGGATTGCAAATCATGCTACTATAAAGACACATGCACATGTATGTTTATTGCGACACTATTCACAATAGCAAAGACTTGGAACCAACCCAAATGTTCATCAGTGATAGACTGGATTAAGAAAATGTGGCACACATACACCATGGAATACTATGCAGCTATAAAAAGGCATGAGTTCACGTCCTTTGCAGGGACATGGATAAAGCTGGAAACTATCATTCTGAGCAGACTATAACGAGGACAGAAGAGCAAACACCACATGTTCTCATTCATAGGTGGAAGTTGAACAATGAGAACACTTGGACACAGGGCGGGGAACATCACACACCGGGGCCCGTCATGGCCGGGGGGAATGGGGGAGGGATAGCATTAGGAGAAATACCTAATGTAAATGACGAGTTGATGGGTGCAGCAAACCAACATGGCACATGTATTCCTATGTAACAAACCTGCACGTTGTGCACATGTACACTAGAACTTAAAGTATAATTTTAAAAAAATCCAGAAAAACAAAAAAAGAAAAAATAAATAAATAAATGAATGAATCTATGGATTGATGCCCCCCCACCCAAAAAACAAAAAACAAAAAACAAAAAACAGAACAACCACCCTGCAGGCTGCAAACCTGTACGAGAAACAAAGTTCTCCTTTTCAGATTTATTAACCTCATCATTCTTCAGACAATTAGCAAGTTTTGAGCCAACTTGAGACCACATAATGTAGTAGGAGGCAGTGTCTCTTGGGTCTGTAGAGCAAGCTACATGTATGCAAAGTTAGTATATTCCTAGGCCCTAAGTGCAAAATTGAGTTTAGGGTAACTAATGAGCATTGCCAATCTAGCACCAGTAAATTAAAGCATCTAGCTTTCTCTGTGGGACAGTTGGAGCTACAAAATTTTGAAAAGTAAAAGCAACAAACAATGCTCTCTCCAAAGCATCAAGAGCCTATATACATAAGAATTAGTTTCTGTATAATTGATAGTTCTGCATCAGCCAAGCCTGCAAAGGAATTGGTCAAACTTATCTGAACTACACCCTATGCCTTTGCTGAGTCCCATGCAACCACAGGATGAGGGCTGAGCGGCCTCATCCTCACATTCAGCAGAGTCTCTCACAGGCCTCTGCTTTGTTAATGCCCTCCAAACCCCATGCATTTTCTAAGGCCCAGAAAGATCTTCAACTTACTTAGTGGTCATGTATCTTCCCTAAGGCTGTGAGCCTAATCCATCCACTTATGCCTTGTGTTACTGCTACGTTAGCTGTCACCTGCAGCTGATGGCAGTTTTAATACACAAAGAAGTGGCTGCTTTCCTCTTAATGGAGAAGCAAAGTCTATTTTGCCTGCTCTTGAATCTTGACTGCCCTCTGACTGTTTCTTTGGAGTTCACAGGCCTCAGAGTGAATAGGTCTACTTTTCTATACTTCTACGTATTTTTTTCTTACCTGAGATAGTCATAAATCAAAGAACTGCTTGGCCAGGAACATCTGCAACATGCTTCATGTGGCCAAAAAATGTATCTTGCTGTGTGTGTTACTGATATTTATGGTATCGATTAGCCTATAATGGTCTAATATATTGATCAACCCAAGCTGTCATTTTTTATAGTGAGAAGAAATAGAAAATAATTTCACAACGAATGATAATCAGCAGCCTGAATGTAAAAAATGCATATATATTGATTATTTAGAAAGGTTTGGTTGAAAAGCAGGGATGATATTTTTAAAATACACAATTTGTAATTTCAGTGAAAATCAAAAGGATAATTAATTTATCATTAATAAGAATAGGTTATTAGGAAAATGAAGCAGTTATAGAAAAATAAAGATTTCTTACAATGATAAAAATAAATATCTACCAAAAATAATTCAAGAAATACTAATAAAATAATCACTATCAAGTATTTTGGTAGTTCAATAAGACATTTAGGCAGCATTTAGCCAGAAATATAGTATTACTACATAATAATACAATATTCATTTTACCAGGAATATATGAGCATTCTAATGAGGTATGCATGTAAGAAGTGAGCTTCAAAATATATAAAAAATTAACAGAAATTTAAAAATAATAATCTTAGCCCCAGGGAATTTCATATTAAAACCACAGTGAGATACTACTTTATACCCTCTAGGATGGCTAGAATCAAAAATACAGTAAGTATTGGTGAGAATGTGGAGAAATTGGAACATTTTCACACTACTAGTCGAAATGTAAAGTGATGCAACTCCTTTGGAAAATAGTCCAGCAGTTCCTCAAAAGGTTAGAGTTATCATATGACCAGCAATTGTACTTCTAGCTATATGCCCAAGAGAAACCCATGCAGAAACATGTATATAAATATTTATGGGCCAGGTGCAGTGTCTCATGCCTGTAATCCCAGCACTTTGGGAGGCCGAGACGGGTGGATTACTTGAGGTCAGGAGTTTGAGACCAGCCGGGCCAACAGGGTGAAAGCCCATCTCTACAACAAATACAAAAAATAGCCAGGCGCCGTGGCACATGCCTGTAATCCCAGCTGCTCAGGAGGCTGAGGCAGGAGAATCACTTGAACCAGGGAGATGGAAGTTACAGTGAGCAGAGATAGCACCACGGCACTCCAGCCTGCGACAGAGTGAGACTCCGTCTCAAGAAAATTAAAAGAATAAAAATTTAAAAAATAAAAAAAAAAATAAAAAGTAAATATTTATGGCAGCATTATTTATAATAGCCAAGGAGTGGGAAACACTCAAATGTCTGTCAACTGATGAATGGATAAATCAAATGTGGTGTATCCATATAATAAAATATTTGGACATAGAAAAAATGAAGTATGGATACATGTTATACATGAATGCATTGAAAACAATATGCTAAGTGAAAGAATCCAGACACAAAACACCACATGTTTCATGACTCCACTTATGTAAAATGTCCAGAATAGGCAAATTTATAGAAACAGAAAGTACATTAATGATTGCCTAGTACTGTGGTTAGGGAAGGAGGGGAAGGGGGAAATCGGGAGGGACTACCAATAGGCTTGATGTTTCTTTTCCGAGTGATAAAAATGTTCTAAAATTGTTATGATGGTTGTACAACTCTAAAACTACTAAAAATTATTGTATTGTATGCTTTAAATGAATGACTTTTATGGTATACAAACTAAATTTCAATAAGCTATTCTTATGATGGACTGAATGTTTGTGTCCCCTCCTCCCAAATGTATATGATTTGGAAAACTGGCTAGCCATATGTATGTAGAAAGCTGAAACTGGATCTAATCCTCCATGTAACGATATTTGGAAGTAATTAAGTTTAGATGAAGTCATTAGGGTAGAGCCTCATGGTGGGATTACTGTCCTTATAAGAAGAGACTGGCCAGAGCAATCAGGCAGGAGAAGGAAATAAAGGGCATTCAATTAGGAAAAGAGGAAGTCAAATTGTCCCTGTTTGCACATGACATGATTGTATATCTAGAAAACCCCATCGTCTCAGCCCAAAATTTCCTTAAGCTGATAGGCAACTTCAGCAAAGTCTCAGGATACAAAATCAACGTACAAAAATCACAAGCATACTTATACACCAATAACAGACAGAGAGCCAAATCATGGGTGAATTCCCACTCATAATTGCTTCAAAGAGAATAAAATACCTAGGAATCCAACTTATAAGGGACGTGAAGAAACTCTTCAAGGAGAACTACAAACCACTGCTCAATGAAATAAAAGAGGATACAAACACATGGACGAACATTCCATGCTCATGGGTAGGAAGAATCAATATCGTGAAAATGGCCATACTGCCCAAGGTAATTTATAGATTCAATGCCATCCCCATCAAGCTACCAATGACTTTCTTCACAGAATTGGAAAAAACTACTTTAAAGTTCATATGGAATGAAAAAAGAGCCCGCATCACCAAGTCAATCCTAAGCCAAAAGAAGAAAGCTGGAGGCATCACGCTACCTGACTTCAAACTATACAACAAAGCTACAGTAACCAAAACAGCATGGTACTGGTACCAAAACAGAGATATAGACCAATGGAACACAACAGAGCCCTCAGAAATAATGCCGCATATCTGCAACCATCTGATCTTTGACAAACCTGACAAAAACAAGAAATGGGGAAACGATTCCCTATTTAATAAATGGTGCTGGGAAAACTGGCTAGCCATATGTACGTAGAAAGCTGAAACTGGATCCCTTCCTTATACCTTATACAAAAATTAATTCAAGATGGATTAAAGACTTAAATGTTAGACCTAAAACCATAAAAACCCTAGAAGAAAACCTAGGCAATACCATTCAGGACATAGGCATGGGCAAGGACTTCATGTCTAATACACCAAAAGCAATGGCAACAAAAGCCAAAATTGACAAATGGGATCTAATTAAACTAAAGAGCTTCTGCACAGCAAAAGAAACTACCATCAGAGTTAACAGGCAACCTACAGAGTGGGAGAAAATTTTTGCAATCTATCCATCTGACAAAGGGCTAATATCCAGAATCTACAATGAATTCAAACAAATTTACAAGAAAAAAAACAAGCAACTCCATCAAAAAGTGGACGAAGGATATGAACAGACACTTCTCAAAAGAAGACATTTATGCAGCCAAAGACACATGAAAAAATGCTCATCATCACTGGCCATCAGAGAAATGCAAATCAAAACCACAATGAAATACCATCTCACACCAGTTAGAATGGCGATCATTAAAAAGTCAGGAAAAAACAGGTGCTGGAGAGGATGTGGAGAAATAGGAACACTGTTGGTGGGACTGTAAACTAGTTCAACCATTGTGGAAGTCAGTGTGGCGATTCCTCAAGGATCTAGAACTAGAAATACCATTTGACCCAGCCATCCCATTACTGGGTATATACCCAAAGGATTATAAATCATGCTGCTATAAAGACACATGCACACGTATGTTTATTGCGGCACTATTCACAATAGCAAAGACTTGGAACCAACCCAAATGTCCAACAATGATAGACTGGATTAAGAAAATGTGGCACATATACACCATGGAATACTATGCAGCCATAAAAAATGATGAGTTCATCCTTTGTGGGGACATGGATGAAGCTGGAAACCATCATTCTCAGCAAACTATCACAAGGACAAAAAAGACAAACACCGCATGTTCTCACTCATAGGCGGGAATTGAACAATGAGAACACATGGACACAGGAAGGGGAACATCACACACTGGGGCCTGTTGTGGGGTGGGGAGAGAGGGGAGGAATAGCATTTGGAGATATACCTAATGTTAAATGACAAGTTACTGGGTTCAGCACACCAACATGGCACATGTATACATATGTAACTAACCTGCACATTGTGCACATGTACCCTAAAACTTAAAGTATAATTAAAAAAAAAAAGAAGAGACCAGAGCACCCTCTCTCTCTGTCTCTGTCTCTCTCTCCCAGACATGTGAGAAAACAGCAAGAGATAGCCATCAACAAGCAAGAAGAGGACCTTACCAGACACCAAATCTGCCAGCACTTTGATCTTGTACTTCCCAGCTTCAAGAGCTGTGAGGAATGGATGTCTGTTGGTCAAGTCACCTAGTTTATGGTATTTTGTTATGGCATCCTAAGCTGACTAAGATAGTTGTGATATTAAAAAACATAATCATACTTCTCTCAGTAATTAACAAACCACATAAAAATATATAGGTATAGAAGAGTTGAGCAATATACTAAAAAGTTGTTCTTATAGACATATACTTGACACTGCATCTAACAAGTGCAGACTATACTCTAGAGGCAGGGGACTATTAAAATATTACTCCCATAAAGCATGATAGCAAATTACAAAATCTATCAGATGTAATCCAATTACATTCTCTGATGCAACTCCAATTAAGTTTCTTATAAGAAAAATCAAATTTTAAAATAAGAGAATTATGAAAATTGTAGCTCAGCTTTTAAAACTTAAACGTAAAAACATTTATATTGTTCTAAAAATATTTTAAATATTTTTAAAACAATATAACTTAACAAAATGACTTAAGTAGAAGTAGAAAAGCTGAATAATCTTGTAATAAGTAATAAAATGAATAGTTAAATATGCTCAAAGAAAGCCCACATAGTGTCAGTGGTAAATTTTACCTACTATATAATTAATTCCAAACTTATACAAAATCTTTCAGTCAATAGAAAAGGAGGAAAAAACTATACAATTCATCTTATGCACCTACAATAACAGTGACATAAAAAAACTTAGAAAGGACCAAATGAGACAAAATTACAGAAGAATCTCAGAGCTAACTATACATGCAAAAATCGTAAATAAAATATTAGAAAACCAAAATCGGTTGTTTATAAAAGTATTAGCTCTTGCTCAAGTTGGGATTATATAAGAAATATAATCAGGTGGATCACAAGGTCAAGAGATCAAGACCACCCTGGCTGACACGGTGAAACCCCATCTCTACTAAAATTACAAAAATTAGCTGGGCATGGTGGTGTGTGCCTGTAGTCCCAGCTACTTGGGAGGCTAAGGCAGGAGAATCACTTGAACCCGGGAGGTGGAGGTTGCAGTGAGCTGAGACCATGCCACTGTACTCCAGCCTGGTGACAGAGCAAGACTCCATCCCCCCAAAAAAAAAAAAATATATATATATATATGTGTGTGTATATATATATATATATGTACACATAATCTTGGTTTAATATTTTTCAATGTGTTGACATAATTTACCTTGGTAACAAATTAAAATTATTTAAATATATGCATTGAAAGCTTCTATCTGATAGCCAATTTCTGAAAAACATATATGATATAAGCCCTTCAAAACTTAGGAATAAATGTAAATGTTCTTACCTGATAAAACAAATCTACATCAAACATATAGAAATGCAATAATGAACCACAAAAAAGATTAACCATAAAGGAAAAGATTGTTAAATATAACTACGTTAGAAATAAGACTCCATTCCTCAAGAGACATCTCAAAATAAGTGAAAATGTAGTCCACAAACTGGAGCTTGCACTTTTTGTATATGTTGCATATATATAAAAAATAATACTTTATATCATGTACAAAGAATTTCTATGAATAAATGAGAAAAGACAATCTAATAGAGAGTATAGCAAAAATATGGACAGATTTTCATTGAAGAGGAAATGCAAAGGTCAAATAAATATATGAAAAGATAATCCATCTTATTAAAGATCAGAATAGGCAAACTAAAGGCATTTCATTACACTCTAAAATTTGAAAATATAGTTATGATCAAACATTAGCAAAACTGTACAGCAATAAGAATACTCAAAACTAAAGCTTGAGCTTATTTGTAGTGTTTACCCTAAACCCAAGGTTGGCTAATACCCATATGGACAACTTCATAACCTCCAAAACTTTCTCCCTTCTCTAGAATTTAAATTTTTCTAGTCCTACTTTTATGTGTATAATTTTTGTAAAATTTCTGGCTTGAATAGTTGTTTCAAAGGAAGAATATGCCTGCTCCAAAGTGTTATATTCCACTAGGAAATGGAACTTGCTCTTTTTCAGCTCTATTTTTTTTTTTTTTTTTTTTTTTTTGAGACAGAGTCACACTCTGTCACCAGGCTGGAGTGCAATGGCACAGTCTCAGCTTACTGCAACCTCTGCCTCCTGGGCTCAAGTGATTCTCCTGCCTCAGCCTCCCTCAGCTCTGCCTTTTACATATAAATTAATAGAAGTCATTTATAAATGGATGGACGGTAAAATAATGAAAAGGTGAATTAGTAACAATGGTGAGTTGTGGCAGAATTGTAAATTAATTTAACTAGTTTGGAAAGTAACATGGCATTACTTTTGCAAAATGAATATACACATATTTTATAATAGAGTAATTTTTTTCTTAAGTATATTATATGCATGTATTAATAGACATTGGATTTGGGCCAAGATGGCCAACTAGAAGCAGCAATGGTATGTAGCGCTCATGGAGAGGAACAAAAGGGGTGAATAAATGCAACACCATCAACTGAAACATCCAGGTACTTGCACTGGGACTAATCAAGGAAAAATATCGACCCACGGAGAATAAAGAAAAGCAAGACAGGATGATGGCTCACCCGGGAGTGACATGGAGCCAGGGGAACCTCCCCAACCCAGGGAAGAGGTAAGTGAATGTACAAGTCAGGAAAGCCACACTGCTCCCATGGATCCTTGCAACCCTCAGGTCAGGAGATCCTCTCGTGAATCCACTCCACCAGGGCCTTCAGTTTGAGAAACAGAAGAACTGTGTAGAGTCTCAGCAGAGCAGATGCTTAGGCACATGCAGAGACCCAGGAGCTTTACATACTTCAGCTGCAGTCTTCCTGGCAAAAGTGACTGCATTTCTGGCAAGGTGGGAAGTTGTACCTCTGTACATACTTCTAGGAAGGATGCTGAATCCAGGAGGCTAAGCGGTGATGGTCTGCTGGCCCCACTTCCACAGCACCTCACAGGGTAAGACCCACTGGTTTGGAATTCCAGCCAACTACCAGCAACAGTGTCACCCCTACCTGGGACAGAATTCCTGAGGAAAGGGGTGGACCGCCTTCTTTGTTGTTTGGACAACTCAGCTATTCCAGCCTGCAGGCTTTGGAGAGTCCAAACTGACTGGGGATGGAAGGGATCCGTTGCTCTACCAAAACGTGGCCAGACTGCTTATTTAAGTGGTCCCCAAACTGTTCCTCCACACTGAGTGGAACCTCCCAAATGGGGCCTCTGGCCAACCCTGCCGGTGTTCTCAGGCTAATAGAAATTTGAGTTCTCCCTGGACAGAGTTCCCAGAGGGAGGGATGGGCCACCATCTTTGCTGTTTGGGCAACTCAGCTATTCGAGCCAGCAAACTTTGGAGAATCCAAACTGACTGGGAGCAGAAGGAATCTCCTAGTACAGCACAGCTACTCTATGAAAGTGTGGCCGGACTACTTCTTTAAGCAGATTTCCAATCCTGTTTCCCCTGACTGGGTGAGACCTCCCAAGCAGGGTCTCCAGCCATATCCTACAGGTGCATTCTGGCTGGCAACAAATCCATACCTCCCTGGGACAGAGCTCTCAGAGGAAGGAGCAGGCCACCTTCTTTGCTGTTTTGCAGCCTTCACTGGTGATATGGTTTGGCTCTGTGTCCCCACCGAAATCTCATCTTGTAGCTCCTATAATTTCCACATGTTGTGGGAAAGACTTGGTGGGAGATGGTTGAATCCTGGGGGTGGGTCTTTCCCATGCTGTTCCTGTGATAGTGAATGGGTCTCACAAAATCTGATCGTTTTTAAAAACAGAGTTTCCATGCAAAAGCTCTTTGCCTGCCATCATTCACATAAGATGTGACTTGCTTCTCCTTGTCTTCCACCATGATTGTGAGGCCTTCCCAGCCATGTGTAACTTTTAGTCCAATAAATCTCTTTCTTTTGTAAATTGCCCAGTCTCAGGTATGTCTTTATCAGCAGCATGAACATGGACTAATACAGCTAGCAATACCTTTAGGTACTGGAAAATCTAAAGTGACTAGGGACTGGAGCAGACCCTGAGAAAACTGCAGCAGCCTTATGGAAAAGCAGCCAGACTGTTAAAAAACCAACCAAACAAACAAAAAACCATCCAAAGGTCAGCAACCTCAAAGATTGGAGGTAAATAAGTCCACAAAGATGAGGAAGAATCAGTGCAAGAACACTGAAAACTCAAAAAGCCAGAGTGGCCTCTTTCCTCCACATGACCACATCACCTCTCCAGCACAGGTTTGGAACTGGGCTGAGATTGATATAGTTGAAATTATAGAAATAGAATTCAGAATATGGATAAAATCCCCCAACTTCACTGAGCTAAAGGAGCACATTGTAACACAATGCAAGGCTAGAAATCATGATACAACATTTCAGGAGCTGACAGACAAAATAGCCAGTATAGAGAAGAATGTAACTAAACTGATAGAGCTGAAAAACACAATACAAGAATTCCATAATGCAATCACAAGCACTAATAGCAGAGCAGACCAAGCAGAGGAAGGAATCTCAGAGCTTGAAGACTCTTTTTGAAATAGACAGGCTGACAAAAATAGATAAAAGAATAAAAAGGAATGAACAAACCTTCTGAGAAATGTGGGATTAAGTAAAGAGACAAAATCTATGACTGATTGGTGTACCTGAAAAAGATGGGGAGAAGGGAACCAATTTGGAAAACATATTTCAAGATGTCACCCATGAGAACTTCCCTGACCTAGATAGACAGGGCAACATTCAAATTCAGGAAATGCAGAAAACCCCAGTAAGATACTCCATAGGAAGATAATCCCCAAGAGTAATAATCATCAGATTCTCCAAAATCAAAACAAAAGAAAAAAATGTTAAGGGCAGCCAGAGAGAAAGACCAGGTCACCTACAAAGGTAAGCCTATCAGACTAGTACCGGACCTCTCAGCAGAAACTTTGAAAGCCAGAAGAGATTGGGGCCCAATATTCAACATTCTAAAAGAAAACAAATTCCAATCCAGAATTTCAAGTCTGGCCAAACTAAACTTCATAAGCAAAGGAGAAATAAAATCCTTTCAGACAAGTAAATGCTGAGGGAATTTGTTACTAACCAACCTGCTTTAAAATATCTCCTGAAGGAAGCATTAAATATGGAAAGGAAAGACTGTTACCAGCCACTATAAAAACACATTGAAGTACACAGACCAGTGACACTACAAAGCCAACACATAGGAAAATCTGCAAAATAACCAGCCAACATCATGAAGACAAGATCAAATCCAAACATGTCAATACTAACTTTAAATGTAAATGAGCTAAATCCCCAATTAAAAAACACAGGGTCACAAGCTGGATAAAGAAACAAGACCCGTTAGTATGCTGTCTTCAAGAGACCCATCTCATGTGCAGTGACACACATAGGCTCAAAATAAAGGGATGGAGGAAAATCTACCAAGAAAATGGAAAACAGAAAAAAGCAGGGGTTGCAATTCTAGTTTCTGACAAACAGACTTTAAACCAACAAAAATAAAAAAATGACAAAGAAGGACACTACATAATGGTAAAGGGTTAAATTCAACAAGAAGAGTTAACTATCCTTCATGAAGATAATTACTGCTATGCAAATTTAAATGACTTTAAATCACTTTTTATTCTGCATAGCTTATTGACCATGCATTCACACACCTTTCTAAGAACTGAGACAGTCATAAAGTATCAGATCACAAGTAGGGTTAGAATTGGGTCTAAAGTCTTCACATAAAATTTAAAAACAGGATGGAGTAAGTATTTACAGCCATTACTTATTTACAGAATTTGGCAGAACTTTTTCTCTCCTGTTTTTCAAATATATGTGTATCATCTGCTAAATAAATAACTAGATATATTTTAGCTAATTTGTTGTCATTGTCTATGTCATAAATCTAAATAAGGATCTTGACTCTGAATTACTTTCATCAACCCCTAAAACGTAATGATGAAACACTATACTCAAATACTTAGAGCATATATTTTATTTAACATGCTGAGTTTACTTGCCAACATGAAGATTAAAAGACTGCTCTTTTTAAGATATTTACCCATGAGAGCACACATTGTCATATTGCCTGCTAAATAAATACTTCTAATGGTTTCTATTTGAAATTTATCAGAATCAATCTGACAGCACTTAAGTGTATACATTTGGTAATATAATGGACTTGCTGTAGAAGGAGACATATTATAATGCATAAGAAACAAAAAAGATATGTAAGATATTAAAAGTAGCTTGCATTAAGAAAGACAAGTAAGGGGAATAAATGACCCAAGTCTAGAAGTCTACAGGGATAATAAAAGAAGATCTGAGCCTGCAATTTGTCTAGGAGAACTTGGGAATCTACAGTGGCCCATAACCTCAGTTGTAAAGTGTTTATTGGATGGGAGGACAGGAGACAAAATCTGAAGACTGAGAATGCTGAGAGGTTAGATTGAAGACATCCACATAAAAATAGGGCCATGGAAGGATGACACACTAGAGAAAAAGTGCTAAAATGGATAGTTTCCTATGTCAGCATTGTCTATGAATGAAGAGAAAGAAAAAAATAAGTTCCCCTTAAACACATATTCATATGGGTTTGAAGTTATAATTCAAACCCATGTGAAAAATTTAAACTTCAAAGAAGTATCATAGGCAAAATTGCTAAAATCGTGAACTCATGAGAAAACATACACACAAAAAGAAATGAGAAAATAAGCCTTCTTGAGCAAGAACATACAAAAGCCACAATGGCATGAGATATGCAATGACTGCAGAAATTGAAGGCTACAGAACATAAAATGCATATGCTAATATCATAAAAGAATTGAAAGTTAAATTAAGAGATGTATAAAAAAGTGTTACATGTAACTAGGCAGAGTGTGCATGTGTGTATATGTATCTGTAAGCATATGCAGGCGTGCCTCATTTTATCGTGCTTTGCTCTATCACACATCACAGATATTGTAGTTTTTTTTTTTTAACAAATTGAAGGTTTGCGGCAACCCTGCATTGAGCAAATCTATTGGTGCCATTTTTCTAACAGCATGTACTCACTTCATGTTTCTGTGTCACATTTTGTTAATTCTTGCAATATTTTAACCTTTTCATTGTTATATTTGTTATGGTGATCTGTGATCAGTGATCTTTGACAGTATTATTGTCATTGTCTTGGGGTGCCACACACTGAGCCCATAAAAGATGAAAATTTTAATTTATAAATGTGTGTGTTCTGAATGTCCCATTGATCAGCCATTCCCTTATCTTTCTCCCTCTCCTCAGGTCTCCCTATTCCCTGAGACACAACAATATTGAAATTAGGCCAATCAATAATCCTGCAATGGCCTCTCAGTTTTCAAGTAAAAAGAGGAGTCACAAGTCTCTTACTTTAAATCAAAAGTTAGAAATGATTAAACTTAATGAAGAAAGTTTGTTGAAAACCAAGATAGGCCAAAGTCAGGCTTCCTGCAACAAACACTAAGTTGTGAACGGAAAAAAAAAGAGTTCTTAAAGGAAATTAAAAGTGCTAGTCCACTGAACACATGCATGATAAGAAAATGAAATAGCTTATTTACTGATATGAAGAAACTTTTAGTGGTCTGGATGGAATATCAAACTGGCCACAATGTTCCCTTTAGCCAAAGCCTAATCCAGTGCAAGGCCCTAACTTCAATTCTATGAAGGCTGAAAAAGGTGAGGAAGCCCAAGTGCTGATGTAGAAGCTGCAGCAAGTATTCAAGGAGGTCTAGCTAACATCGTTGATAACAAGCATCTTGCTCTGTTGACCAGGCTGGAGTACAGTGGCACCATCTCAGCTCACTGCAACCTCTGCCTCCTGGGTTTAAGCAATTCTCCTGCCTCAGCCTCCTGAGTTGGGACTACAGGCACATGCCACCACACCTGGCTAATTTTTGTATTTTTAGTAGAGACAGGATTTCACCGAGTTAGCCAGGTTGGTCTTGATCTCCTGCCCTCAGGTGATCCGCCCACCTCGGCCTCCCAAAGCGCTGGGATTACAGGCATGAGCCACCACACCCAGCCAAGCAATAGATTTTCTATGTAGATGAAACAGCCTTCTATTGGAAGAAGATACCATCTAGGACTTTCATAGCTAGAGAGAAATTAATGCCTGACTGCAAAGTTTCAAAGAACAGGCTGACTCTCTTATTAGGGGCTAATGTAGCTGGTGACTTTCAGTTGAAGCCAAGGCTGATTGACCATTCCCATAATCCTACAGCCTTTAAGAATTATATCTACTCTGCCTGTGTTCTATAAGTGGAACAACAAAGCCTGAATGACAGCACATTTATACCATGATATAAACTGACTATTTTAAGCCCACTGTTGATACCTACAGGAAAAAAGATTTCTTTCAAGATATTACTGCTTGTTGACAATGAACCTGAACACCCAAAATCTGTGATGGAAATGCACAAGAAGATTAATGTTGTTTTCATGCCTGCTAACAAAACATACATATAGTAGCCTATGGATCAAGGAGTAATTTTAACACTCAAGCCTCATTATTTAAGAAATACATTTTGTAAGGCTGTAGCTACCATAGATTGATTCTTCTTATGGATCTGGGAAAAGTAAATTGAAAACCTCTGGAAAAGTTTCACCATTCTACATGCCACTAAAAACATTTGAGATTGTGAGAGGAGGTTAAAATATCAACATTAACAGGAGTTTTGAAAGTTTATTCCAACCCCCAGGGATAACTTAGAGGGATTCAAAACTTTAGTGGAGAAAATAACTGCAGAGGTAATGGAAATAGCAAAAAAGCTAGAATTAGAAGTGGAGCTTGAAGATCTGACTGAATTTCTGCAATCTCATAAAGCTTGAACAGATGAGGAGTTGCTTATTATGGATTAGCAAAAAAGGTATTTTTTTTAAGATGGAATCTACACCTGGTGAAGAATCTGTAAACACTGTGGAAATGACAACAAAGGACTTAGAATATTACATCAGCACAGTTAATAAAGCAGTGGCAGGATTTGAGAGAATAGACTTAAATTTTGAAAGTTCTACTGTGGGTAAAATGCTGTCAAACAGCATCACATGCTACAGAGAAATATTTTGTGAAAGAAAGGCTCAATTGATGTGGCAAGCTTCATTGTTGTCTTATTTTAAGAAAATAGCCACAGGCCTCCAACTTTCACCAACCATCACTCTGATCAATCAGCAGCAATTAACATCGAGGCAAGACGCTCCACCAGCAAAAAGATTATGATTCAATTAAGGCTCAAATGATCATTAGTATTTTTAGCAATTTATTTAGCAATTTAGCAAAGTATTTTTTAATTACAGTATATACGTTTTTAAGAGTTGATCCTATTGCACACCTAATAGTCTACAGTGTAAACATGACTTTTATTTGTACTGGGAAAACAAAAATATTGTGTGACTTTATTGCAATATTCACTTTTATTGCTGTGGTCTGGAACTGAATCCACAATATCTTCAAGGTCTACCTATACACACACACACACACACACACACACACACAGAGAGAGAGAGAGAGAGAGTGAGTGAGACATAGAGAGAGAGAGAAGAAAATGTAATGAAATTAAAAACCTGCAGCATGTTAATGGAATATCAGGCAGATAAGCTTCTTTCAAACTAATCCTTTCTGATAAAAATAACCAAAAAAGATGAAAACAATATTTACAAACATCTGTTTACAAGTATCAAAAAGCTAACAAGGCAGTAAGAATGTGAGTAGCTAAAATTCAGGGGTAAATAAATACCACTTAGGCAGGCCAGATGTGTGGCTCAGTTATTCCCCTTGAGGCAATTGTACATATGAAAGTCCCTGCAGAGTGACTGAGAATCTGAACAGAGATTTTTAAATTTCATGGGCTGGAGAGACAAAAAATTGATTTTAGGACATGCCAAGGAGGGCTTTTTGTAAACATCTCTGACTTTCATTTGAAATTGTGGAAAGACTATACCCAAAAAGGAGATCAGCATTTACAAAAAAGCCCAGTCTCTGGATTAGGTGGTCTACCTCTATCCTAAGTACCTACCAGAAATAGAAGTAAATATTCCTTAGAAAAAGATAACATGAGTCACAGATCCAAATTATCCTAAAAGTTTTCATACAAATTCCCAGCATTCAATCAAAAATAACCACAATTACAAAATAATTATAACTCAGAAAAATTAAAAGGAAAAAACAAATCTGTAAAAAAATCATAGAGAACCTAGTTATTAGAGTTAAGACACATAGATTTTATAAAAACTGTTACTAATGTGGCCAAGAAACTGTGAATAAATAAAAAATTTTTAGCAAATAATAACTGTAAAAGAAAAATTGAAATTCAAGAGTTATAAAATTCAATAACAGATATTGTGACTAAATTGTTGGGTTCCATTATAGATTAAAAACAACTTAGGGAAGAGTAAGTGATAGAAGAAAGTCATAAGAAAATATTAAGTCTGAAGCATTGGAAGACAAAATATGAGAGAAAGAGTAAAGAATATGAGATATATGAGACATGATTAAAAGTCTAACATGTATAACTGAAGTCCAAGAAGAAAGGAGAATATGTGGAAAAGAATGTATAAAGTGATAATAAAAAGATTTTCTCCAAACTGATAAAAGATATGAAGGTAAGGATTCCAGAAATGTGGTTCAAACTCAGCAGGATAAATAAAGTCACACCAAGGCAGGAACACTGATAAAAACTTCCTCAAATTCACAAATAAATTACATATACACATTACCATCAAACAATATATGTTTGGTTTAACACTGAAAAATCAATGAGTATAATATACTCCATTTACAAAACAAACAAGAAAAGTTAAATGTCTCAATAAATGTATAACGTACTTGATAAAATTCAATGTGTTATGTTACAAAAACATGGAATAAAAGTAAACAACCTTAGATAAAATGTACAAAATACCTATCCAATATTTAATGGTAAAATATTGAAAGCTTTTCACTGAGATGAGTAATGACACATTTTATCACTTTAACATTGCATTGGAGGACCTAATCAGCATGATAAAACAAGAAAAGGGATTACAAAGAAAGATTAGAAAAGATTAGATTAGAAAGATAAGATTAGAAAGATTAGATTAGAAAGAAATAAGATTAGAAAGAAAGCAATAAAACTGTCATAGTTGGTAAATTATATGATTGCATGCAAAGAATTAATCCAAAATAATCGAATAACAGAGAACACAGAAATAAAGTTGCACACCTAAAACCGTCTGATCTTCAACAAAGTCAACAATACCAAGCAATGGGAAAAAGACTCCCAATTTTGTATATAGTGAGTGGTGGGAGTACACTGGGATAACGGGCTAGCCATATGCAGAAGAGTAAAACTGGACCCCTTCCTCTTACCACATACAAAAATTAACTGAAGATGGATTAAAGATTTAAATGTCAGGCCTCAAATTACAAAAATTCCAGAAGAAAACCTAGCAAATACCATTCAGGACATTGGCCTGGGCAAAAAATTTATGATTAAGTCCCCATGAGCAATTGCAACAAAAAAATCAACAAGTGGGCCCTAATTAAAGAGCTTCTGTACAGCAAAAGAAACTATCAACAGAGTAAATAGCCTACAGAATGAAAGAAAATATTCTTAAGCGATGCATCTGACAAAGGTATAATATCCAGAATCTATAAGGAACTTAACAAGAAAGAAACAAATAATCCCATCTTTAAAATGGGCAAAGGATAAGAAGAGACACTTCTCAAAAGAAGATGTACATGCAGCCAACAAATATCTGAAAAGATGCTCAACATCACTAATCATTATAGAGATGTAAATCAAAACCACAATGAAATACTATCTCCTACAAATCAGAATGGCTATTATTTAAAACTCAAACAATAACAGATGATGATGAGGTTGTGGAGAAAAGGAAACTCTTATGGCCTGCTGGTGGGAATGTAAATTAGTTCACCCTCTGTAGAACACAGTTTGGTGATTTCTCAGAGAACTTAAAACAGAACTATCATTCGATCCAGCAATACCATTACTGGGTATATACCCAAAGGAAAACAAATTATTCTAACAAAAAGAAACATGCACTAGTATGTTCATCACAGCACTGTTCACAATAGCAATCTGTGAAAATTAATTTTCTCCAAATTGCTTCATAAATTCAGGAAAATTCCCATCAAAACCCTAGCACAGATACTTGTAGAAACTGACAACCTGATTCTCTGAAAAAGGTAAGAATAGCCCAGACTATCTGGGGGCTGGAGGGAAGTATTCTAGAGGATATTAAGACTCTTCATAAAGTTGTAGTAATTACAACAATGTGGTGTCCAAGCAAAATGACAAATGAATCAATGGAACAGAATGAAGCGTTTAGAAACAAATCCATAAATACATG
This sequence comes from Homo sapiens, assembly GCF_000001405.40. Lineage (NCBI taxonomy): Eukaryota > Metazoa > Chordata > Mammalia > Primates > Hominidae > Homo > Homo sapiens. The sequence goes on along the minus strand of NC_000005.10, from coordinate 63,264,695 downwards.
ACCACTCGAAATATGGCAAAAATTGACAGTGCAGATAGTAGGGAAGGAATAGAGTCTTTCCAATAAATGGTGCTGGATAATTTATATGTTCATGTGGGAAAAATGAAAATAAACTGTACATCACACCATAACAAATTAATATCAGAAAGATTGTGAGTCTATATGTAATAAGTAAAATAATAAAGCTTTTAGAAGAATATATTCATGAACTCGATGGGATCAATTTATGGACTCAGAAACAAAAATAATTATAAAGAGTGATACTTTCAAGTATGTGTTCATATCGTAAACATTATCCACCTGTACAATTATCACTTGAGAACTTCTCTTAATATATGTTCTGCTTCAATAAAAATGATGAAAATTCTACAACGAATTTTAAACTCAGTGTTGAGTCTTAAGAACATTTCCTTTAAAATATGAGGAATGCAAGGATGCCCACTATCAATACTTCACTACAACACTATACTAGAAGTTCTAGAAATGGAATAAGAAAAACCATCATAAGAATTGTCAATGTATACACAATGCTGTAATCATTTAAAAATGATATAATTGTCTACAGGAAGCTCAGAAAAAGTAAACATAAAATATTAGAATTAATAAGTGCAAGGTTTCTGCATATAGGATAAAAAGCATAATGAATATTTTGTGCATTAGCTGAAAACAATTGGAAAATAAATTTTAAATGATGTCATTTTTAGGAGTGACAAAGAGATATACTACCCAGGAATAATCAAACAAAACATGTACAAGACCTGTATGTAACTGTGAAAAAAATATATTACAGAAGAGTTAGATATATGGCAAAGCATACCATGTTTATTGATATAAAAATTAGTTAAAAAAAAAAAAGCAATGTACCCAAAATGCAATTCCAAATGGGATTTCAACACTATATTTTATGGAATTTGATAGTAATTCTAAAATGTGGAAGAATAAAGATTAAAGCATTTCTAAGACACTAATGAAAGAAAACAAAAGGACTTCCCCTACATGATGCAAGACTTCAATATAAAATTCAGTAATTAAATCAATGTGGTGAAGGAATAGGATAGATTAGTAGATAAAGAAACAAATGCAATAGACTGGTAAGTTAAGAAATAGTCACAGGTACACGCAGAAATCTGATACACAGCCAAGCCAGCATTGCAGAATGGCAAGTAAAGGATTGACTGTTCAAGAAATAGTGGTAGGATAATTGGTAATCTATAGTGAAAAAATAAGGAATCGATACCTCACATAGAAATCAATATTAGAGTGATAGGCACATACATGTGAAAGACAAAACTTTAAAACCTTTAGAAGAAAACAGAGTATCTTATATACGACATAGGAAGCAAAAATCATGAAGAAAAAGAGTGATATTAACTATATTAAAAATAAGAAATTCTGCTTATCAAAAAACATCATAAAGGACTTCTGTCACAGGTCAGGAGGGGTGTCTTACACCATAAACAATTAGAAAACTGGGCAAATGCATATGAAATCACTCTTTGCAGCCATTAAACTGTAAGTACTACTTAACTAAAATCCCTAAAAGAAAGAGAAAAAAATGAAATCATTCTTTTGATTACCCCATATTTCTACTTCTAAGCAATTTTTAGACAAGGAAGTGGGATGCAAAGAGAACCTGATGGTCTCTCAGTGAGTAGAGGAGATGGAGATGCTAATAAGGTGGGAACTTACAGCACAGAGTAATAAGAGGAAGGAACTACACAGAGAAAAATCTCCATACATCTGTGGACCTTTGGAGTCTTTGGCCAAATACTAAGTTGTTCACTCCGAGGGTAAAATAGGCAGGTGAAGAACAATTTTCAGGAAAAGAAAATATTCTGGAGAGCTATAAGCCAAACAATTCCAAGGGCTCACACAAGGCTTGGACTCATCCAAGGCCTCACAAGCCAGAATGGAGAGACCTTGCCAAATACATGGAGCTTAAAGTAGAGACCCTAAACAACAGTAATGTAGTGGGGGAGCTAAATTAGCCCTAGTGTAAAGACTACAACATACATGTCCTTAAAAAGGCTTTAAATGAAACGGCTATGCCAGAACTGTAATTCCCTTCAGGGCAGAAGGCCAATAGTGGCTATCTAAGTAAATACAACACATTATACATATGGACAACATTTACGATGTCTGAGATCCAATTGGAAATTACCACTCAGGCAACAAAAGAAGGAATATGTGACCCATTTCCAGGAAGAAAAAAAAAATCAGTAAATAAAAAGAGATTTGGGAATCACAGAGATGATGAAATTAGCAGACAAGGACATTCAAATACCTATTGTATTACTCAGCAATTAAAGGAAATGAATCACTAATACATGTCGTAACAAGAATCACCAAAGCATTGAGTGAAAGAAGCCAGACACATAAGATTACACACAACATTATCCCCTGTACTTAAAGTGACAGAAAATGCAAAATTATGGGGACAGAAAACAGATCAGAGGTTGCCAAGGGCCAGAGGTAGAGATAGGGAATTTGTTGCAATGGAGCAGGAAAAAACTTTGCAAGGTGATTAAATCGCTTTGGACTTTGGTGGACTTAAGAGCATTCTTAATTTGTGAAAATGTTTCTTGATTGTGGTGGCAATTACATGATTATATACCTTTGTCAAAACTTACTGAACTGAGCATGTTGAAAGAATAAGATTAATTGTATATAAATTATATTTTAATAAACCTGACTTTTTAATAAAAGAAGGTACAGTCATACATTACTTATTGACAGGAATACATCCTAAGAAATGCACCATTAGACCTCATTGTTGTGCAAACATTATAGAGTGTGCATACAGAAACCTAGATGATATAGCCTATGACACATCTAGGCTAATGGTATAACCTATTGTTTCTAGGCTATAAACATTTACAGCATGTTACTGTAATACTCAATAGTATAGGCAATTATAACACAATGGTAAGTATTTGTGTATCTAAACATATCTAAGCATAGATAAGGTACAGTAGGCCAGATGTGGTGGCTCACACCTGTAATCCCAACACTATGGGAGGCCGAGGTGGGTTTATCACCTGAGGTCAGGAGTTCGAGACCAGCCTGGCTAACATGGTGAAACCCCATTTCTATTAAAAATACAAAAAATTAGCCTGGCATGGTGGCACACACCTGTAATCCCAACTACTTGGGAGGCTGAGGCAGGAGAATCGCTTAAACCCGGGAGGTGGATGTTGCAGTGCAGAGGCCAAGATTGCACCATTGCACTTCAGCTTGGGCAACAAGAGCAAAACTCCGTCTCAAAAAAAAAAAAAAAAAAAAAAGATAAGGTACAGTAAAAATACAGTCTAAAAGATTTAAAAAATGATATACCTATACATACAGGGCACTTACAAGAATGGAGCTTGGATGACTGGAAGTTGCTCTGGGTGAGTCAGTGAGTGAGTGGTGAGTGAATGTGAAGGCCTCAGACATTATTGTACACTACTTTAGACTTTATAAACATTGTACACCTAGGCTACACTAAATTTATAAAATAACAAAGCAATTGATCTACAATGGTAAGATAGCTACAACATTACTAGGTGATAGGAATTTTTCAGCTCCATTATAATGTTGTGAGACCACTGTCATATACTTGCTTAGTCATTGATCAAAACATTGCTGTGCAGCACATGACTATAACTGTGTGAAAACAGATAGAATAAAAACAAGAAAAATGGAAAATTAAGAAAACAGGAAGTACCAAAAACAAAAATCTCAAGGAACAGGACAGATAGATTAGACACTGTAGAACAAAAGATCAGGGAACTATAAAATAACAGAAACTACCCAAAATCAAGTTCGGAGAGAAAAAAATAAAAGAGTAAAGCAATGACCTGGGAAAAGATACTACATTTTCTAGCATGCATGTCATTAGAGTCCTAGAAGGACTAGAGAAAAGGAGGAGAATGGAAAAAACACATATGAAGAAATAATTGGGCTTCTTGCTTGTGCTTAGGTGGTCGACATCTGGAAAGAACTTTGCTTTAGCCCTAACAAAAAGAAGCCCGAAGATAACAGTCTTTCCTGTTCTTCCTTTGTAGTCCTAAGGCTTTTATTCCACAGGGGAGAAGGATCTGGACAGGGCTGCCTGACTTGACCTGACTTCATTGATACCCCATCCTGGTCTTTGATTACCATGTGGAAATCTGCAGAAAAGAGCCTACTGGGGGTGCAAACTCCCCTTGTATCTCTGGGTCCCAGGAGGTCCTCTGGAGTTCTGAGACACTCCTAGGATCCACAGGAACTTCAGAGGAACTCCTGGGACCCATTGACGCAAAGGGAGTTTGTATCCTTTTAGCCTATAGAATGCTGCTATAACAGAAATATCATAGACCAGGTGGCTATTTTGTATAAAATCTACAAAAACATACTGTTTAATGAACCAATTGAAGAGTTAAAGTTCCACAAAATCAACTAGACTAAAAATCTAAGGAAAGTCAGGCACTTCCAAGAAATGCTTGGGCATGAGAACTGACTCATCAGGAGCAGAACACAGGAGATATATGAACCAGCATACAAGCGGGTAAGCTAAAAGTTTTAGCAAGGTACTAAAGGCCACACATGCAGGTGAGTGTGAGAGACTAGAACTCCTGCATCCACAGACTCAAGGAGAGTTTGCACCCCCTCGCAGGATCTTTTCTGCAGATTTCTACATGGTAATCAAAGATCAAGATTGGGCATCAATAAAAGCAGGTAAGTCAAGCAACCCTGTCCAGATCCTTCTTCCCTGTGGAACAAAAGCCTTAGGACTACAAAGGAAGGGTAGCAAAGACTGTTATCCCCACAGCTTAAAATCTACTGCAGGTGGGGAAAGAGAAGAGAAGATGTCCTCTATGCTAAGGAGAAGGCAGAAAACTACTGGCCTGGGCCTACACCATTGTAGGTCTGCGCTGGGAGAAATCATTACCAGTAGGCCTACAGTCCAAATTGTTAAGAGATGTTCTTTGGCAAAAAAATTAGTAAATAAATAAATTGAAAGCTTGAATCTACACCAGGGTTCGGCAAACATTTTCCATATAGAATCAGTAAATAGTTAAAAAGTAGGTTTTATGGGCTGCACAGATTCTGCTGCAAGTACTCAACTCTGCCATAGTGGCATGAAAGTAGCTGTATACAATATCTTAGTCTGTATTATGCTGGTACAATAGAAATCTCATAGACTGGGTGGCTATTAAACAACAGAAATTTATTTCTCACAGTTCTAGAGGTCGAGAAGTCCAAGATCAAAGTGCCAATAGATGTGGTATCTGATGAGGACCTATTTCCTATTCATAGATGATGTCCCGCATGGCAGACAGAAAGCACTAGAAGTCTCTCTCAGACTTCTTGTACAAGGGCATTAATTCTACTGATACAGGCAGAGCCCTCATGAACTAATCACCTCCCTAGGACCCCATCTCCAAATACCATCACTTGGAGGGTTAGGATTTCAACACATGAGTTTTTGAGGGACACAAACATTCAGACCACAGCCTACAATATGTGAATGAATGAATGAGTTTGCATTCCATAAAAGTTATTTACAAAAGCAGGTGGCACACTTTCTTGTGTGTTGCCCTGATCTACATGGGAAGGAAGAATGTCAGAAATGGTAAATTCACAGGTAAATATAAAATACTTATTTTCTCATTTTTTTAATTAAAAACTTTCATTACCACTTCCCTAGAGCAAATTTTAATGAAGTAAATATAAGACATAAACTAATAAACCCAATTGTGGAAATAAAATAGAATACTTAAAATAACTAGTAAATTCAAAAAAAAGTCAAAAATGGAAGAGAAAACAACAAATGAAACAAACAGCAGGAAAAAAGATGTTATAAAATTTTAATTATGTAAAATGGAAATAGTCTAAACACACCAATAAAAAAGCAGATGTGCCAGGCACGGTAGCTGACTCCTGTAATCCCAGCACTTCGAGGGCTGAGGAGGGCAGATCACTTGAGGTTAGGAGATCAAGACTAGCTTGGGCAAGATGGCGAAACCCCGTCTCTACTAAAAATACAAAAATTAGCCAGGCATGATAGCAGGCGCCTGTAATCCCAGCTACTCAGGAGGCTGAGGCATGGGAATTGCTTGAACCCAGGAGGTGGAGGTTGCAGTGAACCGAGATCACATCACTGCACTCCAGCCTGGGTGACACAGTAAGATTCTTGTCAAAAATAATAATAAATAATAAATAAATACATAAAAAACAGAGATTGTTAGATTGGTTTAAAAGGGCAGCTGTATACTAGAAGTGCATTTTTAATATAACAACACAGATGGGTTAAAAGGAATGAAAATAATATAACATATAAACATAAATTACAAAGCAGGATTGGCTACATTAATATCAAAGTAGACAAGGACAAGGACAGGAAGTATTGCCAGAGATAAAGAGGAACTACATAGTTTCTGACAAAAGGTCTGTGAACATTCTTATCAGTACTGGCTGCTTTTAATATTTTAATATTTTCTTTGTTGCCAGTTTTCAACAATTTGATTAAAATGTGCCAGGCGTAATTTTCTTTGGAAATAAAGAGGGTTTGGCCAGGTGCAGTGGCTCACGCCTGTAATCCCAACACTTTGGGAGGCCGAGGCAGGCAGATCACTTGAGGTCAGGAGTTCGAGACCAGCCTGGCCAACATGGCAAAACCTCGTTCTACTAAAAATACAAAAAAATTTAGCTAGGCATTATGGTGCACACCTGTAATCCCAGTCTCGGGAGGCTGAGGCAGAAGAATCGCTTGAACCCAGGAAGCGGAGGTTGTGGTGAGCTTAGTTTGTGCCACTGCACTCCAGCCTGGGTGACAGAGTGAGACTCCAGCTCAAGAAAAAACAAATAAATAAGTAAATAAAAATAAAGAGGTTCAATTCGTCAAGAAGATGTAATAATCCTAAATATGAATGCACCTGAAAACAGAGCATCAAAATATATGAAGCAAAAACCAATGAAATCAAAAAAAGGTACAGATATATACATGAGAATTTTTAAAGAATGGAAATGAGGCTGGGCACAGTGGCTCACGCCTGTAATCCCCGAGGCAGGCAAATTACTTGAGGTCAGGAGTTCAAGACCAGCCTGGCCAACATAGTGAAACCCAGTCTCTACTAAAAATACAAAAGAAAAAAAAAGTATCCACATGTGGTGGTGCATGCCCGTAATCGCAGCTACTTGGGAGGCTGAGTCAGGAGAATTGCTTGAACCCAGGAGGCGGAAGTTGCAGATTGCTCCACTGTATTCCAGCCTGGGTGACGAAGCAAGACTCTGTCTTGAGAAATAAATAAATAATAAAATAATGGAAATGAAATAATCTAATAAATAGAGGATAAGAAACCAATAGGGATATAAAAGACTTGAATAATACAATCAAACAAAATTACTGAATTGATATAACATTTCACCCAATACCAAAAAATACACATCTTTTCAAGATGTACAATTCAGTGGATTTTAGGATATTTTCAAAGCTGTGAAACTATCACCACTATAATTCCAGGACATTTCCTGCATCTCAGCAAGAAATCCAGTGCCCATTAGTAGTCACTCTTCATTCCTTTCTCCCCTTTGCTCCTAGTAGCTGCTAATCTGTTTTCTGTCTCCATATATTTGCTTATTTTGAACATTTCATACAAATGGAATCACCCAGAATGTGGCCTTTTGTGTCTGGCTTTTTTTTCTTGGCATATGTTTTTAAGATTCGTCCCTGTGTAACACCAATCAATATTCCATTTCTTTTTATGACTAAATAGTGTTCCATTGTACAGGTATGCAATGTTTTGTCTATCCATTCATCCGTTGAGGATTTCTTCAATATATTTCATTTGTTATTAATTTAGTTTCATTGTGATATCAGAGAAACAAAGAAAATACCAAGGAAAAGAACAGTTAGAAACAAGGAGAAAAAATGAAACTTAGTTTAGATGTTAGGCTGCTTAATTTTCACTTGCTGTAAAAATTAAAGCCCTCTAGAAAAGACCTGGTTCACCATTCTACCTCATTGTATTCCATCAAGTCCAGATTCCAAAAATGATATATCATATTCAAAAATAAAATCATAGTTGTATCTATAATTTTTTACTGTCCTTGAGGTCACAGTGATTCTCAAGGGAAAGCTTTTTTAAAAAATTCTGAACATTCTGAGAATAATTTCTGAAATAAAATATTAAATTGAGATCACAATACTGCCCTATAAATCAACTGTAAATGAAATTAGTTTAAGCTGGAAATATCTTAGTTATTTTATATATATTTATTACAAATTGAATGGTAACTGATTAGCAGAATCATTCAGGAAAATACTTTCTTAGCAGGAATATATTTGTCCAAGAATTTTCTATAAGTCTATGCCAGTTTTATGGGTCATGACGGCAGTTCTCGATCTGCATTTTCCTGAAGAGTTATAATAAGAATGTTCTTCAGGGATTGGCATCTAAAGTATAATGAAGGACATTGTTAAAGAAAGTATCTTTTGGGCTTAAATTAAGTATCTCTAGAGGCTGAGTGATAACAAAATGAGTTTTTCACATGCTCACCAGAGAGTGAAAACATCAATAACACAAACTGGAATTCTATTCCTTATTCAGAAATGCTATTCTTCTTACGATAACTTTCCATCACTTTAAACTTTGTCAATTAGTAATACAAACATTTAAACAGAAATAAGTTATATTTTACGTTTCCTATGCAAATTGTACCTCTATTTTTGAAGTATTATAAACAAGACTGTAAGGAAAGACTGCAACTGCACAATGGGTTCACCTTGCCTGCTGCCTAGACAGAGCCTATTTATCAAGACAAGGGAATTGCGATATAGAAAGAGGGCCTGCTGTGCGGGAGACTGGAGTTTTGTTATTACTCAAATCAGTCTGCCAGAGCATTCAGGGATCAGAGTTTTTAAAGACAATTTGGTGGGCGGGGAAGGGCAGTGAGTCAGGGAGTGCTGATTGGTTGGGTTGGAGATTGAATCATAGGGCGTTACTGTCTTATTGCGGAATCAGTTCCTGGATGAGGGTCACAAGATCAGATGAGCCAGTTTATTGATCTGGTGGTGCCAGTTGATCCATCAAGTGTAGGGTCTCCAAAATATCTCAAGTGCTGATCTTAGGAGCAGTCTAGGGAGGGTCAGAATCTTGTAGCCTCCAACTGCATGACTCCTAAACTGTAATTTCTAATCTTGCAGCTGATGTTAGTAGTCTAATCCCCAAGATAGAAGGAGGTTTGTTTTGGGAAAGCACTGTTATCTTTGTTTTAAACTATAAACTAAGTACCTCCCAAAGTTAGTTCAGCTTACACCCAGGAAGGCTTAAATGTTAGAAGCAAGATGGTGTCAGTTAGGTTAGATCTCTTTCACTGTCTCAGTCATAATTTTGCAAAGGTGGTTTCAAAACATTTAAAATGCTTTAATGAACAAATCATGTTCCAGAAACACCAACAATACCTTCTACAAACATACATATAACAAGTACAGTTTAGAACTGTAGGGTAGAAGGAAAATGCCCCTCCCTCTGCTGCTCTCTGAAGGTTCACTGCAATGACTGACAAGAAACAATAGGAGAAAATTCATAGACATTTGTTAATGTGCATAAGCATGGAAGCCATATAAAATATGAAACTCAAAGAATACACAGTAGATGAGGCTTATATACCCTCTTCATAAGAGAAAAGGAGAAGGGAAAATATAGACAATTTGAGGGGTTCTAAATGATTTTTAGTGGAATTGAATAAATCCAAGAGGTAGATGTTATCTTGTAAATTATTCTTTTAGGAAACTGAATGGGACAGCAAGTTATGGGAAGGTGAGGGGCAGAGCTATACTGTGAACAAAGGTTTTCTTATTATGTAGATAAAGTCTCTCAGATGATCTCTTGAAGCTGCCCTCAGAAGAGTGATTGAAAAGTCTCTCTCAGCATGGTGATAGCTTTTCGTCTCTTCTCTTCTCCAGTGGTTAATCTTTTCTAGTTATTTGATGATATTCCTAGGGAGGGGGTCTTAAGACAATTGCCTTTCTTTTAAAAAGAAGTTTCCTTTGTCAGATAAGGAAATGCCAGAGAGAGCCTATTCCTGCCCTTGAGGGAAGAAGAAATAAAAGATTAGAATGTTTTTGCTGAGGCAGCCCCTAAGGCCTTCTAATTCTAATATGCTCAGAATGCCAAAGCCCCATACTTTGGGATCTTGTTCTCTGTACCCTAACAATAGCTTTTGTTTGTTAAAATGTATCTTCTAAGAAACACTTATAAACAATACTTTGTTCAATCAATATTTATTGAGCACATACTCTGTCATCTTTTAGGTACCTGGGATACACCCATGAATAAAAAAATAGGAGAGGGGAAAGGGAAATAAACAGTAAAAAGAATGAGTAAGAAAATTATCCAGTATTTTAGAAGGTGATAAATGATATGGGAAAAAGAAAAAGTAGAGCTAATTAAGGGGCATCAGAAATGGTGGACAGGGTGTGGGAATGGTACAGGATACAGTTTAAATCTGATGTCCAGGATACCCCTCATTGATAAAGTGAAATTTTTAAAAACGATTTAAAGTAGGTAAGGAAGTGAGCCATATTTGAATATCCGGAGGGAAAACAGTCTAGGCAAAAAGAAAGGTCAATGCAAATGTCCTTAGGCAAGTGCATGTGTGGTGGGTTTTGAGATCTCCCTATTTTGGATAATATCTTTGCTTTTCTCCCAATCCTCCAGGAAGAATTAAATCTTTGGGCCTTCTCTTTTCTTTCTTCATGTGGAGTTACTTGGCCCTTCCTGACCCCTGTCCATTATACCCTTCTTGGCAGTACCTTCTCTCAGCACTTTTATGCCTCCTGCAAGGATGGCTACAATTGCATCCAAAGCAATCACCTTGATTTCTCAATCTCACTGTTCTGATCATGGATCTTTCTTACTGTTTCAGTTAACTCTCTACCACCTCTAGAGAAAGTTTGAATTTCTTAGCAATTAAGGATTTCTTGGCTCTACTCTCTCATGTGCCTTTTTATCTTCATGTTCCCATTCCCTCCCTCTAGGGCAAAATTGGACCACTAACTTCCCATAATGGTACTGGCACTTGCCGACCCTTTATTTTTCTCATGCTCTTCTCTCTCCCTGTAATGTCCATTTGCCTCCATCTCATCCTGTTGAAATCTAAATTCTTCTTAAAGGACCCACACACCACCTCATTTCTTCAATGTTTTCTGATTTCCCCGACTGAAGTGATGGCTCCCTCTTCTGAACTTTCAGAGCACTTTGCACCACTCTTGGCTCATGTATCATGCTCTGCTTTGTATTATGTTCGCTTTTAATATGAATTTGTCTTCCAGTAAATTGAAGTCTCATAAATTTGGGCACCAAACTTATACATTTATAACTTATACAAAAATGTCTCATACATTTTTTAGCATCAACAATAGACAACACAAATATGCAATCAATATAATGGGATGAATATGCAACTGAATTTTTTAGGAAAAAGGAAATATACATTTAATTGAGATTATATTTGTCATGTTGATCAAGCTTTATAAATTTGGTCTGTACAAAGGAGTATAAAGATAGCTATGAATGACTATACGCCTCTCACCAGAAAGGTGTTTTTAGCAATAATAGAAGTAAAAAACTGACTCTGGGACTATTAACTTATTCGAAAGCCAACATTATAATAATGAACCATTATTAAATGAGTATTATATGCTTAGCACTGTGGTTAGTACTTATTGGATTTACGTTATTTATTCCTCACAAAACCCTTGAATTATGTATTCTTGTTATTCTCTTCATTTTCAGGTGAAGAAACACAGGATATGTTTGGTTGAGTAAACATATTAAAAATTATGTTTTCACAACATCATAGATATCTGTTCTGAGGAATTTAGAAGACAAATTTTTCTTCATATATAAATGTATTTATAAATTTTTATACATTTAATGCTTTATGTTGCTCTTCTGTGAGCACTCTTGGACTGTACCAGAATCTCACTTTTATTAATTGAAAAAAGTAGGATGGCTTAGTTTTAAGAATTAAAGTTTCAAAGTACAAATCTGGATTAATAAATCTAGAAGGGTTTTTTTTTCATAAAATGACCTCAGTTATATGTGTTATTAAAAGTGGCCAATGATGAAAACCATATCCTTCACAGATTTTACTGCTGAGGTGAAGGGGAATGAATTTTTCCACTGAAAGTTGGAGTGAAATTCTTAAGCCACCTTCGAGTAAAATACTTATATGTGAATCCAAGTTGTCAGGATAGACTAACTTTTTTTTTTCTTCTAGACAGAGTCTCCCTCTGTCTCCCAGTCTGCAGTGCAGCGGCGCGATCTCGGCTCACTGCAACCTCCGCCTCCCGGGCTCAAGCAATTCTCGTGCCTCAGCCTCCCAAGTAATTGGGATTACAGGCATGTGCCAACATGCCCAGCTAATTTTTGTATTTTTAGTGGAGACAGGGTTTCGGCATGTTGCCCAGGCTGGTCTGGAAATCCCAAGCTCAGGCAATCTACCCACCTTGGCCTCTCAAAGTGCTGTAACTTTTCTTTAATTGCTAATTATCTCCTGGAGAAGGGGGTGCTCCTACTGAAAGGCAGGGGTATAGACTATAATAACAAAGCCTGTGTCTGCTTCATGAGTAATATTTGGCTTCACAATACAAATGGCAGACTCTAGTCCTTAAAAGTCATTAGCCAGAAAGAAGGGGCTAGAATATCTGGTTATTTGGCAGGCCTTCCATGATAAGAAACAATCCTTTGAACCAAGCAATCAAAGACGTCTAAGCTCCTGGGTTTAGAACTGGCAGAGACTACTGGCAGAGCATGTTTTTATCCTTAACAAATTACTTCAAAAATAAGCAAAATAAATTATTCTAATAGATTATGTACAGTATCCCTGGTGAACAAAATTACACACAATTAATGCAACAGAAAGCCGAATACAATGGGAAATGTCATGAGTATCAAAGAGAGAGAAAAAAACCATGTGCAAAGCAAGAGGGGTTTATAACTGGGTGACATTAGGAAAATTACTTTAGTAACTGGAATATCAAGAAGGGCATCATTTTTATGGAAAAGATACAAACCACAAATTAAAAATGATGTTACCTCTATATAGCAAAAAATCCTGGTCACTTAGTGTTTTATAAGAAAAAAATATATGAAGCAAAACACTCTCTCACTGATCATTCAGGTGAGCAAGTTTAAAGCATTCTAATTCATTTCACTATTATGCTAAATCACTAGCAACACAGTTGTAAGAACCAATTAAGTAAGAAACTTTTCAAAGTTAGGAACTGTGAGGCTAGTGAAGGAATTTTGGCGTCTACTGAAGTAATATGTATGATGATTTAAAATCAGCATGCATTTAATAAATTCTTATTGAATAAATTTTTTGTTATCTTTAGATTGTGGCTGTAGGAAGTTTATGTTTATAGCTTGAACCAACACTCCTGACCTTGGTTTCACACAGAAAATTTTAAATTTGGCATTCAGTTTCTCAAATAGAATTTCTAAATGTGTAAAATGGACCTTTGACCTAAGTGTCTATTATCATAATTAGCACAAAAAACAAAGGACTTTAGCTCTGTGGCTCACTTAGCAAATAGTGCAAATCCCATAGTCCAGAAGACCTTGAATAATGTTTGCTAAAGTGTGTAGCACATTTTACAAAGCAATAAAATTTGTAGAAAATCCCTAGCCTCCTAGAATGGAATAAAATTTTCTTCCCTCTATGGTCCACGTCTATTTGCAATGGAGAGATGTGTATTGATCTATCATGCAGTGAATCTCTCTCTCCGGCCACTATTGATTTCAATTTACCAATTGACAAGGTTCACAGACTTAGTTTTAAATGTGTTGAAAGTATATGTGCTGTCAAAGGACAACTATTTATCAAGGGAGCCTTGAAGCCATTGGATGAAATCAATTTGCCAGTAGCCTGTCACAGTCTACTAAATCTAGCAGAGTTGAAGGAGCATGGAAAAGTTTCAACTGAACAAGCTCTTTAGTCCCCCCTTGTTATAATATTTTAATGCTACAACCAATTTCTAGGCATCCACTCTAATTAAATAAACAAGTATCTTCACTTACTTCACTTACTATGTATAACAAACTGGGCTAACTCTCAGAAGGTGGGGTTCTAATAATGACCATTGACTCATCTTGGGGCCCCAGGAAATCCATGTCGTGTCCATGCTCCAGTTTCTCCATCTGTGCAACACATATGGTAGCAGCTGCTCTTTTCAAACTTGCCATCATTCTCAGCCTCCTCTAATTCACAGGGAAACACTGAGGATAAGTGAGAAAATGGATTCTATCCCCAAGCCAAAGGTCATTTCAGTGGTACTCTTAAGAACAAGGAGATGAGCTTCTATACTTATAACATACTTATAGGATACTATGTTATACTTCTATAGCATCCTCTCTATTGCCACACCGTGTGCTCCCTTCCCTACCCCAACATCTATTCATATCTAATCACAAAAATACAGAGCTATACTGGCCTTAAAGGGAGCAGAGTTTTATTTCCTGAATTGCTGGGCAGAGAATCAACCCTTCTGATGCCGGTCAGTTCCCTCTTGTAGTCTACTTTCCAAGTGAACATCAAACTGTTTGCTAAGTGAGTCACAGAGCTAAAGCCTTATTTTTTCCTTATAAAACAGTAAGTGACTAGGATTTTTTGGTACATAGAGTTAACATATTATTTTTAATTTGTGGTTTGTATTTTCAATAACAATGGTGCCCTTGTTGGTAACCCAATTATCAGAATAAATTTTCTTAAGTCAATATAGCTCCCTATTTTTGTAACTAGATATTAACAGATGTTAGGGTAGGGAAGAGACACACAAGTGTGGCAACAGAGAGGATGCTATAGACGTATAACAAAGCTCATCTCCTTCTTGTTCTTAAGTGAAGTAAGTAAAGATGTTTGTTTATTTAATTAGAGTAGATGCCTACAAGTTCACTTGTGACTTGTAAGTAAAAGTAAATCCAGCCCATCTCTGTTCTTTGTCTTGGCTAATAGTATTACCTATCCAAGTGCCAATTTTTGTTTCAAGTGTTGCCCTGGAACCACCCCTGCCTACTACGTTCAGCCTAGTCAGTACAATTTGCCATTTCTTCTATCACAGAGTTTCTTAACTCTGTGGCTTCTCTTAATATCACCTCTTATATCTTGTTTAGGCCCTTATTATTTATTTTCTAAATTATTACAATAGCTACAGATAGGAGGAATCACTCTTGCATTCTATTATTGCTAGAATTATTTTGAAGGTACTAAACTGACCATGTCATTTCCCTACTTACACTCCTCTGATGACTTCTCATCACTTATAAGAGAAAGTCTGAAGGCATCGGAATATAAGTCTCTCTTACCATTTTCAGCTACACTCTCATGATGACTAAATTCTAGTTACACCATTATACTCCTCCTCTAGGTTAGGTTTCCCAAGACGGTGACCCTGGAACAGGATGGAATGGCAAGAATTTTATCAGGAAAGTGGTCCCAAAAAGCACCAGTAAGGAAGTGTGAAACTGAGAAAGTCAAGAGAAGAAAGTCGATTAGAGTTTGCTAATAAATGATTACTTTTGTGGGCTCAGATGCACACAATTCCCCAGCAGATACTGGGTGGCCGTGTGGAACACACTTCAGAGTTACTCCATCCAAAGAGCAAGGATGCTGGGATATTAATTTTTCACTCCCATCTGTCACACTTTGAGAGCAGCTCCAGAGCACATTCATTTGCCCTCTCCAACACTTCCAGCCTGCAGGCTGTACAGGTTCCTATGGTCAGAGGGGCCTTCAGACAGAGCTTAAGGAGCCACCAGCCTGAATATAAATAGGATACGCACTAAGAGTGCCCGCTAGCTCACACATCTGCAAAAACACCATGTTCTTTCCTACTTCTGGCATGCTTTTTTGTATTTCTGTTCATTTTTAATGCTGTTGTTTCTATCTCTAGTGTCTTCACCTCACTTTTCTTCCAAGTATAAAGCCCACATCTCTTGAGACTCTCCACATACACCAGGTTTGTTGGCCCCTCTGTCTTCTGGGCTACATAAGATTCTACTGCAGGATGCAGACAGAATTGTGTGCAGCAGAAGAGTGGCTACATTACTGTAAACAGTTTTTACTTCCATCCTTTCTCTGTTCAACGTCAATTATTCAGAGTAGATAATGGTAATTTATGTTTGTATCCTCATGATCTGTCTTGCTCCAAGTACCCAATATCTACTCAGTCCTTTGTAAATACCTTAAATGAAAGACACATGAAAAAATTACTCATGTCTGGTTTTCTCAGAAGGTATGCTATTTCCTTGGAATTTAACTTTTTACAGAGAATGGTCCATCATATTTTAATGTTTATTAGTATGTGAAAAAGTCATTCACTCAGGCAGACCCACACCTCCCTTAAAATTGTAACTGTGAACCTGCATTTTCTGTTTGTTGATGTTATTTTGTGACTGTATTCCAAAGTCCCCAGGATGTATTTTTCTTGCTCTTTTATGTTATGTCTTACTAGTTGCTAAAATCATTTTAATTAAAGTTATACCCTTGCATTATAGACCAGTTAGGTGGAGTTACCATGCTTATCATAAAATGTGTGCCTGACCATCAAGAAAAGATGGTGTTTGGGGCAAATACAACAAATTCCACCCTCTTCCCATCTTATTTTTAAAAGTGATAACTGCAATTATTCTGAAAACTTGACTATAAGAAAATGATGTATCCAAATAAAAACAGAAATTTTAAAACTTTCTGGTCTAGACCTTTAGTCTAAACAATTTGATACAGATTGTGAGTCAGCAAACTTTTCCCATAAAGGACCAGATAGTAAATATTTTAGAACTCTTTTGCAGACATATGACTCTGCTGCTGTAATATGAAAGCAGTGTTAGGGCAGAGAAAGCTTCCTTCCCACGCTCTGAAAGTTCACTGATATGGCTGACAATAGCAGAAAAGGCATATAAATTTATTAACTTGCACATGGACATGTGAATTCCACAAATATGACACTCAAAGAAGAAGGACCAGATGGTTGAGGCTTATATACTCTCTACCTAGGGGAGAGGGAGATGAGAGAAATGTAGGCAATTTGAGGGGTTCTATATTATTGTTAGGGAAATTGAATAAACTGAAGAGGCAGACATGATCTTGTAAGTGATTCTCTTAGGAAACTGAATGGGACCAGCAAGATTTGAGAAGGTGAGAGATATAACTGCACCATGGACGATGGTTTCCTTATTATATAAAGTCTCTCAGGTAATCTCTCAAAGCTGCCCTCGGAAGATTAGATGAAAAGTATATCTGGTCAGGGTGATGACTTTGAGTCCCTTCTTATCTCTGGTGGTTAATCTTTCCCGATTATTTGATGAGATTCCTAGAGAGGTAGTCTTAAGACAATTGCATTTATTTTGAAAAGAAGTGCCCTCGGTCAGTTAAGAAAATTCCAGAGAGTCTTTCCTTGTGCTTAGGGAGAAAAGAAGCAAGAGAAGATGAGAGAGTCTTGGTTCTGAGGCAGCTTCTAAGGTTTTATAATTTCTTTTAATTCAAAGTGTTCAGCCTGCCAAAGTACCACATTTTGGGGTCTATTTTACTAAACCCCAGTAGTAGTCATAAAAATATATAAATCAGCTGCTTTCTAATAAAACTTTATTTACAGTAACAGGCAGGAGACCAGATGTGGCCCATGGAACATAGTTTAGTTACCCCTGATCAACAGGATTAAAGTAGTCCACTGGCACTCTACCCTCCTCTACAATTTTTCATCTTCAATATCTGGTGACAAAAAAAAAAATACGAGGCAAGCTAAAAAATAAAATTAATTCATAGTGAAACAGAAACAGCAAAAAGACAGTAGAAACAGAAACACAGGGTGATTAATTATTTGAATTCTATAGTTACAAAATGCCAAAAGCACTCAGAACCTTTATTTTTGGAAATGAGAACTTTTAAGCTTAATTTTATCTTATGTATTTATTTTTAGAAGAAAAATTGTCTTCTCTCACAACGACAATAATTATCATTTTTCTCTCTGCTTTAAAAAATACATAAAATAAGACTTTTAAAAAACACTTTTGAGGATATTTTTGGTTTAGAATCCATTGTTTGTTTGAAGGGTGAATAAAGCTCATAGAATTTACTTATGGAGCACATATAGGAAATGTTAAATTGCTAATGAATGAGGGGGTGTTGGCAAATTGTTGCTGTAGACAAAAAACTACTGAGGGATTTTTTGATAATCTTATGTTTAAGAGGTGCTAACTTTATTGCTTCAGAAGTGAATAGCATGCACCAAAAACTCCACAATTTATGAAAATAGGGATTAGGTTTCAAGATACTATTTATTTAGGGTATTTGCAGAAATGTACTTCTTTAGCTTGTAAATTTAGAAGTTTTCACTGGAGAAGAGCAGTGGCTGGTCAAATTCAAATGTATTAATCTTGCACAGAATAACAGTGATGACAATAGCAAAAGTCCAAAAACAAAACTTTCACTGTTTTTGTAACTTCTCTTAACAATTAAATGTGGCCCGACCACAGGACACCTTAGCTAAAATTCAGAAACTTTTGGATATTGTTTTGGTTCCTCAGGCCAAGATATCTTGCTATATCAATTTGTATGCTCAGAGCCTGCATGAATATAATGAATACAAAGGGGGCATAATGTTTAAAAAGTGTGTTACTGTGCTTGAGCCATTTCCCAGGTGATATGCAGGAGCTGAAACAAAGTGTCAATAATATAAAGCCAGAGGCTCTTGGAAGTCTCTTTGTTCAGGAAAGAGTACATTCCACTTGTTCAATTTCCAGTAGTTTATATTCCTTTTTCACCAGAAATTCAACAGTCCAACCAATTTCTAAAACCAAATTAGAATGGCAGTTTCAGACCTCGGACATAAGAGAAACAAACAACTTTTTCCAGAAGCATCAGTGTAGACAATGAATATAGATGTGATCTTTAGAGATAATGTCCTGAAATGCTCGATAGTAAATCATTAACTACAATTATCCCTGGGAATAAGTTTCTTCCAAAGCATATGAAGCCCATTTTTTCAAATCCTGCACACTTTCAATTTGTTAAGGAGTGAAAAGTTTGGTAGTATTGTGAGAAATTATTAGAAGGCAAAGCTTTGATGGTGACTTACTTGGCAAAATCTGACCAGAAAAATATTTTGTGGTTGTGTTGAGCAGTGAATGCATCAGGTCCTGGGCTTCTTTTTTTTAACAGGAGACTTTATTACAGCTTCTAGCTCATTACTCATCATTAGTTTGCTGAGATTTTCTATGTCTTCATGATTCATTTCTTGGTAAGTTGTATGTGTCCAGGAATTTATTCATTCCTCATACGTTTTCCAGTTTGTTGGCATATAGTTGTTCATAATAGTCTTTAATGAGTCTTTATATTTCTGAGGTCTCAGTTGTTACAGCTCCTTTTTTCTGATTTTATTCATTTGGGTCTTCTCTCTTTTTTTTCTTAGTCTATCTAAAGGTTTGTCAATTTTGTCTGTCTTTTCAAAAAACCAACTTTCCATTTTATCTTCTGTATTGTGTTTTTATTCTCAATTTTATTCATTCTTTGTCTGATCTTTATTATTTTTTCCCTCCTACTAGTTTGGGGTTTGGTTTGTTCTTGCTTTTCTACTTTTTTGAGATTCATTGTTAGGTTGTTTGCTTGCAGCGTTTCTACTTTTTTGAGGGGTGTTTATTGCTATAAACTTGCTTCTTAGTGCTGCTTTTGCCATATCCCATAGATTTTCTTTTTTTTTAAGAGACGATACCAGCATTGGTACAAAATGGTGACATTTTTAATAACAAATTCCAGTAGCAATGCCTTCTGTTACTTCTCTTGGAAAAAAATGAGGAGGATTGCAAATTTTTGGAGGATTTACGTAATAAGAATATTAGTTATGTATGCTATTTTTCAATGCAAAACAAATTGACAATAAAATCACAGCCACATTTTTATATTTTTACAAAAGGGATTTTAGATTCGATACAATTACTTAGGCTGGCAAAAAAAGATTGTAAATGTCTGTTTTCTTAGAAAGCTTGTTTTGAAGTGTGAGAGATTGTTCCTCTGGCTTTGTATTTTCAAATAGCTGATCTTCAAGTCCACTGATTCCAACCTCTACTTGGTTCATTCTGCTGTTGAGACCCTCCAAAGAGTTCCTCTGTTCAGCAAATATATTTCTCAGTTCCAAGATTTCTGTTAAATTTGTTTTTTATTATTTCAGTCTCTTTGATAAATTTCTAAATTGCTTTTCTGTGTTATCTTGGAGATCACTGAATTCCCTTAAAACTGTTATTTTGAATTCTTGGTCAGAAAGCTCACAAATTGTCATCTCATTAAAATCAGTCACTGGATTTTTGCTTTATCCTTTTGGGGAGGTCATAGTTCCCTAATGCTGTTGTTTCTTGTGCATCTACATCTGTATCTTTTTATTGAATGATTGTTTTTCCAGTTTTCTCTGCCTTATTTTGGTTTTTATTGAATATACTTACTTAGCAAATCTTGGTCATTAGGTTGCTGCCTCCTTTTTGGCTGTAGGTGGTATCTTAAGCCCAGGTTCACCTCAACTCTAGTAAATGGTTAGAGTGCTGCCTGTCCGAAATGGGGGAAGTCCCAAAGGAATTATCCTAGCAGTGTGGAAAGTCTGGATAAGGGTTTGTGTTCAGAGGACCTGCAGAATGTACTTGCTACAGCATGGTGTTGCACAACAGCCACTCCAATTAGGTACCTCTTTTTGGCTGAGTTACAGAAAAGAATTTCGGCTGGGCGCAGTGGCTCACGCCTATAATCCCAGAACTTTGAGAGGCCGAGGCGGGCGGATCATGAGTTCAGGAGATCGAGACCATTCTGGCTAACACGGTGAAACCCCGTCTCTACTAAAAATACAAAAAATTAGCTGGGCGTGGTGGCGGGCGCCTGTAGTCCCAGCTACTCGGGAGGCTGAGGCAGGAGAATGGCGTGAACCCGGGAGGCAGAGCTTGCAGTGAGCCGAGATCACCCCACTGTACTCCAACCTGGGCGACAGAGCGAGACTCCGTCTCCAAAATAAAATAAAATAAAATAATAAAATAAAATAAAATAAATAATAAAATAATAAAATAAAATAACATAAAATTTCCAAGGCTGAGAATGGGAGTCCTGCCTTCCTCTTTTGTCTATGGCTATCGTTATGGGTATTTCCTTCTTTAGGCAGTCACAATGCTTCCTGTGGGAAAAGATGAGGACAGGTCTGCCAGGGAAAGGACGAAGATGGGGAAGCTGGTTGACCACCTCAAGTTCACTTTTTCCAATGTAGAAACCATGAATTGGGGAAAAAATTTTCACATACTTGGTGCCAGGTTGAATGAGGGGGAGGGGCATCATGGACGTGGAGGTCCAATTCTCTTGCTGTCTACTCAGTTTTTCTACTTCTCTGTGGCCCCGGGAATTTTCTCATCCTCATATTTGAGTTCCAGGTTGTTGCTGACGAAAATCTCAGCACTGTGTATTTGTTTTTGATTTTCTGTGAGGGGGAGTGAAGCTAGTTTGGCTCTACACTGCTATTTTGTAATCACAATTTCATGAATGATTGTACTTTTGAAGCAACTACATTTTGGGCTGATTTGTTACACAATAAAAGCAAACTCGTGCCATTTGAAAGCTTTATTGACAGTATTATCTAATTTTTCTAATCTAATTAGATCTAATTTAAGATCTAATTTCTAATTTCATTCTAATTTGAGATCTAATTGAATAAAATTAAAAGACAGATTCCAATGAAGACATTTATGTTCTAACTGATCATTCAGAGTTTTAAGGCATCTTGCTACATAGCAGAGTAAAAATTATTCTAAAAAAGCTAAACGGTAGCTGCTTCTAGTTCTGGATGAGTGTAAGACTGGAGTAGGGAAAAGATAATACATAAGTATGGAATACCTTATCTCTATATTGCCTTCTAGAGACTAGTGGAACAGGGAAAAGGGAATGGTTGAAATTCCAAAGCTTTTGTCTGTTCTCCGTGAACATCTCAAGTAAACAGCTTTTTTTATATTCATATTTTGCAATATATGGAAACAAGGAGCAATTAGCACAGAAAATAATAATAGGGTTTCGAAGCTTGTCAAATACTTCCTTTTTTCAATAACATCACTTAATGCTCACTGCCAGTATTAGTCTAAAGAGAACTAGATGTTGAAGGTGAGGTTGTTGACAAATAAATGACAAATAAACTCAGTGAGCTAAACAGAAAATTTAAGGGAAGGCCCCAAATTATTTGGGCATCCCCAAAAGTCCATGCCTGCTAAAAGAGGAGACATTGGTTCAAATATTATAGTATTACTATTCTTAGTTTATACAGAAACCGAGGCTAAAAAAGTAAAACAACTTAATAAAAGTTCCTTAGCTCACAAATTTCAGACATTACAATGTCAGAACAATCTCTTACACTTCAAAACAAGCTTTCTACAAAAACAAACATTTAGACTTAATTTACAATCTTTTTTGCCAACCTAATTGTATCTAATCTAAAATTCCTTTTGTAAAAATAGAAAAATATGGCTGTGATTTTATTGTCAATTTATTTTGCATTGAAAAACAGCATATATAACTCCTATTCTTATTACACAGATCCTCCCAAAATTTGCAATCCTCCTCATTTTTTCCAAGAGAAGTAACAGAAGGCATTGCTACTGGAATTTGTTATTTAAAATGTTGCCATTTTGTACCAACACTGGTATCATCTCTTAAAAAAAGATTTTGAAATTTGAAGGCTGAACTTGCATGTGTCATGCAGTTTCTCAAATCTATAGTTCATATTTAGCATAATTTGCTATGAAATATAATATTCCAGTTGCTTTCCATATTCAATTAATTATCCTTTAAATTGTAAAGTGGATCACACTCTGAAATAAAAATAAGAGAGGAAAGCAAAATGGTATCTGAGTCCTTGTAATGGGACTAACATCATCCTTTGTAATTTTTTGTTTGTGCTTAGCTTATTTCATCATCACTTTCAGGAAAAATAAAAAGATTTTAATTTTCTTGACATGAAGTTGACAAATACAAACTGGATAGGTTAAATTTTTCTGGAAAATGGACATCTTAATAAATATCTGTGCCACACTGCTATGGCAACCACGTTTAGAAAACAAGCGCATTTCCTTGAGAATAAAAATGTCATTGTTTGTTGTGTTGCTAAATAATGCCAAACTGTTTGCTAATAATATTCTAGCTGACAGAGAACAAAGAAAGTGACAGAAATTAACTTGTGATAAAGACAATACTGAAGTACTAACTTTGATATTTTTCATATTTCCAATAGATATTTATTGAGCATCTTTTTATATTCAAGGAACTATGCAAGGGATGCAGGGGCAATAAGACACAGAGCCTCAAGGAGCTCAAAACCTGAAAAGATAGACACATAGTTAACATTAAGATAAGACACAAGTTAAAAATGCCATTGGAGAAGAATAAGAAAAGAGCTATAAAGGAATTATTTAGGCAGTAAAACTGTTGATTGCTACATGACATTTAGATTAAATGTACTTCAGCCACCCCATGAATGCTTGTGTAAATAGCTAATCCAAAAAGCATATGATGAAATTCTGAAATTTGTCTGCTGCTTATAGCTGTAAAGAAGATGTGTCTAGTGAGAATTTTATTCCAGAAATTCACTTCAAAATCCTAGTGGAGAAGGTGGAACTTACAGAACAGTGTAAGAAACAAATAATACATAAGCGTGGGATACCTTATCTGAGTATTTCCCTCCTTCCATTTCTAGAGACTTGTTGGCAGGGAAAAAAGGAAGGACGAAATTTCAAACTTCTGTCTGTTCTCTGGGCTGCTAACAGTTGACGCTCAAACTAAAAAAACTTTTCGTATAGCCATTCTCTACAAGACTAAAGAAACCAAATGTGATTAGCATAAAGAAAAGAACTTGCCAATCCTTTCTCCAAAAAGCAACAATACAATTTGCAAACAACCATTTCAAGACTTCGGAAATCAATCAAAGCCTTGGAAAAATCTAGAAGCACTTATTCAAGAAAAACTACTAAACCTTCGGCAAAAAACAGTGACAGTCTGTAGCTTTCTTGGAGGAAGCTTCTCTGCTGACACTGCCAAATTGGTGACCAAATTCGTCACCACAGTAGTTCTATAATGGCAGGGCAAGTCAAGCGTTGCTGCCAGCTAACTAGGTTTGGAGCAGAAAGCAGAAAAACATTCAGGCACGTGGTCATAAACAGTAGCAATCTCAGTAACAAACAGGAAAGGCCAACTGCATGGCTAACTTGAGGTTGCAGTTCTGATTGGGGGAAGCAATGGAATGACAGAGTAGCTAGATATTTAACAGGAAGAGCTAAGTGATGGGATAGACACAGGGAGTTTTGATAAGCATTCCCATATCCTGACAGGTTTAGAAAGCAGAGTTCATTTGCAAGGCTCTGTGCATGCACAGAAGAGGTAAGAAAGTGCCCTAGCCATCACTTACCCCTGGCTGGACACCATGTGCACATGCAGGGAAATTCAAGAGGAACCAACGGAAAGTAGTAGCCTGAGATGTGCATTTATTCTCCAATCCACACACAGATTTCATATGGAGGATGGAAGGCTCACTTGATCTAAATGTTTCAGTACGATTTCTATTCAGTCATTGGCTGCGTTCACACAGGAGTGACCATTTGGAATCCAGATTTACAAAAAAGAACAAAAAAATTTTTGAGCAGAAACATTAGTGAATGCATACTGGCAGGGGTGGGGGGAAACAGACAATACAGATTTTGTTCAAGTAAGTAACTAAAGAAAATATTAAAAAATTAGAATCCAGAATTTCTATATTATTTAAGATCATTTTTCAACAAAAATTATGTGAGACATGCAAAAAGGTGGAAAGTGTCACTGATACTCAGGAAAATAATAGCCAATAGGCACTATCTTTGGTGGGTAGGGTACAGATGTCAGATTTGGCAAATAAAAACTTTAAAGTAGCTATTATAAATATATTCAATGAAATTTTTTCAACCATGTATAAAGAACTTTTTAACAGCCTTATTGAGATATAGTGCAAATAATGTATAAGTCACCTATTTAAATGTACAATTCAGTGTTTTTTTTCTGTATAGTCACAAACATGTGCAACCATCACCTCAATGGTCAATTTTAGAGTCGTTTCATCACCTCAAAAAGAAATGTTGTACCCTTTAGGTATCACCTCCTATCCCGCAGACTACCCATCCCTCAGTCCTAAGCATTTTAATCTACTTTCTATCTCTATACATTTGACTATTCTAGACATTTCATATAAATGAAATTATATAATATCTAGGTTTGTTTTTTTTTTTTACTGGTTTATTTCACTTAATATTTTCAGGTTCATCCATGTTTATCTTGGAAGAAAGTATAGATGTTGTACCATGTACTTCTTCATTCCTTTTATGGTCAATCTTCACTTGTATGGACATTCTGCATTACATTTAACCATTCATCAGTTGATCTGCATTTGAATTGTTTCTATCTTTTGGCTATTATGAATAATACTGCTATAAATATTCATGTACAAGTTTGTGTGTGCATGTATGTCAATATTTCTCTCAGGTATATATCTAGGAGTGTAATTGCTATAACTTCTATGTTCAGCTGTTTATGGTACTGCCAGACTGTTTTCCAAAGTGGTGGTACCACTTTGCACTACCATCAGCAGTGTATGAAGATTCTGATTTCTCCTGATGTTCACCCACACTTGCTATTATCTGACTTGTTGATTCCAGTCATCCTAATGTGTGTGAAGTGGTATATCATTGTGGTTTTGATTTGCTCTTCCCCTATGGTTAAGGATGTCAACCATCTTTTCATGTGCCTATTGCCCATTTGTATATTTTCATTTGTAAAATGCCTAATCAGATACTTTGCCCATTTTTAATTGGGGTTTTATTTATTAATAGTTGTATGAGTTACTTGTATAGTCTAGAATAAATACTTTATTATATAGTGATTTGCAATTATTGTCTTTTTTGGGGTTGTCTTTTTATGTTCTTAGTGTTTTTATGCAAAAATTTTAGATTTTGGTGAAGTCTAATACATCTATTTTTTCTTTTGTTTTTCATGCTTTTGGTTTCACATCTAAGAAGCCATTGTCAAATTCTTTGTCATGAATATTTAACCCTAAGGTTTTTTCTTTAAGTTATATAGTTTTAACTAATATGTTTAGGTCTTTGATTCATTTTGAGTTAATTTTTGTATATGGTAAGAGCCCAACTTTATATTGTGAATGTAGATATCCAATTGTCCCAGCACTATTTTTTGAAAAATAGCTGCCTTTTTTTCTGTTGGATAGTCTTAGCAACCTTGTTGGAAAGCGGTTGACCACAGATGTACAGGTTTATTTCTGGACTCTCAATTCTATTCCACTGATCTATATGCTTATGCCAGTACTACAATATCTTCATTACTTCGGCTCTGTGGTAAGTTTTGAAATCAGGAAGTGTGAGTGCCCCAATTTTGTTTTCTTTTGTCAAAATTATTCTGGGTATTTTGGGTCCATGGCAATTCCATATGAATTTTTTAAATCATCTGGGCAATACTTACAAGAAAGTCAGCTGAGATTCTGATAGGGATTTCGTTGAATCTGTAGTTCAATTTGGAAAGTAGAGTTATTCTAACAATATTAAGTGTTCAGATCCATGAACATGTGATGTTTTTCCAATTATTTTAATCTTCTTAAATTTTCTTCAGCAACATTTTATAGTTGTTAAAAGTTTTGAACTTCTTTTGCTAAATGCATTCCTATTTTATGTCTTGATGTTATTGTAAATGGAATTGCTTTCTTAACTTCATTTTTGGAATCTTCTTATAACTATACAAAAATACAACAGATTTTTGTACATTGATCTTATATCCTTCAAGTTTGCTAAACTTATTAGTTTAATAGTTTTTAAGTAAATTCCTTAGGATTTTCTATACATAAGATAATGTCATCTGCAAATAGAGATAGTTTTACTTCTTACTTTCCAGTCTCAGTGTCTTTTTAAATTTTTTTCTTACCTAATTGCCCTGGCTAGACCCTCCAGCACAATACTGAATAGAAGTGGTGAGAGTGGCCAATATTTTTGCTGGTCTTAGGGGAAAACATCCACTGTTCCATTATTAAGTATGATGTTTGCTGTGGGGGATTTTGTAGATATTCTGTAGCTGGTTGAGGAAGTTCTTCTATTCCTAGTTTATTGAATATTTTTATTATTAAATTACATTGCCTTTTATAAAATAGATTGAAAGTAAAAGGATGGGAAAAGTTATACCCCACAAACTATAACCATAAAAAAATTTGAATGGCTATACTAATATCAGATAAAATAATCTTTCAATTTCAAAAAAATACTAGAGACAAAGAGGAACATTCCATAGTGATAAAGTGTTATTTAATTGGGGAAATATAATAATATTACCACATATGTATCTATAAAGGAAGCCCAAAATAGATTAAACAAAATTGCCATAATTGAGAGAAAAAAAACGGTAATTCAACAATAACAGCTGAAGACATTAATACCTTAGTTTCAATAATTGATGTAACAACAAAACAGAAAATCAACAAGAATAAAGAAGGCTTAATTAACACCATCAGCCCACTTGACCTGACTGAAATCTATAGAACACTTCACAAATAAGAGCAAAAACACAGTCTTTTCAAGTGAATATAAAATTTTCTCCAGGATAAACTACATGCTAGTCCATAATACAAGTCCCAATGCAAAATGATTTACAATGTAAATTCTCCAATCACAACAGAATTAAATTATAATTAAACAATAGGACAAAATGAGGAAAGTTCCAAATATTTGCAAATTAAATAATACAATTCTAAATAACACATAGGCTGAAGAAGAAATTACAAGTAACACAATTGTTAATTAAATAAAAATGAAAACAACAGATAAAAATTTGCAGGACACCACAAAGCAATGCTCAGTGAGAAGTCTATGGCTTTAAAACCCTATCTTAGAAAAGTAGAACAATCAGAAGTCAATAACCTACGATTCCACCATTAGAAACTACAAAAAGAATAAAACAAAACAAAAAGCAAACAGAAAAGGGAAAGCAATAAAGGTTAGAGACCAAGTAGATTAAATAGATATAAGAAAACATTAGATTTCTTTTCCAAAGAATATTGGTTTTATTGATTGTGAAGTCAATAAAAAAAGAGCAAAATTAACAAAAACTGACCAAGAAAAAGAGTGAAGGCACAAATTGTTAGTATTATGGATGAATTTAGACCCTTAGTTTTCCCCATACACAAACATAACTCAAAATGACTTATAAACCTAAATGTAAGAGCTAAAACTATCAAACTATTATAAGAAAGCATCAGGGAAAATCATGGAGAACTTGTTATTAGGCAAAGAGTTAAACGTGACAACAGAGCATGATTTATACAAGAGAATATAGATAAATGAATGTCATCAAAATTGAAAACTTTTGGACTTCAAAATATATTATTAGGAAAATGAATAAACCCAGAACTGGAAAAAATATTTGCAAATTACATATGCATTAAAGAACTTGTATCCAGAATATACAAAGAACCCTTATAACTAAATAATTAGGAGACAAGCCACCCAATTAAAAAAATGAGACAAGACTTGAATAGATATTTCACTAAAGAAGATATCCTCCTGGCTAATAAGTGCATGAAAGATGGCCAACAGTACAAGTTATTAAGGAAATGCAAATTAAAGTAAAATGAGATACCACTTTATACCCACTAGAATGGCTTTATTCAAAAAAAAATCCTATAACATGTTATTGAGAATGAGGAGAAACTGGGACCCTCGTGTTTTGTTTGTAGTAATGTCAAATGTTACAACACATTGGAAAACAGTTTGGTGATATGGCAGACAGACTCTGAAGCGATCCCCATACAACCTAGCAATTCCAGGCCTAGGTATATACCCAAAAGAAGTGAAAACATATGTCCACACAAATAATATACACAAATGTTTACTGCAGCATTAATAGCCCAATACTGGAAAAATATAATTATTCATCAACTGGTGAGTGGACAAACAAAATGTGATTTATCCATTCCATAGAGTACTACTCACAATTAAAATTAACTGCACTGCCACATGAATGAACCTCAAAAATAAATTGCAATTGCAAAAATATGAAACCAGCCCAAATGCCCATCAATTAACAACTGAATAAAGAAAATGTGGTGTATATATATATATATACACACACACACACACACACACGTGTATGTATGTATATATGTGTGTATATATATATATACACACACACACACACACACACACACACACACACACCATTGAATACTAGTCAGCCAGCCATAGAAAAGAATGAAATAATGGCATTCACGGTGACCTGGATGAAATTAGAGACTGTCATTCTAAGTGAAGTAACTCAGGAATGGAAAACCAAACATCGTATGTTCTCACTCATATGTGGGAGCTAAGCTGTGAGGACGCCAAGGCATAAGAATGATGCTTTGGACTTTGGGGGCTTGGGGAAAAGGGTCGGGTACACTGTTCGGGTGATGGGTGCACCACAATCTCAGAAATCACCACTAAAGAACTTATTCACGTAAATAAACACCACCTATTCTCCAAAAACCTATTGAAATATAAAAATTAAAAACTTTTTAAAAATCTTGATAATGATCCTACCTCAGGAAGAAATATTCTCATGCTGTATCATTGTGTCCTGCATTGCAACCCCAAGTGAAATATGCAGAGAACCCTCATTATGCCATCAACAGCCTCCCCAGCCAAAACTGACTGCTCCCAGACTTTGGCTTCTCTGAGCAGCTAAGAAGAGGAACATCAAGGTGGTCTGGCTATACACCTTGATGGAAAAGTGGAATTTTCAAGCTGGGGCTTGAAAGAAAGGTAGGATTTATGGAGCTTGGAAGGAAGAGCATTATA